>NC_000005.10:148203659-148828659 GCF_000001405.40 Homo sapiens | reverse complement strand
AGTCAAGGGGTTTTGGAGAAACAGGTGCAATGAAGGCATGGTCAAACAATTTATTTACTGTAAACTTTAGACTTTGCTCGGGAAAACAACTGAAGCTGCTCCTCAAATCCCTGCCTAAAATACCCCGTGTGAGCAAATAAGAGGAGTGGGGGAAGAGTCCATGTTCACAGCTGAAAGGTCCGAGATACTCAAAATCCTCAAGTCCAAGGGTGTAGGAAGGAAAATCTCCTTCAGATACAAATTACCAGCAGCAATATATTACCCCTAATACTTGAATAGTGAGGTAGATACATGGAAAAGTCATGAAAATATAGCAGACTCAGGTCCTCTAGGACTAAAGCTCTTTAGACATAAACTTACAAATTCCATGCAAAGAGGAACTGAACTGTACAAATAACAAATAATCACTCAAATAAGTTTTCTCTCTTTTTACAGCTTAAAAAAATAAAAAAGGCAGAAGGATGCCCTTCCTTCTGCATATCTCTATACAATTTTACAATTTTATTCTAAGTTTATTACCCTCAAGTTAAATAGTCTGTTTAGTGTTCTGTTGGGGGGGGGGGTCTTTAAAAGTAGAAAAACTGCTTTACAGCAGTGAGTCATTTGTACTACAATTCCTCCCTTGTGAATCAATGTTATCGCTAGGCACAGTACCTTGATGGCCCACAAAGTCTTCCGTGCCTGGGAGGTCTTCACACAGCAGTTTATTTTCTTTCTCCTGTTCCACGTGATATCCACTCTGCTCCCCTGTGTTGCCGTTGCTGGAGTAGCCATTCCCATAGGCCTTCAAAGAAGACCTGCGCAGGCACAGAAGCTCCTGGAAGGCAATCCTGAAATCTGGGCTCCGGCAGTAGATAAGGGGATTGAAACCAGAATTGACATAGCCTATCCAATTTAGGAGGATGTAAACTTCCTTACGGATGAGGTTATCCTGGATCACATGCACAATGTTAACGATGAAGAAGGGCAGCCAGCAGAGGGTGAAAGTGCCCATGATGATGCCTAACGTCTTGAGGGCTTTGTGCTCCTTCAAGCAGAACTTGGAAGATCTGCGGAGTCCATGCCCCGTCCGCCCATCCTGCTCCACCTGGCTAAGGTTCTGGACATGGAAGCGGCCCTCAGATTTGTCAATCTTCTGGAGCTGCCTTTTGGCCTCCTGAAAGACCCTGGAGTAGACGAAGACCATGATCACCAGGGGAACGTAGAAGGACACGATGGAAGAGGCAATGGCATAGGCTTGGTTCGTGAAGAAGTCACAGCAGGTCTCATTGGCATAGCAGTTGATGGCTTCCTGGTGGGTGGCCCGGTACCAGTGCATCTGAATGGGCAAGAAGGAGGTAAGGCCTGACACAATCCACACCATCAGAATGATCACCCGGGCCTTATTCTTGGTCAGCAGGCTCTGGTACTTGAAAGGTGAAGTAATGGCAAAGTAGCGATCCACTGCGATCACGCACAGGGTCTCAATGCTGGCCGTGACGCACAGCACATCAATGGAAGTCCAAAACTCGCACCAGAAGTTGCCAAAAGTCCACATTTTCATAAGAATATGGGCGGCCCCAAAGGGCACCACTGCCAGGCCCATGACCAGATCAGCACAGGCCAGTGAAGTGATGAAGTAGTTGGTGACCGTCTGCAGACGCTCGAACTTGGCAATGGCTGTGATGACCAGCACATTGCCAAACACGATGGCCAGGACGATGAGAGACATGACGATGCCCATGCCCACCACCCACACCTCGTCCCTTTCCTGCGTGACGTCGTGGTCCGGCGCATGGCTTCCATTGGGTGCCAGCAAGAAGGCGCTGCCGTTCCCGGGTTGCCCCATGGCGCGCAGTCTGGCAGGTGAGCGCACTGGCTGGGGGCGCCTCAGCGGGCGGACCCACGGCGGGGCTCTGCGGGCCGCGAGCGGACGCCTGGAAGCCTCATTCAGCGGCTGTGGTGTGGGTGTGGTGGGGACTCGTCCTGCACACTCAGCTTGTCGGGTGCTAGGGGCTCGCGGTGCCTGCCAGTTCCAGCCCGTGCTCTGAAGAAGCCGCTTCGCAGTGCGTTCTGCCCGTTATGTGCACAGGACTTTAGGGGAACTGCCCTCGCCGTGACGTACGGGAACTTTCGGCCAATGGCACGCCGGCAGCCGCGAAGGGGCGAGGCACTCCTCCCCTTTCCCTCCCCTCCCCTCGCCCTCCTTCTCCTGGGGCTGGCCCGGGCGGGGCCCAACTGCTCCCTGGAGGGCGGGCCACCACTGCTTCCCGGCTACCCTGGCTGGCCCCAGAGGGCTAAAGCTGGAGGTGGTGTCCTTACCAGCCAACCCGGGAGCTTTTGGCTCTTCTGTGGCCGCTACCTGCCTGCCCTGGGCGCCTGCGCGGCTTGAGGTCTCAAGGCAGAGGGCAGCACACCGGCACTGCCCCACATTCGGAAGGAAACGAGAGTGCCCACCGAGGCACGCACATACAGGCACAAATACACCCTGGCAGACATGCTCAGACTTATACCGAACCACAGCCATAGACACTGAGACACACCCTCCCAGCTCACCGACATGCACACTCGCGCGCGCTCTCACACAGAAGCCATCCGGCACAAAGTCACCCCTGTCCAACACAGAAACGCGGCCAGAAACAAACACAGAAGCACCCAGAAGCACAAAGACATGGTGACACACACAGAAAGTAAACACACGCTGGCTTGGAGGCATCCAGAGCGACACAGACACGGATGTCTCCATCTGGGTACTCCGAACTTGCCTCACCCGAGCACTGATAATGCTCCCCTCCCAACATACACCCGGTAACCCAGTGTATTCCCTTTCAAACATTTGGCAAGAGCACAGGAGGTGACTTCAACAGCTGCTGATTTCCTCAGCACACTCGCTGTCAAGTACTTTAGGTGCCCTCCTTAGGAATTTGCAGGCATGAAGACAGTTTTACCCTTTGGATTTTATCTGGAGCGGGGGTATGCAAGTATGTATTTTGGGACAGAGAGAGAAAGTTGTGTGCTTTTGTTTTAATTTTTTTGTTGTTTTGTTTTTAACTCTTGAGAGTGTGGCATCACTCACTCATTATCTGTTGAACTGGAGATGCAATGAGAATTCAAACAATTTCTTCAGTAAACCCAATGAAACTAAAAAAAATCCTTTCATCTGCTGGATAGTTTGTTAATCTTTCGGGTTGTGCCATGTGAAATTGCCACCATCTGGCGTCTGTGACTTACCAAAATGGCAAATTCATATGGTTCAGAGTATTAAGAATGTCTTAACATTAAGAACATTTTGAAGCTATAGAAAGCAAAAGATCCTGGCCAATATGGTGTAACTCTTGTCTCTACTAAAAATACAAAAATTAGCCAGGTGTGGTGGCACGTACCTGTAGTCCCAGCTACTCGGGAGGCTGAGACAGGAGAATCTCTTGAACCCGGGAGGTGAAGGTTGCAGTGAGCCGAGATCACGTCACTGCGCTCCAGCCTGGGTGACAGAACAAGACTCCATCTCAAAACAAAACAAAACAAAAAACACAAGATAATTCTCCCTTAAGAAAAAGAAAAAAGTAAGACCAAATCTCAAAAGTAAGATCTTTGTTCATGAAATACTATCCTTTCCATCTGGCATGTGACTTTACTGCTAAAGTGAAATTAATTTTCAGGGTTTGATTTCCCATGTATTAGTGGTGTCTTTGAAAAACTGAAAGTATTTCATGAAGTGTAACTAAACGTACTTTGTAGATTACATAATAACATAACAATGGTTAACATTTATGGACCATTCTGCTATTTGCTTTTCATGCATTATTCTATTTAATCCTTCCCACAGTCCCATGGGGGTGGGGACTATTTTTAGCTTAATTCACAAATGAGGTTCAAAGAGGAAAATGGCTTGCCCAGGGGCAATGGCTGGGCAGTGCCAGAATCTGGATTTGACCCAGGTCTGCCTGAGTCCAAGACCCATCTTTTAATCTTTTCAATGTATTGCATAATTACATGCAGACAGGAGTGATGGATAGGGAGGAAGGGCTACAACTGGAACTGGAATACCCAGGTTCCAGATTCACCAAACTTGGAGCTTTCTAGTTCATTTTTTTTTTTTTTAAGAGAAATCACGAAGTACCTGATTTCCATTGTCTCTAAAGGGGCATAAAGTCACTTCCATTGGGGTAAGCAAGAATTGAATGATATAGTAAGAAATATGAAAATGCTTTTGCTCATATAAGTGTCACACAAGTGTAGTTTGTAAGCGAAGTTTACATAAATTACTTAGTGGTTTAGAATATGTTGTTAGTCTTCTCTACTAGAACAATAAAATACTTTAGGGCAAAAGTAAGTTGGGTGTTTACTCTGGAAGCAAAGCTCAGAAACAGAATTTAACCTACATATCCCCTTTAACATCCTTCATAGCAGAAACTGACTTTTTGCAAGACAGATGCCTTAGAAAACAAGTATTTCCCATAAAATCCACAAATATGAATTAAAGATCTATTATATTCACATAGTTTTCAAAATACACTCACCTCATATTTGTGTTTTCCAAAATTGGCTGTGGCATGATGCATTTTAGGAAGAGGCAGTATTTATTATGCAACAACGTTTCTTTAAATATGCATCTACTCAAATTGTGGAACTAAACCATTTAAAACCTCCTTCCTGTTTGTGAAGCTATGGCATAAATAAGCATATTGTTTAACCTTCCTATAATAAGAAAAGAACAAAGAAAACCCCTTTAAGACAAATATTAACTGATCATGTATTTAGATATACACGTAAGTCACTTAAAAGTTTAACTGAATATTTTGGGAAACTCCTTTTTTAAAACCCACAAATACTAAATCAAGAAGGACTGGCTAGCCATATGCAGAAAACTGAAACTGGACCCCTTCCTTACACCTTATACAAGAATTAACTCAAGATGAATTAAAGACTTAAACGTAAGACCTAAAACCATAAAAACCCTAGAAGAAAATCTAGGCAATAACATCCAGGACATAGGCATGGGCAAAGACTTCATGACTAAAACATCAAAAGCAATGGCAACAAAAGCCAAAATTGACAAATGGGATCTAATTAAACTAAAGAGTTTCTGCACAGCAAAATAAACTATCATCAGGGTGAACAGGCAACCTACAGAAAGGGGGAAAAATTTTGCAATCTATCCATCTGACAAAGGGCTAATATCCAGAATCTACAAAGAACTTAAACAAATTTACAAGAAAAAACAAACAGCCCCATGAAAAAGTGGGCAAAGGATATGAACAGACACTTCTCAAAAGAAGACATTAATGCAGCCAACAAACATATGAAGAAAAGATCATCAGCACTGGTTATTAGTGAAATGCAAATCAAAACCACAATGAAATACCATCTCACACCAGATACAATGGCGATCATTAACACATCAGGAAACAGACCGGGCGCAGTGGCTCATGCCTGTAATCCTAGCACTTTGGGAGGCTGAGGTGGGTGGATCACCTGAGGTCAGGACTTCGAGAGCAGCCTGACCAACATGGTGAAACTTCGTCTCTAATAAAAATACAAAAATTAGCCAGAAGTTGTGGCATGCCTGTAGTCTGACCTACTCTGGGGGCTGAAACAGGAGAATCGCTTGAACCTGGGAGGTGGAGGTTGCAGTGAGCCGAGATTGTGCCACTGCACTCCATCCGGGGTGACACAGTGAGACTCCGTCTCAAAAAAAAAACAGGAAGTCAGGAAACAACAGATGCTGGAAAGGATGTGGAGAAATAGGAACACTTTTACACTGTTGGTAGGAATGTAAATTAGTTCAAACATTGTGGAAGACAGTGTGGCAATCCCTCAAGGATCTAGAACAAGAAATACCATTTGACCCAGCAATCCCATTACCTGGTATATACCCTAAGGATTATAAATCATTCTACTATAAAGACACATGGACATGTATGTTTATTGCAGCACTGTTCACAATAGCAAAGACTTGGAACCAACCCAAATGCCCATCAAGAATAGACTTGATAAAGAAAATGTGGCACATATACACCATGGAATACTGTGCAGCCATAAAAAAGGATGACTTCATGTCTTTTGCAGGGGCATGGATGAAGCTGGAAACCATCATTCTCAGCAAACTAACACAGGAACAGAAAACCAAACACCTCATGTTCTCACTCATAAGTGGGAGTTGAACAATGAGAACACATGGACACAGGGAGAGGAACATCATACACCAGGGCCTGTTTGGGGGTGGGGGCCTAGGGGAGGGATAGCATTAGGAGAAATACTTAAAGTAGATGACAGGTTGATGGGTGCAGCAAACCACCATGGCACATGTATACCTATGTAACAGACCTGCACGTTCTGCACATGTATCCTAGAACTTAAAGCATAATAATAATAAAAAAAGGAGAATCTGCTTATATCAATTAGGAAGTTCTGGGCCTTTGCCCTCCAGCCTTGACGAATGGATGCACGCTCTTTCCCTGCTGCTTCACCAAGCTGGTAGAAATGTCAAGATGTAGTCAGCTAACTAAGAGTCTTTTCTCCTGACCTCCTTTTGTGATTTTAGGTTTAGAGAAAGTTAGACTGGGAAAGAGCTTAATATATCAGTTAATTTATTTCCCCCAAGTTTGCAAATGAGGTTACTGAAGTGAAAAAACAAGAAGTGTCCAGGCCAAAGTGTTAAGGAAAATTAGGAGTCCAGGTCTGCTCATGGCCTCACAAGTTTTCCCTGCCTAATGCTGTTATTTTATTTCCCAGCAGAGGAGTTCGAGTAGCACTGCTTACTGTTCACATGACCTTAGAGAGTTAATGCTTCATTTGAACTGGAAAGTTCTTAGTAGACTAAACGCACCTTTATCTGATGTAAGAAAAAGCAGGCTCTTTTATGGTGATTGATAGCATCTAATTACATATTTTGTCAATCCCTTAAGACACTGATTTGTCGTTCCCAGCCTGTCAAACAGGAATAAAACCTCATATCTGGATTTACCTAATGAATGTCTGAATAGGAGTAAGCTTCCATGGTGCCAGAGCATGCCCTCACACCAATAGCTGGATGCTTAGGAAAATCTTATACTGGGTCTTGGCTTAGACAAGAGTCCTTTCTTGTGTATGATCCTGGAGCACAGAAACATCTGTAGATTTCTTTTCAAACAATAGTTTAAAATGCTTGTCTTTAAAAATGTCTCTGTACAGCATTATCCCATTAAATTTACATTAAATGAGATTAAATGCATGTCAAGTGCTTAGCATACTGCCGTAGAAGAAAAACCTTACTGTTAGTATCTTATTTTTGAATCAAAAAATAGATATAGAATGCATATTGGTCCTATCTAATCGCATGTATGAAATGTATGATAGGATCCTTTGAACATGGATAATTGCTAATTTACCTTTAATTTGGATTGCTGTGAAAAAATAATTGAAAAAACAGACAAAACTTGGTTCTTTAGAAAGAAGAATGATTCTGTAAGTTACTATTATCATTGAGTAATATAGCTAGATGGGATGTCAGCGTTTTTTGAATGAAGCATCTCACAATCTAGTCAGCTTCTTACACAATGCACCCACCAAAACTCAGAGGTATTTTTAGAGAGAGCAAGCTTACCAGCCCCTTTTGCAGGTGCATATTTCTCTAGCTATCCCAGTATTGAACTGAAATCCATTTTCTCACTTCTACCCATGGATCTTAAGTCTGCCCCCTTGAGGCCACCGAAAACAAGTCTCTTCTCTGTCCTAGCTTTTGGGAGAATCCCTTAAAGTTCTCCTTAGCAAACAAAACCTCTTCAGGTTAAACATTCCTTGTTCCCTTGGTTCTAGAGTCCCTTTTACCATCATGGTAGGCCTCTTTTATTCCTGCTTAGGTTTGTCTATGTCTAAACTTAACATCAGTACCTGGAAAGATGCTAGAACAAGTCATCAAACAATCAATTTGCAATCACCTTGGCAACCATAACTTAGAGCAGAGCAACCAGCAAATCTTTCCAAACAGCTGATTATACCAGATGAATTTAATTTCCTGCTACACTAGAGTTTTATGAGACATACTAATAAATTCTCCACATCTTAGAAGCACTGAACAAAAGGAGACGGCATTAAATTAAAGCAGAGGAGACTTCAGTTGGCCGTTCAAAAGACTCCTTCGTCTGAAAAGAATCAGTATTCAAAGAGGTTACACTCTAGCAGCTTTTCTCAAATTGGGATTTTGCAAGAGAATTAAGCCCTACAGAAAATTATTTTTCCCAAAGCTGGGACATATCTCTTACCCTCCTAGGGACATAAGAGAGAAATTAAGTCACTACATACAATGCAATGGATGCCTTAGGGTATAGTGCTTAACTGAATCTTCTTTTGCTGAATCTGAGAGGAATTGCTTGAGTCTCCTTCAGGTATGGGAATGAACACTGTGTGATGGTGAATGTATATATATATATATATATATACACACACACACACACATTCAGATATACATGTATGTACATACACACACACATATATATAATATATATATCTTATATATATATTATATATACTATATATTTTTATATATATATTATATATAATATATATATTATATATGTATGTATATATAATATATATGTGTATATATAATATATGTATGTATATATAATATATATGTATATATATAATATATGTATGTATATATAATATATATGTGTATATATAATATATATGTATATATGTATATATATAATATATATATGTGTGTGTGTGTATATATATATATATATATATATATATGATGGAAGCGGTTTGGTTCAGTGGAGAGGGCATGGATGGGGGATTAGGAGACCTAGGTGTTAGTCCCAAAACAGCTCTCATATTCTATTGTAACCTTAAGCAAGTTGCCTTGTTTCTCAATCTTCATTTATGAAATAGGAAGTTGGGCTTGGTAACATCCAAGGGCCTGTCTACTCTAAACTGAACAAGCCTATAGTGGGAAGAAAGTGCTTTGAGGGCCACTGAGGAGATAAATTTTTGATTCGGAAGAAGTACCATGGAGCTGACAAGCAAAAATTGCCAATATCCTACACAACAACTTGATTATGTTTTTTTATCCTCCATATTTCAGCTATTCACATTTCATCTTTGTGATTTATGCTATTCTGAACAGCAGGTGTTCTACAGTTTTCTAAATTATTGACTCACTTTTAAAACTTTTATGATTTTTAAAATTATTGACTCATTTTTAAAACTCAATGCATTTATTTTTAAAGAAAATTTTATATGACTGCCATTACCACACGTGGAAAACTCGTGTCATTTGCCATAAATAGAAAGTAACCATGAAGACAAAACAATGTTAGTAAATGCTAGCTAGATTTTGTTGCTTGCCAAAGTTCTGAGCCTTAGGCCTGCTCTCTTTTTATTGAAAAGGAAGATTTGCAATACCGTTAGTATTCTAGCATCAGATGGGACTTTCTCCATTTATTTTAAAAGGTTGAAAGAAAATTGAAAAGGGAATAACTCCTAAGTAGTACACTGTTATTTAAAGTACTGTTACTAAATTATTTAAAATAATTTCTGATTACACCTGCAGGTATCTCAGTCCTGGACTTGTGCTAATGGGATACACTTCAGTGATAGAAAGAGCATGGGCTTTGGAGCCAGAGGAAGGAATGTGGGTTCCAATGATGACACTGTCCTTGATCAGCTGTGTGCTTCAGGCAATATGCTTTAGGCTTCTGGGCCTCAGAGGGCTCGAGGGTAAAATGCCTTGGATAGTTGGAAGAAATAGACGGAATATATAAAACACTAGATTTGAAAAGGAAGGGAGAGAACCAAAAGTCATGACAAAAAACGAATCAGCATAACTGGGATTGGCTGGGGGGTAAGGGGGAATGAGTCAAGAGAGTGGAGGAGGCCATTACCAAGCAGGGTGCAAGGAGAGCAGTGGACTGAGTGTGGCTGTAGGACAGGAAGGGGCAATGAATTCAGATATTACCATACTGAATTTGAGGTTTTGGTTGGACATCAAAATGGAAGTTAAAAATATCATAATGATTAGGAGATGAGAAACTGAAGTGATGTGTCTGTGGGTGGTCACGATTATGGTGGAAGCACTGCCTGAATAGCAGCACTCTCAGAGGATGTTTTGGAACGTTAAATGAAATAATGCATTTAAGGAACTTAGCATGCTGTTTCAAAAAAAATTATTTATCATTATTACCATCATCATCATTATCATCATCTTGGATTTCCTGGGACAACCCCAATTTCTGGAAATTACACTAGTTTCTCTAAGGGCAGTTCTTCGAATGAATAAATAAATTGATCTAAGAGGAAAAAAATCCTTTTATATATTAACCTATGAACAGTGGTAACATTTGGGGTGGATTTGGAGGGATGTCCAAATGTTTGATTCTCTAGCAGCTGCCTTGAGATGATTTGTATGCAAGTGATTGAGGAAGGAAAGCTCCCAAAAGAAAACAGTCAGGGAGTGGGAGAAACAGCTCAGAGAAGGGAAGAAGCAAAGGCAAAGACCCAGTGTTGCCTGATCCTAGGAGCAGCTCTGGAGCCTACTGCTTGGTTTCCTCCTTTCTCCAAGTCTTAGTTATAAAATCCTAAACAAGTCACTTAACCTTTCTGTGTCTCACTTTCCTTATCTGTAAATTGGGGCTGTTGATATTATCTCACAACCTCATGAAGTTGTTATGAAGATCAAATGAGTTAAGGTCTGTAAAGTAGTTAGGACTGATGTGGCCCATACTCAGTGCTCAATTAATTATTGATATGAAACCTAGGGGAGCTCTGTTGGCTGTGGCACTCAGGAAACCTTCCACGGGGAAGAGATAGTACCTACAACTTCTTGCATCTAAGTGCAAACTGCCCAGTGCTAGAGCTTAAGAAAGGGAATTGCACAGTATTTTTTAGGCCCTGGAGGAAAGAAGAAGTGAAATGGTTGTGGAGATCAAGCAGCACCTGCCACAGAAGAGGAGGTCAAGGAGCAGGGCTGAAGGGGAAACAATGGGAAGAGATAAAACAGATGATGGCTGAAGGACAGAGGAAGGAAAGGAAACAGGGCAGCCTCTCTCCAAAGCAGTGCCTTCTCTTGAGAGGCACAGAGGGAGAAATCTCACTGGGTCAAGGAGAGAAGGTCAAGGTACCCCGGCTAAGTCTAATCGCTATGAGGTGGTGGAACATGCCCTGGGCCTGGAGAAAGGAGAGTCTTGTCCTGGCCTTCTCACCTGCTGTGTGACTGCCTCTCTCTGGGACTCAATTTCCTCATCTGTAAAGTGATAAAGTCAAATCGAGTGATCTTTAAGATCAGTGCCTGGCACATCATAGTTAATTGGTGGTGGTTAAGGGTTCTGAAAAACAATAAGCCTGTTTTTTGTTTATCATGCGTTATTATATACCAGGAGCTGGGCTTGGCCCCTTACGTACATATTCCCTGCTTTTATTCTTATTTCTGTACAGTTTTCAAAATAGACAGTTATTCCTATTTTACAGATGACAAAACTGAAGTTTAAAGAAATTAAGCAGCCTGCCTCAGGTTACATAGTAGATAATAGGAAGAGAAGGAACCCAGCTCTGTCTAAACAAAAGTCTCACTCTGCACCACTAACACAAGATTCAGATGCAATAGTCCAAGCTCAATCAAGCCTGCATGCTCAGGCTGCTGAAAAGGAAGTTCCCTGGTTGTCAGGGTCTCACAGCTGAGTTTTACCAGACTGCTGGAGCAAAGAGGCAGCAGTTTCCTATCACTTATGGGAAAAATGCCAAATGATCAAGATTTAGGGCCAACTACCCTGGTCACAATTTCTAAAAAGAGAGGGAGGATGTTAGGGCTTAGATATCATTGGCCGTGAGTCTCTGGGCTTTGCTTGTGCCCCTTCCTCCATTCACAGCACTTTCCTTCTTTCCTCATTTCCTGCACAAATCCCCACTCCCAATACACACACACTCACACACACACACACTCACACACACACAATAACCTAAACTTCCTAAAGTACTGTGTAAAGGGCTACAACATATAAAAAAATGAACAAAGAGGCAGGGTCCTTGCCTGTAAGAAACTCACAGGCTAGTAGTGGAGATTAGCACATAAACTTGACTTCCACGTAACATAGTAAATTCTATGATTGAGGTAGGAACTTGAGTTTCTTAGTTCCTTAAATGTCAGGTGTGTATGTAAAGATATTGTTTCAATTTTAGTTGCAATAAAGATTAAGGAAAATTAATTGTTCAGAAAGAGGAAATGGCTAGGAACTTGAATTTATGGGCAACAGAGGATTAATTTAGTACCCTATCTCCCCATGTAAACACTGGGGAGGAGGCATGGAGAAGCCTTCCAAGAAGAGCAGGTGAACATTGGATAACAAAGAATCTTCAGCCAAGAGATGAATGGGGTTGCAAAAAAATAAAATAAAATAAATTGGCACTGTTGTTTGGACACCGATTTGGCAAAACTTATTAAAGTGTAAAATGTATGTATCTTTTCACCTAAAACTTTCATTGCTGGAAATTAGTTCCGTAAATGTCAGGTGTGTATGTGAAGATATTGTTTCAGTTTTGATTGTAATAAAGAAAGATTAAGGAAAATTAATTGTTCAGGAAGAGGAAATGGCTAATAAATTAGTAGAAACTCAGATATTGTGATGTGCAGTTATTAAAAAGAATTAAATAGATCTAAATGCACTGACTCAGGAAGTTGTCCTTGCTTTATAATTAAAATTAAAAAGTAAATTGCATATAAGCTTATAGAAAATGATTCAATTTTTGCTATGTTGGAAAAATATATGTATGAGAGTTTTGAAACACTGCTAAGCCCCTATTTCTAGGTCCTCTTGTAAGCTCATGGGGGCATGGTTAGCAGTTCCATGTGGTACTACTTTTCAAAGATTTACAGTAAGATGGCAAAGATAAAAAGGGTAATGATGGACAGGATGTGTGATAAAGGCTACAAAAGAGGTATAAAAAGGGGATCTTCACTCAATAGACAGCTAGTCTTGTTAGTGCTGTCAGGGAAGATGAAGAGACATCATAAAAAGTTTCATTCTGCTGGTGGCTGTTGAGCAGAGCTTGAAGGATGCCTGTGATTTTGGTAGTAGGGCATGGAAGGAGGGAATGCCAGGGAGAAGGAGCAGCATGAACTGAGGCACAGAAGTGGAAACCTTTGAACTATGCTTGAGAAACAGCAAGTGTTCCAGGAGACCTAGGGCACCAGGTATGTGAGGAGGAGAACAGTAAAATAACAGTAATAGTGAGTTGGGCCAGATATTTTTAAAGCCCCTGAATACTGAGGGGAGGAGTTGAGGCTCAAGACAAATCATGAAGGGGGGTGGAAAGGCCTTGGAAAGCTTTAATCTGGGAAACAGCCAACAATTAGATAAATGAGGCTATTTCACAGAGATGTTCTCAGCAGCCCTGTGCCAAGCAAGTGGATGAGAAGAAGCAAATTTGGTGAGGGGAGGGACATGATGCTGCACCCATGGGTCTGTGCTGTGTGTCAGGGCTTTGTTTCCTCATTTGTAAAGCAAATTTATACTCCTCTCCTGCCAGCTCCCAGACTGGTGGTGAGAATCAAATGGACAAATGTGTGTAAGACTTCGGGACTGACTGCAGGAGAAAAGCTGCGTTCCTATAGGGATTTGTGATTGTTATTACTAGAAAATATAGGACAGACCTCAGACAAGTGGAGCATCCAGGAGACACAGGGAAGGGTGTGTGACAAGCTGTGTGAGCTCATGGAGTGGTTGTCTGGGCAGTGAAGGATGAAAAGGAATGAATGGATCAACATGCAAAATCCACAAACAACAAGAAAATTTTCTGTTTTTAAATATAGAATACCGGCAAATTTAATATCTTATAAAAACTTAAAGTTGGAAACAGACACTGGTAGACCTTATTAGTGTTCCATCAAAATTTGTAGTGCACATACCCTTTGACTCAACAATTCCAATGCTAGGAATTTCTCTTTCAGGTGCATGCACACAAATACATAAAGAATATACATAAAGGATGTTCATTGCAATATTGTTTGACATAACAACAAGAAAAACCAAAAACTGGAACTAACCTAAATGTATGTCAAAGGAGCATGCCTAAATAAATTAATGTATTGACATACTATAGATTATTATGCAAAAATGGATGTTTATAGCAGTATGAATGTTTATAGCAGCAGAATGGTTTATTCATACTTGCCAAAACTTGGAAGCAAGCAAGATGCCCTTCAGTAGGTGAATGGATTAATAAACTGTGGTACAGCCAGACAATGGAATCCCACTCAGCACTAAAAAGAAATGTGCTATCAAGACATGAAAAGACATGGAGGAACCTTAATGTATATCACAAACTGAATGAAACCAATCTGAAAAGGTGACAAACTGTACGATTTCAGCTACTGTCATGCCCTACATAATGATGTTTCAGTCAACTGGACCTCATATACTATGGTGTTCCCATAAGATTATAATGGAGCTAAAAAATCCCTATCACTGGCCAGGCGCGGTGGCTCACGCCTGTAATCCCAGCACTTTGGGAGGCCAAGGTGGGTGGATCACGAGGTCAGGAGATCGAGACCATCCTGGCTAACACAGTGAAACCCCGTCTCTACTAAAAAAAAATACAAAAAATTAGCCAGGTGTGGTGGCGGGCACCTGCAGTCCCAGCTACTTGGGAGGCTGAGGCAGGAGAATGGTGTGAACCTGGGAGGCAGAGCTTGCAGTAAGCAGAGATCGTGCCACTGGACTCCAGCCTGGGTGACAGAGCGAGACTCCTTCTCAAAAAAAAAAAAAAAAAAAATTCCCTATCACCTAGTGACATCATAGACATCATACTGTTATAGCACAATGCATTATTCACCCATTTGTGGTGATGCTGGTGTAAACAAACCAACTGCACTACCAGTCTATAAAAGTATAGCACATAAAATTATGTACCATGCATAATACTTGATAGTGATAATAAAAACTCATGTTTACCACACTGTATTTTAATCATTATTTTAGAGTGTACTCCCTATGAAGAAAAAGTTTATTGCAGAACAATATGTCTTGTTATATTGGCAGCAGCCTCACACGTCTTATTTTACATGTCTCTTAATTGCTTAATTTTCTCTTGATCTTGATTTAATCTCATGTTGTTTTGTTCATCATGGCCCCTAAGTGTACAAAACCCACTGTTAGTATTGTCAGTAAGAGGCCATGTTGAAGGATTGACCTGGAAACAAAATTAAAAGCGACTAGGGGCCACAGAGGTGGAAAATCAGTCTTGGTTTTCACTTGCCAGTCAGGCGTGTCCCATTCCACCAATGCTGCAATCTTATTTGAGATATGGAAATAAAAGGCTCACTCCAACCATGGTGTTCAACTTACTGCTAGTTATGGATGGCTTAAATGAGGGGTGTCCAATCTTTTGGCTTCCCATATTGGAAGAAGAATTGTCTTGGGCCACACTGGAAGGAGGATTGTCTTGGGCCACACATACAATACACTAACACTAACGGTAGCTGATGAGCTAAAAAAAAAATCGCAAAAAATCTCATAATGTTTTAAGAAAGTTTACAAGTTTGTATTGGGCCACATTCAAGCCCTTCCTGGGTTGCAGGTGGCCCACGGGCAGCAGGTTGGACAAGTTTGGCTTAAACAATTCAAGAATTCTTACGTATTACATAATGTGAAAGCGAGTGGTGAATCTGTGAGTGCTGAAGCGAAGGCAACTGAATAATTTTTGGAAACTCTTAATAAGTTGATTGTGGAGCAAAATTACTTGCCAGAGCAAATATGGATGAAATTTCTCTGTTCTGGAAACATGCCTGAAAGGACCTTCGTCCAAAAGGATGCCAAGTCAATGCCAAGTTTCAAGGCTTTTCCTTAAAAGGAACAGCCCTGGCCGGGCGAGGTGGCTCACGCCTGTAATCCCAGCACTTTGGGAGGCCGAGGCGGGCGGATCACGAGGTCAGGAGATCGAGACCATCCTGGCTAACACGGTGAAACCCCGCCTCTACTAAAAATACAAAAAATTAGCCGGGCGTGGTGGCGGGCGCCTGTAGTCCCAGCTACTCGGGAGGCTGAGGCAGGAGAATGGGTGAACCCGGGAGGCAGAGCTTGCAGTGAGCGGAGATGGCGCCATTGCACTCCAGCCCGGGCGACAGAGCGAGACTCCGTCTAAAAAAAAAAAAAAAAAAGGAACAGCCCTGCCTGGGGGCTATGTTTCAGGCTACAAATTGAAATCCTCTGTGATCTGGCACAGTGAAAACCCCAGGGCCTTCAAGCATATCAGTAAGCACACACTGCAGTGTACTACAGGAATAATAAGTTATGAATGATCCAGCTCCTCTTCCAAGATGTCCTCCTTAAACTTTGCCAGTGAAATGGAGAAGTACTGTTTGGGGAATAATATGCTTTCAAGGTTTTGCTTATTTTTGATAATGCTCCTGCACATCCTTCTTTTTTTGGTTATCTTCATTCAACGTCACACTGTTGTCTCTCTCTCCAAGCACCACCCCTTTGTTCCAACTAATGGATCAAAGAGTTATAGCAGCTTTTAAGGCCTGATTACTACCTGAGGAGGACCTTTGCCTAGGCTATTGCTGCAAATAAGAAAGATCCTTTTTAAACACACTGGTGCAATTCTGGAAGGATTACAACATCTATGGCAGCATCAACAACCTTGGTTAAGTTGGGGGTGAAGTCACCAAGGAGTGTGTAAATGCTATCTGGGAAGAGATATTGAAGACATTTGTCCATGACTTCAAAACATTGCTAAGGATGAGGATGTTGCAAAAAAAAATATTCACAAGGCTTTAGTTGAAATGGCAAACAACTTTAAGCTGGATGTGGAGGAGGATGATATTGAGGAGGTCACAGATGTGGTCACTGAGGAATTGACTAATGACGAGTTACTGGAACCAGAACAGAAATGCATAGCAAGAGGAAAGGAAACTACAGGAGAAAAAAAGAAAAGCCCCCAAGGATATTCACAGTGATGGGTTTAGGCAGAAGCTTTTGCAGACCTCAACAAACTCCTTAAAACGTTTGAAAATGTTGACTCCAACATGAAATGATTTTCATTAGTAGAGAGGAATGTTCATCGTGCATTATCTATTTACAAGCAAATCTATGATGAATAAAAGAAACAAACCAAACAAACCACCATGAACACATTTCTGAAAAGAGTGACATCTCAAGAAGAGCCTCAGGCAGGTCCTTCAGGAGGTATCCCAGAAGAAGAAGGCATTGTTATCACAGGACATGACAGCTCCCTGGGTGTTATTGCCCTTAAAGGCCTTCCAGTAGGATAAGGTGTGGAGATGGAAGGTGCCGATTTTTATGATCCTGACCCTACATAGGTCTAGGCTAATGGGTAATGGTGTGTTTGTGTCTTAGTTTTTAAAGAAAAATGTAAAAAGTAAAAAATAAAAATAACATTAATATAGGTAAAAGTTTATAGAATAAGGATATAAGGAGAGAAAAAAATTATCTTCCTCTGTATTTGTGTTTCAAGCTGTGTTACTACAAAAGAATAAAAAAGTTAAGAGAAATTGTTTTTAAAGTAAAATAGTTACAATAATCTAAGCTTATTGTTGAAGAGAGAAAAATTATTTTATTTATAAATTCAGCATAGCATAAGCAAACAGTATTTATACTGTCTATACTAGTGTACAGTAATGTCCTGGGTCTTTACATTCACTAACCACTTCCTCATCGTCTCACCCAGAGCAACTTCCACTCCTGCAATTGCCATTGACGGAAAGTGCCCTAAAATGTGTACCATTTGTTATATTTTATACCATATTTTTACTGTACCTTTTCTATGTTTAGCTACACAAATTCTTACCATTGTGTTGCAGTTGCCTACAGTATTCAGGACAGTAACAAGCTGTACAGGTTTATAGCCTAGGAGCAATAGGCTATAGCATACAGCCTAGGTGTGCAGTAGGCTCTGTCATCTAGGTTTGTATAAGTACACTCTATGATGTTGGCAAAATGATGAAATCGACTAATGATGCATTTCCCAGAATGTATCCCAGTCACTAATTGGCACATGACTATATATGATATTCTGGAAGGGGCAAAACTATGGATACAGTAAAAACAGGATGTTTTTACTGTATCCATACTGAGGACTTTTCTCATGGCCCCATCCTGTTTTTACTGTATGGACCTGGGCCTGGGGAGAGGGAGGGATGAGTACATGGATCACAGAAGAGCAGTGAAACTATTTTTAGGGCAGTGAAACTATTCTGTAGGATACCATAATGTTAGATGTAAGATATGTCACTCTACATTTGTCAAAACCCTTGGCATGTACATCAAGAATGAACCTTAACATAAACTGTGGAGTTTGGATGATTATGATTTGACTGTATAGGTTCGTCGATTGTAACAAATATACCTCTTTGGTGTGGGATGTTGCTAGTAGGGAAGGCTGTGTGTGTGTGGGTGTGTGTGTGTGAGGGCAGTGAGTGTAAGGAAAATCTCTGTATTTTCTACTCAGTTTTACTGTGAACCTCTGCTTTAAAAAATAAAGTCTAATATTATTATTATTTGAGACAGGGTCTCACTCTGTCACCAGGCTGGAGTGCAGTGGTGAGATCTTGACTCACTGCAACCTTTGCCTCCCGGCTAAAGTGATCCTTCCACCTCAGCCTCCTGAGTAGCTGGGACCACTGCATCCAGCTAATTTTGTATTTTTTGTAGAGATGGGGTTTCACCATATTGCTCAGGCTGGAAGTCTATTATTTTTTTAGAAAGGTGGCTCTGTGCCAGCTGATCTGAAGCAATATTTAAAATACATCAAGAAGTAAAAAAGTGAATTGTACAAGTGTGAGTAGCATGTCTCCATTTGTGTAAACAAACAGTTGTATGTGGCATCTATCCAACATAAATGCTCACCATAGGAATATGTGTATATAAATTCAATAAATTAGTCTAATGTACAATGACATTTTATGCTGTAGTTCAAAGAATGAACTAGATATATATGCTGGTACATAAAGATCTCCCAGATATGAAGTAAGAAAGGTTGAAACAAAACTACGTAAAATATCGCCTTTTAGTATAAGTAACACGTGTTTATATTCACAAACATATTTTGGAAAGTAGAAGCAATTAACAACGTATATATAACATAGGGGACTAGGGACTGGGGCATGGGACCTGTGGAGCGGCCCCGACAGTATACTTTTACTTTCATTTTGGTACTCACCTGTTTTGTTTGAGTTTTTACTATGACTACTATTAAAAAGTGCAATTCAGTAAAAACAAAACCGAAAATCAAAACTAATGCTCCACAGATTTCTTGAATATAGTGTCATGGCCACAAGAGTCCTTTCCTTCATCTCCTCTTTTTTTGGGTGGAGAAATTGAGAAGCAAAAGTTAACAAACTCAATAATAAATCTGTGACTATAGCGACCAAGAGTGGGGGTGGGGCAACGATGTGCCGCAGATAACAGCAAAGAAGTAAAAGTAGAAATTGTTAGAATTTTTAGTAACTTGGAGGGGAAAAGAGGAAGGATGTGAGAAGAAACCAGGAAATGAAAATAAAGATGGCAAAAACTTGAACAAATGAGGAAGGTGCTAGAGAAAAGCCTGAGCTTGCTCAAGCAGTTTCTGGGGCTTATTTTTTGTCCTGAGTGTATGTGACTGCATGTCTCTGTGTATGTCTGCTGATGTGGCCGTTTTTGACAGCCTGGTGGATTAACAGGGCTATAAATCATTCTGTCTCAGAGTTGGAGTGCCCTGAGGGATTACTTTGCTCAGCAGAGCGCCACTTTGGCAGAGGGACCTCAAAGGCAGACAGACACCAAGGAGGGTGGGAGGTCTTGGTCCCCACCCCGGCTGGTGCTGCTCCACTTCTGGCTGCTTTCTGTATCCTGCTTCTGCGTAAATTTGTATTTGTGCAAATCTTCCATTGCTGAAAAATATCCACTGACATACCAACCCTTTCTTAATACAAACAGGGAAACAGGTCCTTAGTGAGGAAAGAATTTGAGAAATATCACAGAGGTAGTAGGAGAAACAGGTCTAGAATATATGGTTTCTGACTCTCAATCTCTGTTACTGATTTATTTTACCTTTTAGCTGAGCCAGAAAAGAAAAGGAAAAGGCCTGAAGGGAAGTTTAAATTTCAGTGGCTTAAGTGGAAAAGGGGATATTCCTAGGGAAAAACAATATTAGACTTGCAAAAACCAATAAGGAGAAAAATTATCAGTAACTATAATAGAATAGACAAAAGAGGAAAATTGCACTCAAATATTTTCGCGGGTGAATTGAACCGTAAAACTAATATTTAAAGATTCAAATGTCAGGGATTTAAATAAATTTTGCCAATGCAACCAAAAAGTGTAACAATTTGATTACCTCTTCTGGGTCAGTCACTTTGCAAGGTGCTGTTGATACAATGGTGAGTAATTCAGACACAATTGCTGTCCTCAACGGTCTGCAGTTGTGTGTATAGTTTGTTGGTTTGAACAAAACAAGAACATGCAATTGCTTATATGAATGATCCTTCAATTCACTCTTGAGCTGCCAATTATTTGCAAAGCTCAGCAAATACTGATATGCACTGACTCATAAAAAGATGTTGGTCTCAGCCTCTGTGAAGTTCAGAGTCAAGATTAAAATCAGCCACTCAGGGGAGCCTGTTGAGGAGGAGAGACCTAAAGTACTTCTTACTGGTTACTGGAAAATGGAGGAGAGACTGGGTAAACAGAGCAGCCACGGGAGCAAAGCAGAGTGTTGCTAAGAGGGAAGGGAAAGAGGAAGAACAGAGGCTACTGCCCCTTGGAGGGCTCTGACATGCTGATATGCTTCACTCGGCTGACATGCTGAGTGAAGCAGCAGGTCAGTGACCAACAAGCCCTGAGGATGCAGCACAGACCCTCAAAACCCCAGAATCCTAAAGCTGGGACTGCCATGCAAGACCCAGGAGTCCAATTCTCCCTGCACAGATGAGAAGCCTGAGGCCCACAGGTGGGAAGTGGCTTATAATTGTCACATGCAAATTGGAGGCAGTGCAGGGATCAGAACCCAGGACTCACAGCTGAGGACTTTTCTCATGGCCCCATCCTATCCTGTGAAAGGAACATGACAGTAACTAAAGACAGGATGTTTTGAAGTCAGATAGACCTGGATTTGCATCCCAATTCTGCCACTTGCTGCTGACTGTATGATCTTGGGAAAGTGTGTCTATTAACCTTGGTCCCTTCATCTGTAGAATGGGGATTGTATAAAGGCTTGTCTCCAAGATAACCATCCTGGATTCCTTGTATCCTTCATGCACATGCCATTGCCCCATCAAGAAGTGGAGTTTATTCTTCCACCTCCTCGAATGTGGTCTGACCTGTGACTGCTACGTCCAGTGAATTCAGTGAAAGTGAGGCTGCCAGTTATGGAGCTAGGCTTTTAGGGGACTGGCAACTTCTGCCTGTCTCACCAGAACTGCTTGCTCTGGGGAAAGTCCTCCACTATGTAAGAAGTATACTATTCAGAGACCTCCATGCTATGAAGAAGCCCAAAGTAGCCATGCGATGGAGCAGCTGCATGGAGACAGATCCCCCACCCAGCCTACTCCAGCCACCAGCTCTTTTAAGATTGTTTGTTACACAGCAGTAGGTAACGGGAGCACTTACCACCTGAGACTATTGTGTGGATTCACGAGACAACTATTTAGACAGGGCCTGGCACATGGTGAAACTGAATAAATGCTACCTTTTTATTTTCATGAATTTAAAATAAAGAAACTCCCAGCACCTCCACCGTAAGTCTCTTAGAATAACTGAATAACTGTCTGCAGCACCCCTAATGGATGCATTTGCAGACCACACAGAACAAGCCCCATCGCTCCTCTGTCCCACAGCTCATGGGCCTCTGGAGACAGCCCTGCATGTCCCTCACAGCGTGCTGCAGCCATGCTGACCTTCTCAGCCCTTCCTGTGAGTCAGGTATTTGCACATGCTGTTCCCAATGTCTAAAAGTCTTTCCTTCCCTTCTGTTTATCTCTTACTTTCTTGCTCATCTCTTAGCTCTCAGTCTTATCATCGTTTCCTCTGGAAGTCTACATCCCCACCCTCTGGGACATGCTCTCAAAACACTGGGCCCTTCTTCCCAGCAGTTATCTCAGCCTTGCACCTTCGCCTTTATTTGTGAGATCATTCCATTAATATATTTTCCAAACACTCCCTCAGGGCAGAAACAACATAGACTTTACTTGCTGTTGCTTATCATTATATCCCCCAAATCTAGCACCAGCTGGAACTCCTGAATGTGTTGATGCTCAATAAGTAATCTTTGCAAGCAAGCTCCATTTTCCTTGTGTCTTTTCTTCCTTAGACTAAGCATCTGCAGTCCCTTCAAGGTGTAGGACTTCATATCAAATTTGTTCCCTTCTCTTCCATTGATCTCTAGTTGAGGCTGCTCAGCCCACATTTCTTTCAGTGTTCACAACCTCCAAGGCCCTGCCCTCAAGTTCCACAATTAGTGGCTTGTTTCACCTTTTTGCTATTTTTGGAGAAGGCCTCCCCAATACCAAGCAATTTCTCCTTTCCGGTTGTCTGTTATGAAACAAGTTTGTTCCTCAAACTTGAATTGTGGGTCTCCAGGGCTCTAGGCAAAACTGCTACATGGGCACCCCCTTGGGCTCCCAGCCCCTCCCTGCATCAACTCTCCAACACCACACCCCTTCCCCTCCCACTCCAGCTTCTTTTTATAGCCCTAGTTGAGGCACCAATCATCACTCACTCAGAGAAATATATTTATATCACCTCCAGTCTCTCCCCACTCCAGTCTCTCCTTCCTACCAGCTACCCCAGGAATTTTCTGAACTACAAACGTGCTCCTGTTACTTCCCAGCCCAAGACCTTCAGTGAACTTCCCCCGCCCCCACACTGCCTTTGCCATTAGCAGCAGTTGCAAACTGGCATTCACAGCCCACATCTGGCCTATGGATGTCTTTGGTGTGGCCTGCAGAGTGTAAAAAATTAATTAGGCTTTAACATTTAAAATTTGAGTATCTTCACACAGCATTCCAGATTGCCAGTTTCTCTCAGTAATGTCAATGACCCAGCCACACTGGAAATATGAAAGGAGCGAGCTGAAGCTGAGAAGAGCCTGCTCCCTTGGGGCACATGGCTTGGAGTTTGCCAGTCTCCACCTCTCCCTGAAGTCCCCCGGCTTTCAGGCTGAGTGGGCAGCTATCATTTGTCATTGCATTTGTGGTGACTCATCCCACTGTTCCACTTGTTTGTGCTACCTTCCTGCCTTCTGCAGGCCCCTGCGTTGCTGCCCCATCTGGCTTATAATAATTCTCAACTTCTGAGCATGTCAAGAAGTAGAGGAGGAGGAAATGAATAAAGAAATAACATTTTCGTCAGCTAGTTGAGTAGCATTTACAATTCACAGATTACTTTTTTTTTGTATATGGGCCGAAATTATGGTTACTTTTTACTTTCCTCGTTGTGTTTTCCTATAGATCCCAAATTTTCTACAATGACCATAGGTTTCTTTTGCAAAGCTAGAATTTAAATAAAGGCTATACCTACAGAATTTTAGCTATGTATATAAAATTTAGAGCGCTTTGCTCCCCTTATATGTTAACTCATACTATTGCCTATGTTATCCAAGTTGGTCACTTATCACATGTTACTACCATTAGTTCATAAATTAAATAAATTTAATCCACCGTTTACTTCTTCTCATAGTTTTACCTTTTTTGTAATTATTTTATTGAAGTATAACATACAAATAAGTACAAAAATCTTAAATATGCTCAATGCATTTTTATAAGTGTATTTTAATGCCTAATGCATTTTCAAAAAATGACTACATTTTATACATAGCACCCAGATTGAGGAAGCACTTCCACACATATTAGCTCATTTAATTTTCATGATCTTGAGAGGCAGGCAGAATTGCAGGTGAGGAAATTGAGGCTGACAGGAGGCAAAAATAAATGACTTGTTTTAGGTCCCCCAGCTCGTATGTGGCTGAATTGAGACTTGAACCCAGTCTCTGTGCATTATAACCGACTTTCAAAAAGAGCCATGACTGTTGAAAGGCAGAGAGGCAATGTCAGGAAGACAGAACTGGAGAATACAATGCTGCTGTGAATCAGACGCGTGGCAAATTTAGGATCTGTGTGTCTAAAAATCACATGCTCTCTTTACTCACCTCCCAACTTGCTCCTTTTTCCCCTCGACCCCTCCTCCCCCTGCTGTCATTTTGGTTATTTTTCCATTTACTGCTCCAAGTTCAGTGAAACATTCCTCTTAATGGCACGTTTTGGAATCAGTTTGGCCAATAGAGTCACCACATTGAAGAAATTCAGCCCTGGCTTCCTTCCTCTGCCTTTATTGGAGCATGTAAACAGTAGCTGCAGAACCAGAAACAGGAGATGCCCTATTTGTTTGATGGCTAAAGCCTGAGATAGGACCCTCTAGAGTGATGTCATTCAGAAATCCCAGCAACTCCCTGGTGCTGCTTCTGTCAAATCCCAGCTCCTACTTGGAAAGGCCCTTCGATCATCTAGCTCTTTCCCCCTGCCATGGATGGGGAATCTAAAGCTCAGAGGAAGAAAGATGTTTGCCCAAGGACAAGGTCAACCAGTGACGGAGGTAGAGTTAGAAACCCATCGGCAGCCCTGTTTCCTAATTATGTGAAACCTGTATACCTTTATATCAGGTTCTTGTGCTGGTTACGTACCTATCGCATCTCAGCTTCAATTCCACCTTCCTGTCTGTTCTATGATGCTAGTGCTGGAAGTCTACTAACTATATTTCACAGAATTTCTTGCTGGGTATCTTGATGTTTCCTTCTGGCAACAAAGGAGAGTTAGCGTTCTATCTCTAGCTCCTTTTGGCACCCCCACTATAAGCTGCGGGTATTTCCCAACTAAGAAGTCTGAGATCCAGCCACATGGTTTCTCCTCCTCCTGAGGTGTAAGCATCAGATAGGCATGGCAACCCCCTATAAATTTGAGTTTCTTGTAGCCTTTCCATTTCCTTTCTCTTCTCTCAATGCTATACGTGGTAGCTACTTTCTGCAGTTACTCATATCTAAATTTCTTCATCATTTTCTTTTTGTTTGTATAAACTTCCAAGAACTGTGCAATGAACTCGGCACCCCCACTATAAGCTGCGGGTATTTCCCAACTAAGAAGTCTGAGATCCAGCCACATGGTTTCTCCTCCTCCTGAGGTGTAAGCATCAGATAGGCATGGCAACCCCCTATAAATTTGAGTTTCTTGTAGCCTTTCCATTTCCTTTCTCTTCTTTCAATGCTATACGTGGTAGCTACTTTCTGCAGTTACTCATATCTAAATTTCTTCATCATTTTCTTTTTGTTTGTATAAACTTCCAAGAACTGTGCAATGAACTCCCTGTATTTAATACCTTTTATTTGAAATACCTAGCATGGTTTCTCATCTTCAAAGTAAACTCTAATGATATGTTACTTAAAAACTTTTACTCTCTAATTTTTGTAGTTTCTACTTCTAAACATACATAGAATTATAAAATAAGTGATGTCTAGAATATAGGAAGGGACATTAACATTTATTTATTCAACAAATATTTACTTGAGATGCATCTGGGTTATGGAACACAGTATTAAACAGTTCTTGGGTGCAAAGTGTTTGAAGTCTTGTGGGGAGACAGGTTAGTAAACAGTCAAGTATAAAGCAGAGTAAAAACTGTTATGAGGGGTGTAAGTACATGGGGGAATTGGGAGGATATGAGACCCAAATCTAAAATGGGGAGGTGGCAAAATATTAAGGAGGACTTCTCTGAGAAAGCAAGATCTAACTTAAACCTGAGAGACAAATAGGAATTAGTTTGCCAAACAAATGGGTGGGTATGTGAGGTTGCTGGAAGAGATATTATGGGCAGAGATGATAAGAGAACCTGTCAGGGCATATTACAAGTTGAATTAGGTAACCCCCCTGCCCCACTAAATTTATATGTTAAAATCCTAGCCCCTAGTACCTCAGAATGTGACCTTACATGGAAATAAGGTTGTTGTAGATGGGATTGGTTAAAATGAGATCATACCTGGAGTAGGGTGGGCTCCTAGACCCACTGTAACTTGTATCCTTATAAAAAGGGGAAAATTTGAAGATAGACAGGCACACAGGGAGAAGATCACAAGAAGACAAAGACAAAGGTCAGAGTGACACACTACAAGCTAAGGAACACTAGATATTGCCAGCACACTATACCAGAAGCTGGAAGAAAGATGTGGAACAGATTAGATTCTTCCTAACAGCCCTCAGAAGTTATGACACCTTGAATCTCAGACTTCTAGCCTCCAGAACTGTGAAGCAATAAACTTGTCATTGAAGTCACCTGGTTTGTGGTACTTTATTATGACAGCAATGAATACAAACTAGCAAACTAGTATGGGGACTAATCATGAAGGACATTATTATTATAAGCCTTGTTAGTAATACTGTACATTTAATAAGCACTTATTAAACATTAGGCTCCAAATGCCTTATAGGTATTAACTCATTTAATCTTCATGACAACTCTAAAACGTGCGTACTATTATGATCTTTACAAATAAGGAGAATGAGTATGGAGAGTTCAGGTGACTTGGTCAAAGTTACCTATTTAATAAGAGATGTGAAACTGAGCTTTGAACCCAGACTGAGAATAAATATCAGTTACATAATACCACTGCCTGTGAAAGGTTAGATTTTTAACTCAAGATCAGTGCCTATCACTGGAGATTTTTTGAAAGTCAGGTTTACTGAGGTATAATTTGCAAACAGTAAAATGTGCTCTTTAGTGTGCAGTTATGTGTATTTTGACAAATGCATATGGTTGTGTAACCACCACTATCATGAGTTGGGTAGCCACCATCAACGGTTTTAAGAGTGTTAAGGACAGCAGTGACACAGCACATTTTTCATTTTAGAACTATCCTCCTGACTTCATTATGGGGAATAGATCAGAAGGGGCTGAGAACAAAGATGGGAATGGAAGATGGTGGTGGCCTGGACTGGAGTAGTAGGATTGGACACAGAGAAAAGTGAATGGCTATGAGACGTACAGGAGTAGTAAAAGCTATGGACCTTAGAAACTATTGCTTCTTGAGGCTTCTAACCTGTAAACATGGGTCAAGTCTGAGTGACCCTCTGATCATCTGAGATTTTTAGCAAAAACTTTAAAAAAAAACCCTAATTAGGCAGAACACAATATTAAATGTCACCAATAACATGTACTCCCTGACTGCAGCTCTTTTTCTGTAACCTGCTCTGGCCAGGAGTCACTCCATTAGTCTTAGAACAATGCTTAGTTATAACCGAACCTGAGAGAGTTATATAATTTTGAGGCTACATCATGAAATTGGGCTTATGATGAAAGATTTCTTGAACAAAAGTGGTGAAGATGGGCGTGCTTAAACAAACCTTCTGCGTACATCTGAGAAATTTGGATCATTTTCAGTAGTTATTTACTGACTGTGGACCCTCTTGAGGCATTAGTGCCATTAGTACTGATTCCACATAGCCTGTGTATGTTCATTTCTTAAGACTTCCTTCTCATCATTTTGTTCTTTGCTCAAAGGTCCTCTCTTCAGAGTGGCTTTTCCTGACCATCTTGTATGAAGTAGTAACCATCTTAGACCTGTCATTTTCAATCTTTTATCTTGCTTTATTTTCTTCATGAGGTTTTCTGATTTTGAAACTTTTAACCTGTGTATTCTGTGTCCTTTACTTCCACCACTCCTAAAATACAAGCTCCATGAGTGCAGGGACTTTGTTTGTATTGGTTATTGCTCTGTTATCAGTGTCTGGAATGGTACCTGGCACATAATGGGCACTCAATAAATATTTGTGGAATGAATGGATGAATGAAGCTATGGTCCACCATTATAAAACTTCAGTATCCATGATCTAATCTCTAATCCAGCCACTTCAATTTGCAGATAAGGAAAGGTCAATGTAGATGAAGAAATATGCTTAAAGTCCCAGAGCTGGTTGGTGGCTAAGGCCAGATGGTACCCAAGTTCCCTGGTTTATAGCTGAGACAGACTTCTTTCCCCTGCTTCATGTGGCCTCTCAAACTTGTCCAATCCCAGCACAGCAGAGTGGATTAAGAACATGGACTTCAGAAACCGTCATACCTGGGTTTAAATCTGAACTCCACTACTTGGGCAGGTTGCTCTACTTCTCAAAGTCTGTTTTGTTAATTTATAAAACAAAGATAAAACCTACATAGTAGCATTTCTGTGAGTCATAAATGAGATAGTTCATTTGAAGTGCTTTGTGTGGGGGGCCCAGGAAAAAATAAAATTTTCCCTAATACTAGATATTGCTGTTCCTCTGTGAGAACCATCAGTGGGTTTCATATCTTTTCTGACTTCTGGTAGGCTTGAATAATTTCTCAATTGCATTTTAAGCTGTGGGTGACAGCAAAATATAAGGGGTATGTTAATGTATGATGGAAAAAAAGAGGAAGGGGTTCCCCCGTATGACAGGGAAACACATATATGAAAAAACCTGTCCTGTTCCTCATTAAGTCCCATTTTTTTATCTGCAGATTGGATGATTGAATTTATAATCTCTATGATGCTGCCTATGCCTGACATCTTATGATTCATTCTCTGAAAATAGAATGAGGTTAAAATGGCTCATGCTTAGTATAACGGAGAAGTTGAAAGAACATAATCTAGCTTATCAACTTCTTTTTTGTTTCTCTAACAGTAGTGGATTGTTTTGAAATTCATTTCTTTCTTAAATGAGTAGTCAGCCGGGTGTGGTGGCTCATGCCTGTAATCCCAGCACTCTGGGAGGTCGAGGCAGACAGAGTACTTGAGGTCAGGAGTTTGAGACCAGCCTGGCCAAAATGGTGAAACCCAGTCTCTACTAAAAATACAAAAATTAGCCGGGTGTGGTGGCGGGCGCCTGTAATTCTGGCTACTCGGGAGGCTGGGGCAAGAGAATTGCTTGAACCTAGCAGGTGGAGGTAGCAGTGAGACGACATAGCACCACTGCACTCCAGACTGGGCAGCAGAGCGAGACTCCGTCTCAAAAAAAAAAAAAAAAAAAAGTAGTCACTGCATATCTGCTATTTGCCAGGCACATGATAGGAATGGAGATGGTTTTGTCTGAGAATCTCAATATTAGATGGGTAGTCTGTGCTTCTTTTAGGCACAAATGCTGGGCCAAATGCTCTCTGCACTACTGTATTAGATCTAAAATCAAGGTGTCAGCAGAGTTGGTTCCTTCTGAGGGCTGTAACAGACCATCTGTTCTATGCCTTTCTCCTAGCTACTGGTGGTTGGCTGGCAATCTTTAGTGTTTCTTGGCTTTCAGATGCATCACCATGATCTCTTCCTTTATCTTCACACGGCATCCTACCTCTGTGTGTGGCTGTCCCTATGTCTACATTTCCACCTTTTATAAGGGCACCAGTGATATTGGATACAAATGACTTCACCTCAACTTAAATATCTGCAAAGACCTAGTTTCCAAATAAGGTTCTATTTACAGGTACTGGGGTTTTGAACTTCAACATCGTTTTGGAGGACACAATTCAACCTATCCTTCCAGCAAGCATCCTTCCAGCCTCAAATAACAACCTTGAGCTCTCCCTACAGACAGGACAGACTATATTTGTTTGGCCTTGGCTTTCCATGGAATTAGGCTCACAGCTTCTAAATACTACAAGCCCATGGGTACAGCCCAAGATTCCATTTGTGTTTCTGAGTCACCTTCCATAATGGGCTCATTTTGAGTTTGTTTTCAGTTAAAGGACCAGATTTTTTCCCTTTAATTGACAAACCAGTTCATCCATCCAGTGCTTAAGTATCTGATCTTATGAAACTAAGTACTGAACATTATACAAATTCCTAAATGATTAATCTTTGAATGGCTCAAGCTAGTATCATGAGAACTTGAGTTATTAACAACTTTAGGTCCATACACCATTTATTTCGTTGCCACTTCTCCATGGCCTGAGGACCCAGTTGGAGGACTCTTCTGTCCAAGTGGTCAGCCTCATTAGTCGTAAGCATGGCCAGGTCTCTTGTCTGTAGCTCTTTGTGAGCAATCTGTCCCATCCCTGGCACCTAAGCATGGCCAGTTCTCTTGCCAGGCCCCGACACTGGAGGCCCCTGGACAAGGCTGGAGTTAGGGTAATGTAAGTAAAGCACCTGCCTCAAGGATGTAAAAATTAATACAAAAATATCCATTATGAACAACACATCAAAATCTTAAATAAGTATAGAATCTGACAGGGCCAGGATCAGGGTGAGGAGAGTGAGTAAAGTCATAGAGTAAGTGCAGAGTTGGATTTCATGACATGAGAACTCTTTAGTTTAAATTGCACTTTCACTTATATCTTACTTGATTTCCACAGTAACCAACCCCATGAGCAGCCCTCCTTTTCCCTATTTCACAGGTGAAAAGGAATCCAAAGTAGTTATAAGCCTTTTTCAAGTTTATAGTACACTAACACTAAGCTACCATGAGCCCTCTTTCCAGGTCACTAGATGGATTGCCAACGTGTTAATGAAAAACACCAGTCCCTTGATCCACACTTTTTTCAACAGAAATACATAAGCACAAGCTTCTAATGAGGGTGTCTCAAAACTAAACAATAGTTAGATATTGCCTGCTTGACACTGAATTCTCTTTCCTCAGAAAGAAGACTTCCTAACATCTTGCCAAATCATTAACTTTGCTCTTAAGTCCGTTTGTTAAAATCTGGTTGCTTATAACAAGACACTTGGCTTCTACTGTTTATGGTATTGGGATATTCTTTGGCTTCAAGTAGGAAAATAATCAGAAACATATAAAGCTCAAAAGAACCTTGTAGACTATTTTGATTTCACCCCAGCTAGTGGAGATTAGGAAGCCTGTCTGTGTCTAATTGGGAAGTGATTTACCCAAGGTTACATAGTTAGTAAATGGCAGAGGTAGTATCAGGAAGGAAATCTCCTGATCTCTAGCTACAATTCTAATTAGCATCATGGAATTTGTGCAATTAATTTGTGCTTCCAAATCATAGAGTTCACCCACATATTTTTACATTTGGGGAAACGGAGGTCCAGAAAGGGGAAATAACTGAAAAATGTATAGGTAATTAATAGTACAGCTTAGACGAGGGCTCAGGTGTCGTTACTCTCAGCCATGAAGCTGATCCCATACTCTACTCTGCCCCACCAGAATCCACACTAAAAGGCCAGGAATAGGGTGGGGTTAGTTTGTAGCCAAGTGCAAAATCTAAGGGGTGGCGAAGATAAATAATATCTTAATGTAATATTTTAAAAACCAAAACCAATACATAACCTCCATAATGAATAACATTTTAATAAAGACAGGATCCAACTCTGCACTTATCGTGTGACCTACTCCCTCTCCTCACCCTAATCTTGGCCCTGTCAGGTCCTATATTTATTTAAAACTTTGACATTTTGCTCATCATGGATATTTTTGCATTAATTTTTGTCCCCAAGGCAGGTATGTTACTTACCTCACCCTAACTCCAGCCTTGACTGGGGCCTCCAGTGTCCAGGCCTGGGGAGAACTTATCAGTAAGGTGCCAGGGATGGGCAGATTGCTCACAAGGAGCTACAGGCAAGAGACCTGGCAGTGCTTATGACTAATGGGGCTGATCACATGGACACAAGAGTCCTCCAGCTGGGTCCTGAGGCCATGGAGGAATAGCAACTAAAAAACTGAATGTGACTGAGTAGTAATTACAAAATAGTATTTAAAATATAAGCTCATTTTTATAAATATATACCTGTGTTATCTCTGGATAGTGGTATGATAAATTTTGCACACGCCCCCCCTTTTATTTGCTTCTTTGTATTTTCTGATTTTTCTACAACGTACATGTATGACACATTTTCTTTTCTTTTTTTTTTTTTTTTTTTTTTTTTTTGAGACAGAGTCTTACTCTGTCATGCAGGCCGGAGTGCAGCAGTGCAATCTCCACTCACTGCAACATCTGCCTCCCGGGCTCAAGCCATGCTCCCACCTCAGCCTCCCAAGAAGCTGGGACTACAGGTGTGCACCACCACACCTGGCTAATTTTTGTATTTTTGTAGAGATGGGGTTTCACCATGTTGCCCAGGCTAGTCTCAAACTTCTGGGCTCAAACAATCCACCTGCCTCAGCCTTCCGAAGTGCTGGGATTACAGACGTGAGTCACCATGCCCGGCCAACATAACATTTTTAAAAAGTCTATCATAAAAATATGTATGGATATATCCAACAAATTCTCTTTTGAAAATACTTTGGTCTAATGTCAAAAACAAACTAATATCAGGGGCTGTTATACTTTTTTTTGTTTGTTTTTAGGAAATAACATTTTGTGGAATCTTGGTCAGGTCATTTTCATTTTGCCCAAATTTTCTTACTCCACGTTGCTTTGCTAAGCCCTGTGAATTTATTCATTCATTAATTCATTCACTTACTCATTTGTTCTTCTTAAGAACATCTGTTGAACAGATATTATGTCCCAGATACCGGACTACAATTAATGCTGCAATGTGAATGCATTATAAGTGCTTGGGCCCCCTATTCATTCTCAATTTCTGCAGCAAACTTAAACCTATCTCCAGAGCTCCTGGCCTTGCAGTCATCATTCATTTTTCATAGCCACTCCACAGACATTTTTCATAGTTGCTGCTGATGACACCTCCACCTCCCCAAAACTCTTTTCTCTAACTCCCACCCCATCGGTTCTTTGATTTTATTCCTTCCTCTACATTTCCACAACCACAGCCTTGGTGCATGCACTAGACATTTCGTTCTACAGGTCACCTAATCTAGCAATCTCCAGGCTTTTCTTTACCATGTATCCCTTCTTATAACATTTTTGAACATCCAAGCCAAGTATATATATTTATAAATCATACTAATGTGTCACTTTTAACCCATGTAATACATGTAAATATTAGAATATTAATTTCTTTATGATTTTTGAAACAATATAAATATAAATAGACAACATAATTTTTCCTTCCCACACTGTAGATAAATCATCTTACAGAATCCCTAGAATGTTTGGATTCTACCTCTACTTTATCAGTTCCAAACAGGACAGCAAAAGTGACCTTCTCATGTAATTATCTGTTATGAATTTTATCAAACTGGTAAGCTTACATTGGCCTCATAATAACCAAAAATGCCCCATTCCTGCCTTCACGGTCTATTACTCATTATGTCCCTATTTTCATCTCTGAACAGTCTTAGCTGGTTTTAGGATGAAATCCTTACACTGGGATTTCCCGATGTGTGTTTTATGTGAAAAGAGTCTTGTGGTCAAATAAGGTTGGGGAACTCTGCCAACTTCAGTCTTGTCTTAAGGAGACTAGACGCAAATAATCATCCTGAAGACTCTGAGAAGTCCTCCAGTAAAGAGGTCTGGTTACCTTTGTTGAACAGAGCATTTCCCATGCTGAGTCAATGTTTCATTGTGTAACATTTATTCACAAACCTTGAAATAAATGTTAATAGAATAAACTTTGGGAAATACTACCTTTCACAACTTTCTGACTTCTCCATTCATTATCACACATGTATTTACCATCATCAAGAATGGCTTCCCCCTTCCTGGGAGCCAAACTGTCTTCTTTTCCCTCAGAACCACATTTGCCCCTTAATGAAATCATCCCAGATGAACCATGTCTAGCCACAAAACTTCAGTTATTTCAGAAACCACTTGGTCTCTCATAAACAGCTCTGTGCAACAATCGGTTAGACAGCAATATTTTAAAAGCACAAATCATATATATCATTCCTCCGCTCAGAACTCTTCAGGGGCTCTCCCAAAATATGCAAAAAGAAGACAGACTCTTATGGTCCAGTGATCTGCCCCCTTCTACTTCCTCAACATAATTTTCTGCCACTCCAGCTCTTGGTAACCTTTCTGCCTTTCTCACAGATGCCAAGCTAATTCCTGCTGCAGGGTCTTTTCATGTGCTCTCTCTTTCACAGGGGATGCTCATAGCCCACATCCTCCCGTGCTCACACTTCTTCTCACTCAGGTATCTCACTTGTCACCTGCCCAGTGAGGTCTTCCTGGACCTCTGGACCTGAAGCTCCCATGTCTTCCGCTAAATACTTTCTGATCCCACATGCTGCTGCCTTTATTTCATAGTCTTTGCACTACCCACATTGAGTTATATATTCATTAGATTACTTATTTCTTGTTTTCCTTTCTCACCAGAATGTAAGACCCAAGAGGGAAGGGAATGTGCTTGTCTTTTTCACAATTCTATCTCTGGAGCTTGGAAGAATGCCTGGCACATGGTAGGAATTCAAGAAATATTTATTGCATAAGTGAAAAAAAGATGTTTCATCAAGGTTCAAATTCTGGTTGTTTGCATGACTTGGTGGAATAGCTGAGCCTCTGTTTATGTTCTTCTCCCACAGAGCTAATTGCTTTAATAAGTGACACTGCAAAATGGGCATAATAATAGTACTTCCTGCATATAGCTATGGTGAAGATTAAATGAACAATGCATGTAAGATATTTGATACAATGGTAGATACTATTCTTTCATTTTATTTTCTCATTACTGAGTCCATTATCTAGGACATAGCAAGAACTGAGCAACTGTTAGCTAATATAATTCTTAACTCAGATGTCTTCTTTTTTCTAAAGCTTGTAGACTGATTTTTAAATCAATTGGTCAATGCATGTTTTCAGAGGCATTTTCTGTATCTGGCATTCTATTAGGACTTGTAAGGAGATACACAGACATGTGAGATATGCCCTTGAGATGCTTGTAATTTAGTTAGGGGCAAAGCATAAACATATAATAATATAATTTGAAAACTGGGCAGACTATGAAAATTGAAACCTAACTGGAAATGATGAGAAGCACCTGGATAAGTTGTGCTTTGAAGGATAAGCACTTCCTTCCCTGCAGGGAGAGAAAAGGGCTCTCCAAGAATGGGGAACAGAAGAACCAAGGGGCAAGGTTGGGAAGGGAGTGTTGTGGTGAGGAAGGCTGTGGGGTGAGCAATAGGGAGGACAATGACATGTGGCAAGGAAAGGTGAAGCCAGGGAGGCAGCTTAGGAAGAGTCCAAAGGCCATGGTCACTATGATGGGATGGCATAGAGGCATAGGAAAAGACAGACTGCTAGATGTCCTGCCTTGGATGCCAGGGGTGGAGGTGTCTGTAACAGAGATGGGGGGGTCTACAAGGAGGTGGGTAGGGTGGAAGAGGAATTAGATTATGTCATAGACAGGAAGAAGAGTCCTGGGACTATATTCCTGGGGGAGGTTGAAATGGATGAGTAAGAGGAAAATTTGGCTTAAGAAAAGATGTTTTTTCAGAGATTGGAGATGGGGTGGTAGGAGGGTAACACCAATGATGGAACCAGTCATGCATGCAAATCCACTGATAATGGCTGCTCTGTAACATGCCCTTGTCAAAAGCATAATCTCCTCTAACCCCCACAGTGGTTCCTTGAGACAGGTCTCTCTGAAGCTTACATAAAGGCCAACTTGCTTGCTTAGGCCCACATGGCCCTAAGAGCAGAGCCTGGATTTGGACCCAGAGAGTCGGTCTAGAGGGCCCACTCCCTAGGCCTTTATGCTGCTCCCTTGTCAAAGGCTGGGGATGGCAACCACACATGCAAGAGAGAGGTTAGGGCCACCCTCCCCAGTTAACTCACAGAATGAATCACAGGCATAGAGGAAAATTGGGAAGTGGGGTTAGGGAGAAAGGTGGTGGTAGGGTCCTTCAGGGTGAGCTGGGGATTTCAGGAAAGAAGAAGTTCAGAAAAAGCACTGTGGGAAAATATGTTAGGAAGAAAAATGAGAAACAAGAAGCCTGACTCAGAGCAGGATGGGGAGCTGCTCACAGGGGCCAGAGAAAGTCGTGTGAGGTGAACCCTGGAGACCCACAGTAAGGCTCATGTCCTCCTCGCCGTGGCAGCTCTTTCAAGTTCTAGGAAGGAGGTTTCATGTCTCATACCTCAGGATGCATGTGGCTGTTTCTTCGGCTGCACATGGCTGTTTCCTGGGTGGATAACACTCTGCTTTGGGGCCTGCTGAGGGTGCAGTGAGTTGTGGTGTTCTGGAAAAGTGTGCACCGTAGGTTCCTGAAAGTCAGGCCAGGCCTAGGTTCAAAGCTCAGCTTCTCCTCTCATTAGCTGTGGAGCAGCACCTACTTCAGAAGAAATTTGTTAGAATTATATACGATTTCTAACATAGGCTGCCACAACTTACCTAGCATATATATTATAGCTTCACCATGTAAATGGCTATACCAAATACATTTTTAGAAAAGACTCAAATCATGGCTATTGGTTATTGATTTGAAAAGAATTGTGTTCTAAAAAACTCTATATAAACTATAAAGCTGTAGGCATTAAGTAGATATATATCACTATTATTTCTTGTTATGAGGCAAGTAATGGTTTTATACTAGACCCAGTTCATTGGGTTAGCATTTTGCTTGTCCTTTCGGCATGTCTCTGATTCTTTTTTCACTGAATGACACTTAGCAGTTTACACAAAGTGCTTTTCACTTATATTATCTCACTTCGTCCTTAGAGCAAACCTATCAGGTAGATGCTCTAATTATCCCCATATTACAAATGAAGAAGACCGAGGCTACTACACAGAAAATGGTTGCCTCCAGGCCACGTGGGATTTATGCTTCTGAAATCTGTTGGTTTTTGTTGTTGTTGTTTATCTGACAAATCCCCTGCCAACCCTCCACAGAACTGTTGTGGTGATTAAATCACAGAGGTCGCTGTGCCTTTGAGGTAGGAGACTGGAAGCTTGCCTCTGCTGTATCACCTTGGCCATGTGAAAAATGCCACAGTGGGGTGTGGGTTTGGGAACCAAGGGTATGGAGCAGAGGAAACCAAGACAACTTGGCTTGAATCCCGGCTCTGCCAACTCAGACAAGTCACCTAACCTCTCCCAAACTTCATTTCCAGTCACTTACCATCTCTGATTCTTAGCTTCTAGATACATTGAATAATTGTCTTTACCAGTGGGGTTGTTATGAGGATATAAGAGGATAGTATGTCTGGCATTGATCCTAGTTTAATGTATACTGAATTAATTACATATTACATTGCCTTTTATTTCATAGTACCTACCACTGATGGATAAACCACCTATTTGTCTTTTATGCAAGGGGATCCCCTCTCATTCAGCTTGTTGATAGATGTAGTGAAACCTCCTTAAGTCATGAGGAGCTTAGTCTAGTGGTTAGAGAGCAGAACTGAGTCACAAAGTCTATTTCCCAAAATGAGTCACTTTGTAGCTAGCATTTTGCTTTAGTAAGAGTCAGAGATGGAAAAAGGGGGACACATTGGTGGGGTAGGGCTGTGGATGTGGGTGGGGGATGGGACCCCTCCTTCCTGTGGTGAGCAGCTCTGGAGTCTGGCTTGACCACCTCTCTTCCTTCAAGACCAGGTGGCGTTTCACTGGATGAATTATTTCAGTTTATCATTGCTCCTGATGTTTACATGTTTCCAGTTTCTTTTTACTACTCCAAGAATCTACTTTTGGAAACACCAGTCATACTTGCTGTGTGACCTTAGCCAGGTCTCTTCCCTCTCTGGTCCTCATTCTAATAATCTACTAAGTGGTGGGATTGTGTCTGGTGTCTCTAAAGTTCATTTCACTTTGGCGTTCAGACCTCCTAGGATGGAGGTTAGAGTTCTAGGTGTGTTCTCGTGTGCCAAGGAGAAAGAATGACCCACTCATTGCACCCATCATTTCCTGGATCCTGACACATCATCCTGTAATTTCAGACTGGCTCCTAGGGCACCTCATGCCAGCTGGTTATTTTCCATCCCACCTATAGTGCTGCCATCCTCTAAGCACAAGAAAAATGGTGCTGGCACTGGAGAGGGTTAGCATTTTTAAAGGAGCCCAAATAGCCTTAGGGCCACTTGTTTCTTCAAGGCCCCAGGTGACAGTTCAAGAGCAAGTGAGATGGTCTTAACTTCACACAAAACCATTTATCAGGGAGTCACTTCCCATTTATGGCTGGTTGTTTTGGTTACCAAACAGACGGACATACATGGAATTATATTTCTCTCTCTCTCTCGTGTTTTTAATACTGAGGTGGGGCCATTGTGGGATTAGCTTAGAGCCATGAGTCATTGGGTGCAGGGCATGTTTCTATTTGTCGTAGCATTTTATTATTATTATTGAAGCATCTATAACCGCGTGGGAACTGGAGCCCAGCTTGACCACCTCTCTTCCTTCAGATGGCCTCTATGTTCCTACATATGTCATAAGCAGCGTGAGCAACAGCTACACACTCATTCGATAATGGAGGACATGCCAGTTGAAGTTGGGTCCAGAATTCTTCATACCTGACTAGCCTGTGGGCATATAATGGTTAAAATTACTGGAGAAATTTCAATGAAGAGGGGGAAGAAAAAGAGAGAGAGCACTGATTTGGGAATCAGGAGTTTAAGCTTGATTAGTAAGCATTACATAAATTTGGGTCAATGATTTTACCCCTTTAGGAGAGTAGGGTGATTGGGGCAAAAAAAGGAAATAAAGTTTGTCTAGTTTTCCAGACCAATTAATTGGTAGTAGCTGTCTGATGCGGTGTGCTGAGAATTATGGAACATCATTTGGATCCTTGGGAAGAAGATCCTTGGAAAATGAGCAGCATTGAAGCTCTGTGAGAAGAATCTTGAGTCCCATAGTAATGTCTGCCAAGGACTCTGGCGGAGGAGAGACATAAAGGGAGTGGGGAGTGTTTGCCATTCTGGCACTAGATGATCTTCAAAGTCCCATACAGATCCAAACATTTCATGGTTAGAAATTAAAGAAAATAAACTTGCTCAAATTTGTTACCACTTCAATTTTTCTCGTTGGAACTTTGTTACCAGAGCATATAATTTTCAGACCTAGCTTCATTACTGGCAAAGGGAATATCTCTGGAACTTTTGTTATGTGCACCACAGATATTAGCGCTGCTTAAAAGTTCTAAGTAAGAACTATAAGAACTCCAAGTCGTCATAAAAGAGATGTCTTCTACAATTGTTAGGGGGCTGAACATAGGATGGTTGAACAGTTTGTGCAGTTTTGGAAAAATTGTGTTCCATGTAACTTACTGTTTTTATACTATAAACTGCAAAAACAACCTCCCACCTCCTCGTCCCTTCAGCTTCTTCCAGATCTGTGCTCATATTTGGTGCATGTGTTTAAAAGGCTAAGAAATACTGCCAGCCATAAAGTGTAGGCAGTTCTTCAAGGAGAGTAAATGATGTTTGGATGCAGGGAGAGGTAGCTGGCTCAACAGAAGGAAATGTAGGAGTCTTTGTTGAACACAGTCTCCAATAAACCAACAGGATTTTGGGGCTTCTAAAAAGCTCATCTAATGTTCAGCTAAATTAAGAAGTTCCATGAGTGTAAAATCCCCCCATACTCTAGTCTAGCGGGTCCAGCCTTGGACAATTATATTCAGGCCTGAGCATCACATTATCAGGATGGTGAGCTATTTAGAACTATGTATAGTTATGCACAATTGGAAGATTTAAGAGAGTCAGGATTCCATATGGGTGTCTCTCATTTCTATTGTCTCTGTTCAGCCCTGTTTCCTCCTTCAGCAGATGGGTTTCTTCCATAATGACATAGGTTAGGTTCCCTGGGAAAACAAACTCTCCGATGGAGATCTGTGTGGACACCAGCTCTGAGAGAATGAAGGAAGCAAGAGGGGAAAGAGGGAGAAGTTGGGCTACAGTGCCTTCACAACAATTGCCTCATCCAATCCCATGGGGATCTCTGGAGCTGCGATAGCTCTTCAAGATTTTCCCAAATTTAAACAGAGGTATCAGGTCTTTATACCTCTATATTAACCAATTATTGGATGTGGCTGGCTGGGAAACCAAGGGAAAGGCAGCTTCCTTGTGCAGAGAAAGATTCAGCTGTGAGTCGTACTAGTGGCATTTGCGGTAGTCAGTGTCAATGCATCAGTCCTGATCTGGTGGCATATCTAGAGGCCCATCATGGGACCCACTACGATGAAGATATGACCACTAGTGGCCGTAGATTTACATTTGTCTAGCTCTATTACTTCAAAAAGAAAAGATTCTATATTCCAGCTTTAATCTTTAAAAGTCGTGGAGGAGTGCTCTGATTGAATCAGCTTGGGTCAAAAACTCTAGCCAGAAGTTAAGGAATTATGATTGAATGACTTTGAATCTTGTTGACTCTTATGGCAAGGTGGATGAAGCTGGGTAACAGAAAAGAGGTGAAGCTCTATGGTGAGGGGGCAGCCACCCAGGTGTAAACGCCCTCATCTGTCCTGGGAATGAGGGAGGTCACTGGGACTAAGTAGCATAAGAGGGCAGAAAGAGCTAGCTCAGCTCCATGGACAGGGTGTTCTCTCTTAGTAATTACAAATGCCTTCTGTTGGGGAGAAGCTCCCATAATAAGAAACATTTCAGCAGAGGTCATATGTTTCCTTCTTTCCAGTCTTCTTTAGAAAAGTTTCCCTTATTTGGATTACATCAGAATTAAATGAGAAGCTTTAAACTGATACCGATCATTGGGCTCCATTACTAGAGATGCCGATTCGATAGGTCTGGTGTGCGGCCCAGGACTCAATGTTTTAAAGACTCCTCATTTGACTTTTATATGCTGTTATGTTTGGAAACACTAGCCTATGGAGCCAATATTTTACCAAAGCTGCTCTGCTTGAATTGCTCATGCATTTGGAGCTCCAGGGGGAGTGTGGGAGGAGAGACAAAGGAATTGTGCTTACTTTCCCACCTTGTCACCCCTTATCCCAAAGGTGATCCCTGAGTCATCTCTGTAGAACAGAATTGAAGATTACTAGTCTAGATTTCCAGATTATCTTTCAACTACAAAAACTTATTGATACCGTGGATATTCCAGGTAAAATAAAGCAATAAATTTATGCATTATTCTTTGCTGTTTCAGACATCTGCTGGCATTTCTGAACTGGGATTTATTTGGTGAAAAGAAGAGGTTTATTAAACTTGTCTTTTATTTATAAATGCTTTCTCAGTTCAGCATAGGGACATAACTTATTGTGGGTCCAAGAGTAAAGAAAGAGAAGTAAGTTAACTGTGGAATCTCTGGAGTCCTGACAGGTGTTTTCTGATTCAGCAAAGGAGATAATTTGGGAGTAACTGAAGATGGTCTTCCTTTTAAAGAAAGTACATGCTTATAGAACTGCCATGTTTTGAACATGTCCCCTGCAAAGTTCAGGTGCTGCCAGTGTTGCAATTAAGAGGTGGAGACTTCATGAAATAATTAGGCCCTGGGGCTGCTCCCTCACTAATGGGATGAAGACCCTTTTAAAAGTAGAGGCTTTGCATAGGCGTTTAGCCGGCTAGCTTCTGCCCTGTGAAGACTCAGCAAGAAGGCCCTCAATGGTCATCAGAAGCCGGAGCTTTAATCTTAGACTTTCCAGCCTCCAGAACTGTGAGAAATAAATTTCTGTTCCTTATAAATTACCCAGTCTCAGATATTTTCGTTATAGCAGCAGGAATGAACTAAGACAAGAACACTGCCAAAGACACAAAAATAGAACTTTTTTGAAGCTATTAACCATGCCTATAATTTCTTTTTATTTCTGTCAATGTGCAAGCAGAGATTTTGCTCAGCTCTAATACTTGGGTTAATTTTTTCCACTTAGCATAATTTATATGTACATCTTTATGTATCCTTATGGCCTTTGTAGTTTTACAATTTTATGGCTACACAATAGTTGATTGCTTTAAGGATACCATCGTCGGCTTTATCTCACTCTAAGCTGGGGCATTTGGGTGATTTCCATTTTGCTATTAAGCATTGCATTGTGGTTTGGTACCTATCCTTGCCTGTAACTGTACTTCCAGAATCCCCAGTGCCAAAATTCCTTTCCCTGACTACAAGCTTCTCTCTCAGTTTCCTCAGTTCCCTCATATGTGATCCAATGGCCTGCCAGTCTGGCTCAACCCCCCTACTGCTTTTTCTATTCCAGCTAAGGAGCTACTGGTCACTATTACTGTGTAAAGTTTCCAGCTTTATCACATAAGTGCTCAAGAAATGTCATCTATTATGATAACAACTGAGATCAGGATATGATTATTCTTAAATTCATGTCAGTCTCTTACTCATCTTATCCAACCCTTACCCAAGAGTGTCTGGCTCACAGATCTTACAAAGATATTTGCTCAAACAGTGGATGATTTTAAGTCATTATTTTTGTCAAGTGTTCTTTTGCACTTTAAATAAGAATTTCTTCTACTTTTTTTTATTATGAAAATATTACACCATGAATTCCTGGAGGACATAACACATATTTTATCTTTTATTGTATTTCTAGTATTAGTCTGGTTTATGTCAAAGATTTATAATTTTATTCAAGTCTATTTAATGGTTTTTGCTTAGAATTATTAAGTAATTTCTTTTATTTTTTCTAGTTTTGCAATAATAGTATAAACTGTGATTAGTCACAAAGAATATATCTTAGCATATGGATAAATTCTATTTGCTTAGATTCTGTTTAGAAAGTCTCATAATAAAATAAATTACTTACCATATAAAAATTTTCTTTTTATTTTAAAACACAGATTTTGGAAGTAAATATTCAAAAAAAATTACCTGTAATACCAATTATATTTGTTGTGGTAGTAATAAGACTTATTTAAAATTTTTTTCCAATTTCTTTCTTGGTTCATTAGTGAGTTTACATCTCTTTTTCTTTGGGGGTCAATTTTGGTCATTTATATTGCTGCAAAGGCTAAGCTATGTCACTGAAAATTCAAGTATATTAGCATGACGTTGAATAATAATAACTTTAAAAGGCATTTTTCAAATTAATAATGTATATAGTTAAAGATGTTGAACTATAGTACACAATAAAAAATGGCAATCCTCTATCCACTTCTCTCTCTTTTAGCTTCAATCCCGAGGCAACCACTGTCAACTTTTTAAACTGTATCCTCTATTATTTATCTCAGTAATTCTGAACAACCTGTCTATACCGTCATTACTTTTTAAAGTAGTATACTCCCGTGTTTTGGCTATGCTCTTTATCCCACTCTCGGAAATCCTGGAGCCCCAGTTTCTGGGTAAGGGATTCTATATCTTCCCCCTTTCAAAGATTTTGTTGGTATCAGGTCTGAGACTGTCTTATCTTTCCTTTCTTTAGTCCTTGTTGACTTATGATGTTTTTGCAAAAATATTCTTTACTGTCTGTTTGGTGGGTTTCAGAAATAAATAGAGATAAATCATATTTACAACCTGCCATGATTAACTGGTAGTCTCTAATAACCTTTCAAAGAATTCAAAAAATGAATACATGAATCATGATAGGTAAATATTTTCAGTGTTCAAAATCCAAAAGGTACACAATGTTTTAAAGTAAAAACATTCTCTTCTACCATGGTGCCTGGCCAATCAGTTCTCTGCAACCAATGCCAACAGTTTCTTAGCAGTCTTCTAGATATATATTAGGAATGTATGTACAAATTCATATACATTGAGTTCTGTATACCTTTTCCACCCTCACATAATAATGTATCTTGGAGAATGTTACTTATCTTTATATACAAAGCTTTTTAATTTAATTTTTTAGTGCTTGTATAATACAGCATGGTTTATTTAAACATTTCTGTGTAAATGACCACTCATATATTTTCTAATATTTTGTAATTAAGCTTTTCCTTTGCCATTTTTTATGTCTATTAATTGACTTGTAGGATAAATTCACAGAAGTGCAATTGCTGGGTCAAAGAGTACACGAATGTCTAATTTTGTTAGATACTATCAAATGCCCTCCTAAGAAGTAGTCCAATGTACATTGTTCCTTTTGGAACGTTTTAATATATATTTCTCTCATTGTGAGTGCTGTTGATCATATTTTCATATATTTAAAAGCCATCTTTTTTTTTCTAAAAATATTTCATCTACATCTTGCCCATTTTTCAAATGGATGTTGGTCTTATTTGATCATGCTTCAGAGGCTCTTTATATTTTAAGGAAACAACATGCAGTTTATTCTATGAGTTGCATTTTTCCTAATATGTCATTTGTCTTTTAATTTTGCTTATGGTTATCTATGCGTTCTTATTTTTATGTAGTCAAATTTCTCAAACTTTAAGCCACCGAAGATTATTCCCAGGCCTTGAAACGCAATAGAATTTTGCCGGGGTTTCAGGCTTACTTGGACCAGAGATCCCTTTATTTCTTTCTATTTCTCACTATGGGAATGAGAATGTCTCTCCTATACCTTTGCCTGCATTATGGAAGCAGATAATTTGTTTTTTAGTGTCACAGGGCCACAGATGGAAAGGAATTTTGCCCCAGAATGGAGAAAACCTAGAGTGTCACACATACCTGGTTTAGATGATTTAGGTGATGAGATTTGAGACTTTTTGGGTTGATGATATTTAGATGAGATTGGAGACTTACAGTTAATGCTGGAATGAATTGAGACTTTAGGAAATGTTGGGATGGGGTGAATATATTTTGCATGTGGGATGCATGTGAATATTGAGGGGCCAACATGTAGACTGTAGTGGGTTGAATAGTGCCCCCTCCAAATTTATTTCTGTCTAGAAGCTCAGAATATGACTTTATTTGGAATAAGGAGTTTTGCAGATATAATTAAGATGAGGACTGAGATGAAATTATACTGGATTAAGGTCAGCCCTAAATCCAATGAGAGTTATAGAAGACAGAAAAGGAGACAGAGACACAGACGAGTTAAACTGAAGATGTAAGCAGAGATTCGGGTGATGCATCTGCAAGCCAAGAAACATGAAAGATTGTTGGCAACCACCAGAAGGAAAGGGGTGTGGGATTGTTTCTGTCCCTAGACCCTCTGAAAGAAACCAACTCTGCTAAGATCTTTATTTTGGACTTCTGGCCTCCTGAACGTTGAGAGAATAAATTTCTGTTATTTTAAGCCACCTAATTTGTGATACTTTATCATAGTAGCTCTAGGAAACTAATAAATTTACCAATTTGAAGTACAGAAGAGGTAGAGACTGGCAGTATAGATGGGAGTATTAAGAGGTAATGGTTGAAGCCACAGATATTTATAGGATCACCCATTCAACAAATATTTACCTGCTAAACATTTGAACTCCCATTGGGATGAAGTAGATGTATTTGTTGAAATATACTCATGGTCTAGGATGCCTAGCTTGAAAAGGGCAAAAAGATGAGTCCTAGGGAATATTATATATAGGGGAAGCCTGAGGAAGAGTTGAGGAGGAAAACAGAGAAGTGGTTGGGGTTGCAAGGAAAGGATTAAGAAAGGGCATTATCACCAAGGCCAAGAGGAGAAAGTCCCACAGGAAAGTTGGGGGGAGGGGGTGGGTCAGCAGTGGAAACTGCAGAGGGGACAAAAAGAATCAAGCCTGACATTTGAGTTTGGAAGCCTTTTGAATTAGCCTATTGAAGTCATAGATGACATGCAAGAATGGTGAGAGCACTGCAAATTATGGTAACCATGTTAAAGTGTCATTTGGCAAAATCTCAGAACTAATACTCCATCTTCCTCACAAGTTATTGCTTTTATTATCTATTCTTTATTCAAAAAGCATTAACTTTAGCTAGTACCAAGCCAAGTGCAGAGGTACAATGAGGAACAGGAAAGGCACAGTTCCTATCCTCTTGGAGCTTAAAATGTTTTGAAAGAAACAAATATTAACCAACAAAAAGATAGAAAATATTATTTCATTCTACCTGCCTTCATGAAGGAAGAAGTAGAACTAACATTTGAAAGACCAATCTAACATCGTTTTCAGGGAGAGTTGAATTATATACTTACAAGTTAACAGCTGACACTAAAGGAAGTCTAACATTTTTTGCCTTAAAGCTGAGCAAACTGAAGTTCAAAAAGTTCGATGATGTGCAGTATACTATTAGAAAAGCCAGGATTATACTCTAATTCCAAATCCTATGTTGGTGCTCTTTTCTCAACTATGCTATCATAACACATGCACACACATGCACACACACATGCACACACACATGCACACACACACATATTTGTATAGTCATCCCTTGATATTCTTGAGGGAGAAATTCCAGGACTCCCGTGGATATCAAAATCCACAGATGCTCAAGTCCCTGCTATAGAATGATTTATTATTTAATATTTATATATAACCTATGCACATCCTCCCATATACTTTAAATCATTTCTACATTACTTATAATATCTGCTACAGTGTAAATACTATATAAATAGTTGTTACACAGCATTTAAAAATTTAATTTAATTTTTAAAAATTGACAGAAAACATTGTACATATTCATGGGGTACACGGTGAGGTTTTGATACATGTAATGAATAGTGATTAGATCGGGAAAATCAGCGTATCCATCATCTCCAACATTTATTATCTCTTTATGTTGGGAATATTGTCTTTTAATTTAATCATATTATTTTGTATTTTTTTTTTTGTTGGTTTAAAAAAAACTTTTATTTTAGTTTCAGGGTTACACGTGAAGGTTTGTCACACAGGCAAACTCATGTTTCGGGGGTTTGTTGTACAGGTTATTTTTAATTAAGCTCAGTACCCAGTAGTTACCTTTTCTGCTCCTCTCCCTCCTCCCACCCTTCTCTCTCAAGTAGATCCCGGTGTCTGTTGTTTCCTTCTTTGTGTTCACAAGTTCTCACCATTCAGCTCACACTTATAAGTGAGAAGCTTTGGGGTATGATCCAGTAAGTGGCACTTAGGCTCACTGGTCAGACAGTAGACTCTTGCTCAGTTGTATGGCTCCCCTCTGTTTCCTAACAGTTGCAGCTGTGTTCCCTCTCAATGCTCTGAAAGTGTGGGTTCCTCTCCCCTTGAGTTCTGGCTGTAGATTGTGGCTTGGCACTCCTTGGCTGCCAACGGCTGCTCTGGGGTATCTCAGTGTTTATGTTTCTTCCCCATCTTGAAGGGAGCAGAGGAACGGACCTTAGTAGTGGTTGTGGCCAAGGATCTTTTGCTTGTCTCCTGGGGGCTCCACCCCAGACAGATGCAGGTCAGCAATCACTCAGTGCAATCATCCCAGGAGGGAGGGTCTGTGTTGTGGTCCCAAACCAGGGGCTCCCTGTCTGGTGATGAGCACTGGGGTGTGTTTTTGACCTGTGGGAGATGGACTGGCTTCCTATCCTTGGGTTGACTGCAGCTTGTTGGAGGTGTGGATAAAGCTCTCAGGGTCTTTGCTCATTTGTTAGCCTGAGGGTAGCAAGGGCAGTTCCAATGCAGAGGCAGTGGCAGAGAGACTTTCAGTTGCCTATGGAGGCTCTTTCCAGGGAGTTGCCAAGTTGCTACTGACTCAATAGCTTTGGCAGGGCGTGGCTGGAGGCCCAGGCCTGGAGGACTTGTCTGGTGAGGAGATATGGGAAAGGGCCCCCATGTAACAGGTTGGCCACTTTTCCATAAGGCTGCTGTGGTATGCTGAAGGCCCGCTCCAGTCTCTAGTCACCTCAGATTTTCTAGTACATGGAGGTATCACCAGTGAAAGCTGCAAAACAGCAAAGATAGCAGCCTGCTCTCTCCTCTGAGACCTCCATCCCAGGTAGATACAGACTTTGTGGCCAGCCCAAATGCATCTGTGGGAGGTGGCTGAAGACCTTGGTTGGGAGCTCCTGCCCATTGAAGAGGAATGAAAACAAGAACCTACTTTAAGAAGCAGTCTGGCCATGTTTTTGCAGAGCAGGTGTGCTGTGCTGGAGGCCCGCTCAAGCCTCTGCTCTCCTTGGACACTCCTCAGCCCAAAGGACAGAATAGCTAAGTCACAAAAGCAGCAAAGATGGCAGCCTGCCCCTCCCTCTGGGAGCTCCAACTCAGCGAGGTTTGAAACCTGTGTCAGCCAGAGAACACTGTCTGGGGTAGCTGGAGACCCCAGTTGGGAGGTCCCCCCTGGTGGTGAGGGATGGGATCAGGGACCAACTTTAAAAAGCAGTCTGGTGACATTTTCGTAGGGCAGCTGTGCTGTGCTGGGGGCCCACTTCAGTCCCTGGTCGCCTTGGACTCTCCAAAGTTCGAAGTCCACAATAGCTAATTCACCCAAACAACAAAGATGGCAGCCTACTCCTCCCTCTAGGAGCTCCATCCTAGAGTAGTTTTAAATCTTGTTCACCATAGAGCACTGGCAGAGGTGGCTGGAGACCCTCATTGGAAGGTCCCATCCAGTGAGGAGGAATGGGATCGGGGACCCACTTTAAAACAGCTGTGCTGTGCTGGGCAACCACCTTTGCCCCCGGTTAGCTCCGACTCTCAAAAGCCCAAAGACTGCAGTGGCTAAGCAGCCCAAACACCAACGATGGCGGCTGCCCTTCTCCTTAGGAGCTCCGTCCCAGGCAGGTTTCAAATCTCTGTCAGCCAGAGAACATGGCAGGGGTGGCTGGAGGCCCCAGCTGGGAGGTCCCACCCAGTGAGGAGGAACAGGATCAGGGACCCACTTAAGCAGTCTGGCCATGCTTTTGTAGAGAAGCTGTGCTGTGCTGGGGGATCCTTTCCACCCCCAGTAGGCTTGGACCCTACAAAGCTTGAAGGCTGCAATGGCTAAATAGTCCAAACAGCAAAGATGGTGGCCTGCCCCTCCTCCTGGGAGCTCTTTCCCAGGGAGGTGCAATGCTGCTACCAGTGGCTGGCTGGATTTCCAAATCAGTGGGTCTTATTCTGTGAGGTGCTGTGGAAGTGGGACATAGAGACTGTCGCTGTTCAGCCCCCTGGATTCAGCCTCTTTCCTAGGGGTATGTTCCGGGGTCTGACCTCCTGCTTTGCCAGAGTCGCAGCTGCTTTTGCTGGGAAACCCAGAGGGCCTGAGTATCTAAGGTTCCCAGATTGCCACATGTGCCTGAGTAGTTACTCTGCTGAGACTCTATGCAGCTCTGAAGGCCTTGGTGGAGTGGGCTCCTGAGGGGAACTCCTGACCTGAGGTTGGCAAAGATCCATGGGAAAAGCGTAGGTTCCCAGGATTGCACATTCACTCACTGCTTCTCTGGGCGGGAGAGGTTCCCTTGGCTCTCTGTGGCTCCCAGGTGGGCCGTAGTTCTTCCTTGCTTTTCCCATTCTCCATAGGTTAGGCTGTTTGCTGGATTAGTCCCAGTGCAAGTACCTGGATGCTATATTTACTCACCCCTTCTGTTTTTCTTGGTAAGAGCCACTCACGCTAGCTTCTTCTAGTCAGCCATCTTGACCACCTCCCTACTGGATGTTTTTTTAAATATTTCTGATCTGCTGTGAATGAATCCACAAATATGGAACTTGTGAATATAGAAGGCCGATATGCACACACATTTATCTTTATGAATATCTATACATATATAATATATAACAAATTATTAAAAAGGACGTTTTATAAAATATGAATCAATTTAAATTTGATGTTGCATCTATGTATTAAGAACACATTGTATATAATCTGTTTTTTTACTTTTATTATCATGGCTCACACAAATTCTTTTTTGGAAATGAAGAAATTGTACATCAATTCTGTATTGATTATTTCACCTACAATCTGGGGAGTCTCAGCTCCTGAATCTTTAGGAAATGCTTCACTGATGCTGTTACCTTTTTTGGGAAATCTGTGTCACAGTCTTCCCTGAAGAGCCTGAGAAAATTTTCATGGTGGGAAAGCTATATTTACTTGCACAACCTGGGGACTGTCATGGCTCAATTGCCAGGATCCCAGTGATGACTCTTTTCAGCATGCAACATTGAGGCTGCCTCATGCTCAACCACAAGCTCTGCTCTTTATGGGACTTAGCAGCCTCTCTTCTGAGTTGGGGCCACTCAGGAAATCTGTATTTGTGCATAAATTCCTCTTTTTACTAGAATGCTCTCCTGGAAACTGTGTTAAGAAGCAGACTATCAAACAGCAGGTTTAATTTTCCCAGTAATGTTATCACTGGTTCTTTGTTGGTAACCAAGGATTCCACATTAAACCAGTCAAGATAGTACCAACAGTAGGTATGAAAACCAAAGGTTCAATTATCAACCACCACTAACGCTCAAGGTTAGTACATCAAGCTTACTCAAAAACTAGAAAAACAGTTATAAATAAATAGATCCGTTGTTTTTTTTTTTTTTTGTAAAGGACATCATATGCTGTAAATAACGTACAGGACATGAAACTTAATTATGTTGTTGGGCTGACATTTGATGACTTATGTTTTGCTGACTGTGGAAAGGAGAAAGCAAATGAGTTTTGGGACCAGGTACATCTGGGTGTGAATTTTGGCTTCATCACTTCTAGACAGATCATTTGGGAAAGTTGGAAAGTTAAATAATCTCTTCTGAGACTTAGTTTCCTCCTCTGTCAGATGGGAGTGATATCTACATAAAGGATATGTTATGAGGGTGAAAGAAAGTGAAGAAACACCTATTACTCTGCTTGGTATTGTTGACACTCAATAAATGGTAACTCACCTATCTCTGCCTTTTCCTTTAATTTATCAAATATAGACAGGCTGGAAGATGGTTTGAATGACTCAGCTCTCTTAGTAAAGCTACCTTGGTAATATTGGATGTTTTGTAGGTGTAGTATTTAGAAAAATAGTACACCAGTTGTTTTTCTTCCAAATAACCCCTGATAGTTCCTAGAGTTTGTATAGCCTGTGAACAATACATAATCTGATAGGAAATGTTGCCAATTTGCTAAAGAAAAAAAAAAGAACACCAACTTTATTGAGAGAGAGAGAGAGAGAGAGAGAGAGAAAGATTTCTCAAATCTTGGCTTTATAGGTTTATCTATGAAGAGCCAAGCCAGGAAAGCCACAGCACAGATTTCACATTGACCATGACTGAGCATGGATAGAGAAAGGATGAGGATATAAAAATAAGGGGAACTCCTAAAAGATGGGGTGGTCATCAAAACCTGGGGTGAGGGTGGGGCATGTGGCAGCACCTCCAAAGGTTTAGAGATACTCCAGAGCAGGGAGTAAATCCCAGGAAACAGCACCAGCAAGTTGTAAGCTTCATATTTGGTGTGGCTCATGCCAACAGGACAGGAGAGCAGTGGAAGAGTAATGCCTGACTGAGGGGGATGCCTGAGTGGGTTGGAGTAGAAGTTGGAGGACCCTAATGACCCCAGCATGGTGAGAATTCCCTGGGCCCAAAAAGATGTGGTTGGACCAGGAAGGTCCTAGATTGTTGTCAACTTGGCCCCAGTCAATGGGCTTCAATAGTGGATTCCAGTGTCATGCTCCAAAGCCCAGGGCAGGGAAGTCACATCCAGCTGATACCCATGGAGGGTGCCCAGACTGTGTGGAGCCTGAAGGTCAGTGAGGTTCTGAAGTCCAGCCCATGGATTTGATACTCCTCATTCCCAACTCTGTGACACTATGCTTGTTGTCTCCTGCCCAGATGCCACTGCAGGGCAGGATTGGAGTGGAGAACGCTGAGTGGGACAGAAGGGCCCTGCTATGGAGTTTGAATTATACATTGTTTCAGCTTATACACTGGAGGGAGGAGCCTAAGTTTTAACCAAAATTAGCTGCATTTCCGTAACTATTCTTTCGGGAGAGTGGGAAGAGGAGCACTCAGAAAGGAAAAATGGGAGTTCTGTTAGAAAAATAAAGAAATGGCCATTTCTGCCCATCTGATTTGTTGAGTACAACAGGTCCTTGAATAATGTCATTTTATTCAATGTTGTTTTGTTATTCCATTGATGAGAAAAAAGTAGCTTCCCAGCCAGACTGTCTGCACGTGTGGAGTTAGAATATCCTACCCATGTCTGCCTGGGTTTTCTCTAGGTATTCTGGTTTCCTCCCACATCTCAAACATGTGCATATTAAGTGAACTGGTGGGTCTACATGGCCCTGGTGTGAGTCACTGTGGGTGTATGTGAGTCACCCTGCAATGGGATGGCATCCAGTACAGGGCTGGCTCCTGCCTGGTTCCCTGAGCTGCAGGACAGGCTCTGGCCACCCAAATCCTGAACTGGAGTAAGTGAGTAAGTAATTTTCTTATTTGTCTTTATTAATCTTTCTTAAATGTGTGTATGGCTCATAATTTCTTCAGTGTTTAATATTAAAGTGCTTTAGTCTTATTTAGAAGTTTGGTGATCTTTTGTCACCAGAAATATGCTATAGGAACTTAACTTTTATTTATATCAATTAGCTTATGGTAGGCCAGGCGCAGCATCTCACACCTGTAATCTCAACACTTTGGGAGGCTGAAGAGGGAGGATTGCTTGAGGTCTGGAGTTCCAGAGCAACCTGGGCAACATAGTAAGATGCTGTATCTACAAAAAATAAAAGATTAGTGGGGCATGGTAGCACATTCCTCTGGTACCAGCTACTTGGGAGGCTGAGGAGAGAGAATCCACTTGAGCCCAGGAGGTTGATGCTGCAATGAGCCATGATCATGCCACTGCATTCCAACCTGGGTGACAGAGCAAGACATTGTCTCAAAAAAAAAAAAAATAGCCTATGGTAAAACTGGTTTTCTTATACCATCTCATTTTGCTTATAGTTGCAGTTTCCAAGAATCTATTGAGGATGTTGAGTGAGAACTTACTGTATAATGTTTATACCTGCTCCTAACACAGGCTTTCCTTCCCCTAAGCTGATCAGCAAAAAGAGACATGCTAAACCCATCCTTCATGTGACACTTAGCACCTTGTATTGTGTCTGTTTACTTGTCTTTTTCCCCCACTAAAACTAAGGAACATGAGGCCAAGACTGTATGCCTCTTACTTTCCTTAGCTTAGATAGAATTTGGCATGTGGTAGGTGCTCAATAAATATTTATAAGAACATTTAATGCCAGTGACTTTATTTCTGACACATGAGACGTACCTTTTCAAAAATAACTGGGAAATTTTTTTTTGCACAACCAAATGGTACACAAAGGCATCTATCAACAAATAGATAAAAGAGAGATAATAGCGTTAAAATAGAGCAGATGCCCATATTAGGAAGGCTGAATTGAATGAGGCAAAGTGACCACCTTGCTTAGGCAATGAAGTTCCTAGAAATCATAGTGTACTTCATAAAACAGAATTGCATATTACTGTTAAATTTTAAAAAAGCAAGCTGTGCTGAATCATGTATCAACTTATACCCAATTCTAGTAGAGACTAGAATTGTAGGAGCTGACAGTTTAAATTAATTGATTCTTAATATTCAGTAAGCTCTGTTCACTAAATGAATGCTTTCCAAAATATAATAGGCATATTGTAGGTAGAATATTGATAGTTTTAGAGGTACATAGATATATATCTTAATGGTTATTTGTGTATTTTAATAAATTTTAGAGAGAATATAACTAACATACAGGCTCCGTGACATCACAAATCTTACTGCTTTGGGTAAGGCTAAAGTAGAGATATCTGAGAGTAAAAAATGAATTGACTTGAAGAACACTGAGATAAATAATAGTACAGATAGTACAGTGTCATGGAAAAACAAAGGTAATACTGGGATAACTGAGGTTAGGGAACCCAACACCAACTCAATTTTTAGAAAAAATATTTACTCTTTTACTGGTTTGTTTATTTTGGGGTGGAACATCTGGATCCAGATCCAGTGGATTAGACAGAGGTGATGGATCATCTGCTGTGGAGTTTCCTTGCTCTCATCAGGCCTTGATTTTCCCTACTGGAGCAAGTCATGGGGGCTCATCCAGCTGTCAAGTTAGTAGAGAGGCATGATGAACTGTTGTCCTCCAGCTCAGGAGTCCTGAATTCTGGCCCTAGCTTTGGCACTGAGTCACTATGTGACTTTGGGCAAGTTCTTTCCCCTAGAGTCCTCATCCCTTACATGCAGAGTTTGGACTGAGCCAACAGTTTTCATACTATATTCCTTAAAACTAGGGTTCCATGCTTTCTAATTTATTTATGATAGTCCCAGTTTACACCCGTTGTTGCAGCATAATTATTAACAGGGTCTCCTTATATGCTCAAAACTGTCTCAGTTTTAACAATAGATTATATGACTCCTTTATTTTAAGCCATCTCAAAACACAACAAGGCACAGATGTAGGGGTTGGGCATTAGGGAACATGAGCAGGCACTGCCTAGGAGACCCCCATTTCATCCAGAGCAGTTATCCTTTATCTGCTTTATATGATAAAATTCTACATAAGATCTCATTTGGAAAAAGAAAAGAAGGGGAATTCTGATCCTTTTAAAGATAAGAAAAAGAGAGAAAGAAAACCTCTGAACTAGATAAACTTCAAATTCCTTTCTAGCTCCAGTTTAGATAGTTTGACGTTCAATGTATTCACTCTCTGTGGGAATCAGTCTTAAGACACATAAGTGAATGAAAGTGCAGCCATTTACATAGCTACATGCAAAGCCTCAGGGCACAGGGAGCTAACTTTCCATTCCACCATCAAGGAGATGTCATAGAGCATTAGGATGTAGACTCTCCTCTCTTAACCCCACTCCTTCTGATTCTAGGTGTCACCAGCACCAATAGGCTGAGAACTTCTGCAGGAAATGAGTTTTTCTTCTTTCATAGTTAAACTTCAGGTAATTCTGCTTTGTAGGAATTGAGATAATCCTATTCTTATGATTTGGGGGAAGGGAGCCCCTGCTTTGACATTTCTTATTTCCTTTAAACATTATTATGTAAAACTGTTTCCTGGGCCACTGGGAATAAAAATAGTATCATGGTAATAACCACAATACAGCATTTCTCTGGCTCTGCCCCTCTGTTCTCTCAGTTACTCTCAATTCTTTCCAGATAGTTTTGAGAGTTCCCAAAGTATGTCACATGTAATCCAAAAACTGGCTCTCCAGGTGGCCAAGTGGGATCTGCCATTTTTCCTGATGGGTAGTTGTCAGATTGTCTCTGTCCCTGCTGGAGGTAGTTATGCTATCAAGACAGCTGGGGTGGAAAGAGAATCTGCATATCAGATAGGGTGCCCCACTCACATGGAGTTAGAACACACAAGTAAATAATTTGGGCTCTGGCTTTAGGTTGCTTGGAATTAAATCTCAACTTTGCCATTTGCTAGTTATTCAAACTCTCAGAGCCTCAATTTCCACAGGAATAATAATGGCACCTGCTTCACTGGACTGTTTAAATGAGATGATCCATGTAAAGAATCTAGTATTTTGCCTTCATTAAATGTTACTTATTTCTCTGATTGCCACTATTATTCTGAATCACTCCCTCCACCCTTCTCTTATCCACTTATCAGGAGACTTTTTAGCGTTCCGTGTAAATAAACTTCTGGTAGAACTGCCCCACAATTTCTCCTCTAGAATCCTAAAGAAAACACATCTGGAGCTCAGGCTGGGTCTCTACATAGAATTGATGCAAATTCCAATCCTTTAAAATTTGTGCCAAATATTTAAAAATAAACTTTCATTACATTTATTATATAAATTAGCTTTTTTATATTGTTATACAAATAATACATACACTTGATGTAACATTTAGACATTATAAAAACATTTCCAGTGAAAAACACACCTCCCCTTCCCCATAGATCCTTAATTCTTCTACCTTGAGGCAACCACCTTCAGCAGTTTCTTGCATGTTCTCCCAGAAAGTTTTCATGCCCATACACTGATATACATATGTAAACACAACAGGTACAGATCTGCTCCATGATTTTGGCATACTAAAGTTCTCAGCCTCCATATATGAAAGTTGATAGTAAGTGAAATCTGTCATGCTTGAAGCATTCACTTCTTTGGAGCTTAAAGGGTATGGACGATGGGGAAGGCTAGGGTCCTGATGAAAGCTGAAGATGCTCATCACTGTCATTTCTGTTGTTCCCAGAACGTGATACTGCTGGGCATCATTGGTCCTCCAGATGGGCTCGGAGATGGTCCCCATACTCTTCCTCTGCACTGAACCTAAGCTCAGTTACAGAGACTCCCCATGCTTTTCTTAAGAATACATGGTTTTAGGTCCATGGTCCAGTGACATTTAGCAGTCAGTACTCCAGAAAGTTTTCTATAAAAATCCTGAAACACCACAACACTACTTCATATCGGGGGAGCTACCTCTTAAGTCATACCATTTCTTCTCCTTAATGCAGCATCTGAGCTCCTATCCCTTCTGGGAACACCCGGAGGAATTAATTCTCTCAATTCCTAGAAAGGGATGGGTGGGGTTTGCCATCTCCTCACCCAGTAATTTCTGATTTTGGTCATAAAACCAAGAGCTATTGACAATCCTCTGGAGCAAGAGTGTCCTAAACACTCATATTTGAGAAGAAAGGTGTGGTAGGAGAAAGGCAGGTGAACACAAAGAGACACAGTCTTTGTCTTCAAGTAGCCTACAAACGAGTGAAAAAAAGACAAATGGAAGATTTTAAACAGTGTGCTAAGCATTAGCATAAAACCATGCACTGGATACAATGAAACACAGTGGAGAGCCCTAAATCAGTTGTAGAGGACATCCTAGAAGGCTTCAGGGAAGCAGTGATTAACAGATGGAAAAATTTAAAAACATAATTTTAAAAATAAGGCAGTATTGTATAGTGTGATGAGCTCAGGCATTATCGTTTTACAACTTTGGGCTGGGATTTGGGCTCTCCATTGATCATGTGTGACACTGGGTCAGTGATCTATGTATCCAAGTTTAGTTTCATTAACTACAAAAAGGTGAAAAATAATACCAATCTCTTAGGGTTATTGTGAGATATAAATAGGATAAAGTACATACAGCTCTTAGTCTAGTGCTAGAACGTATTTATTATTAAGTAGCTATTTGTTATTATTTTTTATTGTTGTTACTGTTTCACACACCAGTCAGTGTGTGTGGGTCTATACAAGCTTTCTAAACATTTGGTCCTCTCTATATTTTCATAGATTGCAGAAAAGCTGTACCCCTTCATCAGAGAATATTGTGGAGGAGAGGTCACAGACACACTTGGGTATGTGAGGCATCTATGAGAAGGTGCCAGAGAGGAGGCTGTGTGAGACTTGGGGTGAATGCCAGTCAATCAGGATTTTTATCTGGAAAACACCCTGTAATTTGGAAATGCAGCTGGAAGCCAAGGTGGGAAAGGGTGGGACTGCTTTGGGCCTTCAGCATCTCTAACCACTTCAAATCTTTTCCTAGCCTGAGGGCATGGCAGCATCAACAATGAAGCAGGCATCCACCCACCTTCTCTGGACTATCTTCTCCATCTCCAGAAAAACACAAACAAAATGAAAGAAAGGAAAAGATACAATGAACGAAATGTTAGGGAACATTTGCCTTTTAGTATTCCTGGCAGCAAGCAAGCTTTTCTGTTTTGGGGTACAATTATTTGGACATTTATTAATATAATACCATAGGATCATAGGATCAAAGCTTTATGGAGGTCACATGAGACCAGTCTATCTATCCATTTTGTAAATGAGGAAGCTGAGACCAAGGCAAATCCACACACACAAAAATGAGAAAAGAATCAAAGTTGAGAACCAAAATAAATTATCTGAGAGGTTGTTAGAGAGAAGAGGCAAAAGGCTGAGCTAGGATCAATGAGTGGTAATATCAGGAGGGAAATTTCACTCAATAAAAGAAGGTTATTAATCTTCATATTAACTTCAAAGCTGCTCAGGGATAAGGTGGGCTACTGTATTAGTCAAGGTTCTCCAGAGAAACAGAATCAATAGAATATATATATATATGTGTGTGTGTGTGTGTGTGTGTATCTGTATCTATATCTATATACATGTATACATGTATGCATACATGATGAGGCTGATTATATGATTTCTATTATAATATAATATAGGTATAATTGAATTATAATATAGTATGTTACAAGATATTATAATATATATTATAAATATTATAAGATACTTATTATAACATAGTGGCCCACATGACTCTGGAGGCTGGTAAGTCCCATGTTCTCCTGCCTGTAAGCTGGAGACCCAGGAAACCCAAAGGTGTAGTTCATAGGCCTGAGAGCCAGAGAGCCAATGATATAGGCTCTAGTCGGGTCTGAAGTCCTGAGAGGCAGGATCACCAAAGGCAATAGAAGATTGATATCCCAGTTCAGGCAATCAGACAGAGAAAATTCACCTTCTCTTGCCTTTTTGTTCTATTCAGGCCCTCCATGGATTGGGTGATGCCCACGCACATTGTACATTGGGGAACGCCATCTGCTTTGCCAGTGCACTAATCCAAATGCTAATTTCTTCCAGAAACACCACAGATACATCCAGAAATAATGTTTAGCCAGCTACTTGGGCATGCTGTGGCCCAGACAAGTTGACACGTAAAATTGACCATCACAGCTACCTTTGGAGGCTGGACTACCACCTATTAAAGGTACTCCAAGGCCGGGCATGGTGGCTCACACCTGTAATCCCAGTACTTTGGGAGACCAATGTGGGCAGATCACCTGAGGTCGGGAGTTCAAAACCAGCCTGACCAATATGGAGAAACCCTGTCTCTACTAAAAATACAAAATTAGCTGGGTGTGGTGGCGCATGCCTGTAATTCTAGCTACGCAGGAGGCTGAGGCAGGAGAATCGCTTGAACCTGGGAGGTGGAGGTTGCGGTGAGTCGTCGGCCATTGCACTCCAGCCTGGGCAACAAGAGCGAAACTCCGTCTCAAAACAAAAACAAACAAAAAAACAAAAAAAAAGGTACTCCAAACAGTGGAGGATGAAACTGGTGAAGTAAGAGGAGGAATGGTGAATTCAATGATCTAAACTTTGCAACCTGAGCTTCTAAAGTGCAGCAAAGCAGTCAGCCAAAGGAAGTCGGGATTCTTATTACTTGATGATTCACATAAATTTACCTGTATCTGTGGCCAACCACATGTTGGAGATGGGAAGATTGCAAAGAAGAGATTTTGAAGTTCAAACACCAATGTAACCACTTATTATCTGTGTGCTTTTGAGAAAATCACAGAATAAGTCTGTCTTTTCATCCAAAACAGGCAATTGTATTGACTGTGAAAGAAATATATGTGAAAGTGCTTTGCTAACTTGCTCATATGATTAATAATATTTAAAGATAAAAAATAGCAGTGAAATATAGAACCATGCAGATAAGACCTCTGTGTACTGAATCTATTTTTAAAAATAATGATTTACCATCACAGCCAATTGAGAATCTCAAATGATCCATGTGTTTTTTGTGTGTGCAAACCAGAGATAATCGCTAGGCTTCCCAGGTGAGAAATTCTACCCCGCTGGGAGGAAGCTGGGTGCATAGGTTACTTTAAAAGAGAGACGGTTACTCTTGTAATAAGCCCTAGGATGTCCAAGGGTTGTTGTGGCAGAAACTCCTTTAAAGTCTTTATAGTTAAATTGGAATTTGGATTGTCTAGTCCAACATCCTGGGGCAAGATTCCTAGCTTCATCACTAACTAGTTATGTAACCTTGGCCAAGTTACTTCAACTCTTTGAAAGTAGGTATCCTCATCTGTAAAACATAAAGGTTTTAGAATAGTACTTAGAAAATATTAATGATTTAATAAATATAAGTGGTTATTATTGATAATGCTGTGTATCTTTTTATTAGAATTGCTACCCAGAAAAAAGACAGGACTATTCCAAGACCACGCAGTGAGGTGTGCACTAGGAATAGAATTCAGAGTTTTGCTCTTGCATGTTAGTACTCGTTCACCACAGCCCCTTTGCTTTCTATTTAGTAACCTGTGCTCATAGATTCAGCTGACAGAGGTCATTAAACTACTGACCAAATTCCTCAGTCCCAGGTCAACTTCCACCAGCTTCCAGTTGTATATCCACAATCCCAAATCCTAGTCAAACTTGTCAGCTCATCCTAAGTCCTGTCACTTCCATGAAACCTTCCAGTACATTACTTAGAGAAATATTGACAACCCCCTACTTAGAAACAGTAGTCTTAAAATAACTCCAAGACCTTTCGCAAGGCTTGTCACTTCCCCTCTTGGCATTTTTATTTTCCCATCTGTAGAATGAGATGGCTTTAAAAGAGTCGATAAACAATTGATTGTTGACTGGGGCTGGGCCATGTTGTAGATGACAGAACAACAACAAAAACGAACAGATCAGCTTCCAACTCTCAAATATTTTATTGTTTACTGCAAGAGACAAGAGGAGAAATGGTGAAATATGAAGTATTAAGTACAGTTACAAAAGTATCTGCTCACCAAGCAGTAGATTCTTGATAGAAATTTGAAATAATAAGTAAAAAAAAAAAAAAAGATGTACCATGTGTATGGGGGTTAGAAAAATTGGTATTAAAATTGTGTCTTCTTAAGAAGAGAAGGAGGAAAGAAGAGTAAACAGCATGTGCAAAGGCTCAGAGATACCAAGGAATAGACAAAGTGATTAATGGTGACAAAAATTCTATGTGCTGAAGAAAATTTAAGAAGACCAGTGTAGGTAGAGAAAGAAGTAGAGGAAGATGAATTTGAAACTGGCCTCTGTCTCTCCCATTAGACTAATGGCAGTATGAGCACAAGGATGTCTGTCAACATTTTCTCCTTTTTCTCCAGCAAATAAAGGCGCATAAAAATATTTGCTGAAAGAGGGAAAGGAAAGATCCATGTGTCATGAGCATCATATGTCATGCTAGGGAATTTGAACTTTCTCCTATACCAAATAGGGGTCCTGAAAGATTGTTAAGCACAGATAACATATGAGATTGGGTCTTTAGAAAAGATGGTATTGGATCTGGTTGGAGGACAAATAAGAAAATGTTGAGACTGGAAATAGGGATATCTGTTAGGAAGCTGTTTCACTCGCTTTGGTGAGTAAGAGCAAGGCTCTGCAATGAGTGGCAGTAGATAAATGCAGGAGGGCTTGGGGGAAGAATTTCTATGACTTGGGGGACAGTTCACTTTGGGGAGTAACAAAGCAAGAAGCAGCAGGAATTACTGAAATTTCTGTCATTGAAAGTTGGCAAATGGTATTCTGTTTTGGCCTGTTGAGTTAAAGATGTCTATGGATCATCTTAGAGAATGTGGCCCTGTATCTAGGTCCCTTCTGGGTCTCTCATTCCAACCTGTTCTATGTAATTCCATCTTTGCCTTGCCACCCTTTCACCCCTTGCCTAGACTCCTACAGCAGTCTTCCATCGTTCCACCCACATCCACTTCATTCTTCACACAGTGGCCAGAAACTTTTTTTTCTGAAACAAAAATATCATCATTTTACCTCTTTCCTTAAAGCACATCTGTGGCTCCTCATTACTCCTGAGATGAAAACTAAACTATTTAACATGGCCTACAATCTCCAAAAGGTCTGACCTCCTGACCTCCACCCACTCCAGTCTTCTTTACTATGCTCCCCTCACCCACTCCATGCCAACCATGCTGGCCTTTACTGCCTCCTTTCTGTCTGTTCTCAGCTACTGCAAGGTTTCTGCATGTGCTTTTCTCTACACCAAGAAAACCCTTTTCTCCTTCTTTGACCACATTGATTCCTACTCCTCTTTAGAGCTAAGTCAGATACCCCTTTCCCAGAGAAGACTTCCCTGATCATCCTAATGAAAATACAAATAATATAATAGCTAACATTTATTGAGTGCTAACTGTGTCCCAGGTACATTAAAGGATTGTACATGTATGTATTCATTTTATCATCAAAGTAACTCAATGAAGAATTGACTAACTCTATCAGTGAATCAAAATATAAACTCTTATCAACACCATGTACCTCTCTTTCTGAGCACTTTCGCATAATTGCTATTTTTATCTTTATCTGAGTAGCGATTTGATTTATGCTTGTCTCATCCACTAGAATGAAGTTTCAACTAGTTTTGAATAATTGAGAAGTAATTTCCATCAGCCCAACCCTCCTGCAGATAACATTTCCAAACTCTGGACAAAATATACATGGTATGAACCTGAAAACACTGGAAAGCGAACAAAAGCCAGCAGAAACTGAGCAGCAGTTCATACCAGGAGAGCGAAGGGCACTGGATGAGCTACCTACTTTTTAAGGCTTTTTCCTGAGGGCAGACCCCAACAGGCAGAGACTGGATGCTAAAACTCAGAAAAACTTTTTAATCTTGATGGTTTCAGAACTAGAGGACACAGACTGGTGTTACCACAGGAGTAAGAAGGGAAAGAGGAAATGTGGAAATGAGAGAGCCACAGAGAATGCTACGTTCTGCATAAAAACATTGTCTTAATCTCTGGTTGAGCCTGAAATATGCCTATGCAAGACTGAACCTAAGTTAACAGATTGGAAATTGAAACTGCTGCCTACTACTAGAAGAACAGAATTTAGAGTCTGAGTTTAAACAAGTTTACTGCCTATTAAAATTAAAAATCAATACTAACAGAGGTTCATAACAGAATCCAGATTCACTAATATGTCATTCATAATATTCTAGATTCAATACAAATTTCTAGACATATGAAGAAACAGGAAACTGTTACCTACACTTGAAAGAAAAGCAGACTGACTCTGAGATGACTCAAATGTTAGAATTAGTAGACAAAAATTTCAAGCTACTATTATAACCATGCTCAGGGATATAAGGAAAAATAATGGTCTCTGCCAGGCACAGTGGCTCAGACCTGTAATCCCAGCACTTTGGGAGGCCGAGGCAGGCGGATCACTTGAGGTCAGGAATTCGAGATCAGCCTGGGCAACATAATGAAACCCCATCTCTACCAAAAATTACAAAATTAGCCTGGTGTGGTGGCACATGAGTGTAATCTCAGCTACTCGGGAGGCTGAGGCAGGAGAATCCCTTGAACCTGGGAGGTGGAGGTGGTTGCAGTGAGCCAGAGATCATGCCAGTGCACTTAAGCCTGGGTGACAGAGTGAGATGCTGCCACCAAAAAAAAAAAAAAAAAGAAAGAAAGGAAATTATCTTAATAAACAATCTCACAAAAGAAAAATGAATTATGAAAAACTGGAAATTCTAGAGGAGAAAATTACAATATTGTAAATAAAATATTGTTGGATGAACTTAACAGCAGTTGGGAGATGACAGAAGGAGCAGCCAGTGAAAACTTGAAGACAGAGCAAAAGAAATAATACACCCTGAAGAAAAGAGAGCAGAAAAGACTAAACATAATTAAATACAACCTTTGTGACTTGTGGGACCACATAAAAAAGATAAGCAAATATGGCTAGGCATGGTGGCTCATGCCTGTAATCCCAGCACTTTGAGAGACCAAGGTAGGAAGGTTGCTTGAGGCTAGGAAGTCAAGACCAAGACCAGCCTGACCAACATAGCGAGACTCCTTTGCTACAATTTTTTTTTTTTTTGTTAGCCAGATGTGTTGGTATGCACCTGCAGTCCCAACTTGGGAGGCTGAGACGGGAGGATTGCTTGAATCTGGGAGGTCAAGGCTGCAATGAGCCATGATTGTGCCAAACTGGAATCCCAGGAAAAAGGGACTGATAGCTTGGAAGGGAAAAAAATCTTTGAAGAAATAAATTTACAGATTCAAAAATCTTGCATTTAGCCTGAGAAAAATGGCAGATTTCATGGCAGAACATTATAAATTTTCTCTGACATCTCATTAGAACTAATAGGTGCCAGAAGAGAATGGAACTATATCTTGAAAGTGCTAAAAGTAAAATGAGAAAGGAGAGGGAAGAGGGGAAGGGGAGGGAAGGGGAGAGAAAGAAAGAGAGAAAGAGAGAAAGAGGGAGAAAGAGAGAAAGAAAGAGAAAGAAAGAAAGGAAGAAAGAAAGAGAAAAAGAAAGGAAAAAGAGAGAGAAAGGAAGGAAGGAAGGGAGAGAGAAAGGAAGGAAGGAAGGGAGAGAGAAAGAAAGGAAGAAAGAGAAAAAAAGGGGAAAGAAAGAAAAAAAGAAAAATTAAACTTTTAAATTTAAAATTCTGTATCCCGTAAAATCATCCTTTAAGAATTAAGATGAAACAGAGATATTTTCGGATAAAATAAAACTAGAGAATTCATCACCAGCAGACAATACCATAAGAAATTCAAAAGTTCTCCAGGCTGAAGATAAATCACACCAGATTGAAACATGTTTCTTCTGTAAGAAATGAAGAATATCAGAAATGATAAATGTGTAGGTAAATATTTTTTAAAACAATTTTTTTCTTAATTTTCTTAAAAGACATATGGCTATGTAAAGCAAATGTTGTAAGATTGAATTGTGGGGCTTATAACATTTCTATACATAAAAAATAACAACTATAGCATAAAGACCAGTGTTGGGAGGTAAATGAACTTATATGATTGCAAGTTTTGTTCATTTAACATTAAGTGGCACACCAATAACTTTAAGGAGATTGAAACATTAAAAATGTATGTTGAAATTCCCTATAGCTACCACTTGAATAACAACAACAAGGAGAGCAACAATAATAACACAAAAGGGACAGCTGAAAAGGTAATAGAAAAATTAAAATGAAACTCTAAAAAATATTAAACTAACTCAAAAGCAGGAAAGGAAAAACAGAAGGACAAAAAATTAATGGAACAAACAGAAAATTAATTGTAACATGGTAATCCTAAATCTCCATCAGAATGTAGGCTGCATATAGGCAGATATCATATTCATTTTTGTTCATGGTTTATCTGAAATGTCAAATGAATGAATAAATGAATGAATGAGTGATTAAAAGAACGCTTATTGCACACTAACTCCTGAAGGTCTTGGGTGTCTTCTTGACTTCTTCTGGTAAATATGACTATATTTTACATTGCTGTTATTCTACTTGCTAGAAAGTTTTCAACATTCTTTTGTGTAATTTTTTCTGTAACTAACTCCCTGAAATGTGTGGAAAGACCTAGGTCAAAAGTTGAATTGAATAATTCTTCATGTTGAAATTGTACAAATCCACTTGTCAAGAAAATAAGCTCTGCTTCTTCACATATCAGCCAATGCACCAAGGCAAAACCTGAGAGTTGCCTCAGGAGGTCTCACAGGATTTGGTGACTTACTTTGGCTTTTGCTGTGAGATATGGCTGTTGAAAAACTAATAAGAAATACTTTTGATCATATAATCAATTTTGAATCTCAGGGGATTTCAACTGTAAGAAAAAGTACAAAAAAATCTCCAACCACATTGAAAAGTTTGAAGGTATAAGAATGAGAGTAGGAGATCCTTTTGAAAATCAAAATTCTCTATTTTTTGAGATAATATTTAAATATTAATGTTTGTGGACCAATATAGTAACCCAAGAGACTCTTCTTTTGAAGACAAATTCTAATTGATAAGTTCCCACTGAAGATACAGTTTTTCCGTAAAAAGTGGGAGGTGGACTGAAGGACTAATTCATTTAGCAGCTATTTATTGAATATTGACTGTCACAACTTAAGATTTATTTTTTCTCAGGTGAAAAATGATGCCTAATTGAGGATCTTGTAAGGAAACTCACTGTAATAGAAGCCAGGTATACTAGAAAGTGGAATAGATTGGGAGACTGTCATTCATGAGTAATTTATGCGATGGCTGATTTCTAAAAGAAATCTTGGAATTCAACAAGAAACCTAAAATCAGAAAGTCTCATTTTAACTCCTAGCTCTGCTACTTACCATCAGGTTTCCTGAAACAAACCACAAGGCCTCTCTGAGACCTGTTTCCCTCATCTGTAAGATAGAGAAATAGCAGCACTTTCCTAAGATGAAATGAGAAAATAGATGTGAAACATTGTAGTGTTGGATAAGTAAGAGAGTAATCAGAACCAAGAAGAAATATGTAAAGAAAAAAACATATATTTGAAAATTTGTTTGCCTTTCTACTTTTATGGCACTTGAAGCAATGTTGACTTGCTTGTACATTTTACTTTGATGTTTTCTACCTGCCTTTATTAATGACAGGACCATATTAAATAGTAAACCACTAAATAATACACCCAAATATATTAGTAATTAAATATACAATAAAATAGTATTTACAATCAATGGAAAAGGAAGAATTATACCATGAACAGTTTGAGGAGACATAAAATTCAATTCTTTTCTTATTCACATAAATTCCATCATGATAAAAATTTTAAATATACAAATGAACTAATAAAAGTACTAAAAGAAAATGTGGATATACTGTGTTTATTTTAAGTCTTGCTTGGAGTGAGAAAATTCTTTCAAAACAAGGCACAAAACTGCAGCTATAAAAAGAGTGATACATTTACAGATACAAAAATTAAGAACTAGCCAGGTGGATGGCTCATATCTGTAATCCCAGCACTTTGGGAGGCTGAGGCAGGCAAATCACTTGAGCCCAAGAGTTCGAGACAAGCCTGGGCAACATGGCAAAATCCAACTCTACTAAAAATGCAAAAAATTATCTGCATGTGGTGACATGCACCTGTAGTCACAGCTACCCAGGAGGCTGAGGTGGGAGGTTCATCTGAGCCTGGGAGGTCACACCACTGCACTCCAGCCTGGGCGACCAGAGTGAGACCCTGTCTCAAAAATAAAAACAAAAACTGCTATGTAGAAAATTATACCATACACATAGTAAATAAATAAATAAACAAATAAAGCAAGAGCATATTGCAACACATAAAAATGAACAGAGGGAACTTGTTTTCAATATTAAAGAGCTATGACAAATTTGGAAGAAAAACAATGAAATTACATAAATAATATGAACAGGCAATTCACAGAAAAATAAATAAAATGGCTTCCAAATTTGTAAAAATAATCAGGTTCATGAATAATTTTAAAAATGTAAATGAGAACATTGAAATATCTTTTTTTCATCCATAAGATGGATGAAGATTTAAAAAACGACAATATAGCATAGCCAAGGGTGCAGAGATTCACTTTCATACACCGTGGGTGTGAGTACAATTTGGTAAAAGGTCTTTGAGCAAGAATTGGGCAAAATCTGCTCAACTTCTAAATGCCCAACTTTTTGGAGAGCAAAGATATACCTACATGACCATTTATCATAATTACTTTTGTGTAGCAGCAAGAAACTAAAAATAATAGTTTTCCATTCATAGACAACTATTAAAATATAAAACATTTATTTAGTAGTAAAGTAAAAAGCCATAAAGGAAGAATGAAGTAGAGTTTTATTGTAGCTCTAAAATATATTGTTAAGTGACTAGAAAAAAATCCTAAATATTATATATGGTATGTGCCTTTTATGTAAAAAAAATGTGGCATGTTTGTTCTAGTAGACTCAAAAAATTGAAAAGATAACTGCTCAATAAATATTCTTCAAGTGGATTAACTCACCTGCTTCATTGAATGACATGATAGGCCCTGTTTATCTATGATGAAGCTATACTTTTCAAGGCTTAAAGCTCCCCTTAGAATCCCTCTTTGCCTGCTTCTAATGTGCTCAGAAGAAAGCACATACATATACCTGTACATATATACATACACATAGACACACATGTTTTCTTTTAAATAATAAGTAAGCATTAGGAAACATATCCTTTAATAAACGTTCACAAGCAACAATTAATAATCCAAAGAAGCTGCTAACGTTTGTTAATTGCAAATGACATGAGGTTAAACCCAAACTAGCTTATGCAAAATATGGCATTTATTAGGTTTGGCTTTAAGCACAGCCATATTGAGGGGCTCAGATGATGTCCTAGAGACATTTCTTTTCTCCTCTTCTTTCAGGTCTCTTTTTCCCCCCTGAGGGTTGATTTCATTCTTTACAAATGTAGTGGATATCTTTCATCTCTTGGACAATGAGGTAGCAGGCAAATTTAGGCTTGCATTTTTTCTGTTCCTTGAACCTAGAGGGTGAAGTAAAAACTCTCATTCTGCTCCCAAGCAGAAAATCTCAAAGAAGAGCTCTGATTGGCCCAGAAGAGGTTACATGCACTCCTGTGAAACCAACACTGTGGTCAAGAACACTATGTGTGGTTAGGGCCAGGCTTACCCACTGATCTTTGTGCTAGCATTGAAGAAGTTGGGAGGACTACTGTGACTTGTAGGTCAGCCAGAATCAGGTGATTCACATAACATAATTACTTTCTTACAGTGGCTCCATTTGAGAGGGAATCACTGCACATCTTTTAGCACTGCTGATGAGGGTGCTGCCCACTTCTTATAGATGCATGATAAATGCTGACCCACAATTCTTTCTTTTTTTGAAGACCAAGAATTAAAGAAACAGGAATTACTATGAGTTGAGAGATAAAATAGGATACATTGTTTTTCTCTCTCTCTCAACAGTATTTTTCTTATATTAGCTGAAAATTAAAGACATTGAGGTTTTGATTGGTCAGCGTATACAGCTGAGTTTTTCAACAGGAGTGCTTATTTGACTATGAATTTATTAGGACAGGGATTATGTCCAATAGGCTTGCTGTTATATCAGCAACACCTAGTACATAGCCTGAAATATGGTGATGGCTCAATAAATATTTGTTGAGAGAAGGAAAGAAGGAAGGAAGGAAGGGAGGGAGGAAGGGAGGGAGGGAAGGAAGGAAAGGAGGGAGGGAGGGAGGGAGGCAGGGAGTTTGTTTAGCCTCATACTTTTAGATCCTTAAGGCACCAGATATAAGTATGCCAAAGAAAAGCTTTGACTCTAAGATGAAAATTCAGTTGAGACTCTTATCAAATCATGTAATACAAAGAAAATCATGTTTTGTTTTTGTTTTTTTTTCTTAGCAGAGATGGCAGTTAAGACCAGAGATAAACAAAAAGTATAATTCACATATTTACTCCATTAAATATTTTGTGGCTTAAGACAGTTTTCTTTTTATAATGGTTATGACATTTTTGAAAATACACACACGTACCCACTCAATAAAATGTGTTATCTTATTTTTGCTTACCTGTACCTTCAGGAACTGTCTTCATCTCTCTGGACAATAAAGCTGAATGCAAGGCATCCTGCCTACCTTACTCAGAGTTAAAATGCACAGGAGGAAATCCTGAGACTTTTTAGAACAGAACTTGCAGTTGAAACATTAGATAATATTAGCAGACAACATACACATTGAAGAAAATCAAATATAGAAATATGGAGAACTCCTACTAAGTATTATGAAAAGAAAAATAGAATATAGGTTGCTATGGGCTGAAATTATTATGGAGTGGCTTTTTGTAGATTATTTGGTAATGTAAGTAGAACTTGAAGTAGTTGAGAATAATTTAAAGAGATGAATGACAATAGAGAGGCAATGTCAAGAGCAAGGGCAAAGATGAAAGAACAGGAAGGCACAGGGTTTTCTCTGGGTCTCAATAAGAGAATCCAAATGACTGGGGTACAAACCATAGGTGAGGAAAGCAGAGCAGGTGTGATAGCCCAGTGGCAGGACCTGGAATGTCAGAAAGAGAGGTTTGAACTTATATTTGATAGTCATATTAAAGCTATCAGAAGTTCTTGAGTCTAGGACTGACATGAAGAAAGTATGTAAGTAAGATTAGTTCTTACCTCGAATGATTAAGAGGTAGAGAGACCCCAAACAGGAAGCCCCATTGGAAAGGTATTACAGAGTGATGTTAGCAAGATGATGGAATAGAAGGTTCCAGCCCTTATTCATTTACAGAAACGTGGACTTAACATCCACCCATAGTCAAGAATACCTTCCTGAGATCTCTAGATTTCAGGTAAGACATTACAGCACTCAAGTGAAGAACAGAAAAAGAAAGGACACGTTTCAGAGAGTAAGAATAGTTACACTTTACCCACGCCACTTCTCTTGCAAGCCAACACAGCACAGCACTGAGGAAGATTCCATCAGCCTGTGGGTTATTTCATAAGGGAAAGGGAGAGTGATGTAAGTATCTGACTTTGCCATGTATCCTGGCAGCAGGCTTGCCTTAGACCAAGACATTAGGCCCACCTGCCCATGGACTCAGGCATCACACCTATCAATCTGTAGACTCTAGCAGTAGGCCCATCCATGGACTCTGCCACTAGGTCTGCCCACCCACGGACCCTGCCAGTTGGTCTGCTTAGAGTCTCCGACCATGGTGGTGAAAGGCTTTCGTTGCTGAAGCAACGAATCTGTAAAGACTGGAAGAGATGACCACTTCTTCAAATGCATAGACACCAATGCAGGGCTACAGGGATCATAAAGAATCAGGAAACTATGACGCTGCCAAAGGAAAAAAAAAAAAACTTCAGTAAATGAACCTAAAGAAATGGATATCTATGAATTACCTGACAAATAATTTAAAATAATTATCTTAAAGAAGTTCGGTGAGCTACAGGAGAACATGATAGACAACTAAATAAAATCACAAAGCAATACATGAACAAAATAAGAAGTTCAACAAAGGGATAGAAACAATAAAAAAGCATCAAACAGAAATTTTGTAAATGAAGGACACAGTGACACACTAAAAAAATTCAATAGACAGCTTCAACATCAGACTCAATCAAGGAGAAGAATCAGTGAGCTCAAAGACAGTTTACTTGAAATAACACAGTTAGAAGAATAAAATAAACAAACAAAGAAAATGAGTGAAAAAAGCCTATAGGACTTATGGGACACCATCAAACAAAACTATATATGCATTACAGTAGTTTAAAAAAGAGAAGAAGGAGAAAACGAAGAAGAAAGTTTATTTCAAGAAATAATGGCTGAAAACTTCACATTTCTAAGGATGAAAATGAACTTTCAAATTCATTAAGCTTAAAGGATCTTAAGTAGTTTGAACCTAAAGATGTCTACACTTGAGACACATTATAATTAAATTGTTGAAATTCGAAGATAAAAAGAGACTTTTGAAAGCAGCAAAGAAAGAATGACTGGTCACATACAAGAGAACCCTTAGAAGATGATCAGTATATTTCTCATTAGAAACCTTCCTGAAAGTGAGGAAGAAGGTGGGTAATATATTCAAAATGCTGAAAGAAAAAAAAAACTCTGCCAACCCTGGCAAAACTATTATTTAAAAATGAAGGCGAGAAAGACTTTCCCAGACAAACAAACACTTGAAGCAGTTTATCACCATTAGAATCTGCCTTACAAGAAGTGCTAAATAGAGTCCTTCAAGTTGAAATGAGAGAACACTAAACAACACAAAAGCATATGAAAGTATAAATCTCACTGGTAAATGTAAATATATGGACAAATACAGAATAATGTAATGTCATAATGGTAGTGCAAAAATCACTTTTAACCTTGGAGTAAACATTAAGAGACAAAAGTATTAAGAATGGCTATAACCACAAAAAATAGTTAATTAATACAAAATATAAAAAGTAAATTCTGACATTAATAACATAAAGTGTGTGGGAGGAGGAAGTAAAATTATAGCTTTCATATGCAGCTGAAGTTGTTATCACCTCAAAAAATCCTGTTATAACAATAAGTTTTATACATGCCACATGGTAACCACACAAAAAAATCCTGTAGCAGATTCAGAAAAGATAGAGAAAACAATCAAAGTTTATCACTATAAAAAAAATCATCAAACAAAGGAAAATAGTAGGAGAAGAAGAAATGAACAAAAACACTACAAAACAGACAGAACATTACCAACAAAATGGCAATAGTAAGCTCTTACCTATAAACAATTACTTTAAATGTAAATAGACTCACCATCCAAAAGATAGAGTGGCTAAATGAAATTTTTTTAAGATTCAACTATATGTTGTCTACAAGAGACCAACTTTAGATGTAATGGCACACATAAGCTGAAAGTGAAAGGATGAAAAATATATTACTTTAAGACAAACTGTCACAAGAGACAAAGAAAGTTATTACATAATGATAAAATCAACTTGACAGGAAGATATAACAATTATAAATATATATGCACACTATATCAGAATATCTAAACATATAAAGCAAACATTGACAGACCTGAATGGAGAAATAGACAGCAATACAACAATAGCAGGGGACTCCAATACCCCACTTACAGTAATGGACAAATCATTCAGACAGAAAATCAATAAGGAAACAGTGGAATTGAACAATACTGTAGACCAAATGGACCTAATGGCAATATACAGAACATTCTATCCAACAGCATCAGAAAACACATTCTTTTCAAGTGAGCGTGGAAAATTATCCACCATAGATCACAAGCTAGACCATAAGACAATCCTTAAAAAATTTAAGATTCAAGTCATTCGAAATATTTTTTCAGCCACAATAGGATGAAATGAGAAATTAATAACAAAAACAACACTGAAAAATTTATAGGTACATGAAAATTCAAAAAACACATTCTTTTACAATCATTGGGTCAAAGAATAAATTAAAGGGAAATTAGACAATATTTTGAGACAAATGAAAATGATAATACAACATATCCAAACTTATGGAGTGCAGCAAAAGCAGTACTAAGAGGGAAGATTTATAATAATAAACACCTACATAAAAATAAAGACCTGAAATAAATAACTAACATTATACCTCAACAAATTAGAAAAATAACAAACTAAGCCCAAAGTTAACAGGAGGAAGAGAATGGAGATTAGAGAAAAAATAAGTGAAATATAGCATAAAAAAGCATTGGAAAACATTAATAAAAGAGTTGGTTATTTAAAAAGATAAGCAAAATCAACAAAAGCTTAATTAGGCTAAGAGAAAAAGAGATAAGGCTTACCAAAATAACATGTTCCAGAAATGGAAGAGGAGACAACTACAACCAGTAATGAAATGAAAAAGATAAAGAAATAAGAAAGCTCATAGAGAACTATTAGTGAGAATTATATGCCAACAAATTGGACAACATAGGAGAAATGGATAAATTTCTAGAAACATACAACCTACCAAGACTAAATCAAGAAGAAATAAAAAGCTTAAACAGACCAATAACTGTTTCTATTTAACTGTTCATTCAATATAAGGAGACTGAATCAGTAATCAAAATCTTCCAGCAAAGAAAAGCCCAGGACCAGATGGCTTCACAAATAAATTCTACCAAACATTAAAAAAATTGACACGAATTTTTATTACACTCTTTAAAAAACAGAAGTAGAAGGAACACTTCCAAATTCTTTGTGATGTCAGCATCACCCTAATACCAAAGCTGACAAAAATATCAGATAAAAAGGAAACTACAGGGCAATATCCTCAAAGAACATGAGTGCAAAAATCCTCAAATAAATAATAACAAACCAAATTTTTCAGCATATTAAAAGGACCATACATTGTGACCAAGAAGAAATTATCCCTGGAATGCAAAGATGGTTCACATATGCAAATCAAACAATATGATACATCACATTAACAGAATAAAGGATAAAAATAACATGATTATTCCATTAGATGCAGAAAAAGCATTTGGTGAAATTCAACATCCTTTTATGATGAAAACTCTCAAAAAGTTAGGTATAAAAGGAACTTACCTTAACACAATAAAGTCCATATATACAAACTCCATATACACAGCTAACATTATAGTGAATGGTGAAAAACTGAAAGATTTTCCTCTAAGATCAGGAACAAGACAAGGATGCTCACTCTCACCACTTCTATTTACCATAGTATTAGAAGTTCTAGCCAGAGAAATTAAGCAAGAAACAGAAATAAAACATACCCTAATTGAAAAAGACAGCATAAAATTAACTGTTTGCAGATGACATAATCTTATATGTAGAAAAACCTAAAGATTACACAGACAAACACATACACACACACAACCTATTAGAATCGATAAACAATTTGGCACAGTTGTAGAATACAAAATCAACACATATTTCTATACACTAACAAAAATCAACTGCATTTCTATAGATAAACAATGAATTATTCAAAAAGAAAATTAAGAAAACAATCTCATTTACAATAACATCAAAAATAATGTAATACTCTGAAATAAACTTAACCAAGGAGGTGAAAGGCTTATATACTGAAAGCCATTAAACACCAATGAAAGAAATTAAAGGAGATACAAATAAATGTAAAGGCATCCTATGTTTATGTATTAGAAGAATCAATCTTGTTAAAATGTCTACACTACTCAAAGCAATCTATAGATTCAGTGCAAGCTCTATTACCATTCCAATGACATTTTTTAGAGAAATAGAAAAAGTAATCCTGACATTCATATGAAACCAGGAAAGACCTGAAGAGTCAAAGCAATTTTGAGTAAGAACAAAGCTGGAAGTTCCTGATTTCAAAATATGTTACAAAGCTACAGCAATCAAAATAGTATGGTACTGTGGCATAAAAAACAAAAACCAAAAACATATAGACCAGTGGGATAGAATGGAGACCCCAGAATAAACCCATGTATATTTGATCAGTTGATCTTTGACAAGGAAGTCAAGAATACACAATGGGAAAGGATAGTCTCTTCAACAAATTGTGCTGGGAAAATTGAATATCCACCTGAAAAAGAATAAAATTGGACCTTTATCTTATACCATACACAAAAATCAATTCAAAATGGGTTAACTACTTAAATGTAACACCTAAAAACATAAAACTTCTAGAAGAAAACACAGAGGAAAAACTTCTAGATATCAATCTTGGCAATAATTTCTTGAATATGACACCAAATACACAGGGAACAAAAGCAGTATTAGACAATTGGGATTACATCACCCTGAAAAGCTTATGTGCAGCAAAGGAAACAATTAACAAATTGTTAACGAATTGTTAAATGTAGCCTACAGATGGGAGAAAATATTTGCAAGCCATATATCTGATAAAGAGTTAATGTCAAAAATATATAAGGAACTCCTGCAACTCAATAGCAACAAACAAAAAAATAATAAAAATAACTCATTTAAAAATTGGACAAAGGGCCTGAATAGACATTTCTCCAGAGAAGGCATACAAATTGCCAACAGGTATATGAAAATATTTCCAACATTGCTAATCAGGGACATGTAAATCAAAGCCACAATAAGATATCACCTCAAACTAGTTAGGACAACTATTTTCAGAAAACCAACAGATAACAAATGTTGGTGAGGATGTGTAATAGACAATAAAGAACCTTGTACAATGTTCTCAAAGCCACTATGTAAAACAGTATAAACTTTTCTTTAAAAATGAAAAATGAAAATACCATTATTATCTAGCAATCCCACTTTAGGGTATGCATCCAAAGGATTTGAAATCAAGATCTTGAAGAGATATCTGCACTCCCATGTTCATTCCATTATTATTCACAACAGCCAACACATGAAAGCAACCTAAGAGTCCATCAACAAATGTATGAATAAAGAAAATGTGACATTCCATGCTCATGGATAGGAAGAATCAATATCGTGAAAATGGCCACACTGCCCAAAGTAATTTATAGATTCAATACTATCCCCATCAAGCTACCACTGACTTTCTTCAAAGAAGTGGAAAAAACTACTTTAAATTTCATATGGAACCAAAAAAGAGCCCACATAGCCAAGACAATCCTAAGCAAAAAGAACAAAGCTGGAGGCATCACGCTACATGACTTCAAACTATACTACAAGCCTACAGTAACCAAAACAGCATGGTACTGGTACCAAAACAGATATATAGACCAATGGAACAGAACAGAGCCTCAGAAATAATACCACACATCTACAACCATCTGATTTTTTGACAAACCTGACAAAAACAAGAAATGGGGAAAGGATTCCATATTTAATAAATGGTGTTGGGAAAACTGGCTAGCCATATGCAGAAGGCTGAAACTGGATCCCTTCCTTACACCTTATACAAAAATTAACTCAAGATGGATTAAATACTTAAACATAAGACCTAAAATCATAAAAACCCTAGAAGAAAATCTAGGCAATAGCATTCAGGACATAGGAATGGGCAAAGACTTCATGACTAAAAAACCAAAAGCAATGGCAACAAAAGCCAAGATTGACAAATGGGATCCGGTTAAACTAAAGAGCTTCTGCACAGCAAAATAAACTATTATCAGAGCGAACAGGCAACCTACAGAATGGGAGAACATTTTTGCAATCTACCCATCTGACAAAGGGCTAATATCCAGAATCTACAAAGAACTTAAACAAATTTACACACACACACACACACACACACACATACACACACACACAAACAATCCCATCAAAAAGTGGGTGAAGGATGTGAACAGACACTTCTCAAAAAAAGACATTTATACAGCCAACAAACATATGAAAAAAAGCTCATCATCACTTGGTCATTAGAGAAATGCAAATCAAAACCACAGTGAGATACCATCTCATGCCAGTTAGAATGGCCATCATTAAAAAGTCAGGAAACAACAGATGCTGGAGAGGATGTGGAGAAATAGGAATGCTTTTACACTGTTGGTGGGAGTGTAAATTAGTTCAACCATTGTGGAAGACAGTGTGGTGATTCCTCAAGGATCTAGAACCAGAAATACCATTTTACCCAGCAATCCCATTACTGGGTGTATACCCATAGGATTATAAATCATTCTACTATAAAGACACATGCACACATATGTTTATTGTGGCACTGTTCACAATAGCAAAGACTTGGAACCAACCCAAATGCCCCTTAATGATAGACTGGATAAAGAAAATGTGGCACATATACACCATGGAATACTATGCAGCCATAAAAAAGGAGGAGTTCATGTCCTTTGCAGGGACATGGATGATGCTGGAAGCCATCATTCTCATTAAATTAACACAGGAGCAGAAAACCAAATACCACATGTTCTCACTCATAAGCAGGAGCTGATCAGTGAGAATACATGGACACAGAGAGGGGAACATCACACACTGGGGCCTGTTGGGGGGTGGGGGGCTAGGAGAGGGATAGCATTAGGAGAAATACCTAATGTAGATGACGGGTTGATGGGTGCAGCAAACCACCATGGCACATGTATACTTATGTAACAAACCTGCACGTTCTGCACATGAACCCCAGAACTTAAAGTATAATAAAAAATGTATGTAAAAAAAAGAAAATGTGATGTATGTATACAATGGGATATTATTCAGCCTTAAAATGGAAAGGAAATCCTGCCATTTGCAAACATATGGATGTACTTGGAGGATATTATGCTAAGTATTATAAGCCAGACACAGAATGACAAACACAACATGACACTATTTATACAACAAATATAAAATAGTCAAACTCTTAGAAGCAGACAATGAATGGTGGTTGCCAGGGACTGAGGAGAGGACATATTAGAAGGTGTTAGTTGAAAGTTTCAAAGGTTTGGTGATACATAATGAATAAGTTCTAAAGGTTTACTGCACGACATAGTGCTTATAGTTAACAATACTGTATAGTATACTTAAAAATTTGCTGAATGGGTAGATGTTATATGAAGTGAGCTTATCACATACACACACACATACATACAAATAATATATAAGAGGAGAGGGGAAAAATTTTGCTTTATATTTATCTCCAAACTCGTCAAGTTGTACATATTAAATATGTGTAGCTTTTTGCATGTCAATCCTACCTTAATAAAGTGGCTTAAAAGAGGAAGAGTATTATAAGGTTCAAACCACAAGAAGAAAGCCAGAAGAAAGCAGGTAGTCCTGGGAGAGACACTATACCACTGTGGTTTTCAAGTCTGAGACACTGACCAGCCCCTTTAAGAAAAAAGAAATTTCTCATAGTCCCCATCATTGATATGTCCCTTTTATTATAATGTTATTTACACATACACAAACATAAAAGTAGGAATAAATCATTCATTTTATAGTTGTATATAACCAAAGTAGCAAAATAACTTTTTAGTTAAATGTACTATGAATAAAATTATAAAACAACTAAAATTTAAGTGGCCAAATTAATTGTGATGGATAATCTCACATGGCTAAAAGGAATTCTCTGCTCACATCTAGTCTAGCGAGGTTCTTTGGAGTTTGACTTGTCTATTCACTCTTGAGCCTCAGTTCTTTCATCACACTTTCTCTGTGGGCATTGTTGCAAAGCTTTAGTCCCACGAAGATCCATGATGTCATCTGACTTTCACATGATGCAAGTGTATCACTTTTTCATTAAGATTGCCTCCTTTTTCTTCATTAACTCATGACAACTGAGTACTATTACTTGGATACAATTTGTTTGCAAATACAACAAATACAAACACTGAAATCTCATAAGGTAGTCATGCAGGTAACCCAAGCATGAGAAACATTTGAATGATAAATTCAAATGCAAAATTGTAGCATTATCATAGGATGCCTAAGAATTTGTGGATATCTGAGGCTGCACTGAGAAGCACTAGTGCTATAGAAAGATTTACTGTGCCTACAGCCTCTTTCTAAGGGAGCTGACGTTTCTAAGCTTCTGCTGCTCAAGTGGCTATATCCTGTGCCTTATCACCCATTGGCCTTTCCCCATCTCTGCACTCTGGCCTCGCATTCTGGCCACTGTGGGTTGGGGCAGGAAGGGGGTGTGCACTTGAACCATGAGCGTGGAATCCACTGGCTGGCTAGTGGCCAGAAATTTTTAGAGGCAAAAAAAGAAGTTGGAAACATTTCCACCCTCTCACTTTTCTCCCCAAAATATGGAGGAAAGTTACCAATCGACAACACACACGAATGCAGAAAGGTGATGCCAAATAACAGCTAGAGAGCTATGTCACTCATAAGTAAAGTGAAGTTATGGGGCCATGGACACCGTAACCATTTTGAATCACTCTTCGGTTTTAGACGCCTATAAACCCAGCTCAAGTTAATGTCAGAAAAAAAAAAAAAAAAAAGGCTGGGCGCGGTGGCTCATGCCTGTAATCACAGCAGTTTGGGAGGCCGAGGTGGGCGGATCATGAGGTCAGGAGATCGAGACCATCCTGGCTAACACGGTGAAACCCCTTCTCTACTGAAAATACAAAAAATTAGCCAGGCATGGTGGTGGGCGTCTGTAGTCCCAGCTACTCGGGAGGCTGAGGCAGGAGAATGGTGTGAACCCGGGAGGCGGAGCTTGCAGTGAGCCAAGATTGCACCACTGCACTCCAGCCTGGGCGACAGAGGAAGACTCCATCTCAAAAAAAAAAAAAAAAAAAAAAAAGGAAATGTAGGCCCAGTGCCGTGGCTCACGCCTGTAATCTCAGCACTTTGGGAGGCTGAGGTGAGTGGATCACCTGAGGTTGGGAGTTCAAGACCAGCCTGGCCAACATGGTGAAACTCCATCTCTACTAATAATACAAAATTAGCCAGATATGGTGGTGCATGCCTGTAATCCCAGCTACTCGGGAGGCTGAGGCAGGCAAATTGCTTGAACTGGGGAGGCAGAGGTTGCAGTGAGCCAAGTTCATGCCATTGTACTCCAGCCTGGGCAACAAGAGTGAAACTCCGTCTCGAAAAATATATAAATAAATAAAAATAAAAAAGGAAATGTAATTGCTCCAAGATGGGAAAATCAATGATTTCATCTGAACCAAGCCTTTCTCTTTCTACTAGTTCTATTATCCTATATGTTTACTTTATTCCAAGACATCACGTGAGGGTAAGAAGGAAAGTGGGCACATCACTCTACCAATAAATAAAAGTCTTGCATCTCGTTAGCTCTAACCAAGTCTATGGGCCCATCCCTAAAGAAATTTGTGAGACCTAAAGAGTTTAAGGCTCTGATTCACATGCCCCATCCTTAGAGTAATCAATTATGTTGTTACATCTTCTATAAGCACATGGACTCAAAACAAGAGCAGATGTTCCCCAGACGTGAACTTGGAGAAGGGTAAAGGGGCATTTGGCAGCTGGGTAAAGGGGCATTTGGCAGCAACAGCATCACATATCCACTACACATCCCTGTAGGTCCCAGTTTCTTTGTAGATTGGTTATAATAATAATCCTTCTCTGCCTCTCTCTTAAGACTGCTGTGAGAATCAAATGATGAAGTGGATGTAAAAATGTTTCTGAACTACAAAATGCACACAACATAAGGTATTATTGCTTAAAGGGCTCACTATCTCCCCTTTTCGAGTGCACAAGCCCATAACCAAGCTGAATGGGCAGTTTCCACCCTACTGACTGTAAGAAGTTTCCTGGGATCAGTTCCTCTTGCAGGATTCAAGAGTGTACCCCTAATTTTATTTTGGGCAGCACATGTAGTTCACAAAATGCAAACATTTCTCATTTTAATTACCTCCACTGGAACTTTATGGAGTCATTCATTTTCGTGATACTAAGGCTTTCCCATTATCCACATCTTCTTTTACTTCACAAGCTTAGAAGGCATGGACAACTTGCATTTTTACCGGAATGTAGAATGGAAGAGAATGGTTGTAGCTCAAAAGAGGAAGGGGCCAAGAAAGCTAACAACTTCTGCATACTGAAGGCTTCCTTGATTTTGAAATGCATATGTTTCAACAACCAGAGAACACTGCATTCCTCGCATGTCTTCTTTAGGACAGTGCACAATTTGAAGTAAGATTTGTTAGGTTAGATTGGTGTTTAGGTAAGCAACCCTTCAGGGGGGATGGCCAGTGATGAGAGAGGTGGCAGATTTGGCAACAATAATAGTGAAACAATGGGGCCTGCTTTCTGGGTGTCTTTGATGGAAAACTGAGCCTGGGTATTCCTGAAAGAAGCTGAAAACTAAGGCACGTATGGAAAGGTTCTGATGAGAATTTTGAGTTATAAATTGGAAAAGCATACGTGAACTTCTGGATTTTTATAACTGTATTGGATATCAATCCCATCCTTAGTTCTAAGCAAATTCAATATATACTTGTGCCAACTTTTTATATACAACTCGTGTCAACATAAGGATTATATTTTTTTAAGGTAATCTTTGGAGAAAGATGGCTTGGAAATCTATCAATTCCTTGGTAATCTGCAGGCCACTGTAGCATAGAGTGCCTTTTTGGGAATAACAAAATGGCACCTGCTCCAAATGGATAAGTACAAGAAGGTGTGTTCTCCTCCAGGCTAAGGCAGTGCCTTACTAAGGCTCTTGCCTGGCTCAGGATGGAATCCCAGGTACAGGCACAGATGATACACTCACAAAATAAAAACTTGACAACCTGTGCATCCTAGTTTATTTGAATTTGGGGATACAGAAAGGACAAAAGAGACATACCTGTTGTTTTAGACAGTGTTTTAGGGGACAGCTCCTTAGAGCAGAAGTTAATGAAGGGCCTGAAAAAGAATTAACTAAAAAGACATTTTAAAACTTGGGTGCATGATCTTCAACCCAAGGAATTTCTATGTAGGATGTCAGGGGTAAGAGCTAGATGTGCATCTTGGAAATGCTCCCTGTGATATGCTGATGCCCAGTCCCGGCTGCATCAATTATTTCCTGGCCGGCTTACTGAGATCATTGGATATCTCTTTTTTTCCTCCCTCCTTGAGTTTATTGGGTTCCTCAACATGCAGTCAGAAATAGCTTTCTGAGACACCCCTTCTCTCTCCTTAGGAACCCACTGTTCAGTAATCTCTCCCTCCTCTTAATTCTTTTAGCACTTTATCTTGCTCACACAACACTTATCACCATGTTCTGTATTGTAGTTATTTATGAACATGTCTTATCTTCCAACACATAAGCCCCAAAAAGGCTGAGACTCTGCGACATCCAGAGGTCACCCACTGGGGCCCTTGGATTGCTTTCTGCCTGCGACTGCAGGCATATTTTACTTGGCTTTGCAGCATGTTTAAAACTTTTCTGATACTTGACAGCTTTTAAAAATCAAGAGATATTCCCCCTACTCTCCAATTCTCCCCTAAACATAGTGACCATTGTACAATGATTTTTTGGTTAAAATATTTGAAGACCTGTCAACACAGGCCCCACATTCCTGGGATTGCTACCGTTGAGTGGAGCTGAGCAGCAGTTTCCCCCTTCAACTGGGGGTGGTAGTCTTCAGTTCTCGGTAGCCTCCACCACTCTCTATTGTCTTACTGGGCTGCTGTGTCATTCACATTTCCCTCCTGGCACTTGTTGGACATTTGAATTTGTAACCCCATTAAGTAATTTTGATTTCTACACAGTATCTGACTTTTTATAGGGGCTTCATAAATATTTTTCAAATGGCAAAACCAAAGTCTAAATGCTCCAGGGGATGGGTACTTAAGTTCATGTCTTTCTCTAAGCTGCCAGATATGAGTTCATAAGAAGAACCAAAAAAAGTCTATTAGATTTTGTATTGTGGCTTTCCCCAGTTAAGAATTATGAGCTAGTTCCTCATTTTCAAGAGCTTTATCTAAATCTCTTTACTCCCCAGCTGCCAAGTAGCTAAGCCATCCTTCTCAAGCTGGAGGAAATGATACTAAACTTGGGAATTTCAGTGAGCAGGTTGTCCTTAACCAGTCTCTCTGAATTTTTGTGTTGTAGCTTGCTATTCATCAGGGCTTTCAAAGTTGGCTTCATGTAACTCTCCTCTGGAAAGTCCCTTAGGGAAAAAGTTTTTTTCTGGAAATACTTTTTTTTTTTTTTTGACTGCCAGGATAATCATCACTTTTTAGTAGGAGATCTAAATAGGAGAGTGCTTTCAACACTGATTTCTGATAAACTCATGTCCTCAGTCATCTAATTAAAGTCCCTCAATGCTCTCCATCCCCATACCCTCAAGTCTAGGATGGAACCAGTCACGAAAATTTTAGGAGACATGTGAGACATTTTAAAATTTTATTAGTCTTGGATTTATATTTTGTGGTTACCTGCTATTAATGGTAAATATTACAATTTTTTTTGTCTATATAGTACAGTGATAATATTTCCCTTAAAAATATTTTAAGTATAACATTAAATTCATTGTAAGAAAAATAAGGAAATAATAGCCTTGATAGAATGACTGGCTCCCTCTCATCCTTCAGTAATGCTGCCTCTTCAGAGAGGATCACCTGGACCATCCTATAGGAGATGGGTCTTGTCTCCCATTTTCCTATTACAGCATCCTGCCTCTTTCCTTCCACAAGACTGTGTTGTTACCACAATCTGTTAATCTTTTAAAATATATTTATTCTCACCATGCAGCCATAAAAAGGAACAAGATCATGTCCTTTGCAGGGACATGAATGGAGCTGGAGCCATTATCCTCAGCAAACTAACTCAGGAACAGAAAACCAAACACCCCTTGTTCTCACATACAAGTGGGAGCTGAACAATGTGAACACACAGACACAGGGAGGGGAACTACAAACTGGGGCCAGTCGGATGGGGTGCGGGGGGGAGGGAACGCATCAGGAAAAATAGCTAATGCATGATGGGCTTGATATTATGCCTAGGTGATGGGTTGATAGGTGCAGCAAACCACCATGGTACATGCTTACCTATGTAACAAACCTGCACATCCTGCACACGTACCTTGGAACTTAAAATAAAGTTTTTAAAAAATGTATTTATTCTCAGCCAGGTGCGGTGGCTCACACCTGTAATCCCAGCACTTTGGGAGGCCGAGATGGGCGGATCAGAAGGTCAGGAGATCGAGACCATCCTGGCTAACATGGTGAAACCCTGTCTCTACTAAAAATACAAAAATTAGCCGGGCGTGGTGGCGGGTGCCTATAATCCCGGCTACTGGGGAGGCTGAGGCAGGAGAATGGTGTGAACCCGGGAGGCAGAGCTTGCAGTGAGCGGAGATCGTGCCACTGCACTCCAGCCTGGGCAACAGAGCGAGACTTCGTCTCAAAAAAAAAAAGTACTTATTCTCTTGATTATTTTATGTATCTCTCACTGCATTGTGAGTTCCTTGAGAACAGAGCCCTTGTGTCCTGTTCACTGCCATATTTCCAACGGCCAGCAGAGTGCTGGGCAACATGGGTGCTCAGTAGATATCTGATGGATGAGTGAATGTTCTTCCTGCCCTTGTACCTTGGTGGGTTTCCTCTCATCATTCAAGGCTCATCCAGTGCTTGAGGTGCTCCTCTGAGAAGACTTCCTGCCCCTTCCTCAACCAACATAGGTAGTCACTCTCTTTTGGGTTCACAAAGCATCATCTACACACCACCATTATAGTATCAAATACAATAAATTGTAACTGGGTTAAAGGTCTCTTTGCCCCCACAAGACCATGAGCTCCTTGAATACCCAGCCCTTCCCACTCTGCCCCATACAGACATCATCTGGTATTCATCCTCTATTTTTTTAACTTTTAGGGGTACATGTGGAGGTTGGTTCTATGGATAAATTGCATGTTGCAGGAGTTTGGTTGCAGAATATTATTTCATCACCCAGGTAATAAGCATAGTATCCAATAGGCTGTTTTTCAATCCTCACCCTCCTCCCACTCTCCACCCTCAAGTAGTCTCGGGTGCCTATTGTTCCCTTCTTTGTGTCCATGTGTACTCAATGTTTAGCTCCCACTTATAAGTGAGAATGTGTGGTGTTTGGTTTTCTGTTCCCGTGTTATTTTGTTGAGGATAAAGGCCTCCAGCTTCAACCATGTTGCTGCAAAGAACATGATCTCCTTTGTATGGCTGCATATTATTCCATGGTGTATATGCACCACATTTTCCAAATTTTCTTTTAACTTTTATTTTAGGTTTAGGTGTACATGTGCAGGTTTGTTTTATAGGTAAGCTCATGTCATGGGGCTCTGGTGTACTGGTTATTTTATCACCCATGTAGTAAGCATAGTATCTGTTAGGCATTTTTTCTGATCCTCTCCTTCCTCCCACCCTCTACCCTCAAGTAGGTCCCAGTGTCTGTTGTTCCTCTTTTTGTGTCCATGTGCTCTTGTTATTTAGCTCCCACTTATAAGTGAGAACATGCGGTGTTTGGTTTTCTGTTCCTGCATTAGTTTGCTAAGGATAAATGGTCTCTAGTTCTATCCATGTTGCTACAAAGGACATGAGTTCATTCTTTTTTATGGCTGCATAGTAGTCCATGGTGTATATGTACCACATTTTCTTTATCTAGTCTACCGTTGATGGGCATTTAGGTTGTTCCATGTCTTTGCTATTGTGAATAGTGCTGCAATGAACATAATGCATGCATGTCTTTATGGTGGAATAATTTATATTTCTTTGGGTATATATACAATAATAGGATTGCTGGGTCTAATGGTAATTCTGATTTTATTTAATAGTTCTTTGAGGAATGGCCACACTGCTTTCCACAATGGCTGAAACGATTTACACTCCCACCAGCAGTGCGTAAGCGTTCCCTTCTCTTTGCAGTCTCACCAGCATTATTTTTTTTTCTATTTTTTAATGATAGCCATTCTGGTGGGTGTTAGACAGTATAGCTCATTGCAGTTTTGATTTGCATTTCTCTAATGATTAGTGATGTAGAGCATTTTTTCATATGCTTGTTAGTCATGTATATGTCTTTTTTTGAAAAATGTCTGCTAATGTCCTTCACCCTTATTAATGGGGTAATTTTTTGCTTGTTAATTTGAGTTTCTTACAGATACTGGATATTAGACCTTTGCAGATGCATAGTTTGCAAATATTTTCTGACATTCTGTGGGCTGTTAACTCTTTGACAGTTTCTTTTGCTGTGCAGAAGCTCTTAGTTTAATTAGGTTCCATTTGTCAATTTTTGTTTTTCTTGTAATTGCTTTTGGCATCTTCATCATAAAATCTTTGCCAGGGCCTATGTCTAGAATGGTATTTTCTATGTTTTCTTCAAGAGTTTTTATAGTTTTAGGTTTTATATGTAAGTATTTAATCTGTCTTGAGTTAATTTTTATATGGTGCAAGGAAGGGGTCCAGTTTTAATCTTCTGCACATGGCTAGCTAATTATCCCAGCACCATTTATTGAATAGCGAGTCCTTTCTCCATTGGTTGTTTTTGTCAACTTTATCAAAGATCAGATAACTGTAGGTTTGTGGATTTACTTCTGGGCTGTCTATTCTGTTCCATTAGTCTATGTGTCTGTATTTGTATCAGTGTCATGCTGTTTTGTTTACTGGAGCCTTGTAGTATACTATAAAGTCAGGTAATGTGATACCTCCAACTTTGTTCTTTTGCCTTAGGAGTGTTTGGCTATTTGGGCTATTCTTTGTTTCCATATAAATTTTAGAATAATTTTTTCTAGTTGTGCTAAGAATGTCATTGGTAATTTGATAGGAATAGCATTGAATCTGTACATTGCTTTGGGTAGTATGGCCATATTAGCAATATTGAGTCTTCCTATCCATGAGCATGTAATGCTTTTCCATTTGTTTATGTCATCTCTGATTTCTTTCAGCAGCGTTTTGTAATTCTTGTTGCAGAAGTCTTTCCACCTCCCTGGTTAGCTGTATTCTTAGGTATTTTATCTTTTTGTAGCTATTGTGAATTCAATTGCATTCTTTTTTTTTTCTTTTTTTTTGAGATGGAGTCTCGCTCTCTCACCCAGGCTGGAGTGCAGCGGTGCAATCTCGGCTCGCTGCAAGCTCCACCTCCTGGGTTCACACCATTCTCCTGCCTCAGCCTCCCGAGTAGCTGGGACTACAGGCGCCCGCCACCACGCCTAGCTAATTTTTTGTATTTTTTAGTAGAGACAGGGTTTCACCATGTTAGCCAGGATGGTCTCAATTTCTTAACCTCGAGATCCACCCGCCTCAGCCTCCCAAAGTGCTGGGATTACAGGCCTGAGCCACCGCGCCCAGCCTCAATTGCGTTCTTGATTTGGCACTCAGCTTGGGAATTATTGGTGTATAAAAATGTGACTAATTTTTGTACATAGATTTTTTATCTTGAAAATTTGCTGAAGTTGGTTATCAGAGCTAGGAGCTTTTGGGGCGAGACTATGGGGTTTTCTAAGGATAAAATAATATTGTCTGCAAACAGAGATCATTTGACTTTCTGTCTTCCTATTTGGAACCCTTTTATTTCCTTCTCTTGCCTGATTATGCTGGCTGAGACTTCTAGTGTTATATTGAATAGGAGTGGTGAGAGAGGGTATCCTTGTCTTGTTCTGGTTCTCAAGGGAAATGCTCCCAGCTTTTGCCCATTCAGTGTGATGTTGGCTGTGGGTTTGTAATAGATGGCTCTTATTATTTTGAGGTATGTTCCTCCAATGCTTAGTTTGTTGAGGGTTTTTAACATGAAAGGATGCTGAATTTTATCAAAAGCCCTTTCTGCATCTATTGAGATTATATATGGTTTTTGTTTTTAGTTCTGTTTATGTGATGAATCACATTTATTAATTTGTATATGTTGAACCAACCTTGCATCCCAGGGATAAAGCCTACTTGATCATGGTGGATTAGCTTTTTGATATGCTGCTGAATTTGGTTTGCTAGTATTTTGTTGAGGATTTTTGCATAGATATCCATCAAGAATATTGGCTTGAAGTTTCCTTTTTTGTTGTTGTTGTTGAGTCTTTGCCAGGTTTTGGAATCAGGATGATGCTGACATCATAGAATGAGTTAGAGAGGAGTCCTTCTCCTCCATTTTTTGCAAAGTTTCGATAGGAATAATACTGGCTCTTCTTTATATGTCTGGTAGAATTCGGCTGTGAATCTGTCTGGTCCTGGGTTTTTACTTGTTGGTAGGATTTTTATTACTGATTCAATTTAGGAACTCGTAATTTGTTCAGAGTTTGAACTTTTTCCTGGCTCAGTCTTGGGAGGTTGTATAATTCTAGTAATCCTCTATTTCTAACATGGTCCTTCTCATATCAAGGAAAGCCAGCTACTTTTAATGACTTTATTTTTATCCGGAGCTGACTGGAGTTGGAAGTGAGGAGGAATAGCGAAGACGATGTGAAAACAGCTGTTAGCATTTGTGGGATGTCCGAGCTATGTACTCATGGCTTGTAGATGTATCCATAAAACTATCCTAGTATTTTATTTCTCTATGCTTACATCTGCAGAAAAAAAACAAACTTCACCATCTAGTGGTACAAACCTTGAACTGCAGACATACATCCACCATTTCCTTATTCTTTATCCCATTTAACAGCTATTTATTGACTGAGCACCCACTTACTATGTGCCAATAACTGACCCAGACAAACCTCTGTTCTTCTTTAGTCCCTCATGTATTGATCACTTTCTGCAGGTGGATCATGTTGTTTGGAGCTTTGGCGCTTGCAGTTTGGTGTTGACAGTTTTCGGTAAACAGAGCCATGGGAGGTCAGGTTTTTTGGTGCGAAGGTCAAACCCTGGCATCTCTGGGACTCATACAACTTGCTGTTTTGGACTGATTAGTAACTATTAAAAATGTAAACAAGCTGGGGAGATTTAGAACCCAGAGGATTTCACACATGCAGACGTACACACCCCACAAGGACTTGAGTCCTCTCTGGGACAGTCACGAGATTTGGCTGCTGCTGCTGGTATTCTTGCATTTCAACAATTGGCTGGAGCTGAGAAGCAGCTGCCCCTTTAGACGCAGCTACTCTGTCAGACCCACATTGGCTGTTCTGTCCACTCACTTATTTCAGTTTGATCTCTTTTCCGAGATATCCAGGCATTTGGTGGATTTTGATTCTCCATGTTTATTCCTAAGGAAACTTATCTCCAAATCTCTCCAATCTTTCTTCCAACAAAGCCCAGTTTCCAGAAGAAGTAATTATAACTGCACAATTATCAAGGGCATAATATATTTCTTGATAACCCTGACATAAATTAAGGGCCATTTATTTGTCTGGGTTTCTGTTCCTGTTAAAAATAATCTCTTTGCTCAATGTCCCACACTTGGTTATTTTCCTTCCTCTTTGCTTGGTGAAACAGAAGGCTCTTTTAGAGATTTTGACTGTTTCTCATTATTATTTATCCAACAGATACTTAATGAGCACTTCCTAAGTGCCCGGACCTCTGCTTCATGTGAGAGATGTATCTGAGAAGGGGACGGACATGCACCTAACGGTGCCAGCGATGTGGCCATTATGAAAGATCGTGATGTTGTAGGAACATACAGAAGGAACACTGTGCCTAATATGGGGATGGGAATAGGATCGAGGGGATGTTCCTAGAAAAATTAATGTTGAAGCTTAGACCTTGAGATAAGTAGTGATTTGCCAAGGAGGGAGAACCTTGCACAAATGCCCAGACCAGATTCGAGAGAGTCATGGGGCATGGAGAGGAACTGAATAGTGTCCTTGAGCTCTGCCGAGGAGCACAGACTTTATCTGGAGGGTAACAAGGAGCAAAGAGAGCTTATGAGCAAGGGAGTGAATATTTAGGTCTGTGTTTTTAGAACATCACTCCATCTCTTAAAACTTATTTTAGGAGACTTGGCTGAGAGCTAGGGCTCTCATTCCTTTAGACACTTTCTAGTTCAGTTTTATAAGGGACAAGTTTATTCTGAAGGACTCCAGGAGAGGCACCATCAACATCCTCACAGTGCTGCTGTGCTGGCTGTTGCTTCGCCCCTGGGGCCTCTCTTGTTTTGCCCTTTAGATTCTTGTTGTTTTTGCCCCACTTTCCTTGTAGATATCTCTTGTTTTCTCTGTAGTTCCCTCATCGCTTTCCACGTAATTAAGGCATCTTCCTGGAGCTACTGAGGGTTTGTGGTTGCCTGGAGAACCACAGCAACAATGTCATGAGCTCCCCCACCCATCCCAGGGAGCCCTGGGATCAAAAAGTCAGCTTCAAAGCCTAGTTGGAAGTAGTCAATGCAAAGCCAAAAGTCAACAAACATTTCTCCAGAGTCTTGGCACCAGAAGGCCTTTCTCTTGTTCCTTTTACTCAATTCCCAGCTGGTTAGCAGCCTGAACTTCTGCCTACCATCCCCTTCCATGGCAGCTCCCAACTGTGCTGTAAGATTATTGAGGGAGGCTAGGAATAGAGACTTAATACTGAGAAGACACTTAAGCACTTGATCCAATCCAATTCCCTATTTTATCAAGAATACCGTCCTGCTTCCTGACTTCCTGACTTTTGAAATGAGCTAGTATGGGTGCCTGACACTGCTGGTTCTGGTTTGAGCACATACAGTCACTGACTACGTGGACTCAGGAAACTATTTCACTTCTTTGGGCCCTGGTTTCCTTTTCTGTAAAGTGAGAATAATAATCCCTGCACTGCCTACTTCACAGGGTTATTTTGAGGAGGAGAAAATGACTCTATAGTTGCATTCAATCATTTACGAAAACATATATTGATTACTCAGCCATGTGCCAGCTAAAGGGGGATGAAAGCTCCTGTTAAACTGTAACGTGTTACACAAATATCACATTCTCAGATGTAGAAAACTCATTATCGACTGGGTCAGACTGGGTGTGTTTGTCCTGCTTCCCTCACCTGTCTTGCCTCCAGTTAGGTTCTTGGGTATTGCCCGCATGTAAACATTCAAGGCAAAGCTTTAGCAAGAAACCTAATACATAGAAAGTATTGACTAGCATTAGAAAGAGCTATGGTGACAAGGCCTCTGTGTATTTGAAAGCTTCATTAAGTCCCGCTGCAGACGGCCATATGTGATAGGATGGTATATCACACTTTTCCTATTATTCCAGTATTGACAAGTAGAACCCCAAACAATGGACAAAGAGGATCTAGTGCCACATTCTAAAGATTGCCAGCAATAGCTGGAGCCAGAACACTGTTCCCCCCACAAATCCCCAGGGCTTCTTAAAAGTCAAAACTGGCCCTGCTACCATGAGCCTTTCCGCTTTCTCCTCCCTCCTTCTTTCTAGGCTATGTAAGCAGACGTCTAGGAAAGGAGGAAAGGGAGGGAGAAGGAGTCATTACAGGAGTCAGACTGTAGGGAGGAAAGTGTTCATGGAAGGATCTATAGGGTTTAAAATCCCAATGGGAAAGAGATGGGATCCTCAAATTAGAACAATTCAGAGACGGTTTGCTTGTAAGGAGGAGGCACAAAGGCTGATGCAGTCACCCAGGGGTAGTGGCAGCAGAGGTGTTTCTAATTCTAAGCCCAAAGGGACGAAAGGAGGGAACTGCATTAAGAACCAGAAGGAGAGAGCCATCTTCAAATCTTTTAGAAATATTTTCCAGTGGTCAGGCAAGAGATAATGGTGGCCCTAATATAGAACTGTCAGGACAGTTGGAGAAAAAGGTGAAAGTATGAGAGCTATTTTGAAAACAGACTTATCAAGCCTTGTGGATGGAATGAATTAAAAAGAAAGAGAGGAGAAAAGGGCAACTTGTAGGTTTCAGGCTTGGGAAGCTGGGTTTTGCTTGGGAACATGATAGGGGTTTGGGGTTGGGTGGGAAGATCCACTCAATTTTGGACCTGCCAGGTTGAGATGAAAACATCTAGGTGGAGGTGTCCAGCATTCAGATGGATATGGCATCTGAGGCTCAGAAGAGAGACATCAGCTGGGGATGCAGAATTACATGTGAACAATAATAATTACATGTATTAAAGGCTGTCATGTAAGATGTCCAAGATGCTGAAAATATGATGCTTAGTGAATGAAGAAAGCAGCTCTTGGCATTTTGAAAAATTGTCTTTGCTACCTTGGAATTATGGCCACTCCTGAAAGAGATAATACCGTTATGCTCTCTTATGGTAATTACTACCCACAAAACAGCTGTTTTGCAGTAGAGGGAATTAAGGTTCAGAGATGTGAGTATAGTAGCTAGGATTATTACCCTTGCAAGTGACCAAAAGTCCTGTTTAAACCAGTTTAAATGAGCAAAGGAATTCATTGGCTTAAATCCAGGGGTGGCTTTTGGTTTGGGGCACAGTTTGATCTAGGAGTTCAGAGAATGTCATTGAGACACAGTGTGTCTACTTTTATATTTGCTCTGCTTTTCTCCATTCATGTATTGGCTTTACTTCATAGCTGGCTGTTTCGTGACAGCAAGATGGTTAGAGCAGCTCCAAGCCTCACATGCTCATGACCTCAAATCTATTGAACAGATAACCTTTCTCCCTCAGAAGTCCAGTTACAGTTCTCAAGTCTTTTCACTGGCTCTAACTGGGTCCTGTTCTCAGCCGTGGCCCATCACTGTGGCCAGAGGGATGGGATCTGCCAACTGGGGGAAGGGTCAGTCCCACCTAAACATTATGATTTCACAATAGAGGAGAGGTATATCCACAAGTGAAAAACAGGGTGCTATCACCTGAGAATTCACTTCACTCAAGTGAAGGAAAAAGACAAAATCCAGTGATCCAGGAAGAAAAGGATCTGTTTGAGGTCACTCAACTTGTTAATATCAGGCCAAAGCTAGATCTCAGGAGTTCACCCCACTTACTTTCTTCCACACTCTATTGCTACTTGTTTGATTTGTTTCCACCAAAGTTCCCAGAGACTTAAGGTGGTCAGAGGTCAGGAATGTGTTAACAGCAATAAGGGTAGTGATAAAAACATTCAAGAGGTCCCAAGTCATTCAGGATCTTTCTCTGGCCCAGGGTCACCAGTTGGCCAAAGTTGGACTAGAGAGTGACAGGGGAAAGGCACTGCCCAGGCTAGTGGGCAGGAGGACAGGTGAGCTGGAGAAGCTGCTGGAGACCCTGCCCAGGTCATACTCTTCTGGTCTGGCAGAAGTCAGACCTCAACATCCAGGGGACTTAGAAGACCTGCAAAGGGAACCAGCCCACAGAGGTTTCTAAAAGCGTCTTCAGTTCATTTTTCACTGCCAAGTTCTTCCATGTGACTTTGGCATTTTTTTTTTCTCTCTGCCTTCTCTGTCAGAAAGTTTTCCTGGTTTTGGTTATTTTTAGCCCAGTGTGGGCCCTTGGGGACCATCAAATCCAACTTTCTTGTTTCACAAAAGAGAGAAATGAGACTCTGTGTTTGAAAGCAAGTTGATTAAGTTCACACACTTTACTATCAGAGTCATCCTCCCACCCATGTCTCCCGACTTCCAGCCCAGGGATCCCACTGTACTTGGTTGCCTCCACCTGTCTCTTAATGATCTCAGTAAAGTGCCTGACTGGCCTCTGCCTTGTTAAGAGCTAAATGGCCTCCCAGGACTCCCAGGTGTGAATAGCTTTTACCTAGAAATAGAGTGGGTTCCCAAAGAAGATTTGCAAGTTGGTCTTTGGAAACTCAGAAACACAATTTCCCTAGGAAGATGGTTTTATATGTTTATAGGTTCTCAGTCTCACTTGCAAATCCCATAGAACCTGAGATAATACGTGCCAACGTGAAAATCAATAGCACATGACTGTTAATTCCTGTGTCTCCTGCTAAGGGTGGGGTACTGAACCACACTTTGGCACTTCTCTATAGAAAGGCTTTAGGGACCTCCGCAGGATATTTATTCTTTGGGAATTAGCTTGCAAGCAGTCTGGGACCCATTTACTTTCTTTGCTCTTTGAAGGATGGCTTCACTTTTCTCCAGGGCTGGCTCCAAGAGCTCATGATTTGTGCGCGTTGCACAGGGACCCACACTCAGAGGGCCATGCATGTGGTTTAATGCTCTGCTGTAGCCGTCCTGAAATCCTGAATAATTTTTTCTTTGAACTTGTGTTCTATAGGTAAAGTCCAATGAGACAGTGGAGCATGCATGGGATCAGAGGAAACACGTGTAATCTATGGGTCCACTGCCATTCCTTGCCTCCCCACTCACATATAACATTTAGGATGCCCTGGACAGAGAAGTCAACTGTACCCAGGACACATGGAGTGCAGTGAGAATCACAGCGAATACAGAGTGTGTTACATCTACTGGGTAAATGGGGACACTGACAGCCCCCAGGGGCCATGCTTTCTGTTCAGTGGCATTCTGAGAAACACAAATGACCAAGGATCCCTTTCATATCCTTTCTTACTCATGTTACTTCCCTGTGTTAGCCACCCACTGAGGCTGAAAATGGTGACACAGAAGGAAAGGGAAATGTGGATGGCCTATAGTGTCTTCTCATTTTACTCCTTCCTTCCTCGCCAGTAAGCTGAAGATAGTGTTGGTAGAATATGCACATGTCAAGAAGTAAAATAAACACAGTTGAGTTTGTTTTTCTTGGCAGCATTTCCACAGTTCTGATGAGGAGGCAATACCTATGCATGTGTGAGCTACCAGATACAGAAAATGTAATTTCAGTGCTTCTACATCAAGCTAAATGCTGTGACATTTAAACTAATATTTAAATGTTATATTTTAAAACTAATATTCTACAATATAAAGACAAGTGGTAAAATTGATGCTGATAATTTTAAATTGTTCTTAGAGCTACATAAATAGCAAAGTAAAAACACTATGATGAGTGGAGAAAGAAGCCATGGAATAAAGAGAAAGTTTTATATTTTGTATCTTTAACAGCACTTTTTTCCTGCCTTTTGAACAAGGAACTCCACATTTTGATTTTGCCCTGTACTCTGCAAAATATGTAGTCATCCCTGCCTCTCCAGCTTCAGTATTTACCTTCTCAAGTTCTGTTCCGTCAATGGAATAGCTGTAACATAACTTGCCATTTCAATCCACCATTAATGCCTAATCATTGCTCTTTCAAATATTAAGTTGTCACTTTTGCTTACTACTATTTGATTTATAAAGGTGTGTATTAGTTTGCTTGGGCTGCCATAACAAAGTACCACAGAGTGGGTGGCTTAAACAACAGAAATTTATTTTCACACAGCTGTGGGGGCTGGAAGTCAAGAGCAAGGTGTGGGCAGGTTTGGCTTTTTTGAGAATTATTTCCTTGGCTTGAAGTCAGCAGCCTCATGTGGTCTTTTCTCTGTGCTTGTGCACCCCTGGTGTCTCTCTGTGTGTCTGCATTTGCTCTTCTTATAAAAACACCAGTTAAATTGGATTAGGGTGCACCAATATGACCTCATTTTACCTTAAGTGCCACATTAAAGGCCCCATCTCCAAATACAATCATATTCTGAAGTACTGGGGGTTAGGTCTGCAGCACATAAATTTAGAGAGAAATACAATTTGACCCACCACAAGAACTTTCTCACTTTTTCTTTTTATAGTAGCCTTGAGAGAGCAGCCAGGACACACATCTTGCAAGTCTATTCATTCATTCAACAAATATTTATGAGTACTTACTAAGCGCTTGATGCTGAAGATGTAACAATGAAGAAAACAGGCAGCTTCCTGCTCTTGTGGAAGTTAGGTTCTAGTGGGAGAGACAGACAAAACATAGTAACAAATAAAACAATCACAGACTGTGAGAAGTAGAAGTAAGATAATATAAATAGTGCTGTGATAGAAAATAAAGTGGGTGAGATTTTTGGTAGGGTCATCACGGAGGGCCTCTCTGAGGAGGTGACAAACATTGAGAAAGATTCCTTAAAAATGCAAAGAGCTCGGGAGAGGAAATTGCTCAGCAGAGGAAACAGCAAATGCAAAGGCCCAGAGATGGGAAAGAGCTCAATATGGTCTAGACACTGACTAAATGCCAGCGTAGTGGAGGTATCAAGTGTAATGTGGAGCATGGAGTGAGATGGCAGGAGCGGGATCGTGTGGGGGCCTCTTCTGCCTTAGTTAAGGAGTTGAGAATTTATTCTGAGTGCAAAGGGAAGTCACAGAAGGGTTGCTGTCAGAAGGGCGGCATGATCTGTTCTGCAGTGTGGGGGATGGGTTGGCAGAAGAAAGGTGTGGGAGATGGGGAAACTGAGTCCTACAGGCGATCACTTACTGGCTTTCATTCACACAAGTTCCAAACGGCAGTACTGGTCAGGTACTTACATTACATTCCTATAAACATGGAGCAGGGCGCCCTCTGCTGTTCCAAGTAATTCTTAATCCACATTGATGGCAAATCTAGGAAATGAAGAAAGAAAACTCCCCGACGCTTAATTATGGAATATACAGGAATCCTCCAATCACATTTCCAAAATTCATACCAAAATTTTGAGGTGAAGAGAAGGGGGCCTGAGGAAGCTCCCAAATAACAGGTTGACTGTTCTTAGGAAAGCTGGGTTGAAGATGAAATCGACTGGCCTTTTTATTTTTAAGAGTAATTAATCACTTGAATTACTCTTACTGTTTTCTAAAGAATTATACATGCTCATTACAAAAAAATCAGACACTACACCAACACAAAAGCAACACATTACTCCATATTTTACCATGTGGGAGTAACAAGTACTTTTGATGAATATTACTTTAGACATCTCTCTGTGCCTGTATATGTACACATCCTGTTGGATAAAAACGTCCTCAGTAGAGATCCCTCTAAAGTTAAAGACATTACTGAAGCATTTTTAAAAACGGACTCATTTTTTGAGCCACACATTTCAATTTTAGTTATTATAGATTGTCTCAGTGTTGTAAAATAGTGTTACAAAACATAACTCATTGTTTCGTTTTTCCATTTTTCTTAGCTCTGCAATGCCTTCTTTCATCTTCTTTATTTTATAATTTATCTTAGAGGTATTGTTTTACGGAATTCATATTCTTAATGAGCTTTTCTCTCTCGGCAAATGTTTCCTGCAAAGGGTCAGGTAGTAAATATTTTAGGCTTTGTGGGCTAAAAGAACTTGGTCACAACTGTTCAGCTCTGCTATTACAGCGTGAAAGCAGCCAGAGACAATACGTAAATGAATGAATGTAGTTGTGTTTCAATAAATGTTTATTTACAAAAACAGGAAGTGGGCCACATTTGGCCCACAGGCTGTCATTTGCTGACCCCTGTTACAAAAGATAAGATAATTACTGTTTACTCTTCCTTTCATCTCACTCTTTTCCAGGTTTTGCTTATATTATTTTCACTTTGTTAGGACTTAATGATACATTCCCTTATACTACCTTCAAGGCCACACAGGATTAGCCTTAGCTGTGAAATTAAATAAACATGGTGTTCCACATGAGTTCTTTTCATCACAGCTTTTTCACTCGAGTTCTTTATTATTTTTCATCTCTTGTTCGATGGGATTACTTGCCAGTTGTGTGTAGTTTGGTTTTGTTTCAAAAAGAGTTCATGAGTATTATATTTCCCGAGCTCTTGCGTGTCAAAAAATATCTGCCCTTTATCTCCATGCTTGGTGACACCCTAGCTTGGTACAATATTTTTGAATCATGTTGTTTCTCTCAGAAGTTGGTGGTCATTACTCCATGTCCCTTGGTACTGGAGTTGCCATGGCAAAGCCTTGAAACCACTTGACTTTTTCCCCCTATAGGGGCTGACTTGCCGTTTTCTGCCTAAATGTCAAATTTTTTTCTGGATTCTTAACACTTAACAGTTTAACCAGGAAATTTCCCAATTTAGACCATTCTGTATCAATTTCTCTTGACATAATTGTCCTCTTTTTTATCCATTAATACCGTTCTTCTTTTCAGAAAACTTTTTAGGTTATATCTTTGAATTCTCTTTTTTCTTTCCTTGTACTCTAAGGATGTCAGTTGTCTTCACGTTGGATAATTTTTTCTCTCTGTATCTACCTTTATTTTAATTGCTTTGTCTTTTCATCCTGCATTTTCTATGACTGTCCCCAGCCATCTCTCCATGACATTTGCAGCTACATTTTTCTCTCCTTTGCAATTTATAACTTATTACATTTATAACTCATTGTTTTGTTTTTCAATTTTTCTTAGCTCCACAATGTCTTCTTCCATCTTCTTTATTTTATAATTTATCTTAGAGGTACTGTTTTACTGAATTGATATTCTTAATGAACTCTTCTCTGTAATTAAGCGTTCAAAAAGAACTTGCACTTCACCTTTGAGTTTTATTTTCTTCCTGAGGGTTTTTGGTTTTGGTTTTGTTTTGCCTTTTTCTTGCTTACTACTTATTTTGTAGTAGCAGATTTGCATAATTTTGTACTGTTTCTTTTCATTTTGCTCATGCTTAACAGGGAGCAGTTTTGTTTGTAGTTTCTGTAAAATGACGCGGATGGATTCTCCTTGATGTCTTTCTCACTTTATCTGGAACTATCGTGTCTTCTCCTCACCAAAGAATCAGTTTCAGAGGTGGGTGTGGCTTTCTATTTATTTTTTAATTAAAGCATATTCTTTTGAATTCTCAGTATTTCGTTGACTACCTTTGCTTTTGGGAGAAGGGCTGGCCTTAGAAGTTGTACCAGTCATATCAGAATCTTTCTTTTCATGGATGCCAAACCTTATGATTCAAGCAGTACCCTTTCCTCTCTAGCCGCTAATGTATTATTTGGCTTAAAAAATAACCATTTCATCAGGTGGGGAAAGAAGTTTCTGTGATCCTGTTTTGCTCTGCTATCTTTACGTGGAGTTGGGTGTTAAAGCAAGAGCCAGGTGCATTTTTGGGAGGAATTAGTTATGAAAAGAAACAGACCAGATGATTTTTGAAGTTTCTTTTAGCTCAACATACTGAGATACGACTATTATGACAACAGGGGTCGCCCGACCGTTGAAAATTACCAAGTTCAACAATGTAATAGTAAGAGGCATTGCAATTGTCAGACCACTAGAGGGCAGATCTTGGCCACAATTGGAAGTAGTCACAGTAAATAGTTACTATTGTCAAATGAATTGTGCTGGAGCTCCTTTAAACTTTTACAAAAAAATCTGAAAAGGACAAACTGCAGGGAAACCGAGCTCAAATTATCTGACAGTTGGGGGCTACTCATTTGTAAAAGGGGTCCCGTGATTCTCTGTCTTGCCATCTGTATCCATCTCCCCTTAGGTGTTCACTTTTGCCAATCCCCCCGTCATCCAAGCTTGAAAACTAGTAAAGCATGCCCAGATCCTCCATTCGCTGTGCTATTTTCCAGCTGGCAGGTAGAAATTTGAAACACCTCGCCCAGAGTTACAGCCGCCCAGCTCATAAATGGTGAAGACCTGAAATGGAGCCCACCTTGCTGGCTCCTGTGCCTTCTGAACACCTCTCCAGGAGAGCAAGCTCTTGTCACTGATACTTCACTTCTAGCATTGAAACCGCAAGAGAAGCAATACCAGCAAGAGATGAATCAAATCCTCCCTTCAGCCCTTGCTGTTGGCAGCTCCCTATGGCATTCTGAATCATTACCCTGGACAGACTTTTGTGACCCAAGGATAAGCCTCCTTACAACAAAGATAATAGAAACCTGCCTTTGCTGCCAAGGATGTTTCATTTGTCTCTCATACTGGGTCTTGCTGCTGGAGGTAACATTTGCCAGCATAAACTTTCAGCCTGCTGTTTACCAAATTCCTCTGTACATCACTCATCATGCTTCACCAGGGAATTCAAGGCTTATTTTGCCCTCCTGGACTGCTTTCCTAGCCTTAAGTCTTTGGCGACACATTACATCACATACATGTAAGACAGATGCCTGCTTTTCCCTCCACTCAGGGAAGCTCTGAACCCACGATGTCAGTAAAATCCTGCTAAAGTTTTCAGATCAGGATGTAAGTTATGTGCTCTGTTAGTAATACAAATTGGGAGTATCCTTGATATGACTGTGTCCTTACAAGAAGAGATGTTTTATTTTCTTCATGTAGATTTAGTTTGGGCTATCCCAGAAAAATCACTGTTTTCTCTTGGGAAATATGTTGGCTTAAATATTGATAGATCTTCCTAAGACCTGATTCCTCCCAACAGGCAGCAGGCAGATCTGATGTTTTGTTTCAGCTGAGCTGTAAACATGATCTGCAGCTGGTGTGGTTTAGTTCACTGTGGATTAAAGTGTTCTGTGTCCCCCAGTCAGATGAACATATGTAGAGAACTATACTTTCTAGTGGCCTTGTCTGGAGCCCAGAATAGTGGAAAGGATATGTTTTTATTGTGATTTATTCTATCAAAGAAATAAATTGGGCCTTAAATTAGGGAAGGGGGTAGGTTTGCTTTTTCATTCCTCTGGGGCTGAAGCAGGTAAGAGTTTGGACTCAATGGGCAAAAAAGACAATAAAATTCTCATGGGGGAGATGAGCCAGTTCTTGAAAGGAAGGAAGGAGGAAAAACACTCTCAGACCTATGGATCATAGGAGTGGTTCTATCTCGTATCAGTTACAAATTTTCATTTTCCTTGCATTATTATCAATATTTCAGTAGACATCAGACCTCACAGCTTAGCATGTGCTGGGTTAAGGAGAATTAGGAAAAGGTCTGTGTTCTTCTGGCATGGGCTATACCAAGACAGGGGCTGTGTCCCTTGGGCTGTGTTCTTTGAGAACATCTTGCAAAAAGATCCTGAGAAACAGTTGTGAGAGGTGACCAGCAGAGGGGCCTACAGCAGTGGTTCAGAGTAAGAGATGGCCAATGATAATCAAGGTGGATTTGTTATTGTGTGAACTATTTCCTGAGAATTCTCAGGAGTAAGAAGGAGGATAAAATATAGCTATTATACAATAAATTGATAAAATATTGAATGGGGGTTTAGATAGAATTATTTGGCTATTAAGCAGAAAGCCTCCCTTGAATGCTAAAGAACCTTGAGAAATTATGGGTACATATTGCTAGAGCTTTCCTCTTTGGTTTTCTGTGGCTTTATATCTCCTAAAATAAACTCACATGAAAAAGATTGAGATCACTGTTATTGAGAAGTTCAAAGAAGAAAATTTTTAATTGCATGATTGATTTCTGTGTGGATTATACCTAAAGACAGAGAAAAAAAGCAGAGTGAGTTCCATTGCTAAACAAACATACTTTTAGTCCTAGAGGGAAATGCAAGATGCCTGCAATTCAAAGAATAAGGTTATTAAAACTAGAAGCATATTTGGAGAAAATGAAACCAAGTAGGTAGCACAAGGAACAGCCTATTTAATCTTTTAATGGTTTCTAAAAGGTAATGGGAAAACCTGGTATCTTAAATGAAGTGAATTTAATGTTATTAACCTCCAGTTCCAGGTGTATGGAATAAAAATACAAATCTCAATATAGATGTAACTGGCTGTTGCCGTGTGACCCATGTTAAGTAAAGTACTCAGTATAAGAAATATTGAAAAACTGATGAATGAATAAGCGATTTGGGGAATAATTGGCAAACCATTTGGGAAAAAATTATCTTAGAGCCATATTTTATATGATGATACACTAGATAATTGTTTTTAACCCACTGAAGATGTTGCTTCCTTCCTGTGGTGATAAATTTAATTTCCTTTGGGAGATAACCTCTTCTGTATATGCAGTGTGGGTGGGACTATAAATTCTCTGCCCTTTTCTGGTCACAAGGTGGCTGTCGCCGAAGTCAGGACAATTGGAGACAGTTTCAAGGGGCTGTGAATGGAGCAACAACAAGAAAAAACACTCATTGAGCACCTGCTCTGGCAGAGATCCCTGTTCCCATGGAGCTTACATCCTGAGGAGTGGGGGTGGAGATGGGTCGAGGACAGTGAGTGTTCCTTCATTTCACTCCTGTATTCTTTTCAGGTCTGCCGGAGCTGCGTGATCTTTCCATCTCCAAGCCAAGCTCCTCAGGTTTTACTTCAATTACATCCACTCTCCCAATTTTTCCAACAAATATTATTTTTGCTTATCTCGAGTCAACTTATTGCTTGAAAACAAAGATGTCTAGTAATTTCATATGGCTTAAAGAAGTGATTTGCAAGCTTCAGATGCAGAAGAATCACCTAGAAGGTGGTTAAAAATACATGTTTTCATGGTCCTTTGGAATAACTTTGATTACTAAGGTCTTCCAAGGGTAATGGGGATGGGCGTTAAAACAAACAAACAAACAAACAAAACAGGTAATCTGGTGCAGGTGATGCTCAAACCACTCTTTGAGAATCACTAGATTAAAGAGTTAATTGATTTTTCTTAAGCATAGAAAGACAAGTAGAAAGTAAAACTTTTATAAGATGAATACAGGGATGACAAATTTCTATTGCTTTGAAGTAAATAGAAACAACTACAAAGGAAATAATATTGATATACTCATGTGAATAAACATTAAACATCTGTAAATTAAAAATTAAAATTAAGGGATAAGAAGCAAGACAGAAAATGTTTTTCATCAAATATGACAGTCTAATATCTATAATAATCTGTGATGAGCTCATTTAAAATTAGACATAAATGGATAAAAGGGTTTATTTTCTATATGAAGGGGAGCACAAATAGAAACACAGAAGAGTGCAAATGGTGAAGAAACACGAATAGTAAAGAAACAGAAATCAATCATGCAATGATTTTATATTAGCTCATGAAATAATCAAGAAAGTGAAACCAAAGTAAAATAAATCATTTTACACCTGCTAAATTAATAACAACAAACAATTCCGAGAAATGCCAACACAGCACTAGCTAGGTTAGGCTACAGTTGCTATACTCAGGCCCTTTTGTGGCAGTTTAATTGAGGTTGAGAAAACTCTCAAAAAGCCGTATTTCCAGAAATAATGAAGGTTCTCCGTCTTCTCTATTCTTAAGGTTTATGAAACCTAGAAGTCAAGACTTCTATTTTAGGACTTATTAATATAAAGGGTTAGATCCCAATTTACCCAAAACTTTAGGAACCCATCAGCCCCTCAGATCTGAGGCCAGCTGTTCCTTAGAGGACTAAAGGCCAATGTTCAACACCTCCCTATGCTGGGGCCGTCAGATTTAGCTCATCATCATTATCATCATCATCATCCTCAAACACATTCAAATGTGTTGCAAAGCACACTTATAATAAAAAATTACTCACTGCTTATCTGACATTCAAATTTAACTGGGCACCCTGTATTTTATCTGACAACCTTACCCCAAGCACACATACCTCAGCCTTTCTTTCTAGGAAGCTTTCATAAAGACACCCATTGAATGGTTCATGAAAACCTCCAGCTTCAGGCATTAGTGGTGCAAAAGCTTAGATCTTTGATTTCTTAGCACCACAGGAAAGGGGAATGGCATTTTTCAGGGCTTCCAATTTGCTAACTCAAGCAGCAACTCTGAATTCAGAATCTACAGTGACTCTCAGCTGTGTCCCTTGATCCTTGATCTTCAGGCTGGATCCTGTTGCCAGCAGCAACTCCAGGAGCAGGAGGATTCTGCATCAGCCACAGACCAGCCCAGAGGAAGAAACAGTTAATTTATCTGAACTTTGGTTTCCCTGTGAGTACAGAGCATGGATAATACTACTGCTCCTGGGTAAAAATAAGACTATATAATTTCATTTGTTTGTATCTACAAAAACAAAACAAACAAAATTTAAAAAAAAAATCAGCTGGGTGCAGTGGCTCACGCCTGCAATCCCAGCACTCTGGAAGGCCGAGGCGGGCGGATTCCCTGAGGTCAGGAGTTCGAGACCAGCCTGATCAGCATGAAGAAACCCCATCCCTACTAAAAATACAAAAATTAGCTGGGCGTGGTGGCTTATGCCTGTAGTCCCAGCTACTCGGGAGGCTGAGGCAGGAGAATCACTTGAACCTCGGGGGCGGAGGTTGTGGTGAGCCAAGATCATGCCATCGCACTCTAACCTGGGCAACAAGAGTGAAACTCTGTCTCAAAAAAAAAAAAAAAAATCAGAGGGATAAATGAGGGACAAATCAAATGGCTCCCATTAAAGGTTAAGCACGGGAATGGCGTTAGACAGGGACAAAGACAGGAAAGTTACTTCTCAGTGTATAGCCGTTTGTGTCATTTTTATTTAGGAGCCACTTTGGCAGTGCTCTTGTGAGAACGACATGAGGTGATGCATGCCCAGCATCCTGCATACTCCGGGCTATTTGCAAAATGCTAGTACTTCCACTGCAGCACCTTGAGCCTCCCACAGGGACATGCTCCTTATCTGCACCTGCTGGTCTATATGCTGAGAAATGACGGAAGTAATCACCTGTGTCCTTAGCGAGCTGCTCTAATATTTATTCACATGAAAACTATGGTGACTCTTCTTCCTGTGCTTTCTGCCCTCTTTTCTTCCTGCCTTCTTCCAGCCATGTCAAGTCCAATTTGGAGCTTCATAAATAGTTCCGGCTCACTACTGCCCACCCCTTTTTCTTTCCACCAGTTAAATGCTACCCGGTTTTCTACAGCAGAGCAGTAACTTATTGTCTTAGATCAAGCAACTCTTAAGACTATCAGGTGTCACGAATTGTGCTAAGGAAAGGATCTGGCTCTAAGCCGGTGTGGTCATGTGGGAAAACAATGAAGTGAGGAAATTTAGGAGGAATTTGATTAATACAAGTAATTTAGAGATTCATTTGCCCTTACTGTCTTCCTGAAACCTCCCAGGCTGACTTCACTGAGTTTCAGGGAGTATCTCTCTGGATTAAGATTTATATGTGGTGAGATTCACTTGCTAGGAATGAAGAGAGAGAAGAAAGGAAGAATGACAGAAAAAAGTTGTATTCTAGATTTTATGAGATGGCCAGAAAATGAAAGAGGTAACCAGAGGCAAAAACTGAGAGACTTGTGCAGCAGATGAGGAAACCGTTTAGTGTAAGTAGCCCATCCTTACCTTTGAGATGGGAACACACAAATTCACTGTGCCCTTGGCACTTTCTTAATGGGTGATCCAAGGCAAGATCCTTCTGGGTTGATTAAATGAGGACACCAGAAGGTTCTTGATGTCCTTGGCAAATCATGCAGCCTCAATGAGTCTATTTCATCAACTGTAAATTGCATATAGCAAGAGCTACTCCTAGGGGTTCAATGAGATCATGAGGCAGTGATTGGGACTCCAGATTCAGGATGCCTGGATTAAAATCCCAGCTCTGTCACTTGTTCATCTGTGTGACCTGGGAGCAAGGTATTGAATCAGGGACAAGTTAGTCAGTTATTTTTCAGAATTTCTTTATGTAAGAATTGAAATACGAAATATTTAGCACATACAGTTGTTGTAAGGACTAAATTAGATAATGCAGATAAAATACATAGAAAAATACTTGGCACATAACATATGTTCAGTAAATGCTTCATAGTTAGTGGTGGTAATGATAATAGTAAAAGATAATTCATATAAAGATCCAGTGCAAAGTCTGGCACATAGTAGACCCTCAGTAGATGTTAGCTATTATTACTCTGGGTTTCCCTGATTTTAGGACTTGCTCACAACTACATCTATTCCCAATACCTGCCTCAGTTCTAGCCTCTCAGTGTAACAGGAACTCCATCCTCACCAGCTGTGTGGGCTGTAAGTGGTTTTGCTACCTTGTGCCAAAGTGAATAATGTCAATGGGCATTTCTTGTTCACGTGGGTCATGAATTTCAAGTCATCAGGACTTCATTTGTGCCTTGCTTTTCTGAGCTTGTTACTGCAACTCTACCAGATACGGAGCCTGGCAGTGAGTTCTAATCTGTCTGTGACCCTGATTCCTCATACATTTGGCTTATTTGATCCTACTGGAGTTGTGCTTCAAACTTAATAGAGCAACTTGAGACTGTGATGCTACCATTCTCATGACGCAGAATAGCTGCTGTGCACACGCTCATGCTGTCCTTGGCTATCTGAGCCTGCCAAGGCTGGATTGAATTAGCTGCAAGCCTTCTGCCCAATTCTGGGGGACCAACTCCTCACCGGGCCTAGGATGCTTCTCTTTATTGGCCATTCCTGCCTTACATTTCCTATCTTCCTGGCCCCAGGTCAAATTGTTCATGATATTTTCAACTATGAGATTCTGTTATTCCTTGTTGAACTGCAGAAGTGTATTATAACTTCAAAAATACTTTTCTGTTTTCCGGAGAAGGAGCAAATGTCAAAATACTTCACGAGTGGTCTTGAGCCAGAATTGCTTTGTGGTTTCATGATGTAGGGGTATCTGGAGGCATAGACTTACTTTTCTATTCATTTCACTTTTCTTTTAGAAGACATTCTTGAGTAAGTATGTCCTGGCACAGTCTGGGTGCTTCTCTCTGTCACGTTTTTTACTTTTCTTGGGGAAAAAATGCAGCGAGCTCAGCTATCATAATGAAAAGCCTCAGAATATGGCATTTTTTAAACAAATGTTGAATACTAGTGCAAGTTATATTTCTGATACTGATGTATTATGCTTCAGCAAGAAGTGTTATCTTGCGAATTCCATTCTCCAAGTGACATTTTGAGAGGTTTAATTGACTCTATCTATTAAATTAGGACCTGGACTTGAAAACATTGAAAGTTTTTAGCTTTTAAGTGAGGGATGTAACACTCAGGATAGAAATTTGATTTTATATCATGAGATCACTCTATCTTTGGTTCATGCATAAGTGCATTTTTGAATTGCTCAAAATTTTTGTTGTTGAATATGAAAAAGCCAGTTAAAATAGAAACTGAGTTATTTGAGCTGCAGCCATTATCTCTACTAGTTATATGTTTGAAAACTATCAGCATAAAAAGCTAAACATGCATGTTGTGCAATACCATCAGAGATTCTGATGAACACTGTTCTTGTCTGTTTCCAATAAGCATTCAGTCTAGTGAGGAGAGAAACTAGAAATAAGACAATTACACTAATTCTTGCAATTTGCATTTCCTACTAACACAAAAACACTTTTAAATAAGCAATATATGTACAGAAATAAACAAAATAAACTACAGGCTTGTATTGAGTTTACATTCTTACTTAATATGATCCAGAGTTCTAGGGTTTAGTGGTATGGGCCAGAGAACTTATTTTTCCATCTGGGAGTTGGTAGTTGAGAAGGATTTTAACATGTGGTAGGAGAAGGGTTCAAGACTTAAGGAAGAGTCTGAATAAAGGCACAATAATGTGGCTGTGCAATATGTGCCCAGGCACTGTGGCATTAGTAAAGGAGATTTATCACTGAAATACTAGGTAGAAGTATGGTTAGAATATGGAAAAGTCACATGTCTAATTTTCCTTTCTGTAGTACTAAATCAAACATTTTAATGAAATTACTGAGTAGAGGCAATACCTACCCATGGGTTTTAAAGATCTCAAGAATGAAATTTTACAACCGTTGGCCAACATATCTAGTTTCACTGGAAATTTTATAAGTATAGAAGAAAGTGGAAATGTTAATAAAGAGAAAGAAGCCAGTTGGCTGTCCCCTACTTGATGAGATTACCTCATTCTTAATTGAAAATGAGCTTGACAAACATAATGACACTGATTACATTTCCCCAAAAACTGGCTTGTAGACCAGAATTCTTTCCTTGACAGGTTCAGTAGGAATTCTACCAGTCAGGACAAATAACATGTGTCATGACGTGAGGTTTTGCTTATTGATGAAAGAGAAAAATCCAGACAGAAGATAGCTTGGTCAGTACAGGATTAAAATAAAAGGAACCTGGTATTGTTAAACACCAAAGTGGAACATTTGGATATTTGGCCATCTTTTGCCTAAGTAAAATTCTGCCTCACTCTCTGACAAGGGTGAAAGTCATACTGATCATTTTAAATCAGAATTTTCCACTTTTCTAGACCAGTTTTGTTGGGCTATCACAAAACTACATATCATAGATTGCTTAGGTTGTATTTTAATCTCTTCTATCATATGTGAGAGACATCCTAGTCTAATCAGCAACATATTCTTAGAGCTAATTACTTCTGCAGTTGGTAATCTCATCTGTTTCACTTGGCTTTAGGAGGGTGACTCATTAAAAAAGAAAATTTTATTGTTTATTTTCTTAGTATGAAATTCATACACATCTAAAGTCATATACATTTGATGTAGAAAATTTGAGTATAAACATAAACAAAAATTTAAAAAACCCAAATCTTCTATTATTGCATATATATAAAAGGAAACATATTGCATATACCATTTACTAACTCACATTTGCCAGAACAATTTTTAAAAATCTTTCTATGTAATTAACTATCCAGGCGTAAAGTTCTTTTTTAATAGCATATAGTACTTTGTTGAATGCATATTTCTTGGTTTACTTGACAAATCCCATTGTTTTGAATATTTAGATTGTTTAAATTTTTGTTTCATTGAACACCCTTGTGGTTTATTTTTATTTTTATTATTTTTTCCCACTCATCCATGGTTATTTGCATGAGATAAATTCCTAGATGTGGAATTACTGGGTGAATCTATGAGCACATTTAAAGGCTTTTGCTTTGAGTGATACAGTACTGCCAAACTGACCTTAAGGAAGTTTGTACAATATATATTCCATACTGCATTGTATGAGAATGCCTGTTTTTCTAGATGAAATATGCCATTTTCTAATTTTTTTTCTCCAATTGATGTGGCTTTTCAAATTTGAGACCTATTAATTATTTTAAAGATGGTGATTGTCCAAAAGTAATAGTAAATTTCCAATATGATCTTTACCTATGTTAAATTTGTTGGTCAAATGAGTCAGGTAAGGAGATTGTTTTTAGATATAGTAGTACCAATTTCAAAGTCTTTAGTACGATGGAAATAATTAGCTATAAATTTAAGTGACCTGGCTTTAAATTCTGGCTCTGAAGTCTCAAGCATTGATGTCTCAAGGATTGAAGTCTCAATCCTATAAGTTCCAGGTTTCTTATGTTTAAAAGGTGTATCCAATATGCCCTATCTATTGGTAGGTAAATTAGACCAGGTGGTTTAGGTATGATTCATCTCATTCTCACTTAGAGGAGTAGACCTTGATTGATATAAACCCAAAGGAATAATCCCATCTCCCTCACCTGGTAACTGATTTAGGGATGAGCAACCCAGTTTAAGCCAATCAACATATAGCATTTGCAGTAGATTGCATTATGTTCAAAATATTTCAAACTCATCCTATCTGGATTTTCTTCCAGAAAGATTTTACTTTTCATCCCATTGACAAAAGCTTAGGCAATGATTTTCTTTGCCCTACAAAATGTGAGTGGAAGTTATCTGTGCCAGTTTCAAGCAGAAGTTTTAAGAGTCACCATATAATTCTGCTATTACTCGTTTATTTCTGCTACAAGATTAATATGTCCTAGACAGTGACTTCATCTTCAATTTGGGTTTCAAAATGAAGAGGAGATGGCTCAAGTCTCAGCTGATCTGCAGCTGCCAACATGCAAGTTGAATGAGAATAAACCTTTGTTACTTTGCAAGCCACTGACAGTTTGGGGTCATTTGCTATCCCAGTACCACTTAGCCTAAACTGACTCATTCACCATTCTTTGGGTCAGTAAATGTTTTTCCAGAGTGGGTGCATAATCTAATTTTGTCTATTAGTGATGAAGCTCAAAGCATTTGTTTGGTATCTGAGCAAAGAAACTCTTTGAATGCTCTGATATATAACAGTGTCACCAGACACCTCACCAAATGAAGTAGCATTTTGTTACTGATAGAAATCAGCCAGAGGAAAGAGCAAACAGATGAGAATAGCACCAAGAGAAATGCAGGGAAACAGAGTACCCTAATCTTAAATCAGTGCCTGAAGCTGACATACCTTTGAACTCATCAGTTAAGTGAACCAGAAAAAATAAATTCCCTTTATAGTTTAAGCCACTTTGAGTTGAACTTTCTTTTATTTGCAGCCAAAAGTATTGTGGCTGATTCAAATGTCCTCTGTAACGTGATTCAGCAGAACACAATTTAGGAAGCATGAAAACAGGACAATACCATGAGATGATAATTTCTAGCAAATGTGTGTGTTATTAATGAGCAATTGAAAGAACACAAAGGTGAAACTTAGAAGAGTTTCTGAAGACAAAGAATTCTCAGATTAGGGTGCAATGTGCTTATTTTAGCTTGAAGTAGAAGTGGAAAACTGCGTGGAGAAGAGGGCAAAGAGGTCATTGCTGATTACACACGTTGCTCCAAGTTCTCAATTCTGTACTCTTCTTTGGTTAGTGCTTCTCACTGCCTTAACTGACCTTACAGGACTTCAACAACTGCCTGCTTAACTACATGTCCATTACTAGCCCCCTGTGTTCTCTTAAAGTCCAGACCTGTATCACAGAGGCGTCTTCCTACAGTCATCATTTGACTGGTAGGGGGCTTAATTAATTAGCATTTGTAAGATGTCTCCAGCCCGTTAGTGGATTAGAGGTAATTTGGAAAGCAGCGCCAAGAGCTTTCTATTACCTTCCTCTCTGCTGGTCTCTTTTCCTGCTTCTGGAGTAACTGGCATTGATGTTGACTCAAATGAACTTAAACTTGTTATCCTGTCTCATTTGATTTTTCATTAAATAGATTCCAAAGTATCCCAGAAACACTTTACAATGATCAGTCATTTCTCCTACAGACTAAACAAATTCAATGTTAATGAATAATGCAGTTTTATAATTGCACAAAGGGTGAAGTGTTTGAAACCACAGATAAAATATCTTGGATTCTTAGAGTTTTCTTTTATAAAAACCCTTCTCCTGTAGCCAACTTGGACATCATAGCTCTCCCATGACCGCCACCTAGTAATCCCTTCCTCACACTTAATGAACGCTTCCTTGACAGTCATAGAATTTAAATGTTTTGTTCTTTTTTTCATACCTTGATTGAATATTTTTTGTTCTGTTCTTATTTAGCCACACAGAGAATGATGCAATTAGGAAATACATTTGGGGGCTAATAAGGAAAGCTTGAACCAATACGGTTTAACAAGATGAAGGTTTGTTTTTTCTCATATACAGGTAGTCTGTAGGTTGACTTTCTATAGTTGTAGAAGTGGTTCTAGGATACCACCTATGTCCTAGACTGCTATCTTTTTATTCTGTCGTCATTAACATGTGACTTCCAACTTCAAGGAGCAAGACAGACAAAGTAGCTCCAGATATCAAGTCTTTATTCCGGGCAGGAAGAGGGAGGAAATATGGAAAAACAAAAAAGAGCCTCTTACCCTTCCTGAAAGCCTTATCCAGAACTTAGTTACCTGGCCACTGCTATCTTAAAATGAGGCTGAAAAAAGTAATTTTGTATCAGTGCACACCGATATCCCTGACAAAACTAGGTTTCTATTCTGAAGGAGGAAGGGAAAATGGGCATGAAATTGGTAATTATCAGCTTTTGCCACACAGCACTTTTTGACAGTATGTCTTAATAATCCTTAAGTCAATAATAAGTTACAAAAATAAGTGAAATACACACCTACCCCAGTGGTCATGGGCCTTTTGGGGTGCTAGATGACTTAATAGAGTACAGAGATCATTTTATCTGGAAGAATATTAATAAATCGTTATTTGCCACATGGTACCCAGCAATGACAAAAAGTAGATGCAAAGGGAGAAAACTTTTTAAAATCTTTATTAGCGTAGCGGAAATACTAACTTTCCTAGGCTTCTTCCTGCAGGTTCACCTGCAATTACTCTGAAGCAAAAGGGACTGGTGTTCCTTGTCCAAGAGCCCTGTCTAATCTATTATTCTTCTAGTTGGATTTTTGTTAGCTACTATATGTTCTGTACCATATTAAAGGTGGGTTGCTTCATGAGTTAAATATAAATAGGACAGCACCCCAACAGGGGAAGCAGAAGGCCACAGTGGGATTCTAAATTTGTGTCAACAACAACAACAATAACAAAACAAATGATACTTGTTGTGCAACTATCTAGCCATTGGCCATTTTCAAAATCTTTCTGCCTTAGGGAGATAATGACAGATTATTTGGGGTTGGAGGCAGTGTAGGGAAGAGATGGATAGGAGAAGACTAGGCAATTTTCTGAGTTTAGTGTAAGAAAAATGCCCAGTAGATAGAAGCTTAGCAGGTATTCAGTCAATGCTCGTTTCCTGTACCCTTTGTGATTCTGGAGCTAAGAAGTTTAGAAACTACCAGGGAGTTAAGTTCATGAAAGCATTTCATCTCCACTAAATTTTGTACCATCATCCAGAAGTAATGAAGCAAAATTGCTGAGATCCTTTTCACACCAGGGATTAGAAAACCTTTTCTCTGCCATCCTTTAGTGGCTTACTATGTAGCATTTGTGGCTTAGATCTTACCCAGAAACTACTTCCATCAGCAAAATACAGCATCCTGCGATCCTGTCACCTACTTTTTGCCTTCTCTTGGCTCTAACAGATGTTGTTTTCAGGGAGCCAGAAACAGAACCAATGTATCCTTTGATTCACTTAAGATTGCGGTTCAAGTTTGCGGAGATGCCATTTTTCCAGTAAGGTCTCTTCATTTGTTTTAGTCTGTTCTCACACTGCTATAAAGAACTACCTAAGATTGGGTAATTTATGAAAAAAAGAGGTTTAATTGACTCATAGTTCTGCAGGCTTAACAGGAAGCATGACTGGGAGGCCTTGGGAAATTTACAATCATGGCAGAAGGTGAAGGGGAAGCAAGCACCTTCTTCACATGGCAGAGCAGGAGAGGCAGAAGGTGAAGGGAAAGCAAGCACCTTCTTCACATGGCAGAGCAGGAGAGACAGAGAGTGAAGGAGGAAGTGTCACATACTTTTAAACCATCAGATCTCCTGAGAACTCACTATCACAAGAACAGCAAGGGGGAAATCGCCCTCATGATCCCGTTACCTCTTACCAGGTCCTTCCTTCAGTATGACATGAGATTTGTGCAGGGACACAAATCCAAACAATATAATTCTACCCCTTGCTTCTCCCAAATCTCATGTCCTTCTCACGTTGCAAAATACAATTAACCCTTTTCAACAGTTGCCAGTCTTAACTAATTTCAGCATTAACTCAGAAGTCCACAGTCCAAAGTCTCATCTGAGACAAAGTAAGTCCCTCCCACCTATGAGCCTGTAAAATCAAAAGTAAGTTAGTTTCTTCCAAAATACAATAGGGGTACAGGCGTTGGGTAAATGCTCCCATTTCAAATGAAAGAAATTGGCCAAAACAAAGGAGCTACAGGCCCCATGCAAGTCTGAAATCCAGCAGGCAAGTCACTAAATTTTAAAGCTCCATAAAAATCCCCTTTGACTCCATGTGTCGTATTCAGGGCACACAGATGCAAGGGATGGGCTCCCAAGGCCTTGGACGGCTCCACCCCTGTGGCTCTGCAGGGTACAGCCCAGGGCGGCTGTTTTCACAGGTTAGTATTGAGTGCTTGTGGCTTTTCCAGGTGCATGGTGCAAGTTGTCAGTGGATCTACCATTCTGGGGTCTGGAAGGTGATGGCCCTCTTCTCACAGCTCCACTAGGCAGTGACCCAGTGGGGACTCCCACCTGCCAGTCTCTTTGCTAAAGCATAGCAAGAGTGACCTTTACTCCAATTCCCAATAAGTTCCTTATCTCCATCTGAGACCACCTCAGCCTGGATTTCATTGTCCATGTAACTATCAGTGTTTTAGTCAAAACCATTTAACAAGTCTCTAGGAAGTTCCAAACTTTCCCACATCTTCCTATGCCTCTGGGCCTGTGATGGGAGGGGTTGCCTTGAAGGTCTTTGAAAGGCCCTGGAGACATTTTTCCCATTATCTTGGCTATTAATATTTGGCTCCTCTTTACTTATACAAATTTCTGCAACAGGCTTGAATTTCTCCCCCCAAAATGGGCTCTAATGGGTTTTTCCTTTCTACAGCATGGCCAGGTTGCAAATTTTTCTTTTTCTTTTTCTTTTCTTCTTCTATTTTTTTTTTTTTTTTTTTTTTTTTGAGACTTGCCTTGTCACCCAGGCTGGAGTGCAGTGGCACAATCTTGGCTCACTGCAACCTCCACCTCCTGGATTCAAGGGATTCTCCTGCCCCAGCCTCCTGAGGAACTGGGATTATGGGTGTGTGCCACCACACTCAGCTAATTTTTTGTATCTTTAGTAGAGACAGGGTTTCACCATGTTGGCCAGGCTGGTCTCAAACTCCCGACCTCATGATCCGACCACGTCAGCCTCCCGAAGTGCTGGGATTATAGGTTTAAGCTACTGCAACCGGCCTGGGCTGCCAATTTTTCAAACTTTTATGATGTGCTCCCACCGTGCCCCTACCACACACACCTTTTTATTTTTGAGATGGAGTCTTGCTCTGTCACACAGGTTGGAGGGCAGTGGCACAATCTTGGCTCACTGCAACTTCCGCCTCCCAGGTTCAAGTGATTCTCATGCCTCAGACTCCCTAGTAGCTGGGACTACAGGCACACACCACCATACCTGGCTAATTTTTGAATTTTTAGTAGAGACAGAGTTTCACCATTTTGCCCAGGCTGTTCTCAAACTCCTGGCCTCAAGTGATCTGCCCACCTTGGCCTCCCAAAGTGCTGGGACTGCAGGCATGAGATACCATGCCTGGCCCTCTGCTTCCCTTTTAAATGTAAGTTCCAGTTTCAGATAATCTCTTTGCTCATGCATTTGAGTGTACACTTTTACAAACAGCCAGGTCACACCTTGAAGGCTTTGCTGCTTAGAAATTTCTCCCGCCAGATGTCCTAAATCATCTATCTCAAGTTCAAAGTTCCACAAATCTCTAGGGCAGGGGTACATTGCTGCCAGTCTATTTCCTAAAGGATAGCAAGTATGACCTTTACTTCAGTTCCCTACAAGTTCCTCACCTCCATCTGAGACCACCTCAACCTGGACTTCATTGTCCATATCTCTCACTATTAGCATTTTGGTCTAGACCACTTAACAAGTCCCTAGGAAGTTCCAAACTTTCCCACATCTTCCTATTTTCTTCTGAGCCTTCCAAATTGTTCCAATCTCTGCCCATTATCCAGTTCCAAAGTCACTTCCACATTTGTAGGTATCTTTATAGCAATATCCCACTCCTGATACCAATTTTCTATATTATTCCGTTCTCACACTGCTATAAGGAACTACCTGAGACTGGGTAATTTATGAATAAAAGACGTTTAATTGACTCACAGTTTCACAGGCTTAACAGGAAACATGACTGGGGGGACATCAGGAAACTTACTGTCATGGCAGAAGGCAAAGGGGGAGCAAGCACCTTCTTCACATTGCAGAGCAGGAGAGAGAGGGTGAAGGGGCAAGTGCCACACACTTTTAAACCATCAGATATCAAGAGAACTCACTCACTACCATAAGAACACCAAGGGCGAAAATGCCCCCATGATCCAATCACCTCCCACCAGGCTCCTCCTCCAATTCAACATGAAATTTGGGCAGGGACACAAATCCAAACCATATTACCATTCCTGTCTTCTGCTTATGCTATCTTAGAGCAGCCGTCAGTGTACAAAGTTCAGAAACAGTGTCATTGTCTGGGGAGAGCATATAGAACTGAAACTTTATTTCTTCCCAGAGACATATGCTGTTAATTAAAGGCAGAGTCTAAAGATTGTACTCAGTGTATGCATTGTCACACTGGAGAAAACAGAAAAATCCACTAAATATATTCCAGCTTTATGTCAATCATTGCATGTGTGAGGGTAAGTAGTAAACTGTTTGCTCTATACTGTATTTAACATGAGGGATTAATATTTGCTTAAAATCCTTCAGTGCATCTCCAACTCTTTGGAGAAATTCCAAATTCTCTAGCATACCCTCCAAGACCTTTTGTGACCTGGCCTCTGGTCACTCACCTTTTCAGCCTCATATTTTACCACCATGTACCTTATAATCTAGTCAGACCAAGCCAATCATAATAAAAGTCACATTTTCAGCCAGCTGCTATACAAAAACTTCACCATAAACCCCATTTAGCTCAAAGTGAGAATTCCTGGAAATGGAATTGCTGAGTAATTCATAAAGAAAGATCTGTGGGGCATAGATACTTCTGAACATTGTTCATTTTTGAGTGTGGTTCCATTCTTTTCAAATTCCTTGAGCCTATCATGTGTCTTTAATCACAGTTTCTACCAATTTTTCTTAATTCAATTTCTGGTTGATCCTCTTGTGTTGCAGCAATGTCCTTCATCCTGTCCCAGGTCTGCAATCAACCTGTGGTTGAAGCTCCCATTTGTAACCTCTGAGCTGCAGTCATTTCCTTGGAGTCTCTGGAGCTGCTGTGACACTTGCATTTCAGATTGACACTTGCAGATTGACACTTTTCCCTAGTCATGATTAGGGAGGTCCATCACTGTCACCTACCCAATCTTATGGGTCAATGCTGCTTGCTAGAATGCAAAAATAAATGACAGAAGGGAAACTAATAGCTCACTAAATTACACATCTGGATGGATAACCTCTATGCAGTCTGTTTTTGAGCTTTCATTGGCTAAGAACAAATACATATGTGTATAAAGAATGCTGCAATGAATTCATTATATGTAGCATACCATAATGATTTATATGTATATGCAGTATTTTAATAAAAATATCTCACAAACCTTATAGCAAAGCAGCAACTTTAAATAGGGTATAGCTGTACATACATTTTCTAATTTAGTTCTCACAAAAATCTTGGGATTTAAATAAATGAAATTAAATAATGTTACTATTGTACATAAGGAAAGTGAGGCTTAAGATTACTTAAGTGATTTATTTAAGGTAATATATGGTCGAGGAACTCAACCGCTATATCAGGAATACAAAACTGATAGCTTTGGCTTTGAAACTAGTCATGGATTTATCGTTGTTGTTTGGGGGAAGAATGCAGTAGATTTAATTTTTATAATTTTAAAATATTTGAATTAACCAATAATTTCATATGTATAAACCTCAATACAAATCTGGATTTCCTTTGAAAAATCAGAAAATATGGGACACAAGGTCCTGCCCACCATCGATCACAGAAGCTATGGAGAGGTTGCCCTTTCCAGTGGGGCATGTTCTACTAGGTTAACCATAGTCTAAGTTACTCTCTCTTGTCTTTCCCAGGATTCAGCCTACTTCACTCATTCATATAACCTGCCTGGCTCCTGTGGCCATTTGAAGTTAAGAAGGCTGAGTAACTCTCTGTCTGTTTCTCTCTCTCTCTCTCTCTCTCTCTCTCTCTCTCTCTCTGTAGTTCCTCCAAAGCACTATACTTTGCCATTTCCCCCCTTCTCAGTCGCTCAACTCTCCATTCTATTATTTATATTCAACCAATACAATCCATCTTGTTTCCTGCCTGTCTATCACTATCACTCCCTCTCTCCAACACTTTCCACCCCTGCTAACTCTGGGTCTGCCTCTACTAGCAAACCTCTCTCTTAGTCCTTCCTGCAGTGTACTCTAACTGTCCCCTAAATTTATTATTCACACAGCCTACTGATAGCATCTCCATTGCTCTGCTTACTGTAGCTCAGTAAGAATTCGAATGAATGGATGAGTAAATGCATGGATGGATGAATGGGCAAATGTATGATTTGTTGACTTGAACTCAGGTGGAAACCACTTTCTACTCTCCCTTTCCAGAATAGAAGGAAGTGAATATTAAAAGCTATTTCTAGTGACCTGCCCTTGACTTTTGACCAGAGCATAGCGTATGCCTGAACTGTTGTTGGTCTACTCAGCAAGTGTTTCTAAACAAAAAAAATATCCAGGATGAAAGGATACAACATTTGTTTTCCTTACCAAAGGATCTCAAAGCAATAATATTATGATAATTTAATATTAAAAGGATATTAAAAAACAGATACAGCTGGATGGTCATTTAGTTTTTCAGAATTAAAAAGAGCAAGCTCTAGGATATTAATCACGAAGTACAGTTGAGTGCCAAATTTAGCACTGAACTTCTAGTAGTGACGACAATTTTATTGCACTGAAGAGAAACATTTATTAAACAAGACATTACACTAACCAGTAAGTTAAAAAATGTCTCTTTATCTAAAATATTTTCAGTGACTCTTGTTTTAACTAGGCATTCTGCCATCCGCAAATAATGATATTTTACATACACTTTCACAACAGTTAGACATTTTTCTTCCTTTTTAACTTCTTGCAATTGCACAATTCACCAACTCAAAATTGATTATCAAGTTAAATGCTGCCCTTTTTTGTCATGTCCTTTATAAAATAATTATGAAAGCAATTAATTCATATCATTAATAAAATGAAGTGAAAGGCTTGTAATAGAAAACAGCTGTCTCTTGTCCTTCTTCCCCAGTTTCTCCCTCTTATGGCAATTGTTTCAAACCATTTTAGCCATCTGTTCTTTTAATTAAAAATATTTCTAAATGCTATGTTTTTACTGCTTTTTCTTTACTTATTAATTTTAAATATTACCTACTTGACTCATTATTATGATAAATGTTGGTTCAACTCTCTTATACCATCCTTACTTCCCTTCCTTCCCTCACCTTCTCAATATTTACAGTATTTTTCACTATTTTTAAAATAAAATTTGATTCCAGTCTTTTTCACTTTTGCATACAATAGCCCCTAAAAGTCTCCCTGCTTCTACCCTTGTCTCTCAACATTCTAGTCTCAACACAGTAGCCACAGGGCTTCTTATAAAATGCAAGGAAGATCTTGTACTTCTCTAATCATAACCTTGCAATGGCTCTTCATCTCACCCATAGGAAAAGGCCAAGTCCTTACAACGTCATTCAGGGCCTGCATGCTCTGGCTCTCATTGCAATCTAATATAGTCTCTTCTCCCACTCTCCCCTTTGCCCACATCCTTTCAGTCCTGTTTGTTTTCTTGCTATTTGTTAAGGAGTTCAGTCATACTCTTCCCTTAGGGCCTCTACAGAAGCTGTAGCATCAGAATGAAATACTCTTCTCCCAGATATCTATAAGGCCAACACCCTTACTCTCTCTCAGGTGGACTCTCAGACAGTCCTCCTGTCTCTCAGTCTGTTAAGCCTTTTTTTTTTTTTTTCCAATAGCACTTGCTGCCTTTTGTATTAGTTTATTTTCACACTGCTACGAAGATACTATACTATCCAAGACTGGGTAATTTATGAGCAAAGGAGGTTTATTTGACTCAGAGTTCCTCATGGGGAAAGGTGAAGCAGGCACCTTCAAAAAAAGGAAGGAAGAACTTCCAAACACATATAAAACCATCAAATCTCAGGAGAACTCATTCACTATCATGAAAAAAGCATGGGGAAACCACCACCATAATCCAATCATCTTCCTCCCTTGACACTTGAGGATTACAATTTGAGATGAGATTTGGGTGGGGACACAGAGCCAAACCATACCACCTTCTAACCTACTGAATTTACTTAAATATGTCTTCAGTTTATTGTCCGTATCCCTACTCTTAGCGGAATACAAGCTGTATGAAAGCAGAATCTTCGTTTTGTTTACCAAAGTATGCCACACATCAGCCTAGCATATAGTAGCTGCTCAAAAAACTGGATACATGAATGGATCTATATGATGACTTAATGTGACAGTCTGTAGGGCCAACTGTAATATTATGTCAATTTCATCTTTCTTGCAGTTTACTTTTTCTCCAAGAGTTTGTGATTATCTCTTTCTTCTCCTGTATCTGTCTGCTATCCATATATTCTTCATTACAAATGTTTTATAATATCAGGGTTTTGTTTTTAAGGAGAATGACTGATGCATCTCTAAGTTTAATTTCGGTTTTTAGTAAAAGTTTGTTATTGTGTTAAGAGAATATTCTGAAACTATTCTTAAACAGCTTTATTGAGATATAACTCACAGATCATACAATTCTCCCATTTAAAGTGTACAATTCAATGGTGTTATTAGTTGAATCATGACCCCCCCCTCCCAAATTCTTGTGTTGCAGTTCCAACCCCTAGTACCTCAGAATGTAACCATATTTGGAGATAAAGTCTATCAAGAGGTGATTAGGTTAAAGTAAGGTCAGTAGGGTGGGACCCTGATCTAATATGACTGTTGTCCTTCTAATAAGAGAAAGTGACACCAGTTACCCATGTGCACAAAGGGATGACTATATGAAAACAAAGTGTCAAGAAGGTGGCCAGCTGCAAGTCCAGAAGAGAGGCCTCAGAGGAGCCCCAACCTTGCCAGCACCTTGATTTTGGACTTCCAGCCTTCAGAACTGTGAAAGATAAATTTCTGTTGATTAAGCCATACGGTCTGTGGTATTTTGTTACAGCAGGCTTAACACAGTAATACAGATGGTTTTTAGTGTGTTTATAGATACATGTTACCATCATTAAAGTTGATTTTAGAACAATTTTATTACCTCAAAAAGAAGCCCCAACCCTTAAGCTATCACCACCTCCCATCCTCCGTATCTACTTCAACCCTGAACCTCCACTACTCTACTTTCTGTATCCATGAATTTGCCTATTCTGGACATTTCATGTACTTATAGAATGTGGTATTTTTTGACTGACTTCTTTTACCTTCGCATGTTTTCAAGATTCATTCATGTAGCATGTATAGTACTTCATTCTTTTTCATGGCCTAATAATATCCTGTGTATGAAGATAACACATTTTGTTTATCCATTCATCAGTTGATGGATATTTGAACTGTTTCCACCTTTTGGCTATTATGAATCATTCAGCTACCAACTGTACAAACTTTTGTGTGGACATATGTTTGCATTCTCCTATTCAGTCATGCATCTCTTAATGATGGGGATGTGTTCTGAGAAATGCATCTTTGGGCAATTTTGTTATTGTGGGAACATCATAGAGGACACTTACAGAAACCTAGATGGTATAGCCGACACACCCCTAGGCTCTGTGATATAGCCTATTGCTCCTAGGCTACAAAGCTGTGCAGCATGTTATAATACTGAGTACTCTATGCAATTTAACACCATGGTAAGCGTTTCTGTATCTTAATAATAAATGTATCTAAACATAGAAATGGTATAGTAAAAATATGGCATTATAATCTTATGGGGGAACCCCTGTATAAGTGGTCCATCATTGACCAAAACATTATTATGTGGCATATGACTGTACACCTAAGAGTGGAATTACTGGGTCATAAGGTAACTCTATGATAAATTGTCTTAGCAACTCCCACACTATTTTTCACAGTGGCTGCACCACTGACAGTGTATCAAGGTTCCATTTCTCCACATCTTCACCCACACTTGTTATGATCTGACATTTTGATTGTAGCCATCTTAGTGAGTGTGAAATGCGATTTCACTGTGGTTTTGATTCACATTTCCTTGATGACTAATGTCAATTATCTTTTTGTGTGCTTATGAAACATTTATAAATCTTCCTTTAAGAAGTGTCTGTTCAGGTCCTTTGTTCACTTTTAAATTGCTCTATTTGTCTTCTTTATTGAGTTGTAAGACTTCTTTATGTATTTTGAATACAAGTTTCTAATCAGATACTGACTTGCAAATATTGTCTCCAATTTTGTGTGTTGCCTTTTTGCTTTCTTGATACTGTACTTTGCACCACAAAAGTTTGAATTTTGATGAAGTCCAACTTATCTACGTTTTCTTCTGCTGCTTGTAATTTTAGTGTCATCTTTAAAAAATCTATTATCAAATCTGAGGTCATAAAGATTTACCCTTATTTTTTCTTCTAAGAGTTTTATGATAATTTAAGTTCTTAAATGTAGGCCTTTAATCCATTTTGAGTTAATTTTTGTATATGGTAGGAGGTAGGAGTCCAGCTTTATTTCTTTGCATTTGGCTATCCAGTTGTCCCAATACTATTTGTTGAAAGACTATTCCTTCCTGCACTGAATGGCTTTGGCACCCATGTCTAAAATCACAGACAAGAGCTTATTTCCTGTGTTCAATTCTATTCTACTGATCTGTATGTTTATCCTTATGCCAGTATCATACTTCCTTGATTATTACTGTTTTCTACTAAGCGTTTAAATAAGGTAGTATACATCCTCTTACTTTGTTATGTTTCAATATTGTTTTAATATCCTGGATTCATCACAATTTTATATGAATTTTGGAATCAGCTTAATTTCTACAAAGAAGTTAGGTGAGATTTTGGTGAGGTTTATTGCCTATTTATTTGTGAGTCAGTTTTGGTAGTTTGTGTCTTTCCAGAAATTTGTCTATTTCATCTAAATTATTTTATTGGCACGCAAGTAATCATAGTATTTCTCTATAACCCTTTTTATTTCTGTAAGGGAGGTAGTAATGTCCCTTCTTTCATTTCTGATTCTAGTACTTCGAGCCTTCTCTCTTCTTTTTCTTGGCCAATAAATGCTAAAGGTTTATCAATTTTGTCAGTCACTTCACAGAACGAGCTTTTGGTTTCATCGATTTTCTCTATTGTTTATATAGTCTCAATTTCATTAATTTCTACTCTAATGTTTATTATTTCCTTACTTCTGCTGGCTATAGGTTTAGTTTGCTCTTCTTTTTCCAGTGCCATAAGATGGAAGGTTGGGTTACTGAATTGAGATTATTCTTTTGCTTTAATGTAAGGATTAACAGCTATTTTTCCCTTTTAAAACTACTTTAGCTACATCTTGTAAGCTTTGGTATATTGTATCTTAATTGTCATTCATCTTAAAGTATTTTATGATTTCCCTTTTGGTTTATTCATTGGTCCATTACTGATTTAGGACCATGCTATTAATTTCTACATTTTTCCCAATTATAGTCAGAGAACATATTCTGTATTATTTATATTCTTTAAATTTATTGAGGTCTATTTTATGTCCTGGCATATAATCTATCATGGAGAATGTTACATGTGCACTCAAGAAGAATATATACTCCTAATTTGTTGGGTGTCCTATAAATAGCTATTAGGTCTAGCTAGTTAATAGTGTATTTCAAGTCTGTTTCTTTGTTGATCTTCAGCCTAGTTGTTATAGTCAATTTTTAAAACGGGATATTAAAGTCTACAACTATTATAGTTGAGTTGTGTATTTCTCTCTTCATTCTTGTCAGCTTTTGCTTCATGTATTTGGGTGCTATTATTAGTTGCATTCATTTATACTTGTAAATATATAGATTTACAATTCTTCCTGATGGGTTGATTCTTTTATTTTTATAAAACATCTCTCATTACTTCCAATTACAAAAAAAACACATTTTTATGTTTTCAAGTTTATTTAGTCTGATATCAATATAGCCACTTTAGCTTTCTGGTGATTTCTGTTTGCATGATATATCTTTTTTTCATCCTTTTACTTTCAATCTATTTATATCATTAAATCTAAAGTGTGTCTTCTGTAGACAGTGTATTATAGGTCTTATTTTTAAAACCCAGTCTGACAACATCTTCCTTTTGATTTGGTTGGATTGTTTAATGCATCCACATTTAATGCTATCATTAATATACTTGGATTATGTCTGCCATTTTAAATTTTGTCCTCTGTATGACTCATGTTGTTTTTGTTCTTCTATATTTTCTTCACAGGTTTATTTTACATTGAGTGAATATTTTCTAATGTACCATTTAAATAGCTTTAATGACTCTACATGCATTTTATTATTTCCTTGGTGGTTGCTTTAGAGCTTATCATATACATCTTATCAGAAACAACTTCAGATTTATAAGTAGTTTAATTCCAGTGAGATATAGAAATGTTACTTCTATATAGTTCTATTTACCTTTCCTTCTCCTTGTGGTATTATTGTTATAGATATTACATCTATAAATGTAACAAGCCCAACAGTATATTTTTATAATTATTAATTTATATAACTTTGTGTGTTTTAAAGAAGCTGAAAAGAGAGAGGTGTATATTTGTAGCAAGTTTGTCCAACCTGCAGCTCGCAAGACACATGTGGCCCAGGATGGCTTTGAATTACGCCCAACAAATTAGTAAACTTTCTTTAAACATTATGAGATTTTTTTTTTGCAATTTTTTAAAGCTCATCAGTTATCATTAGTGTTAATGTATTGTATGTGTGGCCTGAGACAATTCTTCTTATTCCAGTGTGGCCCAGGGAAGCAAAAAGATTGGACACCCCTGATTTATAACTTTTCTTATATTAACCTTCTTATTTATCATTTCTGCTTCTCTTCAACTGTTCTTATGGATTCAAGTTAACATGTGCAGTCATTCCCTTAACTCGATACAACTTTGATTCCATCTACTTCCTTTGTGGTCTTTATAGGTAAATGTATCATATTTCTATAAGTTATAGGCCAAACTTATACATGCTACCCACATTGTTTTATACAATTGCTTTTTTTCACATTTTTAATTTTTTTATTTCAATAAGTTTTTGGGGAACAGGTGGTGTTTAGTTACATGAATAAGTTTGTTAGTGGTGATTTCTGAGATTTTGGTGCACCCATCACCCAAGCAGTGTACACTGTAGCCAATGTGCAGTCTTTTATCCCTTGCTGCACCCCAACCTTTCCCCTGTGTCCCCAAAGCTCAATGTGTCATTCTTATGCCTTTGGATCCTCATAGCTTAGCTCCCACTTATGAGTGAGAACATATAACGTTTGGTTTTCCATTCCTGAGTTACTTCATTTAGAATAATAGTTTCCAATTCCATCCAGGTTGCTGCAACCACCATTGTTTCATTCCTTTTTATGGCTGAGTAGTAGTCCATGGTGTGTGTGTGTGTATGTATATATATATAACATGTTATATATATATATATAACAATTTATATATATATATAACATGTTATATATATATATATAACAATTTATATATATATATAACCAATTTTATTTATCCATTTGTTGACTGATGGGCATTTGGGCTGGTTCCGTATTTTTGGAGTTGCAAATTGTGCTGCTATAAACGTGCATGTGCAAGTATCTTTGTTGTATAATGACTTCTTTTTTTTCTGGGTAGATAACTTAGTGGGATTGCTGGATCAAGTGGTAGATCTATTTTTAGTTTTTTAAGGTATCTCCACACTGTATTCCATAGTGGTTGTACTAGTTTACAGTCCCACCAACAGTGTAAAAGTGTTCCCTTTTCACCACATCCATGCTAACCTCTTTTATTATTATTATCATTATTATTATTGCCATTCTTGCAGGAGTGAGGAGTATTGCATTGTGGTTTTGATTTGCAATTCCCTGATTATTAGAGATGCTGAGAATTTTTCCACATGCTTGTTGGTCATTTGTGTATCTTCTTTTGAGGATTGCCTATTCATGTCCTTAGCCCACTTTTTTATGGGATTGTTTGTTTTTTTTTCTTGCTGATTTGTTTGAGTCCTTTCTGGATATTAGTCATTTGTCAGATGTATAGATTGTGAAGATTTTCTCCCACTCTGTGGATTTTCTGTTAACTTTGCTGTTTCTTTTGCTGTGCAAAAGCTTTTTAGTTTAATTAAGTCCTATCTATTTACCTTTGTTTTTGTTGTATTTGCTTTTGGGGTATTGGTCATGAAGTCTTAGCCTAAGCCAATGTCTAGAAGGGGTTTTTTTTGATGTTATCTTCTACAATCTTTATGGTTTCAGGTCTCAGAGTTAAGTCTTTGATTCATCTTGAGTTGCTTTTTGTGTAAGGTGACAGATGAGGATCCAGTTTTATTCTTCTACATGTGGCTTGCCAATTATCCCAGCACCATGTGTTAAATAGGGTGTCCTTTCCACACTTTATGTTTTTGTTTGCTTTGTTGGAGATCAGTTGGCTTTAAGTATCTGGGTTTATTTCTGGTTTCTACATTCTGTTCCATTGGTCTATGTGCCTATTTTCATGCCAGCACCATGCTATTTTGGTGACAATGGCCTTATAGTATTGTTTGAAGTCGAGTAATGTGATGCCTCCAGATTTATTCTTTTTACTTAGTCTCCCTTTGGCTATGTGGGCCCTTTTTTTTTGGTTCCATATGAATTTTAGGATTGCTTTTTCTAGATCTATGAAGAATGATGGTAGTATTTTGATGAAAATTGCATTGAATTTGCAGATTGCTTTTGACTCTATGGCCATTTTCACAATATTGATTCTACCCATTCAAGAGGAAAATTCATAGCATTAAATGCCTACATCAAAAAGTCTGAAAGGGCACAAATAGACAAACTAAAGTCACACCTCACAGAACTGGAGAAACAAGAACAATCCAAACCAAACCCAGCAGAAGGAAAGAAATAACAAAGATCAGAGCAGAACTAAATTAAATGGAAACAAAAAAAATACAAGAATAATGAAACAAAAAGTTGGTTCTTTGAAAATATAAATAAAATTGATAGGTTAATCAATAAAATAAGAGAGACGATCCAAATAGGCTCAATTAGAAATTAAATGGGAGATATTACAACTGATACCACAGAAATACAGAAGATTATTCAAGGCTACTCTGAACACCTTTATGTGCATAAACTAGAAAACCTAGAGGAGATAGATACATTCCTGACAATATGCAACCTTCCTAGCTTAAACCAGGAAGATCTAGAATCTTCAAACAGACCAATAACAAGCAGCAAGATTGAAATGGTAATAAAAAAAATTGCCAACAAAAAAAAAAACTCCAGGACTAGATGGATTCACTGCTGAATTCTATCAGACATTCAAATAATTGGTACTAATCTTATTGACACTATTCCAAAAGATAAAGAGGGAATCCTCCCTAAATCAGTCAATGAAACCAGTATCACCTTAATACCAAAATCAGGGAAGGACATAACAAAAAAAGAAAACTACAGACCAATGTCCCTGATGAACACAGATGCAAAAATCCTCAACAAAATACTAGTAAACTGAATCCAACAGCATATCAAAAAGATAATACACCATGATCAAGTGTGTTGCATACCAGGAATGTAGGGATGGTTTAACGTATGTAGCTCAGTAAATGTAATACACCACATAAATAGAATTTAAAAACAAAAAATCACATGATCATCTCAACAGATGCAGAAAAAGCATTTGATGAAATCCAGCATCGCTTTATGATTAAAACCCTCAGCAAAATCGGCACAGAAGGGACAAACTTCAAGGTAATAAAAGCTGTCTACAACAAACCCACAGTCAACACTATACTGAATGGGGAAAAGTGGAAAGCATTCCCCCTGAGAACTGGAATAAGACAAAGATGCCCACTATTACCACTGCTATTCAACATACTACTGGAAGTCCTAGTCAGGACAATCAGAAAAGAGAAAGAAATAAAAGGCATCCAAATTGGTAAAGAGAAGTCAGACTGTCACTGTTTGCTGATGATATGATTGTATACCTAGAAAATCCTAAAGGCTCACCCAAAAAGCTACTAGAACTGATAAATGAATTCAGCAAAATTTCAGGATACAAAATTAATGTACACAAATCAGTAGCTCTGCTATACACCAACAGCAACCAAGCTGAGAATCAAATAAAAAACAACCTCTTTCACTATAGCTGCCAAAAAATAAAAATAAAATAAAATACTTAGGAATATACCTAACCAAGGATGTGAAAGGTCTCTACAAGGAAAACTATAAAACTCTGCTGAAAGAAATCATAGACAACACAGTCAATTGCTTTTAAATCAGTTAAGAGAAGAAGAAGAAATATGAATTTATACTATCTCTTATATAATTACCTTTACTGATGATCTCTTTTTGTGTGGATTTGAATTACTGTCCAGGGTTGCTTGCTTTCAGCCTGAGAACTTCTTTTATTATTGCATGTAAAATGGCTGCAAGCAGCAATTTTTCTCTGTTTTTGATTATTTGGAAAATTCTTCATTGTACTTAGAATTTTGAAATATAGCTTTTATGAAATAGGATTCTTGGTTGGTCAGCAGCCTTTTTTTGAGCACTTTGAATATGTTATTCTACTGTCTTCTAGTCTCCTTTGTTTCTGGTGAGAAGTGATCTGCAAATTGTATTTGGGTTCCTTTTAAGTGATGAGTCATTCTTTTCTTAATGCTCTCAAGATTTTCTCCTTGTCTATGACTTTCACTATTTTGACAGTGCTGTATCTGTAGATCTCACATTTATCCTACTCATTCTACATGTAGGTTTGTGTACTTAATAATGCCTAAATTTCTCTGAGGCTCTGTTCTTTCTTTATTCTTTTTGCTTTCTGTTCTTTGGATTGTATCATCTCTATAGGTTTATCTTCATGTAGGCTAAGTCTTTATTCTGCCAGTTCAAATCTACTGTTGAGCTCCTCTAGTGAATCTTTTATTTCCATTGTTGTACCTTCAGCTTCAGAATTTCCATTGGTTTCTTTTTTAAAAATTTCTATGACCTTATCAATACTGATATTTTTCTATTTGATGAGCAGTTGTCATTATATCCTTCTTTATTTCTATAATTATAATTTTCTTTAGGTTTTTTTGGACATATTTCTAATGGCTACTTTGAATACTTTGTTAAATCTGATATCTGGTTGCTATCACAGGCAGTTTCTTCTGCCCTCTTTCTTCCTCCAGTATATGTTTTATTTTCATGTTTCTTTGTATGTTTTTGCAGTTGGGTTGGAAACTAAATATTTTAGATAATATATTGTAGAAACTATGGATTCTAATCTTCCTCCCTTGTGGCTTTTTATTACTATTTGCTTAGTGACTAGCTGGATTATTTTAGTGAAGTCTATTTCTCTTCCCCACAGTGCTTAGCTTCTGATGTTGCAGATCTGTGAAGCTCCTCATGCTGTCATGTTGCCTTCCTATTTTTAAACCTTCAAAACATTAGAAATGGGCCCCAGATTCTTTCAAGTGACTTATTGCTTTTGTTGATGTGATTTTGTCATGAATAAGCTTTCGAAATAGAAAGATTAAACAGAGTATGTTTTCCTTTTAGAAAGAAATAGAATATATTGTATTCTTACAGCATGCCGTATTCTTGTAGCATGGAATAAGTTTTATTTGATTGCTTTATTCAATTTTTTATTTTTATTAAAATCTTTGTATCTATAAGAGGAAAGCTCACTATAGTTGTGTGTGTGTTCATACTTTAATAACAATTAGGATTAAGACCACTTTTTTCTTTCGTAGTAGGAAATTTGCTATTATTTTCTCTTTCAAGAAATGAAATGGGTAGTTAGGTTACTTTTTGCTATTTGAAAGTTTGGAGAAATTTTGATCTAAACAAGAATGTTCAAGTCTTATTTTAATAATGGTGTATGAACACTTTTTAGTGCTGTATATTCAAATTTCCTCTTCCTTTTATGACCATTCTGATGTTTTATATTTTTAGGGTTTTCACTTGGAAAAATAAAAATAGCATAGGCCTTGTAGATCTGAATTTAAATTCCAGCTGCACCTCTTAGTAGCTGGGTGACCTTGGACATACACCTTCATCTCTGTAAGCTTCAGTTTCTGCTATAAAAGGAGGAAAAATATTTATAAAATGGCTTATTATACCAACAAAAAAAGGATGTGTATAAAGCACTCAGCACTGAGACAAAGTCAGTAGCTAGTAAATGTTAATTCCCTTGCTTTGAGAAAATAATATATTTCACACAGAATTTAAAATATATTAGCATTTAACTGTGCCAAATGTTTCTTCGTACAATTTTTCTATTATCCTGTTGCTCTATTTTCTGTCTTATTTATATTTTTATTAGTTTTTTAAATTAGATTTTGCTGTTTTTTGGACATTTCTTAGTCTTTTTCAAGTAGTAATCTTTGGTTATATTAATTACTTGTTTTAGTTTTCTCTGTTATGTAATCACCTTGTTTATTTTATCATGTTTATAGTTTCCAATTCTTCTGTAGTTTTTCAAAAACTAATTTTCTTATCTTATATGATGTGGGAACATAGTGAATGTTCTTTTATTTTATTAAGAATAAAGACAAGTAAAGCTCTAAATTTTTTTCCAAATATTGTTTTAACCATTTCCTATAGATTTTGACATATAATTATTATTCTTTTAATATCCTTCTCTTAACTTCTGAGCATGTGATCTTCAGGGATGGACTGGAAGCAGAGGGACTAGTCGAAGAAGCCATCATAACCATCATCTGAAAGGCTATAGCTAACTATCTCAAGTGAAAATACTAATTGGGTGTCAGAATGTCTGGGGCCTAGAAATAAAATCAACCCATACTAATCGAATGCCTATATGTGCTGAACACTGTCCTCCTCATAGTATTTTTTGTGTATCTCCTTAATTGTCACAATAGTGTTGTGACATTTGTCCCATTTCCTCCTTTCTGCAATTGAAGATATTGTAGTAGTCAAATGACTTACCCAAGAGCACAGAACAAGTAAAATCTATTTCTTAGGAATCCTAGCTGGCTATTTGCTCCACTGCTATGCTATGCCACCTTTTGTAAGTCTCTTACAGACTTATTTAGAGCCCAAATCTTATCACTTGTATAAGCGGTGGGCATTGTTACCTTTTAATTAACTTTGTGGGGACAGGAGTGGATTGTCTTGTTGATATGGTTTGGCTGTGTCCCCACCCAATCTCAACTTGAATTGTATCTCCCAGAATTCCCATGTATTGTGGGAGGGACCCAGGGGGAGGTAATTGAGTCATAGGGGCCAGTCTTTCCCATGCTATTTTCACGGTAGTGAATAAGTCTCATGAAATCTGTTGGGTTTATCAGGGGTTTCCGCTTTTGCTTTCTCCTCATTTTTCTCTTGCTGCCACGATGTAAGAAATGCCTTTCTGAGGCCTCTCCAGCCATGTGGAACTGTAAGTCCAGTTAAACCTCTTTCTTCCCAGTCTCGGGTATGTCTTTATCAGCAGCGTGAAAACAGACTAATACACTCGTCTTTAAAATATTACTTGTGCTTAGTTAACTTAAGAGAACACATGGATGTCATTGAGAGCAGTTTCCCAATACAGGAAAAGGCTCACATGTGAAAGAGCTCACTCATCTATTTCACATTTCTCCATAAGACCATGTCTGATAAGACTAGTGTATAGAATATCAATAGTAGTTACAGTTAATGATATAACTGCTATGTGACAAACACTGTGCCATAAGAACATTATATGTGTTATTTCAAGGAATCCTTATCACAGTCAGACGAGGTGGGTATTATTATTATTTTTCTCCCTTGTTTATTGATTGGGATGCTGACACCCCAAAGCGTTAAGTAATTCATCTAAAGTTGCAGAAACAGGAAGTGGCACAGCTGGTATTTAAATTAAGCTATCTAGCTTCAAAACCCAAGATTCTCTCAATCATTTTTGCTTAATTGTGTCTTCTGAAAGCTATAATAAGGCAGACTATTAATTAATATAAAGGAAAATACTAAGAATGTGGAGCTTCAGGAGGTATTGGATGGACTGATACACGTAGAAGCTTGTGATCTTCTGCCCACAAAAGAAAGGGGGACTCTGTGAACTGAAGTCCACTTATACTAATCCTAAATAAGACTCTAGAATAATATTTTTAGAAATAGAGTAGTGTGCGATAGAAAAGTCAGACTGCCTTGTGTCAATGGGTCAAGTGGGGTAGATGAAATATCTTCTTACAGATAGAGTCTTAAATTTAGATGGACAGTCTAACTCTATGCCCTTTTAATTCTTTTTCAGTAGCCTTTAAAAAACTTTTTGAAATCAAATATCTTAAATATTAATTTTTATTTTGTCAGAAATAGAAATTAGAACAAGATATCTCAGGTTCTTTCTGTGCGTAGTTCACATTCATACACTAGAAATTTAGAGTTCCCCTCAAGACAGTAAGAGATTCAAGAACAGGAAAAGATAATTACAATGCAAATACTAATCTCATACACAGGTATCTTGAAGATTCTATAGAAACATCTATAGTTGTATGCTATAAAAATGTATAATCCATCAGCACTGTGGGGCTCCTTGAGGAAAGCTCTGACTGCCCTGTGCAACCCCTGTTATACATACATACATATGGCCATGTGCAGGAGATGTGTACTCTTTCTTAGATGCCAGCTTGATATTAATCTATATCAATTATTCAAAATAAATTATACCAACTCTACAGCATTTTGATGATCCACTCAACTCAGTGCTATACCTAACAAACTTTGCCATAAGTGTTTTATAGTGAACACCGTGGAACAGTTGTATGTATCAACGGTTAAGACAAAATGAATTTTATACATTGGTCGATCGTAGGGCACACCTGTGATGAATTCATAGTACAACTATTATATGATAGACACTATAAAAACTATTGTATTTTAACCACTAATGCTCCCTGGGAGAAGCTAGTGGCTGAATTAAGAATATTTTTATTATCACTGTTCATGAACTGAACTTTATGTCAATAAATCTTAAGCATATCTTAATTTACCAGGAAGATCTTCCCCCTATTTCATCATTGGATGGAGTAACCCCTAACTGAAGTCTTCAGAGCATATGGGAAAGTCTCGTTGTGACTCAGTGGCCACTATTGCCAGAGGAACAAACTCCATGAGCTCCTTTTTCTGACCATTGACTTATTGCTATGAAATTTAGGCAAGTTATTAAACGTTTGTGAGTTTCAATTTATTTACCTATAAAATGCTGATATTGATAATATCTTCTCTGTGAGATCATGCTATAAAAATAAAATGAAATAAAGACTGCGAAAGATTGTCATACATTGTAAAGTGCCGTGGAGGAAAAAAAGTTATTACTGTTTTAACAGTGATGTGCTGGCAGAGCCTGGACTATAGCCGAAACAGGCTGACTCAGAAGGAGGTTTGTAGGGGAGCTGGAGGCTTGCTGAGGCATTGCTAAGGAAACCAGTAGAGAAATATACGTCACTCAGCCCCATCCTTATCTTCCTACTGCAGAGTATCTACCAAGAGCACAAACAGTGCAAGGGATCAGTCATGGATAATTTGGGAAAAAACACATCAGATTCCATTTAAGGAAGGAAAGAAAGTGGGAGCAAGCTCCAAAGAAGGAAAATGTTTCTCTTGGTTGCAAAGAGAAAGCACTTCCTGAACATTTCTAATCGACATGTGTAATGCCATCTGGAAGGCAGAGGGAGAAAGCTGGCTCTTAGGTTTCCTTTCAGAAGGGGAAGCCTTTGTCCCTGGCATCGTTGGAATATCTGTAAGGAGATGAAGTTTAGTAGCCCTGGGAGTCCCTCTGGACTAAGCTAATGGATTTCACTGTCAGCTTCTTTGCTGAGTATAAGAAACAAGTTGGGGTAAAAATGAGTTTTGTGACCCTGGGGACTAAAATTGTGGAGAGTTCCCTATGTTTCTTTATATCTCAGCAACATCTCTCATATAAGCTCATGCTTTGACATTAATGCTTTTCCTACCATAGTCCTGACTGCTGTGAGGGGTTATTCTTTTTGTTCCCTTTATACTTGAAATGGTGGATACCAAGTAAACATGCCAGCCTCAACTTTGCTGAATGGAACTCCTTATTGCCCATTCTCACCCTCAAGAGTACTCCTCCCCCTGCATTAGAACTTCATTCCCAGGTGTCTGTATTTATATTATCTCTCTGCTATTACAAAAAGCCACAAACATGGAGGTTGTTTTTGACCCTTCTCTTTCTCTTACCTACCGTAATGTCAGTAAATCCTATTGATTTTATCTCCCTGGATCTACCCAGCCCTCTTCGTCCCACTGGGACTTCCCTGGTTTGAACTTCTATTATGTATTGCTTGAACCATGGGTTTGGGCATCACCTCTAGCTTTCAGTCACTTTATTACCTCTTCCTAAACCAGCTAAAAACATCTTTCCAAAGGGCAGACCAATGTGTGCCATTTCCTTGCTTGAAAGTTTCTAACTCCCCGTTACCTACAGAAGTGCATACTCCTCTGTGGCATTTGAGTGAGTTCCTTTTAGGGGAAATACTGCATGACCAAACAAATAACTGTAGTGTTAAATGGGGCTTATTGCAGTGTGGTTTTGAGCTAAGCTCTTGACATGATCAAGATTCCTCAACAGACAAGGAGTGGTTGTAGAGAATACAGAGAAGACTAGATATGTAATCAAAGTTGTGTTTAAAATATTTGTCTCATAATTCCATTGGTCATTAGCAGCTATTTAGGTTTCTGAATTACTTTTGGCTTGGATAACTGGGACTAGCAGAGATGCCATGTGATAAATGAGAGATGTGTTAAATAAACAGGCTTAGAAAGTCTGTTCCCTTGCTGGTTTGTGAGCATGAAAATTGGAATTGGGATCATCATTGAGAATAAGTAGGTGGGGTTTGTTGAAGAAAGTTGTTTATGGCCTATTTTTAAAACTGTATCACACTAAAAAATATTTGTGTTTTGCTTAGTAGCCTGTATATTCTTTTAAGCACTGTCTGTTATTTGTAGCTTTAAAAAAGATTTAAAAGACAAAAAGTCTGGCTCTTTAAGAAATAGAAATCTTTTGCCAGACTCTCTATTTCTAGCCACTCTTTTACACAGGGGATGCCTTAGAAATCAAACTAGATGATCTGTGGTTGATAGTTGAGATAACCACATGGGGAGAGGAAAGAGAAGAAATTGAGAGCACAATAACTAATCTTGGTTAAGACTAATAAAAAGTAGAAATAAGATATGCTCTCATATGCTTCAAATATTCAAAGGGATACAGTAGTTAGTTCTGGGAATATACTTCTGCAACAGTATGAGACATTTTTACTTTTAATCATATATCTTTATATATGAAATTTGTTTAACCATAAGGATATACTATTTTTATTAAAAAGTAATCAGACAGGTTTATATGTACTGCCATGGAAAGAATCCTAACTATATTGTTAATTGAAGAAAAGTGATAAATGTTATATATTGCATAATTTCACCTTGCAAGGAAATGTTTACGTATATTCAGGTACATGTATTGCTATTATAAATTTGTTAGCAGGAGTATATGTATGGAGAAAAAAGTATATTGAGGAGTAGGTGCACTAAATTGTTAGTTATATTTGTCTTTCCAGTGTGAGAGATGTCAGACACATTAAATTTTTGGGAAATGTAGGCCTATTATGTTTTAATTTTAAACAATGATCTAATCTTACTTATATAATCAGAAAAAATAATAAAGTATATTTCTTATCAACTTCCAAGTAACACTCCACATTTGATATGGTCTATTATAATAAATTTTTTTAAAAATACTATTAAAAAAGAAGGCAGAAAAGTACCATGGAAAGGTTTAATTCCATAAGATGACATACAAAAATAGGGACTTATAAAAAACTTGGCCATGGCCTATGTTGACCCTATGGATTAGGTAATCACTGGTTAGTGGCATATGTGCTATAATCCTACCATTTAGAACTTAATTGTTTGTTTTTCACATTAGTTTTAAGGTCTTATTACATGTAAATTGGTGTGTTACATTTTGTTCGGAGTTAAACATATTTTTCGTAAGAATATATTTAAATATGTGATGATGGCATTTTTATGAGGTCCAGTGATCCTACCACATCAGTGAAAGCTGCTTTGCCACTTAACTTTGCAAATTACTTAATCTCAGTGCATTTGGTTTTCCATCTGTAGAATGGGGATAATAAAAGGAGCTTGTTCAGAGGGTTGTTGTGTGGAATAAATAGGATAATACATTTAAGTGCTTAGAACAGTGTCTGCAATAAATCACTAACTGTTATGATGATAACAACAATGATGATGATGACCATGTTGATAACAGAGACAATGACAACAATGATGGTGATGAGGATAGTAAAATGGCCCTAAAGGATCTTTGCACAAGGCAGTACTGCAGGGAGGATCCAAAATGCATCCTGAAGGCAAAGCCTGTTCTTTTCCCAACATTTTCCACAGGAAACAATGGCCAAGGCTCCACCTTGGGAGATAACCAGCAAATATGATATCAATCTACACTTTCCCAGCTCACTAACGTTTTCCACTTATATGGAAGTAGTATGTTTTTAGCCTCAAATAATTTCACTTGAAACTTGCAAAATATGAGAAATATGAATTATCTGTCTCATGTAGCTAGTCCATATGAATCTCATTCCACACACCTGAGTGTAAAAGAGATGTCAGTTTATTTCTGTGAATGAAATGAAATCTGGCTCCAAGTCGTCATCCTGACAGGAGGACAGCAAATTTAATTCTCATTGTTTTTGGGGAGCTTTTTCCTTCTCTAGAACAAATCATCATTTTGGGGGAGCTTTTCCCTTCTCTACATAACAAATTCTCTTACCTCAGTCTTCCATAGTGGCCACTGATACTCATTCTGTCCACACTTGCCTGGTTCCTTAGTTGGGCAGCAAGGTACCTAACATGTTCAGCCTAAAGGGAGAATCTTTATCGAGACTAAACTTTCCCTCCAAGACATCCCTCCAAGGTCCTGGCTCTTCCTTAGGGGTGGCTCTGGGAATTAGAGCTCACGTTCCTATTACTGTCTGTGGAACCCACAAACCAATCCTCTCTTGCCCATATTGAGAACTCTCCTTTTAGTATCACCCTTCCCAGCACAAATGACTCCAGGAGCTCAGAGTGTGAGAAAACAAGGTTTCATCTTCAGGGCATCTCCTTTTGGCCCTAAGTTAAAGATGCAAAAAGGCCTGGCTATGTTTTCAAAATCTGTGTGTGCGTAAACAGAACTGAAAAGAAAAACCACAGAATCATCTCAATAGATGCAGAAAAGGCTTTCAATAAAATTCAACATCCTTTGTGTTAAAAACCCTCAACAAACTAGGAATTGAAGGAACATACCTGAAAATAATAAGAACCATCTATGACAAACCCACAGTCAACATTATACTGAATGGGCAAGAAGACAAACATGCCCACTGTCACCACTCCTGTTCCACATAGTACTGGAAGTCCTAACCAAAACAGTCAGGCAAAAGAAAGACATAAAAGGGATCCAAATAGGAAGAAGGGAAGTCAAACTATCTCCGTTTGCATATGACATGATTCTATACCTAGTAAACACCATAGTCTCTGCTCCAAGGCTCCTAGATCTGATAAATAACATTTGGTATTTTATTTTCTGTTTCTGAGCTATTTCACATAGGATAATTGCCACCAGCTTTATCCATATTGCTGCAAAAGACATGATTTTATTATTTTTATGTCTGCATAGTATTCCATTATGTATATGTACCACATTTTCTTTCTTTTTTTTTTTTTTGAGATACAGTCTCCCTCTGTTACTCAGGCTGAAGTGCAGTGGTGTGATCTTGGCTCACTGCAACCTCTGCCTCCCAGGTTCAAACAATTCTCCTGCCTCAGCCTCCCGAGTAGCTGGGACTACAGGTGTGCACCACCATGCCTGGCTAATTTTTGCATTTTTAGTAGAGACCATGTTGGCCAGGCTGGTCTCAAATTCCTGACCTCAAGTGATCCCCCTACCTTGGCCTCCCAAAGCAATGGGATTACAGGCATGAGCCACTATGCCAGGCCTGTAGCACGTTTTCTTTATCCAATCATCTGTTGATGGACACTTAGCTTTAGGCCATGACTGCTATTGTGAATAGTGCTGTGATGAACATACAAGTTCTAGTATCTTTTTGATATGATTATTTCTTTTCCCTTGGGTAGATACCCAATAGTGGGACTGCTGGGTTGAATGGTAGTTTGATTTATTTATTTATTTATTTATTTATTTATTTATTTATTTATTGAGACAGTGTCTTGCTCTGTCGCCCAGGCTGGAGTGCAGTAGCATGGTCAGGGCTCACTGCAGCCTCAACCTCTTGAGCTGAAGTGATCCTTCCACTTCATCCCCCTGAGAAACTAGGACTACAAGCATGTGCCACCATGCCTGGTTATTTTTAAAACAATTTTAATAGGGATGAGGTCTCACTATGTTGCCCGGGCTGGTCTTGAACTCTTTAGCTTAAACAATTCTACCGCCTTGGCCTCCCAAAGTGTTGGGATTACAGGCATGAGCCACTGTACCCAGCAAAATGGTAGTTTTATTTTTAGTTCATTGAGAAATCTCCATTCTATTTTGCATAAAGGTTGTACTAATTTACATTCCTACCAAGAGTTTATAAGCATTCTCTTTTCTTCACATCCTTACCAACATCTGTTTTTTTTTTTTTTTACTTTTTAATAATAGCCATTTTGACTGGTGTAAGATGGTATCTCACTGTGATTTTTACCTTGCATTTCTCTGATTAATGATGTTGAGAAATTTATGTTTCTTGGTCATTTGTATGTCTTCTTTTGAAAAATTTCTGTTCATGTCCTTGCCCACTTTTTAATGGAGTTACTGTTTATTTTCTTCTTGAGTTGAGTTCCTTGCAGATTCAGGATATTAGTCCTTTGTTGGATGCATAGTTTGCAAATATTTTCTCCCATTCTGTAGGTTGTCTTTTTACTTTGTTGATTATTTATTTTGCTGTGCAAAAGCTTTTTAGTTTAATTAAGTACCATTTGTCTATTTTTTTGTTGCATTAGCTTTTGAGCCCTTTGTCATAAATTCCTTGCCTAGGCTAACATCCAGAAGAGTTTCCCTAGGTTGTCTTCTAGGATATTTATTGTTTCGGGTCTTATATTTAAGGCTTTAATCCATGTTGAGTTAATTTTTGTATGTGATGAGAGATAGGGGTCCAGTTTCATTCTGTAGCATATGGCTATCCAATTTTTCCAGAGCCATTTATTGAATAGAGGGTCCTTTCCCAATTTCGTGTTTCTGTCAACTTTGTTGAAGATAGTTGCTGGTAGGCCTATGGCTTTATTTCTGGGATCTCTATCCTGTTCTATTGCTGTATGTGTCTATTTTTTGTACAAGTACCATATTCTTTTCTTGCTATAGCCTTGTAGTATAATTTGAAGTCAGGCAATATAATTCCTCTAGCTTTGTTTGTTTTGTTCAGAAATGCTTTAGCTATTCAGTATGTTTTCTTGGTTCTATATACATTTTAAGTTTTTTTTTAATTCTGTGAAAAATAACATTAGTAATTTGATAGGAATTGCATTGAATCTGTATATGGCTTTAGGCAATATGGTCATTTTAATGAGTTTGATTCTTTTAATTCCATAAGCGTGATGTTTTTCCATTTGTTTGTGTCATCTCTGATTTATTTAATTAGTGTTTTGTAGTTCTTCTTGTAGAGATCTTGTACCTCTTTGGTTAAATGTCTTCCTAGGTAATTTATTTTTTGTGTGGCTTTTGTAAGTGGTTCTTGATTTGGTTCTCAGATTAAACATTATTGGTGCATAGAAATGCTACTGATTTTTGTCTGTTGACTTTTTATTCTAAAACCTTACTGAAGTCATTTATCAAATCTCAGAGTCTTGGAGGAGTCTTTAGGGTTTTCTAAGTATAGGATTATGTCGTTAGTGAACAGAGGTAATTTGACTTCCTCTTTTTCCAATTTGATTGCCTTTTATTTCTTTTTCTTGCCTGATTGCTCTGGCTAGGACTTCCAGTATTATGTTGAATAGGAGTGATGAGAGTGGGAATCTTTATCTTGTTCTGGTTCTTAAAGGAAATGCATTCAGTGTTTCTTCATTGAGTATAATGTTGGCTATGGGTTTGTTGTATATGGCTTTTATTATTTTGAGGTAAGTTCCTTCAGTGTCTAGTTTGCTGAGGAGTTTTATCATGAAGGGACGTTGGATTTTATTGAACGCTTTTTCTGCATTTCTATTGTGACAATTGTACAGCTTTTGTTTTTAATTTTGTTTTGTGGTGAATCACATTTATTTATTGATTTATGTGTGTTGAATCATCCTTGCATCCCTGGAATAAAACCCATTTGATCATGGGTCACATTTTTATGTGCTGTTGGATTCAATTTGCTAGTATTTTGTTGAAGATTTTTGCATCTATATTCATCATGGATATTGGCCTGTATCCTCACCTGATTCTGGTATCAGGGAGATACTGGTTTCACAGAATGAGTTAAGGAGGAATCTCTCCTCCTCAATTTTTTGGGAATAATTTTGGTACCAGCTCTTTTTTGTATGCTAGTAAAATTTCACTGTGAATCTATCTGGTCCTGGGCTTTTTTAAAGGGGGTTTATATTACTTATTCAATTTCACTACTCATTATTGGTTTGTTCAAGATTTCTACTTCTTCGTGATTTAATCTTGGGAAATTGTGCATTTCCAGGAATTCATCCATTTCCTGTAGGTTTTCTAGTTTGTGTGTGTAGAGATACCCAAAGTAGACTCTGATGATATTTTGCATTTCTGTGGTATCAGTTGTAATTTTACCTTTATCATTTCTGATTGTACTTATTCGAGTCTCCTCTTTATTCCTTGATTAATCTATGTAGTGTGTATAAATTTTATTTTATCTTTTGAAGTAAGCATTTTTTTGTTTCGTTAATCCTTTGTATTATTGTTTGGGTCTCAATATCATTTGTTGCTTTTCTGGTCTTTGTTATTTCTTTTCTTCTGCTACCTTTGGGTTTGGTTTATTCTTGATTTTCTAGTTTTTTGAAGTGTGACAATAGGATGTTAATTTGTGACCTATCTTTTTGATGTAGGCATTTAACACTATAAACTTCCTTCTTAGCACTCTTTTTGTTGTATTACAGAGGTTTTGGTATATTGTATCTCTATATTAATTTACTTCAGAAAATATTTTTATTTCTACCTTAATTTCATTGTTTACCAAAAGATCATTCAGGAGCAAGTTGTTTAATTTCCATGTATTTGTATGGTTTTGAGAATTCCATTTGGTATGGATTTCTAATTTTATTTCACTGTGGTTCAAGAAGATACCTGATATAATTTTGATTTTTTAAAATTTATTGAGATTTGCTTTGTGGCCAAGCAAATGGTCTATTTTGGAGAAGGTTCCATACTCAGATGAGACAAATGTATATTCTGTAGTTGGTGGGTAGAATATTCTGTAAATGTCTACTAGGTCCATTTGGTCTGGAGTCCAGTTTAAGTTCAGAGTTTCTTTGTCGATTTTCTTTCTCAGTGATCTGTCTAATTCTGTCAGTGGGGTGTTGAAGACCCTCACTATTATTGTGTTGCTGTTGATCTCTTTTCTTAGGTTTAGTAATATTTTTTAAAATGAATCTGTGTGCTCCAGAGATGGGTGCATACATATTTAGAATAGTTATGTCTTTTTGTTCAGTTGAACCCTTTATTATTATACAATGACCTTTTCGTGTTTTTTTATATTGCTATGGATTTAAAATCTGTTTTATTTGATATACATATAGTTACTCCTGCTTGTTTGTGTTTTCTGTTTGTGTGGCATATCTATTTCTACCCTTTTACTTTGAGTCTGTGAATATCTTTACTGGTTAGGTGGATTTCTTGTACTCAGAAAATGGTTGGGTCTTGTTTTTAAATTTAATTTGCCAGTCTATATACTTTAAATGGGGCATTTAGGCCATTTACATTCAAAGTTATACTGATATGTGATGTTTTTGTTCCTGTCATAATGTTGTTACCTAGTTTCTTTGTAGTTTCAGTTGTGTAATTGCTTTATAGGATTTATGAGCTTTGTACTTCCATGTGCTTTTAGGATCATGAGTATTTTTCTTTTGCTTTCATTTTAGAATTCTTTTGTGCATTTCTTGTAGAACTGGTCTAGTGGTGAGAAATTCCTGTAGTACATGCTTGTATGAGAAGGGTTTTATTTCTTCTTCATATATAAAGCTTAGTTTGGCAGGATATAAGATTCTTGGCTGGCACTTTTTTTTAAGAATGCTAAAAATAGACCCCAAATCTCTCCTGGCTTATAAGGTTTCTGCTGAGAAGGCCATTGTTAGTCTGATGGAATTTCCTTTATAGGTAATGAGATGCTTATCTTTTGCTGCTTTTAGGATTTTTTCCTTGGTATTGACTTTGGATAGTCTGAAGACTGTATGCCTTGGTGGTGTTTATCTAGCAAATGATTCCTCAGGTGGTCTCTGATCTTGTAGCTGGATGTCCACATTTCTAGCAAGACCAGTGAAATTTTCCTGAATTATTTTCTCAGATAGGTTTTCCAGGCTCTTTACTTTGTCTTCTTCTCCTTCAGGAATGTCTGCATCTCATAGATTTGGTAACTTTACACAATTCCATTTTTTCCTCAGAGGCTTGTTTCTTTTTTTTTTATTGTTTTTTTTCTTTACTTTTGTCTGACTGGGTTAATTTAAAAGACCTATCTTCAGCCTCTGAAATTATTTTTTTCTGTCTGTTCTACTCTATCTTTAAAGCTTTCAACTGTATGTTGTAACTCCTTCAGTGAAATTTTCATTTTCAGAAGTTCTGTTTCTTTGTTTTTGTTTGTTTTAGATGTCTATGTCTTTCCTATACTGAAATGTTTTTCTGATTTCTTTGTGTTGGTTTTCAGCTTTCTCTTGGATCTCACTGAGCTTATTTACAATTTATATTTTGAATTCTTTATCTGTAATTTCAGAGTTTTCTATTTGATTAGGATCCATTGCTAGAGGGCTAGTGTGATCGTTTGAGGAGTATTGCGACACTGTTTTTTATAGTGTCAGGGTCCTTGTGCTGATTATTTCTCATCTGGAGAAGCTGCCACTTCTTATTTTTGAATTTAATTTCATTGGAATGGCATTTTTTTCCTCCTTGAGGGTGTGACTGTTGTGTATATTGGTTAGGGTCCTTTGGATTTACTTCTATATGCTTTTAGGAGCCAAGGCCCTGTATGAACTCCTTGGTATAGACAGCCTTAGTGTAGTGGTTTTCTCAAATGCTAGTTGTTTCTGGATTATAGTGGTGTACTGTTTGTATGAGCAGGCTTACTGTCTCCTGCAGAGATTGGAGGTGATCTTGGAAGCCTTACCTTATTCCCAAGCACTAGTGCTGTATACTTCTGTCTGCAGAAATTATGTTGGGTTGTGCAGTTCACCCTACAGTCCAGTATGTGGTGCTTGTGGGTAAGAGCTGTTTAAGCACTATACGTTGGTGTCAGCAGAAGTTATAATGGGCCATGCAGGTTGACCCCCAGCCAGTAGGCGGTGTGATTTATTCATTTATTTTGTTGCATTTGGAAACATATAGAGGACCCTGGAAGCACAGCTGAGAGAGAAGGTGAATGGAGTGGAATCTCGAGAATACTGGCATGACTTAGTCTGAGATTCTCCTGCTCTATACACTCTACATATTAGAGCTTCAGGGACACAGAATTCAACCCAGAGTGGCAGGAGGGCCCCTTACAATCACATTGTTATAGTAACTATAAAGACTGAAAAATTCAGTCAAACTTCCCCAGATTTTCAGCTACTTAGTATTTAAAAACTTGAGAATAAATGACAAATTGCTTGAATTTTTTTCTTTCCTTTCAGCCTAAATATGAAGGTTTGCTATGGTAGACAAACATCTTTAAATCCTTGGATTTAAAGGATGGAGGAGATTTTAGCATCTGTCCACTTTGCAGTTTTTTGTTTTTGTTTTTTTTTCTCCGGAAAAGCACTGTGCTGGGTTATTTGGTTTTAAGCAACAGAAACCCACTCTTCATAATGTATGCCAATGAGGAATTTTTTGAGAAGATCTGGGGTAACTCACAGATCCCAAAGAAAATTAACATACCAGGCCTTAGAGAAGGCTGGCCTGGACATATGGGGAGCAAAACTAGGCAATTTTTGAGTCATCTTGGGCTGACATAACAGAATATCACACACTGGGAGGCTGAAACAACAGAAATTTATTTTCTCAGAGTCTGGAGGCTAGAAGTCTAAGATCATGGAGCTGGCAGGGTTGATTTGTGGTGAGGCCTCTTTTCTTGCATTGTAGACAGCCACTTTCTCATTGTATCCTCACATGGCCTTTTCTCTGTGTGCTCACTTCTAGTGTCCCTTTCTCTTCCTATAAGGACACTAGTCCTATTGGATTAGGGCCCCCATTTATGGCCTTGTTGGGCATTAATTACCCACTTAAAGGCCCTATCACCAAATATAGTTACATTAGGAGTTAGGATTTCAACATATGAATTAGGGCTGGGCAGGGATACAATTCAGTCTTTCACACCAATCTTCTTAAGTGCCTTTGGGGGGATGAATCTGCTCCAATTTTGTTCTGTTTTTGGTTTCCACACTTTAAACTTGTGTTCTCAGAGGATCTGTTTGCTCTGACTTGAGTCATGGAACCACCGCTAGGTCCAGAGTATTTAGGGCCCCTTGACTGACATCCCCACTGGTCTATGGAAAGTGGGAATGAAGGTAGTTTCTTAAAGAAAAATTGAGGAACATTATAAGAAGAAAGAAGACTATGTAGAGGAGTGAATGGATGGTGGCTAGGCAAAAGCAACATTTGGCTATTTTTTTAATTGACAATGTAATTAGAGCCCAAGTATATAAAATAACTGTGGATGTGTTCTGTTTTCTGTGGGAACAGGTAAACCTGAATTTGGCTTATTCCTCCTCTGTCTACCTCCTAGAGGTGGCCCTAAAACCATCTATGAGGTATAAAGCTTAAAAGCTGTTATCCGACTACCATTCACTCATTTCACAAATGGGGAAAGCAGCGTCCAGAGTGGAAAGGAGCTTTGCCCAAAGCTGCCCAACAAATCCAGGCAGAGTAATAATCATGACCTTGTCCTTCCAGCTTTAGTCCTGGGCAGCCCCTACTTTTGATAGCATGATCACTGTGCATTCCATTCTAAGCAAATTCAAATTAGAAACTACATTACATAGCTCCCTCGAGTATTTTTAGCTGCTAAGCACTTTTCAAGGGTTTTTTAAAACAACAATATCCAGACAGTCAAAAAGAGAAATTGCAAATATTGTGGGCAGTGCTTATCATTCATTAACAAAGATAAGATATCCTTTAAAACTGTATTGTGTGTGGCTGATCTGCTGCCTGATTAGAACTGAATGAAGCCTGGAAGGCTTTACCCATCAGTTCTCAAGCTTGGCTTCACATCAGAGTCAAATGTGGGTTCTATTAAGTGCTGGCTCTGGAGCTGTTTAACATGGACTGGATCCCAGCTTTGCCACTGCCCAGCTGTATGACTCTCTGAAGATTGCTGAAGGTCTCCAAGCCTCAGTTTCTTCATCTTTAAAAGGGGAACAAGTTTCCCCTTTTAAAATTGGGAGAATTAAACAAGCAACTGTTTAATTATAAACTTATAAACTTTAGTTATAAAATTATAAACTTATAAAATTGGGAGAATTAAACAAGCAACAGTCCTTTGTGAACAGTGTAGCATAGTAGCCTGGCCCTGATGAGTCCTCGAAAATGTTAGTAGTGGTACAGAGTCAGCTAGGTTCTTCTTCCCTTAACGTGGTTTTTAGGCTTTCCAAAACCCTTTCACATATATCCCTCACCAATCGACAACAGCTCAATAAGGCCTGCTACAATCCCATAAGACACAAAATAAGTTATTTCATGAAAGCAGAATTTCAGAAGTAAACTGGAATTGATCTGCTCTTAGAAATGAAAAGTATTCAATCTGGAAGGCTTGCTATTACATTTAAATCAAACAGTGCTTAAAAGAGCAGCAGAGGACCCTGTTGAAAGCAGAGTAAGGTGATTTCCCCTTTGAGGGTAATCATTCCCTTCCAGTGGGAAAAGATAGTCACCAGGGCTCACACTCTCTACTTGTTCCTCTTTGCAAATGAAGAATCTTCAAACCTGGAGGCCAAGAATCAAAGCATGGAGACAATTTGTTGCCTTCCTCTTGCCTTCTCTTAACCTCCTCCTTATGGTCTGAGGGCAAGAAGTATTGATAAGGTGGTGGGCAAGGAAATCTGTGACTCGTAGGAGGCACCCACAGAGCAATTCCCTGCCAGTACTTGGGGAAACCTTAAAATTGACGTCAAACTTCCTGCTCTCCCAGGAGGGATCTGTTTCCAAGAAAACAGGTTATGATGAGTAAGAAAGCAGTGTTCTGATCAAATTTGCATGCAGATTGAATTGTGAATCATGCTGGAGTTTGTGAGAAAGGTGACAATTTGTGAACAGGTTTTCATTTCTCCCAAGTTTTTCTGCAACCAAGTAAAACTAGATTTGCATGTGATATTCCTTTCTTTTTTAATCTTCTCTAGATACTAACAGTGACTTTGGCTTGCCAGGGTTTTGCCCCTTCCCTTAAAGGACCTATACCTCTGAAGAGAAGGAAGATAAAATTACAAATTCTGTTTAAAATGCCTTATTCAAATGCCTTCTCAGATAACATTCTGAGTTTATAGGTTCTGTAAAAGAATTGAACATGTGAGCTGAGACCATTGCAGCAGAATTGGTTGAGGAGCTGGGTGCCGGAGTGGGGCACTGGTAAGGTCTTGAAAGAGTCCTATGTGGAGTTAGGTTAAATAACAAAGGGAACTATTACCAGTAGGTATTCTAAAAAAAATTTTTTTTAAAGGAAGTGAATAGACAAGAATGGGTTTCAGTAAACCTAAATTTTGGAGCTGTGAGCCTCTTGTTCTGGTTATCTGTTTCTGTGCCCCCTAATTCTCTGGCCTTTGCAAACTAGTGGCATAAAACACTACCAATAATTTTATTATACTCATGGACTCTGTGGGTTGGGAAACCAGTGGAAGCTTGCCTCTGCTTCAGTGCTTGGTACTTTAGCTGGGAACACTGGAATTCTTGGGGCGACTCAACAGATGGGGGCTAGAATTATCTCAACACTTGCTCATTTATACATCTGGGGGTTAATGCCCTCTGTCCAGTGGGGCCTCAGTGAGGGCTGTTGGCTGGAACCTCTCATGTGGCCTTTCCACATAATCTCTCTGCTTCTTCCCAGTATGATGATTGAGTTCCAAGAATAAGCATCTTAAAAGGACAGGGTAGAAGCTGCATCTCTTCTTATGACCTAGCTTAGGAAGTCATGAGTGTCACTTGTCATCATGCTCCTTCCAGATTGAAGGGGAGGGAAAAAGACACCGTATCCCAAAGAAGTATCTAGTTCACATTGAAAGAAGAGCACATGGCATGGGATATTTGGTGTGGCTAGTTTTGGAAAACATGATGGGCCACACCTCCCAACAGCATCAATCCAGAACTTAAAACTTTTCTGCAATTTCTGATGGTAACATCCTAACATGTTCAATATCCTACCATGGCCCAGCATGATCTGACTCCAGCCTCTCTCTGACCCCACCACTCTCCTTTGCTCTCTGAGCTTCAGCCACACCAGTCTTCATTCTGCTCTTGAACATATCAACATTTTTCTCTCTTTGGAACGTTCAAGCATACTGGTTTCTCTGCCTGGAATACCGTTCCCCTCTTTGTATTGTTCCTCCCAAAAGGAAGATCAAAGCAGGCTGTATGGTTTGGCTCTGTGTCCCCACCAAATCTCATCACAGATTGTAATCCCCACATGTCAAGGGAGGGACCTGGTGGGAGGTAATTGGATCATGGGGGCAGATTTCCTCCTTGCTGTTCTTATGATAGTGAGTGAGTTCTCATGAGATCTGATGGTTTAAAAGTGTTTGGCAGATCCCCCCTCATTCTCCCCCTCTCTCCTGCTGCCATGTAAGAAGTGCCTTGCTTCCCCTTTGCCTTCTGCCATGATTGTAAGTTTTCTAAGGCCTCCCCAGCCATGTGGAACTGTGAGTCAATTCAGCCTCTTTCCTTTATAAATTACCCAGTCTCAGGTAGCTCCTTATAACAGTGTAAAACAGACGAATACAGTAGGTGTATCTTTTGTTTTAAATTCCTTGACCTTGTTTCCACAAGCTGTCATGTTAGTATGGAGAAAGCAGGCAACGAAGCACAAACGCTTTTATTTGCTTACACCCTGTCTCTCTGAGTCACTGACCCTAAGAGAGGTGTATAGAGAATTTTAGCAGGCCAAACCATACAACCTCTTTTTTTAACCTTCCTATGTCTGTGCAGCAGGAGAAGAGAAATGAGGATCACAAGCCTTGGCAGCCTTGGTGTCATCAGATGCTAGGTGTCTGCTGCTAACTCAGGAGATGACAGGTCCCATAGGCTGTTTTTGTTTTTTTTTTTTTTGTTTCCTCTCTCTTTTTTTAAATAAATGGGCCACTGCAACTGAAACTCAAATCCTCCCACCCTTGAAAGTGACTGCCTCATCTTGTGGGGGGGTTGGGGCGCAGGAAATGGCTGTATTCTATGGAAAAGAAGCCATGTACTCAAGTCTCAGTTATCTCTTAGGGACACCTGGGGCCAAAGAGCAGGCCAATCACTTTTACAAACACTGAAAGCATGTTTCCTGGAACCAATATAATTCCACTACTGTAAACATTTAAACCCTTACCTCAAGCAGCAACCTCAACACTGACAATTTTATCTTCTGAAAAGAAACACGTTCTTATAATCCAGAGGTTGGTAAACTTTTTCTGCAAAGGGGCAGATAGCAAATATTTTAGGCTTTGCAGAGCCGTGTTGCAGCAATTCAATTCTGCAGCTGTAGCACAAAGGGAGCTATAGTATGTAAAGAAGTGGCTGCGTCTGTGTTGCAATGAAACTTTATTTATGGGCACTGAAATTTTCTCATATTTCACATAATTTTCATATGTCACGAAATATTATTCTGCTTTTGATCTTTCTTTAAGCCATTTAAAAAGTAAAAACCAATCTTATCTCATGAGCTGTACAAAAACAGGCAGCAGGGCTGGATTTGGCTCGCTGGCCCTAGCAATTTAATTCATTACTCTGGAATACTCAATTCCCTCCAATTCACAGTTTAAAGGTCACACAATTTGCCAGGAACAACCTGGCCAGTGGTAGTGGTTTTCTAGTATTTGTACTGGGACATCACCCTCTCTGCTTTGTTAATTATTACATATTCTTTAAATATCAGTGTGAATTTCAGTCCTCAGAAAAGCTCGTTAAGAGTTTTAATTGGAATTACATTATATTTCTTCATAGTTTTCTGTACGTTTTGGTACTTATTATTTGTGTTTATACCTTTAATTTGTTCACTCATGGGATTACTGTCTGTCTCTCCTGCAAGACTGTTAACCCCAGGAGAGCAGAAAATGGGTTGATTTCTCATCGACTGTATCCCTAGCTCTAGCGAAATCCCTGACACATAGCAGAGACCTCAAAAATCTTTAATGAATGAAAGAAATCTAGTTTTCTCTTGTTTGTTTTTGTTCTTGTGCTGAAGAGAAGCAGAGCATGTGAGAAAATGGCATTTTAAAAATCAGACTAACTCTGGAGGCAGTAGGAGAATTTCTTGCTAGGGTCTTAAAATGGAGGCACTAGAACTGAACTCCAAACTCAAATCTGGAGAAGAGTGTGAGTTGTGAGAGACCATCACCTCCCATGTTCTGAAAGCTAGACCTCTATTAATTATGTCATTTTTGCTCACAATTCACGTATTTCATTCTACTCACCACAGTTATAAGTATAGATTTATTTGTGTAATCATTTGATTACTCTCTGTCTTCCCTTCATGACTGGAGTGGTTATGTATATTTTGTTTAAAAACTGTCAAAATAAGAAGACTTTTAAGACAGATACAGAACTTGAAAACTACATTAGATAAGATAAATAAACTGGAACATAAGTCCGTTAGGTTCACTTATTTGAAGCACAGTTTTTGGTCAGGTTAATTTTTCAGTTCTTAATTTTAGTCTTGCATTATTCAGGTTAATCTAACTGTATCTGATGCTCTGACAGGCTTTAGAATCTCTCTATATATTTAACATATTGTTTAAGGGCAATGCCAGAGAAAGGCTGAGAATGTATTCATTTATTCAACAAATATGTATTAGGAAATGCAAGATTACAAAAATACAATCCTTGCCTGAAAGAAGCCAAATATGGGAAACTCGTATGACTTCCCTTCTCCATTCCTATCTCATCCTTTGCTTGCTCTTGATTCTGCAAATTGGCGTTTGGTTTATGTCAGATCTGGACTAATTCAGGAAGCCAGTAACCAATGAGCACATTTGCACTGGTTTCTAGCCCTCTCTCTGAGACCTGAGAAGTTAGCATGAGTGAGGGGTTGTATTCGTCAGGGTTCTCTAGAAGGACAGAACTAATAGGGTAGATGTGTATTTAAAGGGGAGTTTATTAAGGAGTATTGACTCACACAATCACAAGATGAAGTCTCACAATAGGCTGTCTACAAGCTGAGGAGCAAGAAAGCCAGTCTGAGTCCCAAAGCCTCAAAAGTAGGGAAGCCAACTGTGTAGCCTTCAGTCTGTGGTCAAAGGCCTGAGAGCTCCTGGCCAACCACTGGTGTAAGTCCAAGAGCACAAAAGCTAAAGAACTTGGAGTCTGATATTTGAGGGCAGGAAGCATCCTGCAAAGGAGAAAGTTGAAGGCTGGAAGACTCAGCAAGTCTGCTCTTTGCAACTTCTGCCTGCTTTATTCTAGCCACAGTGGCAGCTGATTAAAGCCGACTAAAATTAAGATTAGAGGGTTCCCACCCAGATTCAGGGTGGGTTTGCCTCTCCCAGTCCACTGACTCAAATGTTAATCTCCTTTGGCAACACCCTCACAGATACACGCAGGAACAATACTTTGCATCCTTCAATCCAGTCAAGTTGGCACTCAACATTAACCATCACGGAGGTATTGTCTGTGCCTTGCATTTTTCTACACCCTGAGGATCTCCCTTCTCTGTCTTATGTGGAAAGAGACCTAAGCAAGAAGATTTGGCTCCAAGCCTGTACAAGGAATCTCCTGCTAGTAAGGGAAAGAAATCCGAAGAGCACTGTGCTGGAAGTTGGAAACCCTGGTTCCTTCCCAGCTCAGCCACAAACTCTCTACGTAGTCCTAGGCAAGTTGCTTTTCTCTCTCTGGATCTTAATTTCCTATTTAAAAAAATGAAAAAAAAAAGCTAGAAAAATTATCTCTAAGATTTTTCTGAGGGCTCACATTCTCACATTCAACTTATCACTGTATGCCTGTAGTTGGGAAACCATAATGAACACTACAACTCATAATTCTTAGTTTAATGATCATTCTGTTTTTGTGAAACTTAGCTTTTCAATATTTAAACAAGATCGGCCTCCTTTAAAGAGTCTCTGACTGAAAACAGCTGAAGATTAAGAGGTTCTAAGGTGTGAAATGTCAATGATATTATTTTAAAGGGGAAGAATCCTTTTTGGGGATATTTTTCCTTGAGTTAGCTCCAATCAGATAACAGATAGAGGGAGAGGACTTTTTAATTCAGGACAGCTACTATTTATTGAGCAACTATTAGATGCTAGGCAATAGCATCTATTAGATGCTTCATATGTATCACCCCATTTAATCCTCTCTACAACAGTATCTTATTCAAACAAAAAACTAAGAGTTTGCTTCTAACAGGCCAACACAGAGCAGGATGATGCTTAGCATCAGGATGAAAGTGTGAAGGGAGTAATTAAGAATGCATTCTTGGCCTGGCACGGTGGCTCATGCCTGTAATCTCAGCACTTTGGGAGGCCGAGGCAGGCAGATCACTTGAGGTCAGGAGTTTGAGACCACCCTGGCCAATATAGCAAAACCCCATCTCTACTAAAAATACAAAAATTAGCTGGGCCTGGTGGCTCGTGCCTGTAGTCTCAGCTACTTTGGAGGCTGAGGTAGAAGAATCGCTTCAACTCAGGAGGTGGAGGTTGCAGTGAGCCAAGATCACACCACTGAACTCCAGCCTGGGTGACAGAGTGAGACTGGGTCTCAAAAGAAGAAAAAAATGCATTCTTATTAGTTCATGACTATGCAATGAAATGCTGTTGTTTATTTTATTCACCAAAGACTTTCCAGCAGCCTTCCTAGTCCAAAAATAAGCCACTCACTATTCCATGTCACTGCAGCTGAAATCCTATGTTTAATTATAAAAGATAGTGGAGAAGAATGAGATGGGAAAGGCCAACTAAGGTTGGTAAGGACTTAGCAAGTATGTGGAGAAGGGTATGTGTTTGACCCCAACTTATTAGCCCAGGGGATGGTTCATGTAGTTATAAACACATGAGTAGTTTGGAAGGGTGGGTTGAAGGAAATCCATAGAAGGACATTATTTTATGATAAAGTCATTGTTTTTGCTTGCAGGAGAGGCAGAAGCCAGATACATAGTGACAGTTATAAGCAAAGGGTAGGCAACATGGGAAAGAGACAGGATGAAGACAGAGCCCACCACAGAGCAAGGTGGAGGTTGCCTGAGAATGAGGAGGGCCCAAGGATGTGTGCAGAAGAGAAAGCAAGTGGTGGAGGGAGGAAAGAAGGAGAAAGGAAAGGAGAGGGGAGAGAGCAAGTGAACATCCAGCTATCTCTTTAGTTGTTCTGCTTAGGTCTCTCAGAGTTTCCTCAAAATCAATATTTTTTACCTTCTTGAAAAAGCAAGTTCAACTTTATTTGAAACACTGACTTTATCACAGAATAAAATAGGGTTGAGCTTGCTTTTATTCTGTCATAGAATTCTAGAATTCAAATTTTCAAATAAATTTTGGTGTGTCTGCTTTCAAAATATTTCTCAGCCACATTCATATTGTCCAGTCTCTACTACCACCATCCTTATTTAAACCATTATCATCTCTTGCTTCACTGCTTGAAAATCTCATAGTTAGCTTTCACGTTTTTTATTCACCTTCCAAAACTGTTATCTTGGAGTAACTGCAGTGATCTTTTGAAATGGGATTATAGCACATCCCTCCTTAAAATGCTTCAGTGACTTCCCATTGCCCTTTGAGCAAAATCTAAATTTTCTCTGTCATACATAGTCAATCTCCTCCTGTTCAGCTCTGCTGCAGCCACACGAGCCTTCTTTCCATTCTTCAAGCTCCTGATTCCCTTTTTCTTGAAGTCGTTGCACCTGCACTTCCTTTGGGCTGGAACAGTTTACCTCCAGCTCTTTGTAGACCAGTCCCTTCTCTTCCTCTGGGTCTAACATTAGGTGCCTCTTACTGAGTGATGCCCAACCCAACGACCCCTCCGTTAGTCTCCATAATAGCACCTTGCTAGTTCCTGCATGTCACTTGAACAATTTGTAAGACTATATTTATTTGTTTGCTTGCTTTTCAAGTTGTCTATTTACCCTGTTAGACTGTGTACTCCATGAAGAAAGACTATCTTGGCTCTTTTAGTCACTGTTGTGTCCCTGAAGCTTAGCATGGTGTCTAGCACATTATTGTTGGCATGCAGTAAAGATTGGCTGAATGAATAAATAAAAGGAAGAAAGAAAATCATAGATCTAGACGATATTTTATATCTGTATATATACATACACATACATCTATATATATATAGTATTATTAGGATTGGTGAATAAGCTTTTTAATTAACAAAGAACCATAATTTTGTAAGCTGTTTTAAACATTCTCCTATGGCAAAGAAAGGGCAGCAGGTATAATTGAGCACTTGAAATAGTAACATTCCTTTACTTTGTAAAATGATATTTTTAGTGCATTCATTTCTCCTCTAATTGTTGCTGCATTTATTTCAGTTCCCATGGGAACCTAGAGAAGGACTTTCCCTATATTCCCCACCTCTTTGGGCTTCAGCAAAAGAAAATGGACCTCAAGGGAGTCTTCAAGAGCTGCTTCAAAATTTACTGTTCATCAAAGCACTTGCTGAAGACTGGCTTCATTTCAGAGGCTGTGCTGTGTTATGGAGAAGGAGGTGAAGGAGATACGGTGCTTACCATGAAGGAGAGGTGGCCACATGAATGCATCGTTTTAATACAGTGCAATAAGTGAGGTGATGAGCTTTGCGCAGATTTTATGGAATTAAGGAAAGAGGTCAGGAAAGCTTTTAGAAACTGTAGAGACAGTGCCTAAATTGTGTTTGAAGTTTGTCCCGAGTCAGCAGATGAGAGAGGGGAGGGAAGAGTGGAAAGCAATCTAGGTCAATTATCTTCCTATTTCAATTCAAAAGCATAAAGGAGATTTAAAACACAAAAGAAAAAAAATGAGAGGAATTAAACTTCAGAAAAGTAAAATACACAGTCGTCCACTGCTTATGTCCATGTGGGAAGGATGGATATGGGCCCAGCTAAAGAAAACTGTGAACTGTGGAAGAAAAAATTCCCACACATTTGTCATCCTGGGTTTTCCCAAGTAAAAGGGGTCAAATAGCCACCTTTGGGATGCATCCAATAGTCCCATGTAAGAGATTTTCTTAGGGTGCGGGGTGAGGATTATGGGGGAAGAGATGTACCAGTCTGAAAGGGAGTAAGCTTGACCACGTGGCTTAGTGGCATCTCTGAAACCAATAGGGATAATGATAATGCTGTAGTCCACATGGTTGGTCCAGAAATGGTGTTTTCATCAAAAGAACACAGTCTAGCAATCTACAGCTATTTCAAAATAACCCAAATCTTTCGTAAGTATGTCTCAGCAACAGGAAGGTGCAACATAATTTCCAGGAACATTCAAATTCCCTCTTTTCCTGCTTTTTTCCCACCTGCCTCTCCAACTTCAGGTGCTGCCTTCAGTTTCTCTGCTCTTTAACTCTCTCCTCAAATCCTCATGTCCTTTTTATTACCCCATCATTTCCTCTTGACCTCAAATCCTGCTATCTCAAGAATTATAAGGAGGACCTCCCCATTTGGATGGGGGAGGAGCCTCAACAGCTAATTATTTTAATTAAGTCACATTCTCATTAATTGAATCACTGGGACCTAATTCTGCTACAGACATAGAATCTGATAGTGTGAGAAGCAGAAGGAAATCGGATATCTTAGTACAACGTTCTCCCTTTACAAATTAGAGGTCTATGGTCTAGAGAAAGGAGCCCAGGAGCAGCTTCTCAGTGCCAGGACCATCTGATAATTAAGGCAGTATGTTCTTATTTTCATAGCTACACTCCCTTCAATGAGGCTCAGAACTTAATTTCCGACGATGTAATTCCCGCCTCAGAAGATTCTAGTGTGTCACAGTGGGATCACAATGCTACCTTAAAGATTTTCCTCGTGAAACTGGAATAGAATTTTCGCCTTCTATTTTTATGTTTGAAACATGTTAACATTTTTAAAAATTGCCTTTCTTGTTGGCGTTTTTATTGATTCTTTCCACCAACTACCCAAAATAATTAAATGCATAATAAGGAGCAAAATGTATGGAATCATCCAAATGCTTGCTCTTGATTATTTTCTACCGCATTAAAAACTTGCTTTTGCATAACTAAATCTGCAGGGGGAGAGTTTACAACAAATGCTCATAATAATGAGGTGCCTGCCACTGAGCCTGGTGGTTTGCATGCATCATCTCACTTAAGCCTTGCAACATTCCTGTGAATGAGGTAACTGTTTCCACTTCACAGGAAAGTGGAGGTTGGGAGAGGTTGGGCTCCAGGTCACACGGTAAGTGGGGGAGCCAGTGTCCAAGCCCAGGTATGGCAGAACTAAAGTCTGAGCTCTTAATCTCTGCATTACACTCATGAAATACATTGATTCAAAGGTGCAGTCATCCTCATTTCCACAGACTAGGTGTCATAGATGAACACAATGAGAAGGAACAGTTTTCACTGTTGTGTTCAGCCTCGAAAAGGATTTAGTTTTGGTGAACTATTGCAAGGCTGTGAGGAAGTTTTTTGGAAAGCAGGTCTGGGGTAGATCAACCTAAAGTACCACCTGTGACAGTTTTAATATCTTATAGATTCTTGCCCTGCAATTCTATCTTCTCATCTCCCTTTCCTACAGGGTGTGTATGCTCAGAATCTTTTTGGGTTCTTGGAACAACAGTTAAACTACTCCTTCCTTATCAGGTTACATGCGTCACTGGTTACACACACAGACACACACATACAATTCACCTCCTTTGCTTCACACTTCATTTCTAGTGTCTTTCAGATTTAACTACTAGCATAAAACTGTCTTTACATTCCTTATTTTAATGATTGTTACAACTCTGATTGCCCATTAACTTTAAGTTACTGTTATAAATAAGACTAGAGTCACTATTAATTAACTGGGATGTAGTCAGGAACACAAGTATAATGTAATTTCTCTCACTGTCTCATAGGTCCATAGAGAGACCCAAGTGATGATAGCAACCAACCATTCAAGGTAACATATTTCTACAACTCCTTGGTGGACAATAAAGGCTTAACCCAAAGATGCCTCCCTAGGGAAGATATCACGCTTGATGGTGGCCACCCATTCTCATGTCCTTAACAATAAAAATAGCTCCATCATCTCCATTTCTAGCCCAAATATCTCACCCAAGATCTCAGTGCTGAACTTTCAAGTGCCTTTTGGCATTATTTTTTAAAGTTATTCAGCTAAAGCAAATTGAATCTTTAAAACTAAACTGATTATTCTAGAACTGTGCTGTTCAATGTGGTAGCCAACAACCATGTGTGGCTGCTATTGAACACAAGAAAAGCAGCTAGTCTGGGGGTGGAGCCAAGATGGCCGAATAGGAACAGCTCCAGTCTACAGCTCCCAGTGTGAGCGACGCAGAAGATGGGTGATTTCTGCATTTCCAACTGAGGTACTGGGTTCATCTCACTGGGGAGTGCCAGACAGTGGGTGCAGGACAGTGGGTGCAGTGCACCGTGCATGAGCCAAAGCAGGGCGAGGCATTGCCTCACCTGGGAAGTGCAAGGGGTCAGGGAATTCCCTTTCCTAGTCAAAGAAAGGGTTGACAGACAGCACCTGGAAAATCGGGTCACTCCCACCCTAATACTGCGCTTTTCCAACAGGCTTAACAAAGAGCACACCAGGAGATTATATCCTGCACCTGGCTCAGCGGGTCCTATGCCCATGGAGCCTCACTCATTGCTAGCACAGCAGTCTGAGATCAAGCTGCAAGGCAGCAGCGAGGCTGGGGGAGGGGCGCCCGCCATTGCCCAGGATTGAGTAGGTAAACAAAGCAGCCAGGAAGCTTGAACTGGGTGGAGCCCACCACAGATCAAGGAGGCCTGCCTGCCTCTGTAGGCTCCACCTCTGGGGGCAGGGCACAGACAGACAAAAGACAGCAATAACCTCTGCAGACCTAAATGTCCCTGTCTGACAGTTTTGAAGAGAGTAGTGGTTCTCCCAGCATGCAGCTTGAGATCTGAGAGCGAGCAGACTGCCTCCTCAAGTGGGTCCCTGACCCCCGAGTAGCCTAACTAGGAGGCACCCCCCAGTAGGGGCAGACTGACACCTCACACGGCCAGATACTCCTCTGAGACAAAACTTCCAGAGGAACGATCAGGCAGCAGCATCTGCGGTTCACCAATATCCGCTGTTCTGCAGCCACCGCTGCTGATTCCCAGGCAAACAGGGTCTGGAGTGGACCTCCAGCAAACTCCAACAAACCTGCAGCTGAGGGTCCTGACTGTTAGAAGGAAAACTAACAAACAGAAAGGACATCCACACCAAAAACCCATCTGTATGTCACCATCATCAAAGACCAAAGGTAGATAAAACCAGTAAGATGGGGAAAAAAACAGCAGAAAAACCAGAAACTCTAAAAATCAGAATGCCTCTCCTCCTCCAAAGGAACACATCCCCTTAACAGCAACAGAACAAAGCTGGATGGAGAATGACTTTGACAAGTTGAGAGAAGAACGCTTCAGAAGATCAAACTACTCCAAACTAAAGGAGGAAGTTTGAACCAACGGCAAAGAAGTTAAAAACTTTAAAAAAAATTAGACAAATGGCTAACTAGAATAAGTGATGCAGAGAAGTCCTTAAAGGACCTGATGGAGCTGAAAACCATGGCACAAGAACTATGTGACGAATGCACAAGCCTCAGTAATCGATGCGATCAACTGGAAGAAAGGGTATCAGCGATGGAAGATGAAATGAATGAAATGAAGCATGAAGAGAAGTTTAGAGAAAAAAGAATAAAAAGAAATGAACAAAGCCTCCAAGAAATATGGGACTATGTGAAAAGCCCCAATCTACGTCTGATTGGTGTACCTAAAAGTGACAGGGAGAATGGAACAAGTTGGAAAACACTCTGCAGGATATTATCCAGGAGAACTTCCCCAATCTAGCAAGGCAGGCCAACATTCAAATTCAGGAAATACAGAGAACGCCACAAAGATACTCCTCGAGAAGAGCAACTCCAAGACACTTAATTGTCAGATTCACCAAAGTTGAAATGAAGGAAAAAATGTTAAAGGCAGCCAGAGAGAAAGGTCAGGTTACCCACAAAGGGAAGCCCATCAGACTAACAGCTGATATCTCAGCAGGAACTCTACAAGCCAGAAGAGAGTGGGGGCCAATATTCAACATTCTTAAAGAAAAGAATTTTCAACCCAGAATTTCATATCCAGCCAAACTAAGCTTCATAAGTGAAGGAGAAATAAAATACTTTACAGACAAGCAAATGCTGAGAGATTTTGTCACCACCAGGCCTGCCCTGAAAGAGCTCCTGAAGGAAGCACTAAACATGGAAAGGAACGATCAGTACTAGCCACTGCAAAAACATGCTAAATTGTAAAGACTATCAAGGCTAGGAAGAAACTCCATCAAATAACGAGCAAAATAACCAGCTAACATCATAATGACAGGATCAAATTCACACATAACAATACTAACCTTAAATGTAAATGGGCTAAATGCTCCAATTAAAAGGCACAGACTGGCAAATTGGATAAAGAGTCAAGACCCATCAGTGTGCTGTATTCAGGAGACCCATCTCATGTGCAGAGACACACATAGGCTCAAAGTAAAGGGATGGAGGAAGATCTACCAAGCAAATGGAAAACAAAAAAAGGCAGGGGTTGCAATCCTAGTCTCTGATAAAACAGACTTTAAACCAACAAAGATCAAAAGAGACAAAGAAGGCCATTACATCATGGTAAAGGGATCAATTCAACAGGAAGAACTAACTATCCTAAATATATATGCACCCAATACAGAAGCACCAAGATTCATAAAACAAGTCCTTAGTGACCTACAAAGAGACTTAGACTCCCACATAATAATAATGGGAGACTTTAACACCCCAATATCAACATTAGACAGATCAATGAGACAGAAAGTTAACAAGGATATCCAGGAATTGAAGTCAGCTCTGCAGCAAGCAGACCTAATAGACATCTACAGAACTCTCCACCCCAAATCAACAGAATATACATTCTTTTCAGCACCACACCACACCTATTCCAAAATTGACCACATAGTTGGAAGTAAAGCACTCCTCAGCAAATGTAAAAGAATGGAAATTATAACAAACTGTCTCTCAGACCACAGTGCAATCAAACTAGAACTCAGGATTAAAAAACTCACTCAAAACCGCTCAACTACATGGAAACTGAACAACCTGCTCCTGAATGACTACTGGGTACATAACAAAATGAAGGCAGAAATAAAGATGTTCTTTGAAACCAATGGGAACAAAGACACAACATACCAGAATCTCTGGGACACATTCAAAGGAGTGTGTAGAGGGAAATTTATAGCACTAAATGCCCACAAGAGAAAGCAGGAAGGATCTAAAATTGACACCCTAACATCACAATTAAAAGAACTAGAGAAGCAAGAGCAAACACATTCAAAAGTTAGCAGAAGGCAAGAAATAACTAAGATCAGAGCAGAACTGAAGGAAATAGAGACACAAAAAACCCTTCAAAAAATCAATGAATCCAGGAGCTGGTTTTTTGAAAAGTTCAACAAAATTGATAGACGGCTAGCAAGACTAATAAAGAAGAAAAGAGAGAAGAATCAAATAGACGCAATAAAAAATGACAAACGGGATATCACCACTGATCCCACAGAAATACAAACTACCATCAGAGAACACTATAAACACCTCTACGCAAATAAACTAGAAAATCTAGAAGAAATGGATAAATTCCTCGACACATACACCCTCCCAAGACTAAACCAGGAAGAAGTTGAATCTCTGAATAGACCAATAACAGGCTCTGAAATTGAGGCAATAATTAATAGCTTACCAACCAAAAAAAGTCCAGGACCAGATGGATTAACAGCCAAATTCTACCAGAGGTACAAGGAGGAGCTGGTACCATTCCTTCTGAAACTATTCCAATCAATAGAAAAAGAGGGAATCCTCCCTAACTCATTTTATGAGGTCTGCATCATCCTGATACCAAAGCCTGGCAGAGGCACTACAAAAAAAGAGAATTTTAGACCAATATCCTTGATGAACATTGATGCAAAAATCCTTAATAAAATACTGGCAAACCGAATCCAACAACTCATCAAAAAGCTTATCCACCATGATCAAGTGGGCTTCATCCCTGGGATGCAAGGCTGGTTCAACATATGAAAATCAATAAATGTAATCCAGCATATAAACAGAACCAAATACAAAAACCACATGATTATCTCAATAAATGCAGAAAAGGCCTTTGACAAAATTCAACAGCGCTTCATGCTAAAAACTCTCAATAAATTAGGTATTGATGGGACGTATCTCAAAATAATAAGAGCTATCTATGACAAACCCACAGCCAATATCATACTGAATGGACAAAAACTGGAAGCATTCCCTTTGGAAACTGGCACAAGACAGGGATGCCCTCTCTCACCACCCCTATTCAACATAGTGTTGGAAGTTCTGGCCAGGGCAATCAGGCAGGAGAAGGAAATAAAGGGCATTCAATTAGGAAAAGAGGAAGTCAAATTGTCCTTGTTTGCAGACGACATGATTGTAGATCTAGAAAATCCCATCGTCTCCGCCCAAAATCTCCTTAAGCTGATAAGCAACTTCAGCAATGTCTCAGGATACAAAATCAATGTGCAAAAATCACAAGCATTCTTATACACCAATAACAGACAAACAGAGAGCCAAATCATGAGTGAACTCCCATTCACAATTGCTTCAAAGAGTATAAAATACCTAGGAATCCAACTTACAAGGGATGTGAAGGACCTCTTCAAGGAGAACTACAAACCACTGCTCAATGAAATAAAAGAGGATACAAACAAATGGAAGAACATTCTATGCTCATGGGTAGGAAGAATCAATATCGTGAAAATGGCCATACTGCCCAAGGTAATTTATAGATTCAATGCCATCCCCATCAAGCTGCCAATGACTTTCTTCACAGAATTGGAAAAAACTACTTTCAAGTTCATATGGAACCAAAAAAGAGCCCGCATTGCCAAGTCAATCCTAAGCCAAAAGAACAAAGCTGGAGGCATCACGCTACCTGACTTCAAACTATACTACAAGGCTACAGTAACAAAACAGCATGGTACTGGTACCAAAACAGAGATATAGATCAATGGAACAGAACAGAGCCCTCAGAAATAATGCCGCATATCTACAACTATCTGATGTTTGACAAACCTGTCAAAAACAAGCAATGGGAAAGGATTCCCTATTTAATAAATGGTGCTGGGAAAACTGGCTAGCCATATGTAGAAAGCTGAAATTGGATCCCTTCCTTATACCTTATACAAAAATTAATTCAAGATGGATTAAAGACTTACATGTTAGACCTAAAATCATAAAAACCCTAGAAGAAAACCTAGGCATTACCATTCAGGACATAGGCATGGGCAAGGACTTCATTTCTAAAACACGAAAAGCAATGGCAAGAAAAGCCAAAATTGACAAATGGGATCTAATTAAACTGAAGAGCTTCTGCACAGCAAAAGAAACTACCATCAGAGTGAGCAGGCAACCTACAGAATGGGAGAAAATTTTTGCAACCTACTCATCTGACAAAGGGCTAATATCCAGAATCTACAATGAACGCAAACAAATTTGCAAGAAAAAAAAACCCATCAAAAAGTGGGTGAAGGATATGAACAGACACTTCTCAAAAGAAGACATTTATGCAGCCAAGAGACACATGAAAAAATGCTCATCATCACCGGCCATCAGAGAAATGCAAATCAAAACCACAGTGAGATACCATCTCACACCAGTTAGAATGGCAATCATTAAAAAGTCAGGAAACAACAGGTGCTGGAGAGGAGGTGGAGAATTAGGAACACTTTTACACTGTTGGTGGGAGTGTAAACTAGTTCAACCATTATGGAAGTTGGTGTGGCGATTCCTCAGGATCTAGAACTAGAAATACCATTTGACCCAGCCATCCCATTACTGGGTATATACCCAAAGGATTATAAATCATGCTGCTATAAAGACACATGCACACGTATGTTTTTTGCGGCACTATTCACAATAGCAAAGACTTGGAACCAACCCAAATGTCCACCAATGATAGACTGGATTAAGAAAATGTGGCACATATACACCATGGAATACTATGCGGCCATAAAAAATGATGAGTTCATGTCCTTTGTAGGGACATGGATGAAACTGGAAACCATCATTCTCAGCAAACTATCGCAAGGACAAAAAACCAAACACCGCATGTTCTCACTCATAGGTGGGAATTGAACAATGAGAACACATGGACACAGGAAAGGGAACATCACACACTGGGGACGGTTGTGGGGTAGGGGGAGTGGGGAGGGATAGCATTAGGAGATATACCTAATGCTAAATGAAGAGTTAATGGGTGCAGCACACCAATATGGCACATGTATATATATGTAACAAACCTGCATGTTGTGCACATGTACCCTAAAACTTAAAGTATAATAATAATAAAATAAAATAAAATAAAATAAAGAAAAGCAGCTAGTCTGAATTTGAAATGTACTGTATGTGTGGCCACACTCAACCGCAAAGACTTAGTGCAAGAAAAAGAGCACAAAATACCTCATTAATGATTTTTATTGATTATGTGCTAAAATGATATTTTCTCTGTATAGAATTAAATAACATACATTATTCAAATGAATCTCACTTGTTTCTTTTCACTTTATAAGATGTGTTTATTAGAAAATTACAATTGCATATATGGCATGCATATTTCTATTGAATACTGCTGAGCTAGAATATCAAAACTGGGAGGAACTGTCTAATCCCACACCTTATTTTATGAGTGACTAAGTGTTAATAAATAGTGTTTATTAAGTGAGGGTTCATGTCTAATCATGTGCCCTAGCACCTTACCTCTACTATCTCATTTAATCTTTACTACAATTCTACAAGGTAGGTATCATGGTTCTGCCCACTTTAGAGATGAAGTCTGTAGAGGGGAAGTAGTTTGTCCAGTGTTACGTAGCTTATAACTCAGATGCTTGGCACAGCATCAATTCCTGTGAATAATGGAATACACAAGTACTTCCTGAGACTTAGATACCTGTGTATGGCTCCCTGGTTGTCTCTCACTGAATCCACCTATCTCTGGTAGCCACAGTATCATGGACCTACTCCTCAATTATCCTTGCCCTCAATTCAGATTTCATTTTCTCTTTGAAATAAATGTGTGTACCGTTTAACGGAAAAGTGATTTCCCTGGAGCAGGGGCCTCTAAAATTATAGCAAAATCTATTTTTTTTTCAACTACAGAGGGAGAGGAAAGTGGCCAAATGTGAAGCTTTATGATTGAAGGTAAGTTTTCATTCCACCTAGAGCTGTATTCCTGTCATGGCAACACATGCAGTACATACATACACACACACACACACACACAGACACAGACAGACACACCCCATACAGAGCAAATCCCTCCTCCCAAACTCTTCAGATATTTACAGTGTAGCTACATCTTAGACTTGATTTTAAAAATTAGTTGAAAGGTTAAAATAACATGGACAAAAATGATAGCATTAACACATTTCCTTATAAGGACAGCATTGGAAACCGTTATGCCATTTCGGAATAAATCCAACCCAGCCAATTTCTTTTACAGCTTAGAATGGATTGTTGCTTCTTTAGTTGATTGTCACATGATATTGCTTGTTTGTATTTATGAAGAATGCCATATAAAAAGTGTATTACCTGAGACACTAAAATCACACTTAGCACAGTGAGAGGCTTTCTTTGGGAGGAGTACAAGAAAACTGGGAAATAAAATTTATGCCTCCCATATGCTAACTCTAGGGTATATGGTTACTGAATGAAATGGATGATAGAATTTCTCCTAGTATTTGAATTATTTTCTCTATATTTTGACAAACATGTGAAATTGAACTTGTGCAAGTTAAGTGAAAATGCGTGTTACTCCTCTATATACTCAAACTTCCAGTCCCTCTGATAAACAATATTAGGTTCTTATAGATCTATCACTTATGAGGGTTCTTGAGAAAGGCGTATTAGTGATAGCAGGGTGTATTTGTCTTTAATGAGCTTGAAGAATTTATGAATTCATTCACTTACTCTTAGAATAGTAACAGGGGTATCATCTATGTGTCAGACGCTGTCCCAGGTGCTGAGAAATTTGAGAGAAATTAAGAGATCAACGCTGTCTTTAAGCTACTCAGAAATGCTAGATGGTTTACTCATTAAAAAAAAAAAAAATAAATGTCCAGGAGCATATGAGTATTGTCCCAATGAGTCAGATAAATATTTTACATTTTATCTTATCGTTATAATTATTCCTACTATTATTAGAAAAAGAAGGAGAAATAGGCTTGCAGGAAACAGAATGTTGAAAAAAGATTTCAGAACCTCTTGATCTGATGGGTCCTACTGCAGTAGACAATATGGCAGAGTGGAATAAGTCTGAGCTTTGGAGATGGTGTGAAATAGATACTTTAGGTACTTAAGTGGAAAAAGAGTTGGAGGCTAGAATGGCAATTATTAGTTTTTTTCTCATAGAGCATCTCTATTTTAAACTGCATGGAACAAATGCAGACAAAAAGATCTAGTCTGTTAATGTACTAGTGTGAATCTGTTACTGCAATTCTGCCCTTTTGGAAATTTCAGTGTATATCTCTCCAAAGGTTTAAAATCATTAATCTTAAACCTCATTTTTTAAGGCTAAAAGCTCAGGAGCATCAAATTTCCCATTAATTTGCAATGTAAATATGTACCTTTCTGATTAATTTTTGCTTTGTTTTTTCCCCCTAAGTTCACTACTTTGTTTTCCTCTGTTTTTAAAAGCTGATTGGCTAACTCATTTCAAAGGCATCTCCTTGACCTTATATTCTTAATCTGGAATTTATTATATTTACTGTTACCAAAATGACACTATCTACATCAACTTGTACCTTCTTCCATTTTCTCTCTTCAAGGTACTTTATGCCCCGGGCTGCCTTCTGGATCAGAAAGATACTCAAAGCTATAAAGTTCACACAAAGCCAGGCTTTGTTATCACCGGAGTGTGCAGAAGGGCACTAGCCCTGAGTATGTGCCACCTCGTACGCCTCTCACATGCTTCTCCGTTTTCCCTACTTCACTTTCCTGGGTTCATTCCAAGACGGAGAATGGAAGAAACCAGAGCTAAACTTGTGTGCCTGCAGTCCAGCTGTCGTGCCTGGAGGTGAGTTGTTCTGAACCTATGGACACATAAGTTTAGAGTATGTGGGAGACACTCTCTGCTTTAAAAGATTTGGTCTTGGGCCACACCTACTGCTCTGAGCTCTGAGAGTGTGGCCGTGGAAGGACTGTGAGGCCAGCCCAATTTGCTCTTGGAAACAGGCTGCTCCATTTTCCTTTGCTTTGAGCCCCGATGTGGTCACATCCTCTACTTTGGTCTCTCCTCAACACAGCTGATGCCAACTATTATTCCCAAGTAGCTGTGTTGTCAAGGCCCAGGATTCTTTTTTCAATTAGAAAATATTTTTGCAAACATTTTAAAGAACCCATATTTTACTTTTTCTTATTACAAAGTAAGACATATTCACTGTAGAGAATTTGGCAAATACTGAAAAATATAAATTTTAAAAAGCAAGCATGAACTCTGATTCTGCCCCTCAGAGACAACCACTGTTAACGTTTTGTGAAATTTCTCATAGATTTTTAATCTAGAACCACAGGAATTTCTACTATAGGATACTATTAAATGTGCTGTTAGGCATTCCACTTTTTCTCTTGGTAACATTTTGTGAAAGTTTCCTCATTTTATTTAAGTAGTCTATGCAACCACATTTAGATATGCTTATGTGTGTGTATACTATACAGAATGCTTTCCAGTGATGTCTTTCATAATTTAGCATTGCCGTTAGGCAAGGACCCATCCACAAACCATGTGTTTTGATGTTTTACTCCTTACTCCATGCCTAATTGTATTTTCTTCATTTTTTATTCTTTACATCAATTTTTAAAAAAATCTAGTAATACAGTGCTTATAAGAAAAGACAAAAAGGCATATGTCTGTTTACCACCTAAGAATCAGCCATCTCTAGAAGAGAGATCTTTTTGTTTGAGTTTGTCTATCAGGACTGTTTAATTTTGAAAAGTATAAAAAATTAGCTGGTCGTATGCGGTGGCTCACGCCTGTAATTCCAGCACTTTGGGAGGCCGAGGTGGGCGGATCACAAGGTCAGGAGATCCAGACCATACTGGCTAACGCAGTGAAACCCTGTCTCTACTAAAAATACAAAAATTAGCCGGGCGTGGTGGCAGGCACCTGTAGTCCCAGCTGCTGGGGAGGCTGAGGCAGGAGAATGGTGTGAACCCGGGAGGCGTAGCTTGCAGTGAGCCGAGATCGCGCCACTGCACTCCAGCCTGGGTGACGGAGCGAGACTCCGTCTCAAAAAAAAAAAAAAAAAAAAGCTGTATTGGTTAGAAGTAGGTTTATTGTATATAATGGAAAATACAAATTAATAGTAGCTTGAACACTTCATCATTAGTTTTCTCAGGTAGCAGAAGCCTGAAGATATGTAGTCGATCTTTACTATTTAAGCTCTATCAGGGACAAAGGCGCTGATAGTTTTCTTCTTCCTTATGACTTCCATTTTCAAATTTTCAATATGCCTGCTGTTGGAGCTCATCATTCTACAGAACAGGAATGAGTAAGGAATCAGAATAAATATGGCATGCTCTAGCCATATCAGGAACTTTGAAGGAGTCTTCCTGAAAGTTCCATACCGCCCATCTGCTTAAATTTCACTGGCCAGATCTCAGCCAAAGGCTGAGAAGTTACAAATGTAGTCATTTACCACTGAATAAAATCGAGGTTTTACTATTCATGGAAAGACATGAAGAATATTGGGTAGGCAATTAGACAATATATTGCCTCACATAACTGAATAGTTCAAGGGTTGTTTATAGCTTCAGGTACAGTTTGATCTGATTTATGACAACATAATCAGGACTTTGATTTCATTTTCTCAGACAGTCTCTGGCTCATTCTCCTCATGTTGTTTTTACTGGCTGTCTCTTGGATGGCAGAGATGGCTGTAACATTTCATGATATATAATCCTTCTACCTCACTGTCCAAAGAAAGAGAGAAACATTATTTCTGAGGACTCTCACGGAAGGCAAAAATGTTTTCTTCCCAGAATCCTAAGCAAAGGCTCTTTGTGTATCATTAGCCCAGCTGGATCACTTGCTTATGCCTGATTCAGTCATTATGACCAGGCGGATGGGATATACTGATTGGTTTAGGCCAATTAAGATGATCCCTAGCACTGGCAATGAGTTTAACTTCCCTACAACACAGATTGTCTGGATGGGGAGATGTGATTACTGCACATGAACATGAACATGAACATGAACATGAAACCAGTGTTCACTACAACTTTTCTGGAAATTACCTCCCTCTTTCTATGTAGTATGCTTACATAGATATTTCTTCATTTGTTGTTTAGTGAACTCCCCATATTATTTCCTCTTCTAGTCACCTCTGCAACTTTAAATAGCACAATTATACTTTGATTTTAATGTACATTCCATTAACCACAGGAGACAGACATCTCTTGACTCCTATTTTGTATGATGAGGACATCAAAGTTTCTTTATCCACTCATCACACTTTCTCACCTCTACTTCCCAATTATTATGTCGGTTGTATCATTGTTTTTATAATGTTGAGATGGAGAAATATATATTCTGTCCTGCTACATTCGTTAGGTCTTTTCAAATATCCAGGTTCATTCTAAAAGTTTAAAATTAGAAAACAACATGTAAATTTTTATGACATTATAAATACTGTTCCTTGGTGGTCCAGGTGGTTACACTTTTCTTCTAGGTCATCAAAGACACAAGCTTGTGCCACTGAAGTTTAAATGGTTTCTCTGTTTCTAACCAGCACAAAATACCTTTACCATTTCTGTAAGTTTTTCAGGATCTCAGTTAAACTGATTTACCCCTTTTATTTATTTCTTTCCTCTAGAGACCTCTCTTCCATGATCATCCAGGGTGAATTAGACCAGGTCCTCCTGAGACCAGCAGCGTGGATGTTGTATATCCAAAAGGTAGATCTGGGGCTTAGAAAATAATTCTGGGCTGGAGTGCAAAATTTGAGACTTATTAGGATACAATTGGTAATTAAGCAAGGCTTGTGGATGAAATAGTATGGGGGTAGGGGGACTGTAGTGAAAGGAGTGAGAGGAGAAGAGGGAGGGCTTTGACATTTAAGTGCTAGCCAGAGAAGGAGTTGGCAAAAGAGACTGAGCTTTTCAAATCTTAGCATCAGATAATCAACAAGCTGGAGGAGCAGCAGAAAGTGATGTTGAATCTCACACCTGGAACAGGGGTTTTTGCTTCAGCATTCCTGGCAGATGGCATCTAGCCTGTGCTTTGATACCTGCAGTGCTAGACAGCCCCAAATGTTGAAACAGTCTTATACTAAACTGAATTATTTCTCTGTAATATTCTGGCCCCTATTCCACCTTCTCATGCATCAGAAATCCAGCCTGATTGTATTGTTTCTCTCTGCATAATAGTGGTCCAAATAATCTGAGATAGTTAAGTGCTCAATACGTGTAATGCAATCAACCATTAATGTTGTTTTTACATTGTTGTTACTATTAACGACATTTTATTTCATAGTTGCTCATGGCAAAAGCTTTAATGTCAGACAGCTTGAATTCCAACCTTGGCTCTGCTCCTTTCTAGCCATGTTTTCTCAATATCAAGTTTCTTAGTCTTTCTGTGCTTTGTTTCTTTTCCTTTGTAAAATTGCAATAGTAATAGAATCTCCTTCATACACTTGCTATGAGGCTCGACTGAGATAATGCATATAAAACGCTTATCACAGTGACTAGCAAATAGTATGTGCTCCATAAATGTTTATGTAATAATAAAATAATGACAGTAATAATAACAATAATAATGAACTCCACTTGCTGCCTATGCTTACCTTATTAATGATCTCAGTGAGTTGAAATTATCTGGGTCCAACTCCATCTCCTTTACTTGGCTTGGAGTGCTTTGAAAAGTGGAGTCCTATCTTTTTATTCATCATATCCTGCAGGGTTAAGTACAGGGGCCACCACATAGAAAATGAGTAAAATGTTTGTGGAACAAATACTTGCCAACCTCCTAGATAGCCTGGTTGCCCTTTTTTAAACATTAAGTGATAGCTCTAATCATCCACTAATCATCTTATTATTATCTGTTGGAGACCCCAAAGGGATCCACATGCACCACAAATGCAAATATGTCAGCCACACTCACCTTGTCCCTCTTTTCTCTGACCATCTCCACTGCCTGCAGTGCTGCCTGGAGATGAATCCTGTTGCCCCTGCCAATCATGAAAGCACCAGTGTCTGTGCCAAGGAGGCTAGCTGGAAATGACATGAAGACCTGCCTCTCCAGGGTCAAGGAAAGGTCCTCCTCCCTGAGTCTAGCCCTGCTTTATTAATTAGGCCCAGAACACAGCATCTTGTCTTGTGCTTAAACCCCTCTTGAACACTCCTATTGATTTTTGCTGCTAACCCCTTCTCTGTAGAGCTCAAACCAGTTTAAGGGATCTTCAGGGGCCAGAGGCCATTCCTTGTCTCCTACTTTTCTTCCCACTGTAGCCCCTTCCTCCTCAGGGCTTCCTTTCCTACTTACATGACAAGAGCCTCTAGGTGTATGAATGGGATCAACCTGTAAGGGGAAGGGGTGATGGACAGTATGGAGTAGGAACTCATTCAAAGATGCCCCATTAATATATTATTTAAAATGTGTCTCTAAGTATAGTTGTCCATGTTAAATTTCACTTTTGCAGTATCCTGAACATGGCAGTGGTTTCACAACTCTATAGCTTGGTCGAAACTCACAGATCTGTACACCCAAACCAGCAAATTTTACTACATATAAATCTAAAAACAAATTATAAAATTTTAGTGTTGTCAGGATTTTCCCAGTCCTTCATACTCTTGATGTCTGTTTCATTGTTTTGGCTGCCCTTGCCCGAAAGAGCTGACTCGGGACACTGTTTTCTAGATTTCCTTTCCAGTACCCTGAATGTTCATCTATTTGATTTTTATTGATAATAAAATATGAATTAGTTAACTGCAGTCTCAAACATAAATAGATTAAACCAAACAATACCGGGAAGACTGGAGGACAAAGACCAGCTAACACAGAAAGGGGCCAGGAGGCTCTTATCTGGACTGTGATAACTCTGCTTTGCCACCCTTTATCTGCCTCTGTTCTCTGCTGCTTCACACGGTCGGCTTTTCAGTGTTCAAACAGCAGGTTAATATGGAGTTTGCCGGATAGTAAGTGATTAAGAACGCCCTATTTTGAATTGATGTGGTCTTATGTTCCCTTGCTCAATTCTGTTAATTCCTTTTGAACTAGGCTGACTTCTGGGCAGCTGTTTCCCAGTTAGATACAGTCTGAAGCCTCTCTCCTCCTTCTCTGGCTCCACATTCATTTTTTAGTTACAGACATATGATGTCACTGTGTCTGAACACCTGTTCTGCTTTACAACCCCTCCTGCATGTGAGTCTACTTCTTCCCAAGCCATCTCCTCTCATAAAAATGAGTGATCATCGTTTAGTTCACATGGAAGCGGTTTCCTTTGACATCCAAGGACCCTTGGTTCCTGGGCAACTGTGACCCCTCTGGAGAGGACAGATGCTCAAGGGAAAATCCAACTGTCCCTGTGTTCATGTTTCCACCCATTCACCTCTTACCAAGTGAGTGTCCACCCTAAGCCAGGTTCTTATGAAGTGCATTATCTCTTACTTCCAGCAGCTTACATTTTAGTGAAGGAGGCAGGGTGAGTGAAAAACACATCAATAAGTTATTTACAGAGTGAGATAAGGGCTATGAGTGACATCAACAGAGGCTTGAGACTGAAAATAACAGAGTGAGGGATAAGTGGAGCAGGGAAACCTGGACCTGTAAAAAAGAGATATTTATGCTGAAACAGAAGAGAAAGCATTTCAGGTCTGGGAAACTGTAAATGCAAAGGTCCTGAGACAAGAAAGAGCTGTGTGTAAGACTAGAAACCTAAAGCCCAGCATAGCTTCAGCACAGCAGGTGAGGAGAGTGCTGTGAGATGGGATGGGAGAGGAAGCAAGTTCCAGAACCTGAGCACCCCAGAGGCTGAGTAGAAAGGTCTGAGGCACAAGACCCACTCATTAATCTGATATGGGTTTGGGAGACTGGGAGATAATCATACACTTCAGAACATAGAGCAAAATAAGGATAAACATGGCCCTCTGCTGTAGATTTGACTCTTACAAACAACAAATTGCAAATGTTTCTCCATTTCCAACTTTATTTGGAGGAGGTTTTATTAGAAGTTCCTTCCTGAGATAGAGTGATTGTCTATAAGGTAAACTGAGATGCCTGTGAATGACCCATGTGCCCATATATGACACAGTGTCTTGCTCTAGGATCTTATTTACTCTGTGGTGTTTATTAAAATAAAGCCAGTCACCCTGGCTTTATTATGGGAAAGGTATTCACAGTTTGGTTTCCATGCCTTTGCAGCTGCATTAAAACTCTTTGTATAACTGTTTAAATTTTTAGCAGCTCTTAAGTGGATGGAAGGTATGCAGGCTTCAAGTTTGTGAATTCAAGAGAAGCATTGATTTATTTTAGCAATTTAAATTTGGAATTTAATTTCCATCTTCCTTGTTCCTTTCTCTTTGTTCTCTATTTTCTCTCTCTCTCTTTCTCACTCACTGTCTCTCTCTCTCTCTCTCTCTCTCACACACACACACACACACACACACACACACACCCCACACAGCGCTTTTCTGTAGCTAAGGCACCCTAAATACAATAGTTTTAAAACAAGCTTTGAGACTTTTAAGATAATCTCCATGGTGTGGTGCTGATGACACACTCCAGGCCATTTGACAGACTGCAACGTAGTAAGTACATAGCAGAATATTTGTACCAGTTGAGCAAAGTATGGTGTGGACAACCATTCAAGTTTATAAGTGAAATAATAGAATCAAAGAACATCATCTCTTTGAGTGGTGTTTCTGGCCTGGTAGCTCCACTGAGCTGGTTGTACAGGGTCCCTGGCAGGGAAACTGAGCCTGTGGCCGGAACAGCACAGGTTTCTGGCACATCGCAGGGACAGGGACATGTAGGGGGCATTTAGGCTGCCAGCTTCCATGTTACCTTCCAAACAGCATCATCAATTTACTGGAAAAATATATTGCCCATTGTGTGTAGTCATAGTGGTGGGACCAGGGCCTCTCCCTCCAATCCTCTGACTCAGAACAAGGAGAAAAAAGACACATAGCAAACCTTGGCCACCCAGTGTATTCTCCAGGGACTCTGAATTTGGGAGAGTGACCCACCCAAGGATGGAAAACTTGTGGAAGCCATTCACCATGTCAGGAGTGATGCTGTGGCATCTTGGTTGAGTTTGTCTGTGAACCGGTTGCTGTGCTTTCTGCTTTATGGTTCTCCAGAGCTCTCCTGGTGCCTGCTTCTCCAAGCTTGCTTCCTGGTATCTCAGTGGTTCTGTGAGTTTCTCATATTATTTCAATCATTTTCTTTTGTTTAAGGTAGCTAGAATCTGTTTCTGTTGTTTGCTCTCAAACGCCTTAATTAAGATGGTACAATAAATGTTCCTAGAGTGAATAAATTAACAGAATAAAGTATGCCCAGATTAAATTTCAAGTGTTTTGTGACTTTTCCCTTCTTTCATCATAATCAGAAAACTGAACCCCATCTGTAGATGAGTTTTCTTGAAAGTTGGATAAATATGAAAGTTTTATATGATGCCTTTTGGAGGCAAAACAGTTTTGTAAAAATAATTGAAACTTTTAAATATATGGCTATTGTATGGTAGTTAGAAAGTTCAGACAAGCATAAAAAGAATATAAGCATATCCACAAACATCTTTTTATACAATGAATATCAATTGACAAAATCATGCTCAATACCTGAGCATATCTCATGGGAGGGATAATATAGTTTAAGTGGTGAATCTCTCATGATTAAACATTTGAGTTCCCTCCAAGTACCCACTCTTATAAAAGGCCCGGCAGTGAACATTCTTTTAGGCAAATCCTTGAATGCATAAGCTTATTACCCTTAGGATACATTTCAAGAAATAGAATTGCTGGGCCAAAGACTTTGCACGTTTATAATGATTTTACTCACAATAGTAGCCCTTTAAAAAGTTGATTAAAAAAATGAAGAGCCCTTTTATTGTAGCTCTTCTTCAGCAAAAAAACAAGACAAACAAAAACAAAAAAATGGTCTACATTTCAAGGTATGCATCAAGGCAGCCCCATTTAAAACCACATTGCATTAACTGAGGTGCTTCAACTGGTCAGCCCAACTAAATAGAAACAGATGGTGCAAGAAAAATGAATTAATATCCTTGTCTATTCAATACAACAAGACATTGCACCTGCTGTCTTCATTCATATATTTAAAACTCATTTATAGAGTCCCTACTGTGTGCCTGGCATGGTTCTAGGGGCTGGGGGCATATGAAAGGAGGCAAGATCTAGTTTCCAGCTTTGAGGCATTCACAATCCAGTGAGCCATGCAGACCCATAAATAACTCACAAACAACACAGTGTGGTGGCCACTGCCACAGGAGAGGCATAAACACAGCATTCTGAGAGCAGCAAGCCAGAAGCAGTTTCAACCTGTGTGTAAAGTCTTCTTGTTCCCTTCTCTCTCACTAGAAAGCACTATTTAAAATGAGAATATGAGATACACCTTGAGAAATACAAACAGAGGGTTCTGCAGAAGTAAAGAAGGGAGAGATCAGGAACAACTCCAGGGAGTCCGTGGGCATTGGCAAGTGGTAGGACTGGCATCATGTGGAGGGTCATTCCGGAAGAGAGGGCATCGTGAGCACTGGTACAGAGCAGGAAAGAAAAGAAAGCGTTTGAAGAACAGACTGCTTGAAATAGAAGGTTTGGGTACAGTAAGATGGCTGAAAGTCTGGGCTACCTAAATTGATGTTAATAACAAGATAAAGCATTTGTGTGTAACTCCATATGTGAAAGAGAAGCATTGCATTAGTTAACTGTCATTGCTGCAACGAATTACCACTTGGTGGCTTAAAACAACACAAATTCATTATCTTACAGTTCTCTAGATTGGAAATCTAACATAGATCTCACTGTGCTAATATCATGGTGTCTGTGGAGCTGCCTTCCTTTCTGGAGGCTTTAGGGGAGAATCTGTTTCTTTGTCTTCCCCAGCTCCCAGAGACCATCAGCATTCTTTGACTTATGGCCCCTTCTTCTGTCTTCAAAGCCAGTGACAGCTGGTTGAGTCCTTATGTCCTCTCACTTTGACCTCCTCTTTTACCTCTCTCTTTTACTTTTAATAATATTTTAAGGACCCATTTGTATAATCCACAATAATCTTCCCATCTCAGAATCCTTAATCACATCTGCAAAGTCCCTTTTGCCATGCAAGGTAACATAACCACAGGTCCTTGGGATTAGGACATGGATATCTTTGGGGAGCTGCTTTCTACCTTTCATGGGTATTAGGGTTTTAGAGCAAAGAGTGATGCTGTTGGGGATCTATCTGCCTGAGGAAGACCATGCTGAGCTCAATGAAGAGGATGGACTGGAGGGAGAGAAGACCAGTTAGACAATCTTTGATGATTACCTCTCTCTCTCTCTCTCTCTCTCTCTCTCTCTCTCTATATATATATATATATATATATATATACACATACATACATACATATATATAAAATTAGGCCCAGTGGAAATAAGAAGGAAGGGACAGATGCAAATGACAGAGTGGAAATAGAGTCCCCAGGAACTGGCAAATGTTTGAGTAGAAAGTGGGGAGAAGGGGAACAGAGGTGGAGGTGTCAAAGATGATTCAGGCTCTGAGCATCCATGAGTGAGGATAATGGCTTTATTTAAGTGAGGTGTTTGGTTTAGGGAAGGGGAGTAGTGGCAAATTCAAGTTTAGATCTTATTGTCATTAAAGAAACAATCTACAGCTCCTCTCCTTTTAAATTTTTCATAGGGGATATGAGATAAATACATATTCAAGACATACACACCAAGGAAAGAACTAACAGGTGGAAATGGCTGAGAGATGTTGAGACAAAAACTTGGCACAAAGATGGTGAAGAAGACATACACAGAATGGGGACTCAGATGGGAGGAGAAGGAAAGAAGAGAGAAAAAAGTGTAAGAGTAAGATGGGGAAGAAATATAGACCATGAGGAAGAAGGAAGGACCTAACAAAATAGAGGGAAAATGAGAGACAAGGCATGTCAACAGAGAGAAACTAAAAAAGGGACCAACTCAAAGGTTTCTAGCATGGATAAGTTGGTCAATTTAAATTTCCAGTTCACTTGAGATGTGCTTACAATCGTTAAGTTAATAATTTTTAAGATTGTCTTTGCAGATTTATTTACTTTCAGAAGTTAATCACTGTCCACAGCTTCTCTGTTTTGTTTAGGTTCCAGGAGGCCTCAGTGGCCCTTGAGGGGGTGAATTATTCACCCATTACCCCTTTGCTCCCTGCCTGCCTCCGTGAAGGAAGGCTCTGCTCGCTCCTGCCCTTCCCAACATGCTTAGGCTAACTCTTGAATTATTTTATCCTTGGAATTTGAGGCTTTTGTCACATGTGTTGAGGAAAAATATTTTTCACTCTGTCACCGTCCCTCACAGGTACTGCAACTCACTAAGTGGCACACCTGCACCACACAACTGTGAGTTTATGCCCGTGTTACAGACGGGAGCGTTGAGGCTTGACTCTTGTTTAATTACATGCTCAAGGTCACAGGTGGTCAAAGCTGGGAGGACAGGCTAAGACAGCAAATAGTGGACTATCAATATGGACAGGATCATTTAGGAAGACTTCAGGCAAATGGAATCATTGTCTCTGGAAAACTTGAGTCTTATATCCAAGGTGCTACGAAGCTCACTCTGAACCCTGCACCCAAACTCTCCCTGCTCTGGCAGAGGCAGAGGCATAAGAAGGAAGTAAACTATACAGGGATAGGATTTCCCTGGCACAGACGCCACAAACGCTTTCATGTTTATTATATTTGAATAGAGGAAGTGGGCACTCAGAGAGGCTAACCAACTTGTCCAAGGTCACCCAGGAGCCTGCAGTCAGCCCAGGGCTCCTTCCTGCCCTCCATCAGATGAGCAGCGCTCCGGCCAGGGAGGGCGCGTGCTGGCCAGCCCGGAACGGGTGAGATCGCTCCAGCCCGCCTCTGTGCCCACTCCCCTGTGCGCCCTGCCGGCAGAGCGGCACCCCCGCTGTCCCTGGCGCCCAGTGGGGGCGGCAGCGGGCAGGGCAGCGGGGACCACCGGGGCTGGGGGCTGTTGAGCCCGTGGAGTCCGGCTCGGTTGGGGAGAAGGACGATGCGCGGCGAGCCCAGGTGATCCGGGGCTGGGGTCCTGCGCCCGCAGCCCCTGGCCCGCGCCTCACGCTCGCCGGCTCCCCAGCGCGGGGGCTGGAGCCCGCACCCGAGGGGGCGGCAGGGAGGGCGCAGGCAGCGGCTGGGAGCGCAGCGGCAGCGGCGGCAGCAGAAGCTCGGCTCAGCGGCTGGGGGTGGCCGCTCGAATCTGCCAGGGCACCTCGCTCCCTCGCCTCTGGCAGCGGGTATGTGCGGCAAGTGCGCCGGGGGTCGGGACCCCAGGAGCCCACGGGTGCCGGTGGGGACGCGGCGGGGGCGGGGCAGCACGACGGGGTCGGGGGCTTGGGGGTTCTGGACTCAGGACACCCGGCTTTGCGGCAGGGTGGGCTTCGGGGCGGCTCAGGGTGTAGGTGGGCTGGCTGGTTGTATACAACGTGTTTCCAGCGTGGGATCACTGTAGGCTTGGGGCTGGTGCTTTCCACTTGTGTATGTAAGTACTTGTGAAACTGCATGTGTGCTCACTGACTATACAAGGGAGGTTGTGTATGTAAAGATTTGTGTGTGTGCGTGTGTGTAAGAGAGAGCGCGCACAGGCTGTGCATCCATAGCCAAGTGTGTAACTGGATGTGTGTGTGGACTCTATGGCTGGTCCTTGATGTGCAGCCCAGAGTGTGCTGTGTGTGTGTGTGTGTGTGTGTTAGAGAGAGAGAGACAAGATAGTGTGTCTTGAGCGTCCACTTTGATGTGTGTGTATACGTAGCCATGAGTGTGTGGGTACGATGTGCTGCATAAAGCCTTGGCGGTCACTGCCGGTACTCGCAACCATCCTGCAGTTGCCTTTCACAGAATCCCAATCCCGATTTCAGATGCATTTCCTCACAGCTTGCTACCCTGTGCGGCACTGTGCTGTTAGTTGTCTTTGAAAGAAGTGGATGTTGGTACAAGGAAGTGGCAGCTGGCAGAGGTCAAAAAGTGGTAGGCATGAGCTTGTCTTCCTAGAGTTCAATGTTAAGAGAAAATCTTGGCTTGATTTCCATTTGGTCCAATCAAATGAAGAAACAGAATGTTTCTTAGGGTATAGGTTTGGCATGAACCAAAGGAGGCTTTTGATGGAAGGACACTGGTTCAAGTTTGCCCTCCCTGTCTTCCATCGCTGGGATGGATTCTCTGGCCCTTAAAGCTGTGGGTGACTGTGGTGAGCAGTAGTGGATATTTACCCTGTCCCTGGAATGGAACTTGAGCATCAGTGACCAAGGGAGATGTTGCTGCGTGCTCCTGGTGAGCACAGGTTTTGAAGGAAAAGGACGTGGGTGGTGGATGCGGTGCCCTGAAAACAAGGAAAGAGTCAGGGAAGGGATGAGACCTGCAGAGTTCTGAAGAGCAGCTCTCACCTAGGAAATATACAAGTGTCAGGAAAAAAATTAGTAAAAAGTAAACAGGTTTTGCAGCATTAGCAAGTCATTTCTTAATCATGTTTATTTTCCTCCTGCATTCTCATCTTAAAATCTCTCTTACGTTTGCATCATTCCCTCCTGTGGGAAATATCCTTATTATAATTATTATTATAGAGGAGAGCCACAGTCATCATTTAAATGCCAGGAGAACTGTAGCTCACTGAAGCTAGCAGGAGCTTCAGGGAGCATTTAGTTCAGTTCATATCGAGCAGAAGGAGGCCCCAGGGCCCAGAGGACAGTAGTGTCTCTGGTTCCTCTGAGTTATCTGGATTTCAGTTCTGATGCTGTTCCCTGTAGGGGCAAAAGCATCCTTGAAGCCAACAAATCAAATGTATATTCTTTCACCCTGCTCTTCTGGACCTCCCTGATTCTGTTCATCTCCTCATCTCCTTCCCCAACTTCACAGACTAAAGGACAGCACCTGAAACCCAACATAAGCATCCTGCTACCCCAAGACGCTTCCTGATTTTTCCACCTGTTATTGAACACCACCATCCTCTACATCACCCAGGCTGGGAACTGAAGTCACCTTTTTATTCCTCCTCTTCCTTCATCAGTAGCTGCCATAGTTTTCATCTATAGGCAGGTTTTATCTGTTTTTCCCTCAATACCTCTTAAATCTATTTTGTTTTTCTTTTTATTCCCACTGCTACCACGTTATCAGGTAAGACCCTTACTTGGGAATTTCTGGAGATAGGAATAGATATAGACTATGATCACTGAAAAAATGCAAAGCAAATACATGAATTGAACACCTTTGATATTATCACTGTCTGACAAGTTAAATTAGTTTTTTAGAAGAATCTGGATAATGACTATAGCATCATTGAGTGACATAGATCAAGTTTCTTTGCCTTTCTAAGTCTTAGTTTCTTCACCTGTGAAATGTGATGAATGATTTCAGCTAGAATCTAGCCACTAGATCATTTCCAAGGGTTCTTTCAATGCTAGAATTCTCTGATTGCCACTGATGTTCTTGGTTGTAGCAAGAAACATTTCACCTAATTTCTTATGATTACCTTCTGATATTTAACTGATCAATTTGTTGATATGAAAATTCAGTCTTCCATATCACTGCCTTTTTGAATATTGAAAAATATTCAATATTATTATTGAATATTTTTATTCAATAATATTATTCAATAATATTCAATAATATTATTAAGGTAACTTCACAGCATGCAGTAGTTCAGGATTTCTTGGCACTATTGGAATTTTGAGCTAGATGGTTCGTTGTTGTGAGGACTGTGCTCTGCATCATAGAATGTTCAGCAGCATCTCTGGCACTCATTAGATGCCAGCAGCAACCCCTACTTGGGACAACCAGAAATTTCTCTAGGCATTGCTAAATGTCCGGGGGGTGGGTGGGCAAAGTACCCCTCCTCCTACCACTCCAGTTGAAAACCACTGCTGTAATTCAAGCACGAGTCCTGTAACCTTGTACAGCAACATCTGACAACAAAGTTTTTAAATAAATAGATGAATTGCTGTGGTGCTAGCTGCCTTCCCACCCCCTTCCAACTTTACCATCCTCACACATTTACCTTTATCCCTCTTGCTTTTCACTGCCTTGTTGCTATGCCTGGGAATGCTCAACATGCTGCTGAAGGTTGAGAAGCATTTGGAAGGCAATATAATAATAATCTTAATAGCCCACATTAATCTAGACCTTGATATGTGCCAGACACTGTTCTAAATGCTTAATGAGAATGATCTTATTTAATCTTCATTAAGAATCCTATGAAAGAGATACTTCTGTTACTCTCATTTTAGCAATGCGGTAACTCAACCTTAGAGAGGTAAAGTAATGTGCCCAAGTTCTCTCAGCTGTGGAGTAGTGAAGCTAGGATGAAATTGTGTGTTGTCTGATTCCAGAGTTCATGCTCTGAACCTCCATATTATAGTGCCTTGCATGAATGGGATCTTGGTGTTACAGGGTAGAAAAGAGCTTAGATATCCTCAAGCCCAGTTGTATATCCAAGTCTGCCTCTAGAAAACAGGCTAGATACTATAAGGTTGTGAGTTGTGTTCAGCTGAAATGTGATTTCTCTCATTTTTATGACTTTGCCCCCTCTCTGTTATTCAGAAATAGCTCAAAGGCATATGCAGAGTGAAAGGGGTGGTGGCAGTGTTGGGTAATGGAAAAGTGGGGAGGTGCAGGGGAGAGGAAGGATGGAGGAAGGAACAGTGAATTATACCTTTATTTTTCCATTAACTTCTCCTTACCATCAATCTAAAATTTCTTCTCTTGTCAAAATTAAAGTCACCATTTTTTTTAAAAAAAACTCTGTCTTTATTCTTCTTGGTTTGCCCTTTGATTCCTCCATTCTGCATGCTGTTGACTTTTTTATGCTATTGAGACAGTAGAAAGTAGTACAGATTTGCACAGAGGGAAATACAATGTAAATGGCTACCAAATAGACTTATTCATAGGGCTAGCCTTAAGTATAGTCTGAGTAAGAATGACTGCCTTACCATTTACCAATTACTAATATGCTTGCAAATCTAAGGCACGTCTGAGAAGGTTGACTATTTTTTTTTAAGTGCTATGTCAACAAGTTCACAGGTTTGGTAACTGCCAGTGAATAAATGATAGAGCACTGGCTTCACCAGCCTCATGATTGGTTAAGAGAGTGCTTCTCAAACTTTCATGAGCAACAGAATAATTGGATTGTTTGTAACACAAAGGATAAATGGCTGAGGGGATGAATACCCCATTTTACATGATCATGATGTGATTATTACACATTGCATACCTGTATGAAAACATCTCATGTACCCTACTATGTACCCACAAAAATTACAAATTAAAACTTAAAAAAAAAACACAAATTGCTGGTCCTCACTCCCAAAGTTTCTGATTCACCTAGGTTGAGATCTGAGAATTTACATTTCTAATAGGTTCGCAGGTGATGATGTTGTTCCTGGTCTTGAGACCACTATTTGAGAACTATTGGGTTAAGACCTAAAGAACGAAAATGAAACTCACAATGCAGCCACCTGGATTTTTAGAATGAAAATATATCTGATTTTAAGATAACTAAACATTTGGATTAATGAGAATCAATGAGTGGAACAAGACTGAAAGGTCAATAATTACTAGGGATGAATTGACATTCTTACTAAGCATCTAAGCTTTGCCTCTTATTTTGAGTTTCAGAAAAACCTTTGCTTTTTCTCAGCAATTGTACTTCTAGGTTGAATTAATTCTGGTCTTAGATCTTGTCATGTTCCTTGTCTCCACCTACCCCCACTGCTACCTTAATTTGGATGATAAAATTCCTCATTACTTACAGAGTAATCCAAATCAAAAGTCCTTTAATATCTTGTCTACTGCCAGATAAATTCTGAAGAGTCTAAGTTAAGAAAAATATATTATCTGTCCATCGAGTTTGTATTTCTTCCCCTTTCAAATCCACATTAGCACTATGGAGAAACCCAACAGAAATTTAAGTCTGCATATTTATGTAGAATTAATTTAATTTTTGATATCTCAATCAGAAAGTTTCTTTTAAAACCAAATTTCAAATTCAATGAACTCCTTCCTTCTTCTTGAATATTAGCTTCTTTTTTTTTTTTCATGATCACACATTCCCCATCCAAGCAAGGTATCTCTAAGCACTTACTCAGAAAGATCTGTTCTGAAACTCAGATTTAATTTAAATAATGTTTATTGAATATTTATCATATGTATGTTTTGCACACCTAGTCTTTGATTTTTCTATCAACTCCTGAGAGAAGTATTGTCTCTCTCATCTACAGATGAGAAAACTAAGGCCTAGACACTTTAAGAAAACTTTTGTATTAGTTAGAAGGCTAGGTGTATTAGTAAATGTATTTATTGGTTATACATAATAAAAGCCAACACTGGCTACTTAAACAAAAAATTAGGATTTATTGAAAAAACAATAGTGCTTTTATAGTGGAGTTAAGGAACTTGGCTCCAGGAAGGATGGGAAAACAGTCAATTCTAGAAAACTCAGCTCCTGGAGTCCATGACCCTTTCCACATTGCTCTGCCATTAGTTTGACACATTCCCAGGAGTCTGTTCTCTTAGTTCAGACTCTCAAGAAAGAGAATCTGATTGGCTCAATTGTTTATGACCAAGAAGTCATAGCAGAAGCATAGTTGCCACGGGCTCATCCTTGTGGTTGCGGTAAATTTTTCCAATGGCAAGTGGTGTAGTGGATGCCTGAATAAATGTCCCCTCCTATCACACAACTAGTATGGCAAAGACAGGATTTAAACTCAGATTTGACTTCAAGACCAGTATTTTTCTGCTCTGAAAGGGATGTTGGATGGAGAATCACATACTGTGGCTTGTAATAGAGACAATCTGCCTTTCTTTTTGAGGTTCCTGCACATTGGGCAACCCAGACACAACATCCTGATCCTTCCATTCGTGCACCTCTCTTGGACTCTGATGCTTCAGTGGGCACATCCTGGCTCCTCTTTGTCCACCTGGTTTCTGTGTCATGTGGCCTGGCTTCTCATTCTGCTCATGTTTGTCACATCTGTTCACCTAGCACGACTCTAACTCACAGATTGTATCCCATCTTCTACCTGCACAGTAGATCATCATTGCTATTGCCAAGCACCTTCCATGAGCATTGCTGAGAGCTCTGTGTCTCATTTAACTTTTCTAAAAACTCTGTTGTTGCCCTTTTTGAGGCTTATTTTCCAGTATTTTATTATGAAAATAGATACTTAAGGGAAAAGTTGAAAGAACTATATAGTGAACACTCGTATAGTCACCAAAAAGATTCTATAATTATCATTTTACCACAGTTGCTTTGTCATATTTCTGTCTATCTATTCACCAATCCATTCTTTGGACAATTGCAAAGTTGTTGTTTCTTATTCTTATTTTTATGCTGAGGAAACAAACCAAGACAGGTGACCTGACCAGTCCAAGGTCACTCATGAGGTGGTAATTGGGCTGGGACTTAACACTGGCAGTCTGAATCCCCAAACCACCTTCTTCTTTTGTTTTGTTTTGTTTCTGAGATGGAGTCTCGCTCTGTCAGCGAGGCTGGAGTGCAGTGGTGCAATCTCAGCTCACTGAAACCTTCGCCTCCGGGGTTCAAGCGATTCTTCTGCTTCAGCCGCCCGAGTAGCTGGGACTACAGGCATGCAACACCACGCCCAGCTAATTTTTGTACTTTTAGTAGAGACAGGATTTCACCGTGTTGGCCAGGCTGGTCTCGAACTCCCGAGCTCAGGTGATCTGCCAGTCTCGGCCTCCCAAAGTGCTGGGATTACAGGCGTGAGCCACCACCCCCGGCCCTAACCACCTTATTAACCACTAAGCAGCTTTGTCTCCCCTGTAAGGGGAGAGGGAAAGACTCACTAAAGTTCAGGTAGTGGCAGGGCAATGTCCAGTGCCCAGGTCATCTGATTCTCAAGCTCTGGTAATTTCCATTACATTGAGCCACAAAAAATAGTCCACCTTCCAAGTAGTAGAGTTTCTTTGCTCCCCCAAAGATCGGCAGTTTTGGTATTTTACAATCTACCTTAGATCTCTGGAAAATCTGATTTTTGACACAGATGATTTCATAAAATGAATGCACTCTTTCTTCCTTCTCAACATTTCAAAATAATTTATGAAAATGACAGACTGAGAAATTACCATTTTGGATAACTTTTTGCATTGTTCAGAGGACTTTCACATAAGTTATCTTATTTGAACTTCATGAGTGGTAGCAGGTCTATAAGACAGGTGGGCTGGATGTCTTAACCACACTGAACAGCGATAAACCTGGGGCAAAGGGAGGAGCTCAAAGTCACATGATGCCAAGAGCAAAATTGAGCCTTAGTTAAAAACATATTGTCTTTCAAGTGCTGGTAGACATTCTGGAAGCTTTGAGAAGCTAAATAAGTAATAGTAAATTAAGCTGGGAGAGCTGAGATAGGGGATCATTGAGATCTGGGTTTTTTGTTGTTGTTGTTGTTTGTGGGATAACTTAGTAGTTAAAACTCTAGACTCTGGTCTGGAATTGCTTTGGGCAGCTCCTCTTTCCTATGCCTCAGTTTCTTCATCTGTGAAATGAGAATAATTGCAGAACCTCCTGATAGCGTGATGTGAAGGTGAATGAAGTAATGCACGTGAAGGGTTAGGTTCTTGGTCTGTTATAAAAATGTGCCATTGCTTTCCTTCTGCTTCTTCCCCAGGATCCCTTTCTTCTGTGTTAAATGGGCCCCTCTAAAATCTATGGGTATAGTTTTATTTTTTGCTCCAGGGGTTGGTTTAGAAACTTTTGGTAGGAGATTGTAGACAGCAGCCTTTGGGGAGGTGACATTTTATTAGTCTAGGAAAAATGTAGATTTTGCTTAAGAATTTTCACCTAAGAGGCTGTAAATAGCCTATGTCTTTTGAGATTGCACTGGCATGTTTAATTGGATATGATCATTAGCACATGATATCTGAAATGGAGAATTCTGTATAAATGGTTTCCTAATCCAGGAGGTTCAGAAGAAATAGCACAGAGTGAGGACAGCAGAGGTAAACATGCCTGCAGAAACCTTTCTCTTGGCATGCAGAGCAAATACTATAATCCAGGTGTCTCAGCCAATGAGGCATTTAAACAGATACAGAAAAATCATTAAAGAGGATTTCAGAAGGGTATGCTCACCTGGACAGATTGCACTCCATCCTTCCAGTGTCTCCTGAACTGCTCTCCAGGAATCATTTTCATCAGAATCACTGGGGCATTTATGATTCAAAAATGCTTTGAATGTGGCAGTGCCTGAATCTACAGTTTTCCATGTGATTTTTAGATATACTAATGTTTGAGAACCACTGCTGTCAACAGCATAATTCTGTAAGATTCAAAATACTAGTTGTAAAGAGTTAATTTAGCTGAAATGCAAATTTTGATTTGACCTGCTCCCAATTCCAGACCTCTGAAATCAGTAATGACAAGAACCTTTGGGCATTTTCAGGCTCAGTCTTCAGAGGCTTATCCTATAGAGAAGAGGAATAATTTCTGTAGCCACATCCCAAAGTAGGGGAGATGGGCCACTAGGTACACAGCTGCCTTTGTGAAGAAGCAGAGTAGGAAATATCTACCCTGCAATGATTGGGGCACAGGAAAGCTGGAATCCACCTTATTACAACAGCTGGTTAATGTCATACTGTGAACTCATTGAGCACCTGCTTTGTGAGTATTCATTTTCTATTTTTAAATTTTGCATCAACCTTGTGAGGTTTTTGGTATGTTTATCTCCATTATACAGATGAGGCTGCTGAGGCTAAGAGAAGTCAAGTAATTTGCCCAAGGTCATATTGGTAGTTAATAGAACTAGGACAGATTCCAGGGTTGTGGTTTGAATCAGGGGTTGGCAAACTATCTGGCCCACTGCCTGTTTTTGTGTGGCTTGCAAGCAAAAAAAAAGATGTTTACATTTTTTAATTGTTCAAGAAAATCAAAAGGAGAATAATATTTTGTGACAAGTGTAAATTACATAAAATTCAAATTTCTATGTCCATGTATTTAGTTTTATTGGAACACAGCCATGTCCATCATTTATGTATTGTTAATGGCTGTTTTCATACTACACAGCAGAGTTGAGTAGTTGTGACAGTGACCTTATGCTCTTGAAAGCCTAAAATATTTGGTAAATAGCCATTTACAGAAAAAAGTGCCACCTCCCACTTGAACCATTATGCCTGCATTTCTCAAACTTCAGCCATTTGAATTCTACTCCTTCATGATTCTTGCCACCTTTTCATACCATCTGGAACATTAACTGTGTGACATTTTTCTTTAGATCAATTAATTTTCCTTAAATAAATTTATTTTATAAAGAAACAAAAATGAAAGCGAAAACCAGTACCAATTGCAAGAAATAGAAGAAAACTGTAAAAACAAATACAATATACCAAGAACAGTGTATTCATATTAGATTTCAGCTAAATAGCTGGAACAGACAATGTTGGTGTTGCTTCATTTCCCTGCAGATCCCCTGACCATTTCTCTGTAAGCCATCAGACTTCCAATGATGGACCTGAAACATTTTTGGAGGGCTGCTCTCAGTCTACTGGAATCCCCTTTGCACACAAGCACAATAAATTGGGGGTGCCTGAGAATCCAAGTTCCACTGTGGATAGCTCTAACCAACAAATTGTGGGTGCGGGAGTATCCACATCCCACCTTCCTATCCCCTTGTCTGGAAGAATTCTGAGGCATATGTTTTACACCATTTCCCAAAGCTTCCCTGTGAGATTAAGCTTCAGTGTCTTAATAACACACATCTTATTGACTGTGTCTTATTCCATTTTTTATATTATTATTCCCCTATCAGTGTACTGGCACCTGCCAAATTAACAATGTGCATTTAGTCCTTATCATGAGATCTGCTTCTTGGGGTCCCAACTAAGACAATAGTGTTTCCAGCAAAAAAAAAAAAAAAAAAAAAAAAAAAAAAAAACTTGTGAGCTTGAGACCTATTCATCTTTTAAAAAGAGAGATTAGGAAATAACAGGAGGGTTTTCATAGAAAAACTAGCACCTATTTGAATCCTTTTAGTCAACATAAACAACAATAACTAAAACAGAAAATGAAAAGGGAGCACATTTTTTAACATACGACCTGATGAGTACTTAATGCTCTAGATACCTACTGCATAAGAACATATTCTTTCCCCGGGGGATGTGAACCACACTTTTGGAGAATTGCTGTTTTGCCGTGGTGGTTCTCAAAGAGTGGTCCCTGAACCACCAGCAACAGTAATATCTGTGAATTTGTTAAAATGTAGATTCTCCATTCTAAATCTACTACATCAGAAACTTGGGGTAGGGTCCAGGCTTTTCATTTTTACAAGCCTCCGGGTGATTCTTATGCATGCCTAAACTTGAGAACCATTGCTCTGCAATAAACAGCCCCTTAGTTAGTTCTGTTCTCATTGCATTCCTGGATTTCCTCAGAATTCAGAATCATCCAAGATTTGTTTCTTTCCCTCAAACGTGACTATCTGATGGCTTTCTGGCCTCTAAGCCTCCTACTGAGGTGGATCCTTTCACTTGCCAAGGCACATAGATCAATAATTGAACAGCACTGATGATTGAAATGATCTACCTCACAGTTAGTCTCAAACTCCTCCTGAGCCTTGCACCCATTTCTCCTCTGGAGCCACAAAGACAAAGCTAATTATTCCTTCTCTAATTATCAAGGAGAACTTTCAGATTATGCCATGCCATTTATTCTCAGGTGCTTGCTGATCATGTACTATATCTCTTTTCTCATAGAATTTGTGGTCAAATATCAAGTGAAATGTTAATCAAGTGATTGCAAAAGCACATAAATTAATGACTGAATCTTCTCTTTTTTTTCCCCACAAAATTCCCAGATTCACACTTAATTGGTCCTGTTTTCTTGGGATCTCATTGTATTCTTTGGGGGAAAAAAATCTCTGCCTTTGGGAAAAAAAACCTGATTTCTAGAAACACTAGATATATCCCATTCAGCACAACATGAAATGGAAGTGTATGTTACCCCTTTATTTTTCCTGTAATCCATTCCTTTTAACAAAAGGTTGCTTGGGTATGCCTTTTAAATATCCTTTAGTTGGTTAAGGGCTGTTTTATATAATAGTTTTTTGACAAAGATGCTAAACTTACCAGCTGTAATATGTTTATTTACCCAGCTGAGAAAAGTGTATTTACTTTTAAAAAAGTTAAAAACATTTTGCATCCTAATTGTACGTATCAGTATAGGTGTATTTCAATTATAATGGAATTGGCGTCCGTATTGGATATTCAGTTATGCAAATGAAATGGCTATAAACTTTTTATTTAGGACTAAATCTTTCTAAATGACTTAGTTCAAATGACATTTTTACTACCAGTGCTAATAAGATCCAGCATGTGAAAAGGCTTCTTTTTTTTTAAATCGTTTGTACACATTTTCACCTGTACACTGCAATTTAGAGCTCTAGGTAAACAATATGGTTTTTTTGGTGAGGGACTAATTTATAGGCAGAAATTCTTTTAAAGAGAATGTATCAGCTGATTAAGGTTAAAAAAAATTGCTAGGACAGCATCCTATAAATTCTGAATGTTTCCCAGAAAACAAAATCCAAGTAAATAGCCAAGGAGAGGATTCTTTTCTTCCATTTAGTGAGAGTATTTTCTTTGTTGCAAGTTTTCAGATGATTCGATAATTTTTTTCATACTGAAGGTCAAGAGAGTTTGGAGTACTAGGAAATCACGATCATCATGGAATTTGTAAGACTGCTTGTGGGTTGTTTGCTTGTGTGATCCTGATGGGATTGTGTGTTTTAGTGCATATGGCGGGTAGTAGGTTATAGCAGTGAGGTGACAAAGTCAACAACAAGCCTTTGGATAGGTAATTCTTATCCAATATCTGGCCTTACACATTTCTCTAACTTTTATTCTACCTATGGAACCTATTTGAGACATTCTACAAGTTTCCTGTAACTTTAGAGAAGTTCTAATTACTTGACATTTCTCCCTTGGGTTCATCCTCTGCCCCATTCCATTCTGCAGTTGGGAAAACTGAGATCATGAATAGTGAATAGACTTGCTTAAGAATAAGACAGTAGCAGGGTCAGGTGGAGGGCCTAGGTCCAGTGACTCCCCCTCCACTGGGCCATAATCAATTATTCCATTATGTCAGGCTCCCACCCTTGATTTGGCTATTAACATAATAATGTTTTACTTACTCCTGACACTTGTCCCAAAAGAAAGGTATTGGGATATGTCTTTTGATTTAACCCATGTAGGCATAGTCTATAAAGAAACACGGTCAATCCAAGCATAGTTATGCATGAATATCCATCCATGCAACCAAAACCAGAGAAAACAAAACAAAGTGGAGCAAAGCAAGCCGAGGTTATGACATAGCTCCAGGTTTGCAGATGTTGGCACTGTACCAGACTACATCGATATTTCATTCCAGTAGGTGGGGACTATTCACATGTGAACCCTGTGCTCACACTTCTTATAATAGAGATGCAACTACACACCTTCTGTTAACCATTAATGACTGTTCCACAGCAATATTTCAGATAATTCTGAATCAGAAACGAGGGTAAAGATGGGATGCACTTACCTTTGGGGTTTGCACTTAAAACTTGTGAAGCCAGAAAACCAAGGGTTGGAATGGTGTTGAGTGGCATAAATAAGATAAGCTCTTCCTCCTCCTAGTCTTATAAGGAAAAATCAGATTCTGAATATATCCGTGAAGAAAAAGAAGCTCAAGGGAATCTGATAGAGCTATATGTTGCTGCAATTTTACTTTTATGATGGATAAAATGTTTTGAGTAATTCCAGTGGTTTGAGCTTGTCATGCATGGTCATGAGAGACTATTGAGACATGCATTTGTACCTCACATTGGTAGAAGAGTTTGCTTAACTCCTCGCCCATCCCTTTTCCAGAACTTGCCATGATCTTTTTCCGATGATCTAGGACTGTTTCTCCGAAGGGGATTAGTATGGAGGGTATAATTTCTTGTACCTTAGTCCAGATGGTAGAGTACAGCGTGACTGTCATTAAAACACACTCACACCCCCAAACACATACACACCAGGTCTTAATGGATTTGAATTGGCAGAATTTTTAGAAGTGACACAACTTGTACCTGAGCATAGGAGATGCTCTGAGTTGATTGTGTTTTTAATTAGCTAGGCAGTGTTTTGTGAAGAAGCCAGAAATATAAGTATTCAAGATAAAAGCACTGGTTCCTTCCACATCCCCCTCACCCTATGCAATCTTCCCAGCAAGAGATGTTCCTATAATCATGGCTCTGATTAGTTCTCCCTGGTGAGTCCTGCAGAAAATAGTCAGGCATAATCAATTAATCAAATTAGGATAGGTACTAATCATCAACTCCTCCTTCCTCTGTTCCTTTCTCTCTGATAAAATGCATGCTATCTCACTGGTTTGTTGAAAGGCAATCATTTTAAATTTGCTCATTGGGTTTCAGTGCAAAAAATGTAACAATCTATATGCTATGAATATACAAGATTTTCCTTGTGTTGTAACATTTTCACATGCAGTTTTAATGATACAAACTTTAGGTTTTAATGGCTTTTAAAGCTGAAACTGCCCAGCTTTTCTTCCTTTTAATCTGCAAAACAATACAATATTGATTTTATTGTATATTACTCAGCATTCATTTGCTTGCTGACTGGAACACAACTCAAACTGGCTTAAGGAGGCAAAAAGAATTTGTTGGCTCTAGTAATTAGGACATTCAAGTGTAAAATTATCTTAAGACACTGCTGGATCTTAAGCCTCAAATTATGTAGTCAGGACACTGGCATTCCCTGTGTTGTGGCTCTGCCTTCCTTTGGGTTAGTTTTCTTCTCAGACAAGCTCCTCCCATGGGGTGGCAATGATGGCCACTAGCAGCTTCAAACTGTCTGACAACACCAGAGGAAATACAGAGTCTTTCTAGCAAAAATTCTAGGACTGGCTTTCCCTGGTCCAGCCAGTAAGCTAAGGGATTCTTGTTGCCAGGAATGGACTATTCTGATCGACCAGCCCTGCTTATGTGTTCATCACTGGAGCTAGGGATTGGAGAAGGGAAGAGGTGGTTCCAGTAAGGAAAATCCAGACATTATTCTCAGAGAAAGATGAAATAGATGGATGGACAGCAGAAAATTATAGTGGATGTTCACTTTCATCAGGATACTCTGTTGCTCCAGTGGGAGGACGTATAATAAGATGACAAGAATGATGTAAGCTAAAGCTCGAGTTTTGGAATTCATAGCCGTGAATTCTATTCCCAGATTGGTCAAGTGCTGCTGTGTATGACTTTGGCAATTCAATTACCCTCTCTGACCCTCAGTCTCTTCATCTATAGGATGGAGGTTGGACTCGGAGGTTGGACTCAAAGGTTGGAGGAGGAGAAAAAGGGCAATGTCTGGTACTTATTAACACGTAGTAAAGGGCAACTAATTAAGATATAATACTTTTGCTATTCTTTAAATTACAATATTCTATTCTGAGATGGTCCCCTTCCTCCCAGTGTGAAAGTCAAAAACTCCTAAGCCTCAGTTTTCTCATTTGCAAAACTAATGAACTACTTAGTTGACTCAATAAATATCTATGATGAGGACACAATATACCAGGCATTTCTCGAGGGCACTGAAGATGTCACAGTGATCAAGACAGTGTCCTACGCCCTCTTGAAATTTATATTCTAGTGAGCAAGACAGATCACAAATAAAGAAGCAATTGACTATATATATATATATATATATATATATACTGGGAAGAAAAAAATAGAACAGAGAAAGAGGATAGACATTTTTAGAAAATGGGGTGTGAAATTGTAGTTAGGTGTTGAGAGAAGACCTGTCTGAGGAAGTGATATTTGAGCGGCACCCCTAAGGAAGTGAGAGAGTAATCTACATGGTCACATTCCAGGGAAAAGAGACAAAGTGAAAAGGCCCTGAGATGGGAACCTACGGTTACGGCCCAGGAAAGCAGCAAAACCAGTGAGCTGGTGGGTGGGAAAGGGGAGGGGCATGGCTACAGTTGAGTTTGGAGAAGAGTGGGGGCCAGATCATGTAAGGTCTGGTTAGCTATGATAAGGAATTTGGATTGTATGCTAAGTGTGATAGGAAGCCACTAGAATTTTATGCAAGCAAGAAATGACCTGACTTACATTTAAAAAATATCATTCTGGCAGGAGACAGATTGGGGGTGTGGGTGAGTAATTCAGAGAAAGAAATTGGTGGCTTGGACCCAGATGCTGGGTCCAGAGGTGATGAGAAGGGTCAGGAGTAGGAATAATTTTCTTCCTTTCTTTTACTTTTTTTCTTTCTTTCTTTTTCTTGAGACAGGGTCTCACTTTGTCACCCAGGCTGGAGTACAGTAGCGTGATCTTGGCTCACAGCAGCCTCAACCTCCTGGGCTCAGGTGATCCTCCCACCTCAGCCCCCCAGGTAGCTGGAACTACAGGCATATATCACCACGCCCATCTAATTTTTTGTGGAGATGGGGTTTTGCCACGTTGCCCAGGCTGGTCTCAAACTCCTGGGCTCAAGCGATCCACTCACCTAGGCCCCCCAAAGTGTTGGGATTATAGGCATGAGCTACTGCCCCCGGCCAGGAATCATTTTCAAAGTAGAGAGAATGAGTTTGCTGATGGTTTGGTCTTAGGGTATGAGAAGAAGTTTTTCTGGTCTGAACCACTGGGTAAATGGTGGGCCATTTACTGAGATAGAGAACACTGGGGAAGAGCAGGTTTTTGTGTCGGAGATGAGAAAGGAAGAGTTTAGTTTGAAATGCTTTTTAATCATCCATCTTGAGATGCTGGATGGGCACTGTCTACACCTGGGAAAGTCTCAACGTAGGGATAAAATTTTGGGAGTCTACAGTGAATAGTATTGTAATTGTACTGTATTTTCAGCCACCAGATGGATGTGATCCTCTCAGGAAAAATTTTAGATAGACAAGGAAAGAGGATTGAGACCTGTCACTTCGATAGTTAGGGCTTTGTACTTGTATATTTCCAGCAAAATATTATTCTACATTCAAAATATAAAACAGACAGATGTGGACAGAGCTACTTTCCTTCAGATTAGGGGAGGGGGCTCAGAGTTCTGCAGGTGGAGCCTTTCCCATGCCTGCCCCAGGCCCAGAAATGCCCATGGGAGCTCCTGTTAAGTTTAGAGGATCTAAGAAACAAACATCGAAAAACACAGAGAGTCGAGGTCCTTTCCATATCTAGTGATCTGCCATTCTCTTCGTGGCTGCCAGCCACATCTGTTTAGCTCACCCTGGCCAAGGTGTCCAAGGGCCCAGGCTGAGTTTCATGGTTCTTTTATGTAGATAACAGATTTCCAGGTTCTTCTTGGTAAGATTCAACTAGAAAACTAGCAAACAGAACTATAGAATATCAGAGCTAGGAGTGAACTCAGAGATTATTTTTTTCCAATCTCTTCTCTTTACTGAGAAGTGAATGATGATGTTCAGAAGGAAAAGGGACTTGCTCATGGTGACCCTAGAAGAGACAGCCGGACCCTGCCCCTACACTTACTGATTCATCATGCTGTGGAACAGATGTGATGAAGATATAAAAATGCAAAAATGGAACTGAACAATTAGTAAAGAGGGTTGATTTTGTGGAGATCAGTGAATGCCCATCCATTAAAGAGTGTGAGGTCTTCTGAGGGTCTGTGATAGAGGAACTTTGGTAATTTGAAGTTAACTCTCCTTCGATTGGGAATTCTTAGCCTGGGGTTCCTGGATGGGCCTGGGATTCCTGGATTCCTGAGTTCAAGGAATCATGGACTCTCTGGAAAGTGTGCATGTGTGTGCATGCGTATCTATTTTTTTCTGGGCAGACAGTTCTCAAGAGTTTACTAGATTCTCAAAAGAATCTGTGATTTCCTACCCTTAAAATGATTTAAACATTTTTTTAAAATCCTCATAGGAACAAAATGGCCATTTTGGGCAATATACTATTTTAAGCATAAGAATGTAGCTACCTATCTTCACTAATTACTGTCCTAATGCAGATCATAAAAATAAGCCATGTTTCTGGAAAGAACATAAATAACAATAAATGGAGCAAAAAGAAGCACCCATATGTTTTAATCACAAAGCGATCAGTAGGGTGTAAATAAACCTTTTGTGACACTCGGCTGTACCATACGTCAATATGCCAAAAGCTTTTTGCTTTAGTATTGTTTATTAAATATTTCCACAAAACAAGTCATAATAGGAAGCAATAGTTATTTGAGTTTTTTAAAACAAGGACTTGTATTTTTCAATGCTGCTTTCTTTTATAACATCTTTTTACTTCCCCCATTTTAGGACCCTGTGGGCATTGAAATCCAACTCACTCATGCTTATTTCCTGTAATGGACAAACTTGATGCTAATGTGAGGTATGTTACCTTTCTGTACATATTGTGTTGTAAACTGAGAACATTTCTGCTATGAAGACTCTAAAAATCTGTTGTTGTAGAGTTATAAAGTTAATGGATGTGGATTTTCTTTGATGTTTCATATATAATCATGTTCACAGTACTGTTTGATTATTAGTGTTTTGTCATTTCTGTTTAAATGAAAAACGTAATATGACTGTAAACATTTCCAGCTTCCTATACTAAAAGTCTGCATTATGGAGATGATGTTTGAAAATAGATATTCATCTCTGTAATAGGAAGAAAGATGTATTTAAGTAGGGGTAAAAATAGCTTAAGAATATCTATCTGTATATCTAAACTTGAGACAAATTCACGTTGCTTTTTATAGCAGGTTCTAGTTTGTCCACTTCTTTTCTCAACTAGGTTATTATATTATGTGACATAATGGTTGCATGGTATAGTTACATAAAGCTAAATGGTTTTTGTTTCGTTTTGATTTGTTTTCCTGTAATTTTCTGCAAGCCTTGGAGATGAAATAGTAGTCTGACTCCTAGGGAAGATTTTCTTTTCGAAAAGATTGCTTTATTTGGCACAATCAAATAGTACAAAGAAAAGTGTATTCAATAAGGCCTCAATGTTATGAATTGGCATTTGAGGCTGAGAATTATCCATAGATATCAGTAGCTGGAATACATCCTAAAAAATACATTCTTGCTGTAATCACAAGAACTGTTTTTCATTCACTTGAGACCTCTAGAAAAGTATATTTCAGGTATAGATCAGGGGCCTTGTGCCTCTGCATTTGACATAGTAGAAAACTATCACAAAAGGAGCTGTCAAATATCTTGACAGAAACTCTAGTGTAATATGACTTGAGTTGCCAAGATGTACTGTCACCCCAACCAGGGAATTTCTTGAGGGTAGAATGTGTTTCATGATCCCTGGCAAAATCCCTGGTACATGGTGGGTATTTAATAAAGAGATGTTGATCAGTTTGTCATTGTTGTAATATATATATTTCAAATAAGGTTGTGTTCTAATACATATAGATATACAAAGAGACTGTATTTTTAGCAATAAAACATTTTACACTCTCAATAAAAGTGTGTGGACTTTGTTATTTCCCAGATGTACTGACTTGGTTCAGAGTCTTAGGACATTAACATAGATTATTTAGGCTGGTGCCAGACCTGGTGCCAGGTCTTTAATTTTCCTCTAAAGTTTGTGAAATTATTTGCCCAGAGAAAGCAGAGTGAAATGCAGAGAATCTCAATTTTATTTTTGTTAATTAAAAGGCCAGAGTGAGCAATATCAATGGTGACACATTATAATATTGTTTTAAATTTCAGACACTGTATCAAACTGGATCAGTTGGTTAAAATGTACTTTTGGGGGAATAATTCAGATATTATGAGCTGTAACATTTCTAGCTTTTAAACATTTATTTATAGCAGCATTAGATTCTAACAGCAGAATACAATTTGATTAAATGGACATTAGCCATTCTCCTGGGTGCTGTGGAACAATAGTGCAGGATACAAGATGATATCACGCCCCAGAATCTTGTCTCTGGACCATCTTCTCTGTCAGTTTTCTAACCAGATCCCATCAACATATGTTTCTCCTCACCCACTCCCCCTCTCTATCCACAATATTAATAACAGGCAAATGCCACAGACTTTCCCTCATGTCCTCTCAGTACAGCCTTTGAATGTCCATAATAAAAGATGTTTTTAGGCTCACATTTACCAAATTGTGATGCATGAATTGTTAGGAATACATAATGAATTTAGGTGGTATGCCAACAATATTTTTATTTTAAAATCAAATGTTTATTTTGAGGTTACCTCCTTAGGATGAGTAATAATATTTTGCCACTTATAATAGTGAAAAATATTTCCTTATATGATTAATTTATTTAAAATGTAAATGTAGGTTTATTTTTAAAAATATTATGCATTTTTATATTAATTAATAAGGGAATGTTAAAAAAATCACAAGGGTATTATGCAAATGACTAAAGTCTAGACACCCTTTTTCTAGGTGTAATTAGCAAGAAGAAATTTTATTATTTTAAAAGCATGAACCAGAAATTCTTCTTTGATAAGGGATGTCCCCACTTGGAAAAGTGCCTACATAAGGTGAGAATTGAAAAGCCTGGGTTTCTAGCCCAGGAAAAGAATCCTTTTACTTGCTCTGAAGATAGAAGAAAATGAATGGAAAAGGGAGGAGTTTGGAGGAGACATGATTCAGAGAAGGAGAATCTGGGCTCTGTTTGGGAAGGGGCAAAACATTAGTTGTAAGGGACTTTGAGAGTACAGTTGCATATCTTTTTGTTTTTTTTCTTTAATGTGTGTGCTGACTTCTCCGAGGACTCAGTCCTTCAGGAAAATTTTCTAGCTTGGCTATGAATTCATGTTGAATGTTTCTTTTGTTGAATGTGTGAGCTCAGCATGGGCTATAAACTAGTATTATCCCATTTAATTTTTAAAGCAGTCCTACAAGCTCCATATCATTATTATCCCTATTTTACCATGTGTGTCAACTGAGACATAAGGAGGTTGAATAACTTGTTCAAGGTCATAAAACTGCATTGCCTTCTTTTATATGATATTTTATTTCAATACATATGTGCATGTGAATGTTTGTGTGTGGGTCTATGTATACATTGCTGAGATGTCTGACATTCCTGTGTTGGTAAATGGGGTTTGGAAGAGAGGATGCCTATGTGAGAATGGACACCCAAAAGGAACAGGATGGCAGGAGACTGCAAATGCCCTAGAGAGATTTCAGAAATCTCAGAGAAGGCTTTAGACTTCCACAAGCTCTAGAATTGAGGGGCTCCAGTCAATTTTCCCCAGATGTCAAGAGACAGAGTGGTCCTAGTTGACATTTTCTATTAAATAAAATGTCTTACAGTTAAGTGTTTTGTCCGGCCATACTGCTCACTTCATTTTTGTTTGTTTGGCGTCATTTAATTGAGTTTTCTAATTCAGCTTGGTCCTTGCTACAATGTGTCTGTCAGCATCCTTGACTAAAAACATCAGAAACTAACTCTGGCTAACATAATCAAAGGTAATTTGGGAGTAGTTACAGTGTACAAGCTCAAAGAATTACTATGAAAAATGCTGGAGGACCAGGATTAGACATAAAAAAGAACTTTGGGAGTTCCAGGAAAGTTAGAAAATGCAATCATGGCCAACCACAGGAAGAAATTGTCAGTAGATTGCCTTTATTTCTTTACTATAAAATAATTAAGCACCTACACTTTGTGTCAGAAAGAGGGAGACAATTTCCTGGGCTTAAGGATCTCACTGTGTAGCTAGATGACAATCACTGAACTAAAGTATTTAATACGGTGATAAAAGAAAACCAAACACCGCATGTTCTCACTCATAGATGGGAATTGAACAATGAGAACACATGGACACAGGAAGGGGAACATCACAGTCTGGGGACTGTTGTGGGGTTGGGGGAGGGGGGAGGGATAGCATTAGGAGATATACCTAATGCTAGATGATGAGTTAATGGGTGCGCACACCAGCATGGCACATGTATACATATGTAACTAACCTGCACATTGTGCACATGTACCCTAAAACTTAAAGTATAATAAAAAAAAAAGAATTCTAATAGTAAGATACATACAATGCGCTATGTTCTCTGTGAACTATAAGGTAAAATTAAGAAAAGTCATACTAGGTCTTGATTTTAGCAATATGAGAAGCATTATAAGCATTTTCCTCTTAAGAGTCTCCATAGCAGAGAAAGCAGTTGATGCAGGATGGATTGAATCATGATGAAAAGCTGGCAGTGAATCAGGCCCTGGTTGGGGAGGCAAGTTCCTGATGAGTCCTGTCCCTTGGTAAATAGTGTCAGCCAACTTAGCAGTCAACAGGCAGCTCTTTCCAGACAATCTGACACCCACCTGATCTGTTTTATTGGTCTGTTTTTTCCTCCTCAAGGCTCCGGAGGAGGCAGCTGCATTTTTTTTTGAAGGGTTGAAGAAAGAAAAATGGAAACACTGGCTTTGATGATTTTGCAGCAGATACCCTGTAGAACATCTTTGGCTTGTATTTGGGGAATGAGCCTTGCTGGTGCCTCACCCTACTTAATTCAGCCCTAAAACACTTAATGCCTGACTTCAGAAACAGCTATGCTTTTGATGTTGTTTAACTACCAGATTCTCCCGGCTGACACGTGGTTTTCCTCAGTTCAAGTGTGATCGCTAAATGCAGTTCAGGTTTCTGTCTCTTTTTTCTGGCTGTTTATTATAATTTGAAAGTTTCTGCTTTCTAAGAAATTTTTTCAATCAATTTCTTTTTAAGTTCCAGAGAGTACAATGTTCAGACAGGAGATAAACAGGTGAAGGAAAGTCCATTTGTATATAAACTTGCACTTGGAGGTTTCTCAAGACAATGCCTCCAGGCTTTGAGCAGAGAAAAAGTTTATTTTATGTCTTGGTTCTTTTTAACGGTAGCTTCTGCCTACCCTTGACTCACCTCCCTGCCCCATGAGCTCTCTATCCTCTTGCTTCACTGACCCTGCAGTCCCTGGGGCTTCTTCCTTCTTTAATAAGAACAACCTCATTTAAGGATCGGCTTCTTCTCCACGAAATGACTGTTGTGCTTTCTTATTAATGTTTCTCATTAGCAACCAGAAAAGCATCTTATAGGATTATGAATCATATAAATGGTAGCATTTTCCGCCCTTTGCTAGGGTTTCTAGGAAACTGAGAGACAAATTTATAATCACCACTAATAAGTGTAGAAGATCTCTAGGTGTGTACAATGGCTCTAACAAGCCTTTACTATATTTTCCAACCCTTTTAATCGCTTCGTCTTGTTTCCTTTGCTTTTTAAATAATGTATTGATCATTTTTGTAAGCCACTTTAAGGATGTAAAGGAAGAAGGAGGAAAGTGAGAAAGAAATCCAAGAAAGAAGAATTTTCCAGGGAAAGAATCTTTCTTTTTGATTCCTTTGGTAGGCTTGATGACGGTACTAGGGAGCCACTAAATATTTTTTAACTGAAGATCAAACTGGCAAGCTTTTATACACAACACAGAAAATCTGAGTAAATACCAAAAGTTGAATAATTTAAATATAAAATACATAATATTTATATAAAAGCAGTCTCCTGCTATACACATGCAACAACATTAATTAAAAACCATAACAAAGTGAGTAGTTGGCTTCAAATTAATTACCTAGTTGCCTTAATTCTGTCATGACACCAAGTCACAATTCATTACTTTAGATCAAGAAATTAAATGTATTGGATATCAATGTAACTACAAGAATGAATTGAAATTTTCCAATCTTAGCAAACAGAAAAAGATAGAAATTTTTTAAACAGAAAAGTTGATTTTGGGGTTGATTAATACTGGTAAAAATACACATTATGCTTCACTAAAGCCTGAAATGAAATGGTAATTTTTAATGCTGAATATTCTAAAGCCTTGAAATAATTTATAGAATTTAAAAAATCAATGTGTGTTAGTTGTTTGCCCTAAAGACTTATCGATGTGGAATTGATTTGGAACTGGAGTCAATTCATGTTTGTAACCTGGCAGTCAGAATTGTGAACATGTGCAACTTTAAGGCATTTAGGTGTTTTGCAGGAAATCTCTCTTCAGGCTCGGAAATTGTGACATTCGTTAGCATATAAGGAGAAAGTGAGTGGGTACCATTTAAAAGGGGTTATTTTTATGTTGCTTTAGAAATGTAAATGAGAATAATACTCAACTTCACTGCTTGACTGACAAAATGGTGACTATTCAGTTAGTACTTTGATTAGATCAGGAATACAGTGAATATGAGCTGGGACTCATCTTGTGTTGAAAACCCCTGTGCCACTTGGGGTTATGGGGAACCTCAAGCTAGAGGCATCACAAACTACTAGAAGGAAGAAGATACATTTATATTTTGAAAGCAATGGCCTCTTGCAATGTGTGAAATTTTCTGGTTATGGAATTAAGCTAGTAATCTTCTACATATACGTGATCCTATACATCTTCTGAAGCGTTCCTAACAGAACTTCAACTACCAACACCATGGGATGCTGGAAAAGTAGGGTTTATGGAAACAGAATAATATAAGTTCAAGTCTTGACTTTCCCATTTACTGGCTGTATTACTTTGAAGAATTTATGTAATCTCTCTGAGCCTTCAGTTTTGGTGTCTGAAAATGGGATTTTTCTTAAGATTACAGGTAATCTTCAGAAAAACATAGGTAAAATTCTTAACATAGTATTTTGCACATAGTATGCATAGAGTAAATGATAAATGTGTCTTTAGTCATCACGAGTATCATGAGAGGTAGATATTTATTACCCAAAAACTGATAATTAATTACTATAAGCTATAAGTTTCTTGATTGTTTCAATTTAGTATCCATCTACTTACCTGGTTGACCTTAATGATCAGTTATTAAATTGTTTGAATATTTATCCCTGACTGTACCCATTCTCTGGTGAGGAAACAAAGGCTCCCAAAGATGACAGAAAACCTTCAATATTGGAGCTAATAAGTGGCTTAGTTGGAATGAAACCACTGGTCTTCTATACCTATTTAGCACCATTTTCTCTTTTCTCTGCAGCTTCCATGGACTTGGACACAGTTCTGTTTGGGAATTGGAGCATCTGGGTTAAGATCTTGTGTCTCTTTGACTCCTGGTCTTGTGCTGGATTCCATACAGCCAGCTCTCCTTTATATGCAATCATTCCCTTGATTGGTGACCCCTGTTTACAAGAAAATACCCCTGACTTATTTCTTTCTGCTATTGTATTTGTCAGTGTCCAGGCAGGAAAATGGAAACTGTTGTATATATTTTAAGCAAACGGAGATTTAGTGCAGGTCACAGAGCTCCATGGCAGAGCAGGGAGAAGGAGATGTTAAAGAGGTCAAGAAGCCTCATGATCCTCCTTGCTGTTATGGGTCTGCTGGAGGCACAACCATTGCCACATTTCTGGAACCATTTGCTGTTGCTCTTACTGCTTAAAGCACCTCCAAATAGAGAAGAAATATACTCCTCTTTCTCACCTCATCGCCCAAATTTCCATGTTGAATCTCTCATTTGGAAAACATAACCTGAAGCCAGTGGGCAAGAAAGTCTGAAAAATATAGTTTTCAGGCTTCTGGCTCTCATTGATTGATATAAGTGCATAAAAACTGTGGCAAATAACAGATACAGCTTCCCCACTATATAAGCTTGGTTTCTTCTGGAACTTACTGCTGTGGAGGCTGCTTCACCCGGCTTCAGAAACCTGAGGGTGCAGATGTGACGGCATTAATATAAGCATCTGAGTCTCAATCTGCTTGACTGCAGGAAGCTCAGTCTTTTGTGCAGTTTACCTTGTCCACCTGTTTTAGAGAATTTGGTTATTACTGAAAGGGGTGCTCCCAAGTGTCCTGACTTTGTTTTGCTTGCCAAGCTGAACCTCTGCAGCCTCCAGCTCTATCAGTTCCACTGAGGCATACTTTGAATTACAGCCTGCTAAATGAGCAGTCTGTAGGCCTCAAAGCTTCCCCCTGGACTTTAGTAAAGCAGAAGCTCCTTGATAATGAAAATCCACATCATTTCACCTGTGAAGTGAGAAGAGTATGCCTTCCATGTCATGCTTGATCAAAGTGGGCCCCATACTAAAATTGCTTGAGATAGAAGTATTTCAGAAGCAAGCATTGTAGCATTTCAAATTCTCAGACCTAATCTTGTTCCCTGGAACACACAGAGGGTAGTGTTATGATGAATTTTAGTATCAACAGTTACATGTTCTCAGAATTATTATTGACCTGCATCGTTCTGGGTCTGTTGCTCAGTCAACCCTGGTGTATCTGGCTTCTTTTCTTATGACACCTTGTTATTCCTCCCTGCAGTTTGCTTCTTTTATTACCAATCTTTATTTAAATGTCACATTTTAATGAGATTTTTTACATAGTTTATTAGGACTTGTGCAAATCAGCGGATGCAAATAGCTTGGCAAGGGTAGAGATATTGCCTAATTAAAAAAAAAATTGCAAGATCTTTATGACTCTCAGCTCAAGCCCAGTCAGAATTACCTCTGTACCTAATAGGATTACAGCATGGTCTAGATGGAAGGGTCACTTGGATTCCTGTAAGACTGTGTCTTTTTGTCTCACTTTGCAAGCACAGGCTGTGATGAGATTCAAGAAACGTGATTGAAGCTGTGAATTATTTACAATTTCTTAGAAGCTCCTTTCTATAATTTGGAGCCTTGCCTATGACTTGTAGCTTCTTGCAGTCCTACAAAGCACAATTTTTGTAAATAAAGAAATAAATATCTTTATTTACAAAAGAAATAAAAAGAGTTTCAGAGGATTAAGTGATTTTTCCTCAGCCTACACAGCTAATAAGTGATTAACCTGAGACTAAAATCCAAGTCTTTGCTTCCGGAATCACTGATTTTTTCAAATTATCTCCCAACTCTCCAAAGACAAACTATCTCCTAAGGTATATATAATTTAGATTAAAATGTCACTCAACCATGACAATATCTATGAAAATGGATTTCGACAATAAAAGGAAAATATCAAATCACTGTTGTTTGATGCCTTGAACATTTGATAAGAAGGACTTGCTATGGTTCAGACATTTCTCCAAACATGTGACCTATCTGATCTCACTGATAGTGGCCCCAGCATTACATATGAAGTAACCGAGGCAGAGAAGAATCATTATTTTGCCCAAAGGCACATTTCTAGAAAGAGGTGAAGCTAGTATTTTCACCCAAATTTTTGTGATATCAGAGCCTATCCTTTGAACTTCAATGGTTTGCTTTTCTAAAGATTTCTATGTGGCAAAAGGTCTATCATTTGATATTTTAGACTTGGGTTCTCAAACTGAAGGCCTAGCAGATATGTTCATTTGGCCTGTCCAGGGTTTTAAAAATGGATTAAAATCCTTTTAGGGAAGCTGGGCACTCTGGAATTTACCAGAGTCGTAACTGTGAGTCCCTGTTGTCTGAAAGGAAGCCATCTTGAACTATCACATTACCTTTCATAGCCACAGCGTACAGTTGTTCAGTGTGCAATCTGCCTGCCTGGCCCTGGAGGGCTTTCCACCTTATCACTTACATTTTGAAAACAGTGGTAAAAATTATCCTCAACTTTGTAGAACCATATTATGACTTTTAGTACCTGCTATTTTCTCCCAGGAATTCTGTTTTATTACCATTTAGCAAATAGGGTTGTGTTAAATTTCAGACATTTTTTCAATTGGAACAGATTTCTAAATAAATATCTGCTAAGTGATTACCATTTTATCAGTCAGGTAATAATGTTCAGGCAATGTTCTTATTTGCATTTTTAAAGAATGTAAGAAGAATCTTTTTTCCCCCTTCTCTGCCCACTCACTTACTCCTTAGCTTGTAATGACTTCATTTAATTTCAAAAGGTTTTATACAACATACTCATCTTTGAATGTTCAATACTAATCATACCTTTGTGCATATCAAATATAGATGCGTATTTATTCTCAACTTTCTCTATCAACAGTGTAACTGACGTTTCTAGCCTCACCTTATCTCAAATGCCACCACTGTTCATTGTATGTAATTACTGCAGTTCAAATCCTCAAAAGATGAATGCCAGAAAAAGCGTATGTGGAAATGGATACATTAGAGTCATTTTTTAAATGTTAAAAAAATCGACAAACTTCTTAGCATTCAAAAAATGTTGGTAATAGAAAATACAGAGGCACTGTAGACAACTAAATATGGAAGTTCAGAAATACGATCTATCAGTCTGCACGGAAGACAGAAAAGTTCTGTTAGGCATGTAGGAAGCATGACTGACACTGAATGCAAATAGGGTTACAGGGTTGACAAGAGGAGGGGCCTGAGGAAACGGTGACAGTAGTCCAGGGGAGGCAGGATAAGGACCAGGAGGAAGAACAGAGTGAGAGTAAAGGAAAAAACACAGATCCTAGAGAAATTTATGAAGTAGCATTTCCGGTAGATCATGATGAATTGCATGAGGAGGAAGAGGAAGATGTTTTTAAAGTGACCTTGGAGAAGAAGTGTGGTGCATAGGGAATGAGGACTTAGTTTGATGTTGATTGAGATGGAGATAACTGTGGAACATTCAGGTAAAAAAATGTCTATAGAAAGCTGGCTAACTTAGTGTGAATCTCAGTTGGGAAATATTTTGGGGAGGATTCTAATCATATCTGCTCTATGGTCAATTAAATATAAAATAAATTGACTCCCAATTTCTAGACCACCAAAAGGTAAACCTCTCTCCAAATATTAACATCCAGAAAACTACCTTTTTGTGGAAGCTCTGCCTTCTTCTGACCAAAGGGATCATTTTATTCTCTCATTTGCAAGGACTACAAGCATTTTGCATAATTAGGAAGTATCCAAAGGTTAAAACTGTCACCTTTCTGATCTGAACTCAGGAAGCTTATGAGAGCAAATCACCTGTTGTGTATTCATTGGTAAAGTGGGACATACTGACTTATTTTCTTTGTATTTTCATTTCTAGTCAACATGTGAGAATCGAGTCTAATATTTTTCATAGTAAATACATTCTTTATGACTCATTAGGGTTATGATGTAAGAAATGTGCAGGTATTTGGAAAATAAATAGTGCATTGAGTTAGTGTGACTTTTAGACAAGCTATGATAATTAAGAGTTTCAACTAATTTAGTACTTTAGTAGAGGATAAGATAAAATCCCCTCCCTGAAAGGGAATGTTCTGATGGCTTGTCCTTGAATTGAACTGAATTTTATCATCGCACCACTGACAGAAGTTTTGCAAAACAAATTGAGTCACGCCACAGAGTCCTGAGAATCAGAAAAATTGTGTCTGATTTCTATTTGTAACTTCAAATGTTATTTTCTTTGGTTGCATTACTGATGGCCTAGAATCACCCAGATGACACCCCTAACTGAGGGTGGGGCATATCAGCCAACCAGTCTTCTATGACTGAGAGACTCAGACCAGTTCTCTGGACAGTCAAGCCTGAGGGTTGTGACTTTCTACACTAGTAAGAGGGGAATAGGCTATGAGTAGAGACCAGCCTTGGAATTCATGAAGTGCATCTGTGTGAACAAAATGAAAAAACAAAAGGGTTCGATCCACTTCAAAAAAAAAAAAAGGCTTTGCAGCCAGGCGCGGTGGCTCACACCTGTAATCCCAGCACTTTGGGAGGCCAAGGTGGGTGGATCACGAGGTCAAGAGATCAAGACCATCCTGGCCAACATGGTGAAACCCCATCTCTACTAAAAATACAAAAATTAGCTGGGTGTTATGGCGTGCACCTGTGGTCCCAGCTACTCAGGAGGCTGGGGCAGGCGAATCGCTTGAACCCGGGAGGCAGAGGTTGCAGTGAGCAGAGATCATGCCGCTGCACTCCAGCCTGGCGACAAGGCAAGACTCTGTCTAAAAAAACAAACAAAAAAACCCCAAACAAACAAACAAAAAGAACTTTACTTCTAAGAACCTCATTTTGTTTGCAGGAACATTGATGCTTCTAATTAAGAGTGGGGAAGTTGAAAAGTATTTAAAATATCTCATCTAGTCAAAAATTCCTAAGCTATTAGTCATGTATTTTTTAAAGCTACAAATCATATTTGATTAATTTTGACATGCTTCTATCCAATTATGTTGAACTGATGAGGTTTTACTCTGAAAATAATAACTAGTACCCTTTTTATACCAGCTTAATTTTAGCAGTGTTTTATTTAGAATTATGTAACCTTGACTCTGCCACCCTCTCTCTACCCTTCCTGTCATTGCTGTCTTAAGGCTTCACCTCTTTTCTGCATGATTGGCATCATCTCCAAACACCTTTTTGACTCCCTAACTCCAATTCATTTTTCAGCCAGACGACTGGCCATCTTTCTATAGCCTAATCCCAGCCTTCATGTCCCCTCTTTCTTTCACCAATTTCCTACTTGCACCTCAAAGTATGAAGTCATTTATCATCTCCTGACCCCCAAGCCTCCTGACCTCCCCTCTATGCTCCCAGACCTCTCTATACAAATTGCTGTTATCAATTATTTATAATTGTCATTGTTGTTTGTAATTAGTGGTTTAACATGCCTGCCTCCTCTGCTGGACTTCGTATGCCTGGTATTTAGTCTGACATCTTATAATGTTGGAAGAATTTAAAAAACATTGATAAAGCCTTTATTTTATTTTTTAACTCTTTAGGCAATATCTCCACATCATTGAAGGCCCATCATAGAAAGTTTTGTGCCCAGTGGATATTAATAACCATTACCCATCTCCACTCTATGCCCCTGAAACTTCACCCACAACACACTGAATTTCACTTGCAGCCTGGAATCTGAGGCTACGGGATTTGGAGAAGAGACGGGAGAGTGAAAAGAACACAAGTTCTCTATTTGAGGTTGAAAAGGCTTCTCCTGTGGTGCTGTTTGCAGATTTCCTGGCATGTGATTGCTAATGACAGGGACAACATGCCTTTTATTTTGTATCCCTTAGGTGGGATCTATTCCCTTGCTCAGGCTGCCACCCTCACCACCATCCCTGCTACTACTAGCTAACAGGCACTGAATGCTCAATGAGTGTAAGTGCTGAGCTCAACTCTTCACAAGTATTTTCTCATGCGCTCCATATGACCACTCTATGAAGGGGTGCTCTTATTATCTGCATTTCATATTGAGGTGCAGAAAAGTTAATTAGCTTGCCCAAATTTATACAACTAATAGTAAGGGATGGAACCAACCAGCCAAACCTAGGAGGTCTTATTGCAGTGCTCAGATCCCTGACTACCACATTACAGCTATTTGTAGAATTTACAGATACTGGTATTATTACACCAATTCCTAAGATCAGCATTACTCCTCTTCTACAAGTGCTGCTACTACTACTGCAGCTGTTACTATTCATTTTATTTCTACTGTCTCTACTACGATAACCATAAACCCCTAAGACTTTCTTTGTTCCAGGTGCTGTGCTAAAGCTGACCGTACCTTAGGTCACTGAGTCAGCAATACAAATAGCCCACTCTAAGAAGGAACGTCTATATCATCCCAGATAGGTGAGGCCATGTGCTCTGTGATTCAGGAACCCTCCAAGAAAATCCGGGAGGGGGAACGCCCTTTTAATAACCTTTCTGTTTCTCTTTGACTGACTCATTCTCTAGGAATTCTTTCTCATCTCTAATCAGAAATCTGCAGTTGCTGTTACCTCTTTATTTATTTATTTATTTATTTTTGCCATCCTCAGAGGTGACTGACATCAGCTGAGGACCTAGAACGTTAGCACGGGAACACTCCAAAAGAGGGTTGAAGTCCCTCCTGTGTATCAGAATTCCATTCCCACTTCAGGATCCTAGAAAGCAGCAACTCTGCTTGGGCTTGAAAATTCCTGTCCTGTTTTTAAGTATGTCCAGATAATTGGTTAAATTTGACTTAGCAGTCAACTAAACCCAGATTATTACATATATCAGTGAAGAAAAGCAACAACAGTGAGATCGTGTCAAATTATGCAATATTTTAATAGGTCTGACAACAGGTTTTGTTTTACAGGATGTTAAGCTCATCCTCTGCCCCTTTACTCCCCTCATTTTCTGTGCTGTTGTTAAACATCCGAGTATTTCATTTGTCCAATTTTTGTCCCCATCTCTTGTCTCTTCCCACAGAGCAGGCATTGTCTGTCTCTGTGGAGAGGCCTTGGCTACCGGTTTTCCTCACTGGGCTGCCTAAGATTTCCTTAAGATAAGTTCAAAGGCCCATTTTTCCTGAAGGACCTGGGGGCAAGGAGCTTGCTTCCATTGCAGTCTCTGAACATTTTCCAAGCAGGTAATTGTGGTTTAGGAATGTCTGGTGCCTTTTCTGTTCTGTTGTCTTTTCTCATTCCCTGCTGTCTTTTCCTCCTCTTCCTCTCCTGTATTGCATTCTACTTGCCTTGTCTTCCCTGTTTCTCTTTCTCTCTTGCATTTGCACTCTGCCCAACACTCTTTTTCTCATTCACATTTACAACTCATATTTTCTACCCCTTCTTTTTCCTCAACAGCTTTATCCCCCTAGTCCCTCCCTCACTTAGTTCATTGGACATACATTTCCATTTTGCTTTACAAATAGGTTTTTAGGGGTACTTGCGTACATATTTATGAAATGACAAATATTCACCAACTATTAATAATATGTATGGCTGTTTGTGGTTAAAAAGGAGTGTGAGATAACAATTCTGGCTAGTAATAAAACCTTATATTAATGATTTATTTATATAGTCCTTCAAAAAATTTACAACGTGCTTTCACATACATTGTTATCTAAGTCTCACAATATCTAGCAAAATAAGGGCAAGTATCATTAACCCAACTTATAGATAAGGAAAATGAAAATTTGAGAGGTATAAAAGATATTTTCTTTTGCACTTAAAGACACACCGCTAGTAAATAACAGAACCAAGTTTTGAATCTGTAAGTTTTGCTTAAGTTCAATGTTTTCTTACTATCCATGTGTCAGTAAGTAAACACAGGAGTATCAGAAGGATATCAGCCTGACAAGAATGACATCACAATATGATAAACTATTGGTAGAGAGGCATGGTGGTTTTATACAGTGTTTCTTGTAGGTTGGGACATGTGGAAAGGTTAAGTAAAGTTTGGTGAGATGTGGCTGGGATTTGAAGACAAAGTTACCCATCAGGATAGGGCTGGTTACAGAGAAACATAACAGGTACATGAGGAAAGATTAGTCCACAAAGCAGTTTTATAACACACAGTTAGCATCAGGCAAATCCAGTAAATGGTAATATTTAGACCATAGCAATGAGTAATCTGGAAGTTGACAATTTTAAACCACAGAGAAGATGCTTAGTTTACTTACAGAAGTTTCTCAAAATGTACTAGGGACCCATTTGCAGTTCTTAGATTGGGAGGAATGATCAGGTAGACAGACTCCTGATCCTGAAGCCACTGGGGTTTGGAGCAATTATTACAAGAGGCAGTCAGAAACATCAGGATGCATTTGGATACCGGTCAAAGCTGGAATGCAAATTGGCATCTGGGTCTCAGGATCCACACAGAAGCCAAGAGCCCAGAGCTGGGATCCAAATAAGCAGCAAGAATGACTTGATGTTGAGTATTGTCAGTAACTCAGAATGAAGTATTGAAATGACCTTTGAATTCCCTTTATTATGGATGGACCAGATCACCAAGGCAAGTTCTAAAAATGATAATCATGACCTGTAGACCATTTTTTGAAAAGGATAAATGAAAAGGAAATTTCAGGGTGAAAGTACATCATCAGGAGAGACTTCACTAGAAGCCACCCCTTGAAGTACAGAAAAAATAGATTATCCATGGAATCGCTCTTCAAATATTTGAAGAGTGCTGTTAGGATTTTTACAGTTTTAAGCAAGATAAACTAAATTCAAAGTGGCTTCAGCAACAGTGAGAATTTACTAGCTCACCTAATTGAAAAGTTCAAGAACACAAACTTGCTGGACCACAGCCTCAAAACAGTCGTTAGAATTGGTCTCTCTATGCTACCATGGACTGACTAGCAGAGTCTGGACCAGGAGTTTGATGCAACTGGCAGGTACTGCTAGGTGTGCTAGGTGGTAGATTCTAGTGGAAGACAGGACTGGAAGACCAGGTGGCTCATAGGGTTGGAAAAGAGCAGAAGTCCAGAGAAGACAGCTAAGAGAGTAGAATCCAATTGTGCTGGTTGGCGATCACACTGGAGGTTTTTATGTCAAGGCCAAAGCTTACTTTTGACTCTCTGTCATGCGTGGGCAGCCCTGATGTCTTGGTTATACATAGAAGCATGATTCTGGAATCCCCTCTCAGTAAATTGATTTCTTGTTAGGAATTGGAAGACATGAAGTTAAATATTCTTGAATTTCAAAGAACCTTTTCTTATTAACAAGCACTAATGAGTCTCCCTAACTCAAACAAATAATTACAGTTGAAATGTAATTTTCACTGTGACAATGATTCTGCTAATATTCCTTTCCTATTTATGGATATTTTTCTGACACATACAAATATGCTTGTGTACATATGTGATGAATGGGGTGTACACGTGAGGAGGTGGCAGTGACTGTTCTTCTAAGTAAGTGTATATTCTCACGTGGGTGTGAGTTGTGTGGTTACAGCATCTGTTGAGTCTCAATGTGGTTTCCTTTTGGTTAGTCTGAGACAAGGCTCTGCTTGAGATGGAGAAGATAGTGAGGGCTAAGTCAAGGCTTCCTGAATATCATCATATCACAGAAGCCTGGAGAGACAGAAAAGGGACTTTACAGAGCAGGTTGTCCAATAGAAATATAATGCAGACCACAGATGCTAGCCACATATGTGATTTTAAATTTTGTAACAACTATGTTAAAAATAAGCAAAAAGAGATGGGTGAAGCCAATTTTAATAATTTATTCAATTTAACTTAACATATCTAAAGTATTATTTCTGCCTATAATCAATATGCAAATTATTAAAGTAGTATATATTTTTGTACTTAGTTTTCAAAATCCATTGTGCATTTTCCACTTACAGCCCAGCTGAATTCTGTCCAGCCACATTACAGGTGTTAAATAACTAAACGTGGCTAGTGGCTACCATATCGGACAGTATAGTTCTAGAACATACATTCCAAGGTCAGCAAATTACTCAAGTGGGTCACCACCTTCCCTTCCTACTGCCATCCCCACTGGAAACACTGCCAATCTATCATTCTTTATTCCTGTGCCTGGTTCTGCTATGACTTCACCTTCCTTTTCAACACAATGTTTAAGGCTGCCATTACAGACTGATCAGTTTCTTGGCAAGCAACTTAAAACCATTTTGTCAGCACAGATGGTTCAACCTCTGACTTTTCTTCCCTTTTCTCCTACCTTCTTTGTCGAGGCTGTGAAGCTCTCACTGGGTCTGGTGCAGGTGCTCTGCCCTTGTCTGACCTTGCCCCAGGTGAACATCCAGCCCTCAAGGATGGAGTCTCTCTTTTGCTTACATTACCTCTTTTCCCCTAAAATATCAACACATTTAGTTTCTCAAACTCGGCTTGTCTATTGTCTGTTCTTGTACCCTGGCTATTTATAATGAGTATTTTTAGCATAAAATACCTCAGAGCTTTTAATTTATTTTGGTATCCTTTTTTATATTATCAATTGCCTCATTTCAAAATAAACAGGCTATATTTTCCAAATTCCTTCTTTGGACCTGATATGTTTCATGCTTTTCTGTTTTCTTTTGTGACTCTGTCAAGTTACAGCTCATTTCCTGCTTTGGCCCTTTCTTTTTTAAAAATTTTTTTATCTTCCTCCTACAGCTTCTACAATCTTGGCTGGACCAGGCAAATCACACACAAAGAAGTGTGGGGACATCCTCCTCTGTGGATTTTCAGTCGTGTTTTCAATTTTGCATTGTGTCGATGGCTAGGCTGTGTGGGCTCCTGCTGGCTTCATTAGTGTTTTCCTTGGGCTTCACTGCAGATCCCTATTGATAGCCCCACGTTGTCTGTACATAAAATTTGGTCTGTAGCAAGAATCTGAACAAAAACAAGTTTGTTTTGAATTGAGGGCAGGCACTACCTTGGGTTTTCATTCCATAATTAACTTAAATGATTGCCTAGTTTTCAAAAAGATTTTGCTTTCTTGGTCAGAAAAAAATATATTTATCTAATTTAATAAAGTATCTTAATTTTCTTTGAACAGGCAGTGTTTGTAAGGGCATTTTTTTCTTGCAAGCATCATTAATTGTAGTTCATTAGAACTTCATAGATTATTAAAACTGGAAGGGACCTTAAAAATGGTCTGGCCCAATCCTAGTGTTTACAAGCCAGGAGAGAGAGGTCCGGTGAAAAGGAAAGATGTCCCAAGGCCACCTACAATGGTCAAAAACAAAGCTGGACTGAATTCTAAGGTTTCTTTACTCCAAGATCAAAACTCCTTATTCCTAGGTCCTTTTTCTTTTTTCTCTCTCTTCCTTCTTTCCTCCCTCAATTCTTTTCTTACTTTCTTCTTTCCTTTCTTCATTCACTTTCTTTTCAATCCTCCTAGAGAATCAAGATCATCTCCACTAAAATATAACCTTCACAGAATATATTCCAGATATACCCTACTAAATCAACCCAAAATGAAAGTGATTGGAATCGGCTGTATGTGTCACAATCCTCAGTATACTTCTGTGGTCACCAAAGCCTAGGTCATAATAACAGGCAATTTGGATTAAATTGACAGTGGCCCTTAGCTTTGAACTTTAAATATTCACATCCATTTCTTGAATGAAGACTTTAACGGCTAACCAAATTTGTGGTTGACATGAAGGAACAGTGATAGGTTGAGCAGCCTGATAGGAGGTCCCATAGGAAAGGGAAAGCAGGCACAAATGAGTTAAAGGTGTGTGCAAGGTTAAAATCAACAAAGGATGGTGGAATACCTTGGAGCTTAGCACAGCAGTGAGCTGTTATCATCCTTGTGCCTGAAGGGCCGAGGGGAGAGAGTTATTATCAGATCCCACAAAGAGATCAGGAACACAGCTGCTGCCAACCTGTAACCCACCAAGGCAGGAGATGAAGAAATATGGTGATTTCACTCTCCTGCTAATGCATCCTGTTGAGTAAGCCCAATTGAAGCCAGAGGGAAAGAAGCTGGTTGATACGGTCCATAAGCTGAGCCTGGTTGGAGAAGAGTGTAGAATGGATCAGAAAGAGTAGATGGAACACACAGGAAAAGTTGGTTGCTGCTTTTGACTGCACAGTATCCTTGCGGATAGAACCCTGATTTTGCTTTTGGGGAATGACTGCTCCTTGACTCTTGGGTTCTTGAGTTTTGGGTGGGGTGAACTGTGTCATCAGGCTTCAGAGTGGGCATGTTCTCCAGGTCTGGCCCCACTCAGAGCACCTGACCCCTGGCTACAGTGATTGGTTCAGAAGGGTACAATCAGAGTGACTCCTGGGACTAAATCAGAGGACTGTTTTTCCCCTAGAGTTCTTGAGAACATAGAAGCCTAGAGATGCTGATGGCCATCTCCTCACGTTTTGGAGAGAGCTGGCCCAGGAATGAAGCTGTTGCCGAAGAGGGAATTGCTGAGAGACAGTGGGAGTGAAGCTAAGCCTTGCTGACTTACTTGAGTCTGTGACTTCCACTATGCATTCAGCTAGCCTCTCCTACTGCAACTTTTAGCATCGCAGCCATACTTTGCCTTTTGCTTGAGTCCCTTTGAGTTGAAGTTTCTGAAATTTGAAACCAGAGTCCTGATTAATTCATTACTGTAAGAACCAGGTAAGAGACTTGACTAGGTTAGGCTGGGCGCCGTGGCTCATGCCTGTAATCCCAGCACTTTGAGAGGCCGAGACAGGCAGATCACAAAGTCAGGAGTTTGAGACCAGCCTGGCCAACATGGTGAAACCCTCTCTTTACTAAAAATACAAAAATTAGCTGGGTGTGGTGGCGTGCACCTGTAATCCCAGCTACTCAGGAGGTTGAGGCAGGAGAATCACTTGAACCTGGGAGGTGGGGGTTGCAGTGAGCCAGGATCGCGCCACTGCATTCTAGCCTGTGTGACAGGGCAAGACTCCATCTCAAAAAAAACAAAAAAAAACAAAAGAGAGAGACTTGACTAGGGTAATATTATAAGAAGTGTGTGTTAGGCTGTGCTTGCATTGCTGTAAATACCTGAGATTGGGTAATTTATAAACAAAAGAGGTTTAGTTGGCTCATGGTTGGGTAGTCTGTACAAGCAAGGCACTAGCATCTGCCTGGCACCCCAGGGTGCCTTTACTCATGGCAGAAGGTGAAGCAGAAGCAGGCACCAAAGCAGGAGCAAGAGAGAGGGAAGTGGGAAGGACCACACACTTGTAAACAACCAGATCTCGTGAGAAATCACTCACTATTGTGAGAACAGCACAAACATGGCATTAAACCATTTATGAGAAATCTATCCTCATGATCCAGCCACCTCCTACCAGGTCCTACCTCCGACAATGAGGATTATAGTTCAACATAAGATTTAGAGGGGACAAATATCCAAACCATATCAAAATGGAAAGGAAATAATGATATAAGATTCTGTAATTAATAAAGCTAACTATGGTTGGGTTTAGGTGATTAACAGGAAAATGCAATAAGATTAGTAGAGTTATCTAATAGCTGATCATTTACCCTGTTAATTACTCTTCCAAGTTTCATTAAAATACTTAAATGATCCTGGTGTAGTGCAGAAGTCATTAAAAACTATGTTGGCTATTGTGGAGTTTATAAGGTAAGTTATAACTTTTTTATATGGGTGATAGAAGAAAAAAATCTGTCTGTGTATGTACAGAAAAAAATCTAGAATGATATGCACCAAGGTATTTACATTGCCTTAATTTATATTATATTATTCTTTCTGGTGAAGATGAACACAGATACTAATGTTCATTCATGTGTCTATATTTTTCTGCTTTTTTGTTAATGATCATGTATTGCTTTGTAATAGGAACAAAATAAAGCAGACTTCTTAGAGTCAATAATATTATATTATCACAGCAACTGAAGAGGGTAAATACTGATCACAAGGGAGAGGAGTTGCTCACTAGCAGATAGAACATGCCCTTGTAATTTATCAGCTGAGTGAATGGACTGGTATGGGAGGGGGAAAAAGCATGCCTATTAGGATCAGGAGGGAAGATGTTAAAATAACTCAGGCTATAGGTGCAGCCCTGAACTAGAGAAATAGAAACAGGCCATTTTTACCTACTTTCCCGCTTGAGATAATGATCATTATAACACACTGTGTCAAATTTCCATCAAAGAGAATTCTAAACACATTTTGGAAAAATAAACCATCAGAAAGGTTTAAAATAAGTGTGCCTTTTCCCTTTCTCAGGCATATCCAACAGCATGTGTGTCAAAAAGCACTAACCCTTGTGGTTATCAAGACAGTTCACTCACAAGCTCCTCATATTTCTCCTTCGTGCAGATGCCCAGAATCCATTCATTGAGCTAATACGTGGCCCTTGTTGCCTAGCAACATTTGTGGAATTACTATGTGTGCTTCTTAATCACTGTAAAGTCTTGTCCTTTATTTTATATTGAAAAATAGAAAAGGAGAGAAAGCTTATGGAAACCAAAGGGAAAAAGAGACTGCCCGAACTGTATCTTCCAGTTGCAGATTAAATCACAGCATCTGGGTCAATTTAGACAGGACAACATTTTTCAAAAAAGTATTTTGGCTCCCGCTGGAGAAATTGATTGACAAGTGAAAGTCCTGAATCAGCATTTTACCTGAGCAGTCTGCAAGAAGAGGATCCAGAAACTTAACCACTTAACATACCTTTAGGAGCTTTATTTTATTTTATTTTATTTTATTTTATTTTATTTCTTTCTTTCTTTCTTTATTTTTTTAATTATTATACTTTAAGTTTTAGGGTACATGTGCACATTGTGCAGGTTAGTTACATACGTATACATGTGCCATGCTGGTGTGCTACACCCACTAACTCGTCATCTAGCATTAGGTATATCTCCCAATGCTATCCCTCCCCCCTCCCCCCACCCCACAACAGTCCCCAGAGTGTGATGTTCCCCTTCCTGTGTCCATGTGATCTCATTGTTCAATTCCCACCTATGAGTGAGAATATGCAGTGTTTGGTTTTTTGTTCTTGTGATAGTTTACTGAGAATGATGATTTCCAATTTCATCCATGTCCCTACAAAGGACATGAACTCATCATTTTTTATGGCTGCATAGTATTCCATGGTGTATATGTGCCACATTTGCTTAATCCAGTCTATCAATGTTGGACATTTGGGTTGGTTCCAAGTCTTTGCTATTGTGAATAATGCTGCAATAAACATACGTGTGCATGTGTCTTTATAGCAACATGATTTATAGTCCTTTGGGTATATACCCAGTAATGGGATGGCTGGGTCAAATGGTATTTCTAGTTCTAGATCCCTGAGGAATCGCCACACTGACTTCCACAATGGTTGAACTAGTTTACAGTCCCACCAACAGTGTAAAAGTGTTCCTATTTCTCCACATCCTCTCCAGCACCTGTTGTTTCCTGACTTTTAATGATTGCCATTCTAACTGGTGTGAGATGGTATCTCATTGTGGTTTTGATTTGCATTTCTCTGATGGCCAGTGATGGTGAGCATTTTTTCATGTGTTTTTTGGCTACATAAATGTCTTCTTTTGAGAAGTGTCTGTTCATGTCCTTTGCCCACTTTTTGATGGGGTTGTTTGCTTTTTCTTGTAAATTTGTTTGAATTCATTGTAGATTCTGGATATTAGCCCTTTGTCAGATGAGTAGGTTGTGAAAATTTTCTCCCATTTTGTAGGTTGCCTGTTCACTCTGATGGTAGTTTCTTTTGCTGTGCAGAAGCTCTTTAGTTTAATTAGATCCCATTTGTCAATTTTGTCTTTTGTTGCCATTGCTTTTGGTGTCTTAGACATGAAGTCCTTGCACATGCCTATGTCCTGAATGGTAATGCCTAGGTTTTCTTCTAGGGTTTTTATGGTTTTAGGTCTAACGTTTAAGTCTTTAATCCACCTTGAATTAATTTTTGTATAAGGTGTAAGGAAGGGATCCAGTTTCAGCTTTCTACATATGGCTAGCCAGTTTTCCCAGCACCATTTATTAAATAGGGAATCCTTCCCCATTGCTTGTTTTTCTCAAGTTTGTCAAAGATCAGATAGTTGTAGATATGCGGCATTATTTCTGAGGGCTCTGTTCTGTTCCATTGATCTATATCTCTGTTTTGGTACCAGTACCATGCTGTTTTGGTTACTGTAGCCTTGTAGTATAGTTTGAAGTCAGGTAGTGTGATGCCTCCAGCTTTGTTCTTTTGGCTTAGGATTGACTTGGCAATGCAGGCTCTTTTTTGGTTCCATATGAACTTGAAAGTAGTTTTTTCCAATTCTGTGAAGAAAGGCATTGGTAGCTTGATGGGGATGGCATTGAATCTGTAAATTACCTTGGGCAGTATGGCCATTTTCACGATATTGATTCTTCCTACCCATGAGCATAGAATGTTCTTCCATTTGTTTGTATCCTCTTTTATTTCCTTGAGCAGCGGTTTGTAGTTCTCCTTGAAGAGGTCCTTCACATCCCTTGTAAGTTGGATTCCTAGGTATTTTATTCTCTTTGAAGCAATTGTGAATGGGAGTTCACTCATGGTTTGGCTCTCTGTTTGTCTGTTGTTGGTATATAGGAATGCTTGTGATTTTTGCACATTGATTTTGTATCCTGAGACTTTGCTGAAGTTGCTTATCAGCTTAAGGAGATTTTGGGCTGAGACAATGGGGTTTTCTAGATATACAATCATGTCATCTGCAAACAGGGACAATTTGACTTCCTCTTTTCCTAATTGAATACCCTTTATTTCCTTCTCCTGCCTAATTGCCCTGGCCAGAACTTCCAACACTATGTTGAATAGGAGTGGTGAGAGAGGGCAACCCTGTCTTGTGCCAGTTTTCAAAGGGAATGCTTCCAGTTTTTGCCCATTCAGTATGATATTGGCTGTGGGTTTGTCATAGATAGCTCTTATTATTTTGAGATACATCCCATCAATACCTAATTTATTGAGAGTTTTTAGCATGAAGGGTTGTTGAATTTTGTCAAAGGCCTTTCCTGCATCTATTGAGATAATCATGTGGTTTTTGTCTTTGGCTCTGTTTATATGCTGGATTACATTTATTAATTTGCGTATATTGAACCAGCCTTGCATCCCAGGGATGAAGCCCACTTGATCATGGTGGATAAGCTTTTTGATGTGCTGCTGGATTTGGTTTGCCAGTATTTTATTGAGGATTTTTGCATCAATGTTCATCAAGGATATTGGTCTAAAATTCTCTTTTTTGGTTGTGTCTCTGCCCGGCTTTGATATCAGAATGATGCTGGCCTCATAAAATGAGTTAGGGAGGATTCCTTCTTTTTCTATTGATTGGAATAGTTTCAGAAGGAATGGTACCAGTTCCTCCTTGTACCTCTGGTAGAATTCGGCTGTGAATCCATCTGGTCCTGGACTCTTTTTGGTTGGTAAGCTATTGATTATTGCCACAATTTCAGATCCTGTTATTGGTCTATTCAGAGATTCAACTTCTTCCTGGTTTAGTCTTGGGAGAGTGTATGTGTCAAGGAATTTATCCATTTCTTCTAGATTTTCTCGTTTATTTGCGTAGAGGTGTTTGTAGTATTCTCTGATGGTAGTTTGTATTTCTGTGGGATCGGTGGTGATATCCCCTTTATCATTTTTTATTGCGTCTATTTGATTCTTCTCTCTTTTTTTCTTTATTAGTCTTGCTAGCGGTCTATCAATTTTGTTGATCCTTTCAAAAAACCAGCTCCTGGATTCATTAATTTTTTGAAGGGTTTTTTTGTGTCTCTATTTCCTTCAGTTCTGCTCTGATTTTAGTTATTTCTTGCCTTCTGCTAGCTTTTGAATGTGTTTGCTCTTGCTTTTCTAGTTCTTTTAATTGTGATGTTAGGGTGTCAATTTTGGATCTTTCCTGCTTTCTCTTGTGGGCATTTAGTGCTATAAATTTCCCTCTACACACTGCTTTGAATGCGTCCCAGAGATTCTGGTATGTTGTGTCTTTGTTCTTGTTGGTTTCAAAGAACATCTTTATTTCTGCCTTCATTTCGTTATGTACCCAGTAGTCATTCAGGAGCAGGTTGTTCAGTTTCCATGTAGTTGAGTGGTTTTGAGTGAGATTCTTAATCCTGAGTTCTAGTTTGATTGCACTGTGGTCTGAGAGACAGTTTGTTATAATTTCTGTTCTTTTACATTTGCTGAGGAGAGCTTTACTTCCAAGTATGTGGTCAATTTTGGAATAGGTGTGGTGTGGTGCTGAAAAAAATGTATATTCTGTTGATTTGTGGTGGAGAGTTCTGTAGATGTCTATTAGGTCCGCTTGGTGCAGAGCTGAGTTTAATTCCTGGGTATCCTTGTTGACTTTCTGTCTCGTTGATCTGTCTAATGTTGACAGTGGGGTGTTAAATTCTCCCATTATTAATGCGTGGGAGTCTAAGTCTCTTTGTAGGTCACTCAGGACTTGCTTTATGAATCTGGGTGCTCCTGTATTGGGTGCATATATATTTAGAATAGTTAGCTCTTCTTGTTGAATTGATCCCTTTACCATTATGTAATGGCCTTCTTTGTCTCTTTTGATCTTTGTTGGTTTAAAGTCTGTTTTATCTGAGACTAGGATTGCAACCCCTGCCTTTTTTTGTTTTCCATTTGCTTGGTAGATCTTCCTCCATCCTTTTATTTTGAGCCTATGTGTGTCTCTGCACGTGAGATGGGTTTCCTGAATACAGCACACTGATGGGTCTTGACTCTTTACCCAATTTGCCAGTCTGTGTCTTTTAATTGGAGCATTTAGTCCATTTACATTTAAAGTTAATAGTGTTATGTGTGAATTTGATCCTGTCATTATGATGTTAGCTGGTGATTTTGCTCGTTAGTTGATGCAGTTTCTTCCTAGTCTCGATGGTCTTTACATTTTGGCATGATTTTGCAGTGGCTGGTACCGGTTGTTCCTTTACATGTTTAGCGCTTCCTTCAGGAGCTCTTTTAGGGCAGGCCTGGTGGTGACAAAATCTCTCAGCATTTGCTTGTCTGTAAAGTATTTTATTTCTCCTTCACTTATGAAGCTTAGTTTGGCTGGATATGAAATTCTGGGTTGAAAATTCTTTTCTTTAAGAATGTTGAATATTGGCCCCCACTCTCTTCTGGCTTGTAGAGTTTCTGCCGACAGATCCGCTGTTAGTCTGATGGGCTTCCCTTTGAGAGTAACCCGACCTTTCTCTCTGGCTGCCCTTAACATTTTTTCCTTCATTTCAACTTTGGTGAATCTGACAATTATGTGTCTTGGAGTTGCTCTTCTCGAGGAGTATCTTTGTGGCGTTCTCTGTATTTCCTGAATCTGAACGTTGGCCTGCCTTGCTAGATTGGGGAAATTCTCCTGGATAATATCCTGCAGAGTGTTTTCCAACTTGGTTCCATTCTCCCCATCACTTTCAGGTACACCAATCAGACGTAGATTTGGTCTTTTCACATAGTCCCATATTTCTTGGAGGCTTTGCTCATTTCTTTTTATTCTTTTTTCTCTAAACTTTCCTTCTTGCTTCATTTCATTCATTTCATCTTCCATTGCTGATACCCTTTCTTCCAGTTGATCGCATCGGCTCCTGAGGCTTCTGCATTCTTCACATAGTTCTGGAGCCTTGGTTTTCAGCTCCATCAGCTCCTTTAAGCACTTCTCTGTATTGGTTATTCTAGTTATACATTCTTCTAAATTTTTTTCAAAGTTTTCAACTTCTTTGCCTTTGGTTTGAATGTCCTCCCGTAGCTCAGAGTAATTTGATCGTCTAAAGCCTTCTTCTCTCAGCTCATCAAAGTCATTCTCCGTCCAGCTTTGTTCCGTTGCTGGTGAGGAGCTGCGTTCCTTTGGAGGAGGAGAGGCACTCTGATTTTTAGAGTTTCCAGTTTTTCTGTTCTGTTTTTTCCCCATCTTTGTGGTTTTATCTACTTTTGGTCTTTGATGATGGTGATGTACAGATGGGTTTTTGGTGTGGATGTCCTTTCTGTTTGTTAGTTTTCCTTGTAGCAGACAGGACCCTCAGCTGCAGGTCTGTTGGAGTACCCTGCAGTGTGAGGTGTCAGTGTGCCCCTGCTGGAGGGTGCCTCCCAGTTAGGCTGCTCGGGGGTCACGGGTCAGGGACCCACTTGAGGAGGCAGTCTGCCCGTTCTCAGATCTCCAGCTGCGTACTGGGAGAACCACTGCTCTCTTCAAAGCTCAGATGGAAATGCAGAAATCACGCATCTTCTGTGTCGCTCAGGCTGGGAGCTGTAGACCGGAGCTGTTCCTATTTGGCCATCTTGGCTCCTCCACCACCTTTAGGAGCTTTCTATCCACAAGACTATGAGGGCTGAAGAAGGCCTCCACTCACTCTTTTTCTCAGATAGTTGTGATGAGCAATGTTTTATTGGAAGGACAACATCATATTAGAATTGTTCTGAAATGCCCTGGCTTCCAATGATCCTTCTGGAACTTATAAAATTTGTATTTTCAAGTTCTGCAACTTCTGGGATAGTGTAATTTCCATTAATTTATTCTTCTCTGGAGTCAAATCTCACTCAAAAGTTTCTAAGATTAATATTTAAGGTGAATTTTCACAGTTAAAAAAAAATACCAGCTGGGCACAGTGGCTCATGGGCCGGGCGTGGTGGCTCACGCCTGTAATCCCAGTACTTTGGGAGGCTGAGGTGGGTGGATCACGAGTTCAGGAGATTGCGAACATCCTGGCTAACACGGTGAAACCCCGTCTCTACTAAAAAATGCAAAAAATTAGCCGGGCATGGTGGTGGGCGCCTGTAGTCCCAGCTACTCGGGAGGCTGAGGCAGGAGAATGGCATGAACCCTGGAGGCAGAGCGTGCAGTGAGCCTAGATCGCGCCACTGCACTCCAGCCTGGGCGGAGTCTCAAAAAAAAAAAAAAACCCTTAAAAATTCCTTATACACAAGCACATTATACAAAAGTGGGGCCTAATATGCCCTTTCTCAATAAATCCACATCACCATTTTTCTAGTATTGGAACACATTATCTTGAGAACTGTAATAAGTATTTGCCTTATATTTTGGGGAGCCATGATGTTTGAAAATTCAAAAATTCATATCCTTGATCACCAGAATTAGAAGAAGAATGCCAGAGTTTGTCCCCAGTGAAGGACAGTGGGAACTGAGTTGACTGAAGGAAGAGAAGATACCCAGCTCTTGTCTCATGTTTATTTGGGGGCATGTGATCAATCAGTGGAACACTGAACAAAATTGCCGGTAATATTCAATTGGGTCCTCTCTTTCTCTCTCAGAATAGGTTAGCTGTGTGTGCAATGCAATGCCATTATAAGTAGTGCTTTCTTTTTATTTCCAATATCTTACCAATTTTTAGGCAACGAGGGGGTCCCCACTCCTATCATTCAATAAATCATTAATTAAGTAATTATTCATTCTTATTCCCTATCTTCAGCACAGAATCAAAGTACTGCAAACTTGAAAAGGATCCTAAGTGAGATGAACCAGTCCCTTGTCTGTTGTAAGAATCTCTTCTATTAACACTCCTGATAGAATATGTAGCATCCTGACTGGCCATCTGGGAGTTGATGGCCGAAGATCAGGCAAGCTTCAGAACCAATAAAATAATAAACCCTACTGCTTCGACCTCCTTAATCCCTCTGAAATTCTTTTACATCTCTCTGACAATGGCTTGATTTAGAACAGTATCATCTCTCACCTGGGTTACTGCAATATCCTCCTTGTTGGTCACACTAAGGGGCTAATAGAAATGTTCTTCTCTTGTCTCCCTCCAATCCATTCTGCATGCTGCATTTGGAGTGATGCTTCTAAAATGTCAATCTTGTTATGCTGCTTTTCTGCTTAAAAGCCTTCAGTAGTTCCCCATTGCTTTCAATTGATTAAAATCCAGACTTTTTAACATGGCTGTTAAAGGCTTTTGTGATTTGGCCCCTGTTCCATCTATATTGTATCATACCACTTTCTACTTTACGGCCCGTATTCCAGTTCTAATGCATTACTTCCATTTTTCCATAAATGGCATTCTCTTGCTACTGAGAGCATTCTTCTTCACCACTTCATTTGGCTAGTTATGGCACAATCTCTCAGAAGCTTTTGTGGACCACCAAAGCCTAGATTAGCTGCTTCTCTAAAATGTCCCCTTAATATTTTATATACTCTTCTCATTATAATATTTATGATATTATATGATAATTGCCTGTTTGTTTGTTTCCCCTGCAAGACTTTAAGATACATGAAGGCAGGCACTGCTTATTTTACCCAGTTTCTTAGAACGGTATACACTCAATAAATATTTGTTGAGTGAATGTGAAAGTAAGCACGGTTTACACTGTTGGCTCCAAAGTAGCCTTAGTTATCGCTTGATAAACCAGCTCTTCATCCAGACAAGAATGTATTTTTGGATAGATTTGGGGTATAGTTCATTCCGCCTAAGTTTACAGTTGCAGTTAGATAGTCCAGAGCAAGGTTCTAAGCTCCTGCACCATTCCTCATCTTAGCCGTCGCCCTCCAGTATTCTGATTGGGATTCTCTAGGGATCAATGATTTGGCAGTATACGACATTGCCAAATTAAATTTGAAAGTATAAATAAATAACTTTCATGGTTTCTCCATTTTGACTTCCCTAAAGTTGACTTCCCTAAAAACTCTAGCCAGTGAGTATTGTGGGGCTTAGTCCATGGGACATTTATGTTTTAGGCTCCAACTATTGAAATCCAGTGGGACAGACAGAAAAATAGAATATTCTGATAGCTACTACACATATCTCTTTATTCTTATGATTGGACCAACTTGGATCATGTTTCCTGTGATGAACTAATTACTGTGGTCAGAGAAACTTAGTGCTCCAATTGGCTGGGACTGGGTCACATGCTCCATCTCTGGAGGCACATGGTGCCCACCCAGGGCACTTGAACTGCAAGTGGGAATGGAGAGGCTCATCAAAGTTGAGTTGGGGCCTTCTTAGGAAAAGAAAGTGGAAATGATGTTGGGAGGATGGGTATAAAAACAACAAAGACCCATAAAAAATGACTAATTTTATTTCCTTCAAGTATCTTCAGTCAATTCATGAGCCCTGTACAGCATGCATCACTGCTGCCCGAATCACAGCATGGGCAGGCTAGGCCAACATTGAAGCTTGAAAAGTATCTCAACTTTTTGACCGAAGTATCTGAACTCTGGTCCAGTCTGTGCCCACTACATTTTTCCCCCCTAAGCAGTACTTGTGCTGTGATCTGGGAGCATGGAAAAGAAGGAATTATCATGTGTCTAAGCATTGTGTTAAGAACATAAATATCTTTATCTCATTTTACAAGTGAGGAATTGGGTTCCTGGGAAGTTAAACAATTTCTCTGAAGACAAAGAGGAAGGAATAGAATTAAGACTCTTACCTAGATCAAGCCAATGCCAAAGCCAGTGCTTCCCCACAATACCTTTTTACTTCCACCATTATGATTAAGGTTTAACTGAAAAAAGGATTGCCTTTATCTCCAGAAATAATCTACAGTAATATTGCTTAAGTTAGAGGGACATAAAACAATTACCAATTAAACCTTGTACCTATAGTGATTTGAAACATTGCTGTTTCACGGTAAAGAATCCAAATCTTTTAAATGTTGCAGACAACTTCCAATAAAGTGTTATTTTTGACAGGAGGCTAATTCATAGAAGTGACAAATCAGTTATAGACCTATTTTATATATCAAAGAACAATGGGACCTATCACCAAATATTTTGTATGGATTTAAGCCACAGCATCACAAACGTAAATCTAAATAAAATTTAAAATAACTCAGAAGCTGGTTTTTAACCATCATACAGAGTTGAATATGTATGATTCTCTCTCCTTCATAGAAACAATAATAATGGCAGCTAACATTTACAAAGCACATATTATATACTGAATATATAATAGTGCTAAATGTTCTACATGCACTATTACCTCATCTAAGGAGTCAGTTTTGGTGGAGTTAAGCCACTTGCCTAAGGTCAGAGAGCTAGTAAATACAATTTAAATATGTACATAGCTCCATTTTTTTTTGAAACCAATGTGATGTTGCATTAACACCTTCAACTGTGTTCACATGAAAATTCAGATTTCTCACATTGACATTCCAAGTGTGTCAGCCTATCTGCAGTCTTGTTATACCTCATATTTACACCTGCCTGTATGCCAGGTGTCCTAGCTGTATCATGTAAACTACAGTTCCTCAAATCCTTCCTGCATTCTCTCAGCTCTAATTTTGCTCATTTTCTACCCTTTCCCAATAATGTCCTCATTCCCTATCACTGCCTTTCAAAGTACTTCTCATATTTCAAATTCATTTGAAAGGACACCTGCTCTACACTCCTTTTTCCCTCCAGTCTCTGCAATTCCAAATTAATCTGTTAGTTTCTTTCTGTTTGTATTTTGAATATTTTTTAAAATTCCATATATATTAAAATCATTTATCTGTTGAACTTCTCTTCTACCAGATTCTGAGACCCAGAGGGCAATGGCCATGCCTTATTTATCAAATTATCCCCCACTAAGCATAGCACAGATCCTGACATATAGTAGGATCTGTAGAATTGAGTTGTGTTAATTAATCCGCATCAAAGATTTTGCATGCTTCTTGGTAGCAGTTAATATACCAAGTGTTGTACAGGCCATTCAGAAAGAAGAGACTGCTACACTCTGTAGGTTTAAAGATCTCAGCTGTAACAGTCTGGGTTGATTTGTTTTCCGATTTTTTTTTTTTTTAAATCACAGAAACATTTAGTTTCTTCATCTATACAATGGTGATAAAAATCTGTTACATGATCCTGACTTCAGGGCCATAGATAATTTGTCCTGAAGGGGATCCCTGGCCCGCTCTGTCCTTCAATATAGGTAGTAACTGCGGAACGTGAAGATCTAGAGCATGCTTTCCTCATGAAAATGCAATCTGTGAGGCCGGGCATGGTGGCTGACACCTGTAATCCCAGCAGTTTCAGAGGCCGAGGCGGGTGGATCACCTGAGGTCAGGAGTTCGAGACCAGCCTGGCCAACATGGTGAAACCCCATCTCTACAAAAATACAAAAATTAGCCGGGTGTGGTGGCAGACACCTGTAATCCCAGCTACTTGGGAGACTGAGGCAGGAGAATCGCTTGAACCTGGGAGGCGGAGGTTGCAGTGAGCCGAGATCACGCCATTGCACTCTAGCCTGGGCGACAAGAGTGAGACTCCATCTCAAAAAAAAAAAAAAAAAAAGAAAAGAAAAGAAAAGAAAATGCAATCTGTGGTAACATAGAAAGAATTGAACATACTGAAAAAAGCAGAGACCCAAGAGACCAAGCAGGGGAATGTCCCGGCCACAGTAGCATCCCTGCTTCCAGTTGACCCTGGTACCAGCTGAGCCAACACGAGCTGTACTGTGCTTATGTGAGATATAGCAGTCAGTTCCTATACTGTCTGAGCCATCAAATGCAATAGGTATACAGAGATACCTTATTTTACGTAGTGGCTTACAGTGTACAAAATGTTTTCCCTTTATTATCTCATTTAGTATATAGGTAGCCAGCCATCTTCTCCACTGTGTTCCTACCCCACTGGTCCAGGTAGGTGGTGAAAAAAATGTTTTTATTGGAACAACTGTGTCAAGAAATAATAACATTTCCAATACCTGAAGTGCTTAGTCCCTACCTCTACCCTGCAAAGGTAATTACCATATATCAGTTCTGAATTTCATATACATTGAATCATACATTCTATATTGTTTAGTGTCTGGCCTCTTTCATTCATCATTATATCTTTGAGATTTATCCATTTCATTGCTTGCAAAAGTGATTAATTCATTTTCATGGCTAACTATTCCATTGGATGAATGCAACACAGTTTTAAAGTTCATTTTAATAGTGGACCTTTGAATTGTTTTGATTTTTACACTCTTACACTGAGTGCTATACAAGTTTTTTTGCTTTTTATTTTTCTTGCATATGTGTACCCATTTCTACTGTACATTGAGTTAGTAGCAGGTTTGCTTAGATCACAGGCTATGTGTATATTCAGCTTTGCAAGATACTCTCAGTTTTCCAGCAACAGTATAAGAGATCTAAATTCTCCCCATCCTGGCAAATGCTGGTATTGATATCTTTTTTTTTATGAAGATTTTGTTCAAGTCTTTTGTTCATTTTACTGTTGAATTGATTGCTTCTCTTCATATTGTTATGACCTCTTTCTGTATTCTGAATAAAGCCATTTATTTTTCAGATACGCATGTTGCAAATATATTCTCCCACTCTTTTGAAGGTGACTTTTGATTAACAGAAGCTCTTCAAAATGTAGTCTAATTTATCAATGGTTTCTATTATGGTTAGTGCCTTTTTGCATCTTATTTAAGAAATCTTTGGTTACCTCAAGGTCGTGAAGAGAAAACCCATAAGTTTTTCTCTAGAAACTATATTACTTTATCTTTCACATTTAGATTTATGATTCATTTGAATTTGAGTTTTTACATGGTATATGGTAAGGGTTATGATGAGTTTTTAAATATATATATAGATATCAGATTGACCTAGGGCCATTCATTGAAAAGTCTTTTTTCTCCACTGCACTCTGTATCTTAAGTCCGTGATGATTACGGGTGGGGCTATTTCCAAATCCTATTTGTCCCTTTGGTTTGTTAGTCAACTCTTATACCAATATCACCCTATCTTATTTCCTGTAGTTTAGGACATTTCATGTGTTACTGTATGTCTATAAATGGCATCACTTTCAATTTAACTTACTAATTATTTGTTGATGTTATGTCAAAATAAAATTAATTTGGAAATTAACCTTGTATCTAGTATATTTTCTAAATTAGTTTATTAATGCTAACACTTTGTTTTCAGATTATTTGAAATTTTTCATGTATAGAGCCATGCGTTTTGTAAATAATGGCAGTTTTGCTTCTTTCATTTCAAACTTTGTACTTTGTTTTCTTACCTCATCATACTGGCTAGGACCTCCAGCACACTGTTGAATAGAAGTAGTGAAAGTGGACATCTTTGCCCATTTTTGATATTATGAAAAAGCTTTTAGCATTTCCCTATTAAGTATAGTATTTTGTGTAAAATATCTTTATAAGGTGTTCTTTGGGATTACAAAAATTTCCCTCTATCCTTAGTTTGCTGAGTTTTTTCTTTGTAAATCGTAATTATAACATTTTTTCAAATGCTTTTTTTGAGGTGGTGGTATGAATATTCTCCTTTATTAACATGGAGAATTGCATTGATTTATATTTGTTAAACTAACCTCACAATGATGAAATAACTATTATTTGTTGCTTTAGATGCGGTTTTATTCAATTTGTTCATGTTTTGCTTACAATTTTTAGATCAATATTTATGAGATAAATATGCATATATTTATCCTTCTTGTAATGCCCTTTTGGATTTTGGTATCAAGGTCATTCTGCCCTTTTTTCTTTAAAAGTTTTTGTGTAAGTTGGTGTTATTTATTTCTTAAGTGTTTGGAAGAATTCACCAGTAAGTTATCTGGGCCTGAAGATTTTGTAGAAAGGCTTTTACTTACAGATTTTGTTTTTCTTATTGAGTACATTTGGTAAATTATGATTTTCTGGGAATTTCTCCATTTCATCTAAATTTTAAATTTATGGATATTCAGTTGCTTACATGTTTATTACTTTTGTGATGTTTGTAGAATCTCTGGTATGTGCCATTTGTCATTCCAGATACTGATAACTTGTGCCTTATTTCTCTCTTTAAACATTTTTTAATAAGCCTGTCTAGGGTCAATTGAATTACTCTTTTCAAGGAATCAAGTATTGGCATTGCTTATTTTCTGTGTTGTTGGTTTTAATTTAATTAACATCTGCTTAGCCTTTTCTATTTCCTTCATTCTATTTTTTGGGATTAATTTGCTTTTCAATTTCTAGCTTCTTAGTTGATTATTTATGTAATTTAAGCTGTTTTGAAAAAATTATATTCTTAACAATTTTTCTTATAACGTATACATTTAAGGTTATAAATTTCCCACTAAGCCTTGCCTTATCTGCATCCCATAAATATTAACACATCATAATTTAATTATCACCTAGTTTGAAACATTTTAAAATTCCCATTTTGATTTCTTCTGTGACCCATGGTTTATTTAGAAGGATATTGCATAATTTCCAAATATTAAAAAATTCCCCAGTTATTTTTTAAACTACTTTATTGAGGTATCATTGACATGTAAAAAGCTGTATATGTTTATGGTCCATAACTTGATGAGTGTGGGAGTAAGTATACACCCGTGAAACCATCACCACACTCAAGGCCATAGACACGACCTTTACCTCCCAAACTTTTCCCCAACCCGATTTATTATTATTATTATTTTGTGGTAAGAACACTTAACATAAGAGCTACTCTCTTAGCAAATTTTAAGTATATAATGGAGTATTTCTAGCTGTAGGCACTATGCTGTGTGTAGATTTCCAGAACTTACTTACCTTGTATAATTGAAACTTTGCACCATTTGACTATTATCTCCTCATCTTTCCAACCCCCAGCTTCTGAAAAATTATCTTTCTACATCTGAGTTTGATTGATTTAGATCCCATATAGAAGTGAGATCACACAGTGTTTGTATTTCTGTGTCTGGCTTATTTCACTTAGCATAACATCCTGTGAGTCCACCTATCTTGTCACAAATGGTAGAATTCCTATTTATTTATTTATTGAGATAGGGTCTTGCTGTGTCTCCCAGGCCGGAGTGTGGCCGCACCACCTTAGTTCACTGCAACCTCCGCCTTCCAAGCTCCAATGATCCTCCCACCTCAGCCTCCCAGGTAGCTGGGACTACAGATGCATGCCACTGTGCCCAGCTAATTTTTGTGTTTTTAGCAAAGAGAAGGTTTCACTGTGTTGCCCAGGCTGGTCTCTAACTCCTGAGCTCAAGATATCCACCCCTCTCAGCCTCCCAAAGTGCTGGGATTACAGGAGTGAGCCACCACACCTGGCCCTCTTTTTAAAGGCTAAATGTTATTCCACTGCATATATTTATCACATTTTCTTTATTTATCCATCCATTAATAGACATTTAGGCAGCTTTTTCCATCTTGGCTATTATGAAAAATGCTGCGGTGAACATGACAGTGCAGGTATTTCTTCGAGACTCTGATTTCAATTCCTTGGATAAATACACAGAAGTAGGATTGCTGTCTCATATGGTAGTTATATTTTTACTATTTCGAGGAACCTCTACACTGTCTTCCATAATGCTTGTGCCAATTTACAGTTCCATCACCAGTGTAGTAGGGGTTCCTTTTCTCCATATTCTTGCTAATACTTATCTTTATTTTTTTTAATAATAGCAATTCTGTGATGTGAGGTGTTATCTCATTGTGGTTTTGATTTGCATGTTCCTGATGATTACTGATGCTGAACACCTTTTCATATGCTTCTTGGCCATTCTTATGTCTTCTTTGGAAAAATGTCTCTTTAAATCCTTTAGCCAATGTTTAATTGCATTATTTGTTTTTTTTTTTTTTTTTTTTTTTTTTTGCTATTGAGTTGTGGGAGTTCCTCATATATTTTGAATATTAACCGTTTATCAAATATGTGGTTTGCATGTATTTTCTCTTATTCTGTGGGTTGCATTTTCATTTATTTGGCTATTTATTTTGCTATGGAGGAGCTTTTTAGTTTCATACAATGCCACTTGTTCATTTTTGCTTTTGTCGCCTCTGCTTTTGGTGTCATACCTAAAAAAAATTATTGCCAGAACTAAAGTCAAAGATCTTTTCCATTTCTCCTTCTCGAATTTCTTCCATTACTGGTTTTTGTTGTCAGCGTACGGATCTTTTGCCTCACTGGTTAAATTTATTTCTAAATATTTTATTCTTTTGAAATTATTGTAAATGGGATTGTTTTCTTAATTTGTTTTTTCTGGATAGTTTCTTACTAGTGTATAAAACTGCAACTGCTTTTTGTGTGTTGATCTTGTATTTTGAAACTTTACTTTGTATCCTGAATTCCTTTCTTAGCTCCAACATTTTTTTTCTGGAGTATTTAGGGTTTTCTACATATAGGAATATGTCATCCCTATCAGTCCTGTTGAAATAAGCCTAGTTAAGAGCTTCCTTTAGTGACTGGTGCTGATTAGGCCCCCAGTCATGTGTGAAAAAAAAATATATATATATAAATAATATACATATATTAAAATATATAATATAATATATATGTGTTTATATATGTATATATGTTATATATGTATATATATGAAGATATATTCATATTTTATTTGTCCTTATATTTAAACTAACTTTATTAAAGCAGCACACACTTTTGGAACCCAGTTAACAATGCTTTCTTTTTCATGAGTTTATTTAAAATATTTACATTCAAATATATTTGAATGTATGTCTAGTATGGTAATTTTTATTTTCTAGTTGTCCTTTTTTATAATTATTTTATAAGCCTTCCCACCATATTTTGGACTAAAAATTTGTCTTTTATTATTGCTTTTTCTCCTTTATTGATTTGTTAGAAGTACATTCCAATTTGTCTTTTATTATTGCTTTTTCTCCTTTATTGATTTGTTAGAAGTATATTCCTTAATGGTTATTATAGAGATTAAAATATGCTTATGTTATTAGCTTAATATAACTTTTTACTTTTACCATTTCTCAGACAATGCTAAGGAAACACTCTGACTCCATTTATCTCCTTCCTTTCTTAGATGTTTTGCATATTAAATCTAGGTATGTTTTAAACTGCAAAAAACATAATATATTGTTTGTATAGTAATAAATAATTTGAATTTACTTATATATTTTCCCTTTCCATTGTTTTTCATTTCTGTTTGCATTCCCATGTTTTTCTCTGGGATCATTTTTCTTCGTAAAGAGAACTCTTAAAATTTACCAGTACTAGATATGATGACAAATTCTGTTTTTATTTGCCTTAAAGTGTTTTCATTTTTTTTCACTTTTGAAGGATAATTTCAATGGATATAAAATGTCCAGGTTGACAGTATTGTTTTCTTTCAGTATTGTGAATTGTTCATTCCATTGTGTTTGACTTCCATACTTACTGCTGAAAAGTCAGATGTCTTTTCTTTGAAGAAATGTGTCTATTTCCTCCCCACCTCCCAAGCTGCTTTTAAAATTTTCTATTTACATTGGAGTTTTAAGCAGATTTTTCTTTTTATTTTGTGCCTAGGCTTACTTTTACTTTGTATTGATCTTGGTTGCGGTCATAATATTTCTTGATTTGTGATTTGATGTGTTTCAGCAATTTCAGAAATTTCTTCAAACTCTGCTTTTGCCCTTTCCTTCTCTGCATCTTGTGGACTACCAATTGCATATACCTTGCACCATTTCAATGTATCTCATCTATCGGCTATACTTTCCTTTTGTTGTATTCCATTCTTTTTTATCTCTATTATCTAGTCAGTGTGTTTTTCTACTTGACTATCTTCCTGTTTTTTAATGTTCTCTTTATCTATGTCCTGTAATTCATATCCTGCTGTTACATTAATCAATTAACTTACTTAATTTCAATAATTGTATTTTAAAATTCTAGAATTTACATTGATTTTAAAATATTTTAAAATCTACTTGTGAAATTCTGTCCATCTTATCGTCTATTTTCTTGAACATGTTAACTAGTTATTTTAAAGTCTGTGTCTTACAACTCCAGATAGCTCACCAGCCATTCTTTCAACATGAATTTTGTTAGCGGAAGGAAGGCTAGTAGTCAGGCAATTACAAATAAGTCTGACACAATACTAAAAAGTAGATTTACTTTAAGTAGAAGATTATTTGGTCAGAATTTACTCAATAAATATTTATTTAGTACCTACTGTGTTCCAAGACACTTTTTAAAGTGCTAGACTTCATGGCTTGAAGGTCTTTCTTACTGACCACTAACCTTCACTGATTTTACTTTTTCTGATCTCAACTACTGGCTTTTTTTATTTTTTTTTTAGACAGAGTCTCACTCTGTCACCCAGGCTGGAGTGCAGTGGTAAGATCTTGGCTCACTGCAACCTCCATCTCCCGGGTTCAAGTGTTTCTCTTGCCTTAGTACCTTAGACTCCTTAGTACCTGGGACTCAGGCGTGTGCCATCACACCTGGCTAATTTTTGTATTTTTAGTAGAGATGGGGTTTGACCATGTTGACAAGGCTGGTCTCAAACTCCTGACCTCAGGTGATCTGCCTGCCTCAGCCTCCTGAAGTACTGTGATTACAGGCATGAGCCACTGTGCCTGGCCTCAACTACTGGCCTTCTGAGCATCACTTTTCTGTCTCATTTCTTTACCACCAACCTCCCCCAAATCAGTCTGTCCTTCCCTCAGCTCCTCCTCATTTCTTCTGACTCTCCTGTGCACATACCCTTTTTATGGTCCTACTCTTTCCTCTTAATCCCAGAATCTTCCCTCAGAGTTCACTGATGGCTACTTAAGTAATCCCAGATAAACCTTTTCTTCCTCCAACATTCTGGAATGAAGGTATTTTGCCTCCCTTTTCATAAACGTGCTCAGAATGTTGATTGTTCAATTATGGACATCTTCATCAAAACTTTAACTACTTTTAAAAATCCATTTGCTCATCAACTTAACAAAATCTTTTATGGAATGCTTTCTATGTGTCAGTCACTGTTATGAGTGTAGGAGGTACTTGTTCTCACTGATCTGGTGATATAGTGAAGGCGATAAGCCTTTATCAATCATAGAGGCAAGGATATAATATAGGCTAAATAACTTATGCAGGAAAAGAAATTGATTCTTTAACATGTTTCCAAAAAACCACATGTTGGCTGGAGGGTCAGATAAGGCTATGTAGGAAAGTGACAGTTGAAAGGTGCGATGCAGAGGCTAGACAGTGGTTGGGGAGCATTCTAGGCAGTGAAAAGAGCAGTGCAAAGGCCCTGCTTTAGGAGAGATCATGGCACCTTGAAGCAATTGAAAAGGAGTGAATATGGCTGGAACACAGACAGTAAAGGGCACAGTGGTAAGAGGTAAGGAGTAAGAAGAAGAATGAGACAGGCATTAGGGACTTTGGTAGCTACATTCAAGGCTTTGTTCTTAATCCCAAGAGTGATGAGAAACTGTTTCAACTTGGGTTCTAAGGTGATGTATGGCATTTTAAACACATTACCCTCACTGCCCTTTGGAAAAGACCCTGGTTGGAGCCTGTAGTAGATGTGAATTTAGCTTTTCTTTTTGTGTAAAGAACTGAGTTTCTTGTGGATAAATCAGAAATGAATATGACATGCATCCTATACATAAGAGGTTCATGTAGTCAGAGATGTATGCAATAATGGGGCCATGAATAATAACCAATACAGAGCAGGGTGCCAAGTACCATAGAGAATGTCTGCTCTGGCTATGCAGAGGATAGGAGATTACTTCTATATGAAGCTATCAGAGAAGGCTGAATAAAGCCAGCATCTGAGCTGGGCTTCAGGGGGTGGGTAGAATTTGTATACACTGAGTTCTGGAAAGGATGTCCTACTCAGGTGAGTGGAGGCTTCTGCTCTCAGCACTTTTCACTCTACCTCTTCAGGGGCTGCTTACTCAACTCTCTGCCTTCTTGGCTTATTACACTTGATCTGGCTTATTTCATAAGGCTATTAGCTACACAAAGTCAGGGCCATAGCCATCTTGTTCACTACTGAACTTTTAGCACCTGGTAGAGTGCTTTTCATAGAGTCAATGTTCAGTAAAATATATGCAGAATGAATGAAAGATGGACATGGAGGCAGGAAAAATCAGAGTTTGTGTAGGAAGAATGAGTAATTCAGTTTTGCTAGAGCAGTACTTCTCAACTGGGGCACCTCCCACCCCCCTCCCTCCACCACCAGGGGACATTTGGCAATGTCTAGAGATGTTTTTGGTTGTCGCAGCAGAAGGGGGTGGTGATGCTTCTGACATTTAATGGTTAGAGGTCAGGATGCTGTGAAACATTCTAATATGCACTGATCAGCTCTCCAAAAAAAGCCAGCCCCAGCCCCCAAAATGCCAGCATTGGGAAACGCTGAGCTAGAGACAACGGGAATGGGGGGATAATACATGAAAAAGTTGCTTGAGGTGAGTTAATAGAGAGCTTTGAATGCTTGGGTAAGAACTGTGAACTTTAAAGAATAAACAATGAGAGCCTATCCAGAGTTGAAGTTGGAGAGTAACCAAATTTGAGGTTTGCTTCTGGAAGATGAATCAGGATTATTTATTAGTGAGGTAGTGATAATTGCAACATTTAAATTTGTAAAAATAGATTTCCTGGACACATTCAGAGACTAGTAGTAAGATATTATCGGCACATACTAAGACTTTCACAAGTGCATTTTGACACAGATTGTGCTTGTTACTTAAAATTGGTGCCAAATAACTATAATCCATACATTCATACATTTGTGAATATTTTAGACTTCTCATTAGCATTTGCTTAATTACTATGTCCTCAGCTACTGCTCTGGGTAATAGAAGCACAAACGCCATATGCTGCAATTGATTTGCAGCCACAGTCTTTGATCGGAAGTCCGTGGGATGCTGATTGGTGTCTGAAGCAACTGATCATCTGTACGATACTTTTAACTAAGTTGGAGAGATAAAAACATGATGTTGCAATAATTATTAGTCATTGGAGTAAATAAGTGTGTCACTACACTAACTCCTCATGCGGCCCAAAATTTTATGGATTTTTGTCCTTATAAATGGGTTGCATCATTTTTATAATTTATATCATTTAAATTGGAAAAGATTTTTAAAATACTTTTTTGGAGGACAAGAAAAAGGAAAGGATAAATTGAATTATTCATTATATTTGGAATCAATACAAATTGCTTACGGCAAGATGATTTGCATATAATGGTCAATGTATCAATCTTGTCAGGCCAATAATTAATATAATATATAAATTAAAAGAACACAAATATATGAAGACTTTTCCTGTTACAAATGTTATGTCATTGCATTGTGGGATCTTTGCACACCCTTCTCATGTTTGGGGCATGATTTGCTCCTGGTGGGTAGATGTGTCCTGTGTCCTGGGTGCTATCAGTCTCGTCAAGAAGAGAGGAAAATGGGATGAAGCAGATGACATGGGAAAATTTCTTTTGTAATTTTTGGGAGGCAGTGGAGAATCTCACTTTGGGCTGGTGTTGGATCTTGGGCCTACACCACATTCTAGAGTGTGAGCTGGGGCATCTGTGTCCATTGGTCGTGGTGGTGCTAGAATTTTCTCTGGAGAAGTCCTGTAATGTTTGAGTATTATTTTCTGGTTGGATTGACTTCAACACTGACTCTCTGATCTTGCTAGAGATTCTAGAACTGCCTAATATCCTTTAATACATGTCTTTTCTGTCTGTATTAGCTAAAGAGGATTTTGCTATTTGCAGTTAGAAATGCTCACTGATACACCTTGTATAATCCCATTTGGTTAAAAAAAAAAAAACTGTTTTCAGAGAAAAAAGTATAACAATGGTTATTTCTTCCAGCAGAGATTTCTGAAGATTTCTATCTTTTATGTGTTTGTTTTTCTTTATTTTTGAAATTTTCTGCAATGAGCAACTATTTCTTATGTCAAAGCTTCTAGGGAGTAAATACATGGGAAAACTTGTTACATTAAAACATTAATCTATTTATGGGATATGAGAAATGAGAAATTCTATTGGCTTTCTGAGATTGGGTTGAACTTATTGTAAAAAATAAGAGTCATAGCCATAGAACTTCATGGAGACTTACAAGATTAGGGTTAAAGCCAGCCTTGTCCATGGCTAATTGACCTTGAATACATCATTGGGTCTCTGGGCTTCCAGTTTTTCATTTGAACAGTGACTGGGTTGCGGTAGATCAGTGATTTTTAAACTTAGTTCTGTGTAACCTCGGTGTTGCGGGTAGATAGGAGAAGGAAGGATTACTTGTGCATAGGGCTGCAGTATTAAAGTCTCTAAATGAAGTCAGGGGAGGCCCACATGTACCTGTCTCACATGTTGGATTTCAAAATTTTTCTTTGGAAGCAATGTTCTGGCTAGTAACATATTTCAGAAACTATTGAACTAAATTATCTTTAAGGTCACTTTCAGCTATAATATTTTATTATTTTATTGCTTTTCCCAATGAATTACACTTACTGTAATGTCAATTAGGTAACTTTACACACACACACACACACACACACACACGAAACCCAGAATTGTAAAATTATGAGCCAGAAAAGAACTTATTGATCTCAACTTTTTATTCTTATAATTTCTAACCGTATTATCTAACAACTCAGTTCGCCTTTAAGAACTCACTTAAGACAAGCATTTACCTGTCTGTGAGAATTCTATTATTATATTTGTCATTGACAATATGTTTAAACGCATACACTGTCATATTATTAGGAATATATGTTATACTGCTACTGAAATATAAACAAATGAATGCAATTCCTAAAAAGAAGAATATTGTTGCTGACTACAATTTAATATACTTTCACTACGAAGCATAGTAAATATGCTTAGTATAATGACGTATAATAAAGAATAACAATTTTTGTCATCAGAAAAGATGTGACAATAATTCATGCTGAGAAGCTTTCATCTGGATTTTATGGATCAACACATTGATTTCTCTAGCATATAAAAATATTCTGGGAATTTGAACACATTGAAAATTTAGTATGGTTGAAGCATTGGTCATTTGTATAAAGGCATTCAAGAGAAATTTGCAAGAGATAAAAGCCAAAAACAGAGCTCAGATTGCCAATAAACTTGAATTTCATCTTAGAATTCAAGGTTTTATTTTTATTTTGAAAGTGATGGAGGTGCAGTAATAATTTTTAAGCCATAGAATGACAGGATTAGATTTGAATTTTTAAAATATCAATTCAGCTGTGGTGTAATGAATCAGGGAAGGTTAAGTCTTGTGGCAGAAGCAGTAATTAGAAGGTTTATTTCAGGTATGAGATCAAAGAATTAAGTTAATTACATTAAAGGTGGAGAGAAATTGAGGCATTTCAGAAAAAGTAATGAGATAGAAGCCACAGGAGTCACATATTTGGATTAGGGAGTAAGAAAATATGAGACATTAATGATGATGCTGTGTTTCCTTCTTGGTTAGCTGACTGGAACAAAATCAGAGAAAGAGTAGCTTTGAGAACAAATGATGAAAAGTTCCATTTTGTAATGAATATGTGTGGTTCAAATTTATACTACTGTCATTGATCTGAGAACTCACAAGCCAAGAAAATATCATGAAATTTGCCCTGGCAGGTCTCCTGCCGGAAGAAAACTTGATACTCCTCTGAAGGGACACACACTGAACCAAAGTTGTCCAGAATTCTCACAGGAAAAGTCCCATGAAAGAGGAACTCACAACCAAAAATGGAAAACTATATGGGAGTAAAAGCTGCTTTGAGTCAGAATCAGAGGACCCAAAAGCAGAAAAATTTTAACTATAAGTACTTCAGATTGCATACCAGTTTGAGAGATTACAACATAATTGTTTAAAATTAATAAACAATAGAATAAATTGAAACCATAAGACAGCCATGAGACATTATGATGAAGAATAAACCAATGTAGCCAAATACAGCTTCTAAAGAGAAAAACATAGTAATCAAAATTTAAAATTGTCAAAGGAAAATAAAACATTACGTAAACAATAGTTGAAGGCAGAATTAATGAACTAAAAGACTGAAGTGAGGAAATTAGCAAAGTGGTAGTACAGAGATAAATAATATCTGAAATTTTAAAGGACATAGGGCACAGAGGAAAATAAATTAGTTTATATTTCGTATGAGACACAAAAATCAAATAGGATGAATTGGGGAAAGGCAATATTCAAAAAATGATGGCTGGAATTTTTTCAGAATAAATGAAGTACATGAATATTAATATATAATAATAACAATGAGTCCTAAGTAGAAAAAATGAAAGTAAATTCATATATAAAAATATTGGTGAAGCTGCATGATATCAAAGACATAGAAGACAAAATATTATTAGAGGGAAGAGTCTGCTTATTTGCAGAGCAACAGCAAATTTTCAGCAACAGTACAGACTAGAAGACATGGGGCTTTTATCCTTAGAGAGCTGAGAGGATATAATTATTAGTTTAGGCATCTATTCTCAGTAAAAAAAAATTTCTTTTTTTAACTCTTATTTTAGGTTCAGGGGTACATGTGAAGTTTTGTTACATAGGTAAACATATGGGGCATGGGAGTTTGTTGTACAGATTATTTCATCACCTAGTAATTAAGCCCAGTACCCAATAGTAATCTTTTCTTGTCCTCTCCCTCCTCTCACCCTCCACCCTCAAGTAGATTCCAGTGTTTGTTGTTTCCTTCTTTGTATTCATAAGTAGTTATCATTTAGCTCCCACTTGTCAGTGAGAACATGTTATTTGATTTTTTGTTCCTATGTTAGTTTACTAAGGATAATGGCCTCCAGCTTTATCCATGTTCCCACAGAAGACACGATCTCATTCTTTTACGTGGCTGCACAGTATTCCATGGAGTATCTGTACCACATTTTCTTTATCTAATCTGCCATTGATGACATTTCAGTTGTTTCCATGTCTTCTGCTATTGTGAATAGTGCTGCAGTAATGGGATTGCTGGGTCAAATGGTAGTTCTGCTTTTAGCTCTTTGAAGAATCACCATACTGCTTTCCACAATGGCAAAACTAATTTACACTCCCTCCAGCAGTGTATAAGTGTTCCCTTTTCTCTGCAACCTTGCAGCATCTGTTATTTTTTACTTTTTAGTAATAGCTATTGTGACTGGTGTGAGATGATATCTTATTGTGGTTTTGATTTGCATTTCTCTAATTATCAGTGATACTGAGTATTGTTCATATGCTTGTTGGCAGCATGTTTGTCTCCTTTTGTAAAGTGTCTGTTCACATTCTTTGCCCACTTTTTAATGAGGCGATAAAGGCAATCCCATTTACAACTGCCACAAAAAGAATAAAATACCTAGAAATACACATAACCATGGAGGTGAAAGATCTCTGCAATAAGAATTACAAAACACTTCTGAAAGAAATCAGAGATGACACAAACAAATGGAAAAACATCTCATGCTCATGGATAGGAAGAATCAGTATCACTAAAATGACTATACTGCCCAAAGCCATTTACAGATTCAATGTTATTTCTGTCAAATTACTAATGACAATTCTTTATAGAAGTATTAAAAAAACCTATTTTAAAATTCATATGGAACCAAAAAAGAGCCCTAATAGCCAAGGAAATTCTTAGCAAAAAGAACAAAGATGGAGGCGTAATGTTACTCACTTCAAACTATGCTACAAGGCTACAGTAACCAAAACAAAATAGTACTGATACAAAAACATGCACATGGACCAATGGAACATAATAGAGAGCCCAGAAATAAGGCTGCACATCTATGACCATATGATATTTGACAAAGCTGACAAAAACAAGCAATGGGTAAAAGACTCCCCATTCAACAAATGGTGCTGGAATAACTGGCTAGCCATACGCAGAAGATTGAAGCTGGACCCCTTCCTTACACCATATACAAAAATCAACTCAATATGGATTAAAGACTTAAATGTAAAACCCAAAACTGTAAAAACCCTGGAAGCCAAGCCAGGCAATACGTCCTGGACATAGGAACAGGCAAAGATTTCATGACAAAGACCCCAAAAGCAAATGCAACAAAAGCAAAAATTGACAAGTGGTATGTAATTAAACTTGAGTTTCTTCACAGGAAAAAAAAAAACTATACACAGAATAAACAGATAACCTTTTGGGAGAATGGGAGAAAATATTTGTACACTACGTATCATCTATAAAGAAAAATATTTCAACATCAATGTTGAAACAAATACGTTTTTAAACAAGACTAAGAGCATTTACATAGAGTCTCTCACTTAAGTATGAAGGATGGAGTTTAGGAAAAAGGAAATTAAACCAGAAAGTAGAAATATAATTCAAGAAGTGATATACCCCAAAAATTTAATGAACATGTGGGTAGCGCTGAGAAAGTATTTGCTCTGCTGTTCTGTAAAAATAAAATAAAAATAATACCAACCCCGTCTCTATTAAAAATCCAAAATTAGCCAAGCATGGTGGCGCATGCCTATAATCCCAGCTATATGGGAGGCTGAGGCAGGGAATCCTTGAAACCGGGAGGTGGAGGTTGTGGTGAGCCAAGATCACGCCATTGCACTCCAGCCTGGGCAACAAGAGCAAAACTCTGTCTCAAAAAAAAAAAAAAAAAAAAAAAAAAAAGAAAAGAAAAAAGAAAATAATAATACCAGTCATTTAGAATAATAAAAACAAGGTAGAACTAAAATCCTGGGTTGAGGGAGGAAGAATACCATTTTCAATTACAGGGGTGTTAGAAGTTTCTCGTATGGCATTATGGTAGGCAGAACATCTTCAACAAAACACAAAAATTGTAATCCAACAATGAAATATTGTTTTCTTTGACTATATTAAAATTAAAGCTTCTGAAAGTTAAACTCATAGAAGCAGAGAGTGAAATGGTGGTTGCCAAGGATTAGGGAGTGCTGGGGAAAGGAGAGATGTTGGGCAAAGGGTACAAAGTTTGTTAGACAGGATAAATAAATACTTCTGGAGTTCTACTAGACAGCATGGTGACTACGATTAATAATAGTGGATTGTATACTTAAAAATTGCTGAAAGAGTAGATCTCATATGTTCCCAACACCAAAAAGATGATGTTTGTGAGGTGGCATATTAATTAGATTGATTTAATTTTTTAAAAATGTGTATGTATATTAAAATATCACATATTGTATGCCATAAATACATATATATTATATATTTTTGTAAAGTATATCTCCATAAAGCTGGGGGAAAATAAAATTAAATCTTCTGTATGGCAAAATATGCCCAAAACAAAGTGAAAAAAGCCAACTACAGAAATTATTTGTAAACCATGTAACAGATAAAGTATTACAAGCCAAGATATAAAATTTCTTACAAAACACTAAGAGAAAACACCAAACAACCCAACCAGAAAATGAGAAACAAGACAATTCCTAGAGGAAGAAAACTGAGTGGTCAATACAATAAATGAAAAGCTATGTGATCTCACAAGAAAATAGGGAAATGCTAGCACAATGAGATGCCATTTGATACTCATCATATTGGCAAAACTTTATAAATCAAAGACAACAAGGGCTGGCAGAATGTCAGGAAACAGAAACTCTTATTCAAGGGAGAGTTCAATGGTATAATTATTTTGAAGAGCAATTCGGCAGAATTTTCATCTAAGTATTTAGCAGAATTTTGGTATAACTATTCTGAAGAACCTTAAAATGAATACATACCTAATAACTTAGCAAGCCCCCTTCTAGATTTTTGACCTAGAAAAACTCGAACTTGTGCACAGGTATGTTTATTGCAGATTGCTTGTGGTAGCAAAATAGTAGAAGCAAATTATCTATCTCTTATAGGAGAAAAAAATAGATTGTGGGTTATTCATATAGTGGAGTATCGATTAAGATGGACTCAGTGTATACATATACTATAGACAATCTCAAAAGAATGGCATTGAATAAAAAAGCAGCTTTCAAAAGGATACCATCATTCACATAAACGTAAACATACAGAAAACATAAAAACATTTAAAATAGTATATTTTGACCATAATATTTGTGTATTATTTATATATATTACACATATTTGTATATTTATTATACATTTATAATAAAAGAATTAAAACCCTCACGCCTGTAATCCCAGCACTTTGGGAGGCCGAGGCGGGTGGATCATGAGGTCAGGAGATCAAGACCATCCTGGCTAACAAGGTGAAACCCCGTCTCTACTAAAAATACAAAAAATTAGCCGGGCGCGGTGGCGGGCGCCTGTAGTCCCAGCTACTCGGGAGGCTGAGGCAGGAGAATGGCGTGAACCCGGGAAGCGGAGCTTGCAGTGAGCCGAGATTGCGCCACTGCAGTCCGCAGTCCGGCCTGGGCGACAGAGCGAGACTCCATCTCAAAAAAAAAAAAAAAAAAAAAAAAGAATTAAAACCTACTGTGAATGATATACACTGACTTTTAGTGTAGTGATAACTTCTGGGGAGAGGGAGCAAAGCAGTAAAGGCTTTTTCTTCCCCCTGGTTCTTCTCCATTCCCCAAGTCTAAGACCCTCCCAGAATTTAACCTTTGGCCACCTGAGCTTTTTCTCATAATCATTGCTCAGGTCTGATTGTACGGTTTGTTTGCTCAACATTATGTAATATTTTCTGTACTTTTTGGAACATTTCAGAATTAGAAATTGTTTTAAAAATTGTTAAAGAGGTTGGTCAACAATGCAAGTGTTGCAGAGATTAAATGAGACCAGTGCTGAGAAAAGTCTATCGGTCTTGCAACCACAGAGCTGACTGATGGTTCAGCAGGGGAGACTCAGCTGGTTGGTGGCAGAGCAGGATTAGATCTCAATCTTACGAGCCTTGGTGTTTTCATTTCTTCCACTTGATCATACCGCTTCCCTATGTGGTTAAAATTCCTTCAGAGGTCCCCAAATCCAGCTACAAATCTAGTAGCAGGGTGAGGAAAACTGAGGGCAGTCAGTTATCCCCATGCTGAGGCAGGCACAGCCAGGAGAGGAAGTACGAGGGTGCAAGAGGCTGTGCCAGAGGCAACTGTGATATCTGCTGAAAGATGCTAAGTTACTAACTCTCACTTTTAAATAGGACTTTCCCCTAGAGCCAGGTGGGAGGATGGGGCCACAGCAAGAAAAGAGAAGAAAATTCTGCAGCTGGAGTTTCCCTTTCTTCCAGACTGTCTTGTTTCTGCAAAGGCTTCCCCAAAGTAACACCATTCTCTCCCACAGTTTGGATCCCCACACACCCTGCTTGGAAAGAGTAAACAGTAATTAGTTATATAAAGTGACAGAAAAGATACAGACACAAATTAGTGAAGGAGGATGAAGGCACAAGTGTATCATTACATGGGAGGAGCAAGTATCCTACCTTCCAGAGTTCTACTGGGAGGAAAAGCCTGAGAAAGGTGGGCTCAGCCCAGGCAGAATCTTGAAGATGTTCTAAATTCCACCACCAGCCATCCCAGCTTTCTTTCACCACCCCCCCAACCCTCCGCCCAAGTACTTCAAAGCATCCTTGCTCTGTGCCAGACCACTTTGGTCACCAAGTCTAAATTTCAGTACCAGATCTGCCACTAACTTGCTGTGTGACCTTAAGCAAGTCATCTACCTTTCCTAAGCCTGTTTCTTCATTCTCAAGTGAAAAAGGTGAGAAAAGACTATGTCTAAATTTCTTTTACCTCTGATACCCTATGCGACTATAAATATCTTCAAGATATTGTCCTCCATGCAACAAAATTAGCCCTGGGTCATTTACTCATGGTCAAATGTAATCTATTGATAGCAGCTGAAGAAATTGCACTTTAGCCCTAAAACAAACGTGGTTCCAGAGGTCCAGCAGGTACGATAAGTTTCTAAAGCAGCCAGAGGTGAGACAATAGGGAGCAGTGGGGGTTCAGGGGAGCTGGAGAGTGTCTGCCTCACCTAGAGGCATCCACATGCAAGTGTTTCAGAAACACTGTGCTGCCCAGGGCCATCAGAGTGCAGCCCCAGATAAAAGAAAAAGAAAATCTGTGATGGAATTTCAGGCATGCATCCTATGAGGTTTAAGAGGATTAGGGCAGCAGAGAGTAAAGGAGTGGGTGAGAGAAGTTGGACCATCTCATAGTCAAATCATCAGTTGCTATCTCATTCACTATTATTCTAGATTTTTAGAGAGGTAGCCATGGATAGATTTTACCCCCAACTTCGCCCTGTCTACACATCAGTTAATTCAGTCAATTAGATCTCAAGGCAAGTACTCAACTTCACTTTCCTCCTTGATATGGTTTGGCTCTATCCCCACCCAAATCTCATCTCTAATTGTAACCCCCACATGTCGAGGGAGGGACCTGATGGGAGGTGATGCGATCCTGGAAGTGGTTTCCCCTATGCTGTTCTTGTGATAGTGAGGGAATTCTCACAAGATCTGATGGTTTAAAAGTGGCAGTTTCCCCTTCGCTCTCTCTCTGTCTCCTGCCGCCATGTAAGAAGTGCCTTGTGTGAAAATGGACTAATATACTCCTGTTTTACATTAAAGGGTTCGAGTAACTTTGCTTCAGGATCTTTTCAGGATCTAGTATCTTATAAAGCTAAATACAAAATGGCTCCAGGATTTATTCATTCATTTGTTCAACATAGATTGCCAAGTATAGCTCACAAATATTTATCAGACAAAGATTGTCTCAGGAGCCTAGAATTCTAGAGCTAACAGCATCACCCAATGTTCTTTTGACAAGTAGTTATTGGGTACCAGCTCTGGTTGCAGGCATTGTTCTGGCCTCTGGAATGCAGCAGTGAGCAAGGCAGATAAGGTGTCTGCCCTCATGCAGCCCAACAACAAACATGTGGAAAAAAAGTTAGTAAGTTAATTTCAGCTGGTTATATATATGAGCTGAAAGAAATGGTGAGTGAGGTAGAGAATGATAATGATACATTTTAAGGGACAGTCAAAACAAATGGCCCTCAAGCTGAGGCTGAAATGGTGAATGAATGCCATACAAATAAAACTAGGGATGAAGGCCAACCAGAAGTAAGAGTCTTGTAAAAGGAGCAAGTTTGACATGTTTGAGGAAATCACACCAAGACTATACTTCGTGGAGCATAGGGAAATGAGAGAGTGGTAGGAAATGAAGGAAACTCAGGGATCAGATTTTCTATCTCAGTCATCCTGGTGGACAGCAAGGAATACTTTCTGACGGTATACAAAAATGTAAATCAGGAATTTCAGGATATAGACAAAAGACCAACCCAATAGGAGTCAAGAGGCTTGAATTTTACTCCAACATCTGCCATTAACTGCTGTGTGACCTAGGTATGCCTGCAAGTCATTTAACATCTCTGGGCTTCAGTTTCTTCAGCTGTGATTGAGATGGTCATATTAGATATACATTAGGAAATGCCCCCACTATAAGATAAATCCCGTGAGAACAGGAATCTTACTTCAATGATATATTCATATATCAACAGTGACTAGCATGGTTCTGAACATATATTTGGCACTCAGCAAATATTTATTGGATGAAGGTTAAGCTATCTTTCTAGCTTTAGCGTTCTAGGATTCTAAGGCAATCTTTGATGAATATTCATTAGTTTTATTTTGGTAATTTGTGCCTTCCATGACCAATCTACATATAAAGTTGTGAGTGTAATACATGTTGTTTGCTGACCAATGAGATCAATTCTGCATACATTCCCTGGATAAACAATGGATAATAATCAGATAATTGCAGAGAGAGATTCCTACATTGAACCAGGCTACCATATACTGAGGGCTTGCAATGTGCCATTTTAAGCATTTTATATGCATTCTTTTATTTAATGTTTAAATCAATCCTGTGAATTGGGAAAACTGGCATTCAGTGAAGTTAGGTAACTTTTTCAAGGTCAGGCAGCTAGCCAGGACTCACACCCAAGTCTGTCACTCCCAGGCAGTGCTTTTAGGTTCTATACCATGTTGCTTTCTGAGTTATTGTTTCTTTTACTGAAAAGATACTCAGTAATTAATAGTTCAGGTCTGGTGCAGCCAGCCAGTGATATCAATGACCCGTACCTCTAGCCTTCCATTTTGTTGTCTCTGTGTATGGCTTCCAGGTGGCTACTGTTGCTCTAGATATCAATTTTGGTTCAAAGAGAAGAAAAGGGAAGATGTGATGCCAGCAATCTTTATTCATTTACTCAGAAAAACAAGTCTTCCCCAAATGCTTACTCAGCTTCTGCCTGTAACTCCTTGGCCCAAACTATATCTTGTTGCTCCTGGCAGCCAGGGAGGTTGAAAAAGAGAGTAGCTTGATGGAGTTGGGCATATTGGTGCCCCCAAACAAAACTGGGGTCTGTCACCTAGGAAGTAGGAGAGAATGGCTATTGGGAAGGTAGTTATCAGTGTCTGCAGTACCTAATAGGACAGCCTGGCCATTGAATTGTTACAGAATGTCTGATTGCTTAGGGGTACTGTTAAGTTATAATGAGCTATTTTTACTTTGTAATTTCTCCTTTGAGTTTTTTTATATATAAATACACAGAGAAAATGAAAGTAGTCACTAAGCAGAGCTTTGGAGGTCATAAACTAGGCACCAAGTGGAGTCATGTAATTGGAAGGTGTGTGGCACTGGGTGACTGGACTCCTGATGTCCATCTGTCTAGTCCTGGCTCTGCCACCAGCTGATTACCTTAAGAAAATCCTTTTTTGGGGGAAAGCTCCAGTTTCTCCATAGTAAAATAAGGTGTTTGTACTAGATAAAGTCTAAAATCTCTTAGAAGGTTTTGCTAACCTTATTTATGTCACTTAAGGATTGACATTTGAAAAGAATGAGAGAATGAAGGGTGTTAGTTTAATGAGCATGAAATGTTTTATATGCTGTTATAAGAATTGAGAGAGCTTTTGAGTATTACCTTTCTCCACTAAAAGTTGGGTAAGATGGGGTGAAAAGCTTTAAAACAAATAACAGGTAAAATTAGATGAAGTAATCTGTATAACCAGAAGATAAAGATCAAATGTAAATGTTAAAAGGGCTGCATTTTGCACTAGACAATGCAAATTCCACCATCAAGTTGGTATTAAGAAACTGGGAGATTCTGGATTCTGGTGTTGTCAGTTCCAGGACTAGAGCTTCAACCACAGCCCTCCTTGGGGTATTAAAAAAGCAGCCGAAAAATGACCAGGCAGCTTCCCAGGGAACAGGAGCTCCCCGGAAATGCCTTGCAAAGGACTCATCATCTCCACAGTTTTTACATGGCCCAGATTAGGAGTGGGTGTGTGGTAGGTGCTACTGGACACTTTTGTGTTTCTTCTTTTTAATATAAAATGATGATAATAATGATGATGATGATGATGATGATGATGATGATGATGATGGCAATTAGTATTAATGAGTGTTTTCTATTTGCCAGAGGCTGTAACTATGATAACTGCTTTTAGATATTATCTTTAAGTCCCAGTTTCTTCATCTGTAAAATATGAGTATTATTAGCCTTTGCATCATTCTTTTTTTTTCTGCAAAATATCAAATTAACTTTATTTATTATTATTATTATTATACTTTAAGTTTTAGGGTACATGTGCACAATGTGCAGGTTAGTTACATATGTATACATGTGCCATGCTAGTGCGCTGCACCCACTAACTCATCATCTAGCATTAGGTATATCTCCCAATGCTATCCCTCCCCCCTCCCCCAAGTGGGCTTCATCCCTGGGATGCAAGGCTGGTTCAATATATGCAAATCAATAAATGTAATCCAGCATATAAACAGAACCAAAGACAAAAACCACATGATTATCTCAACAGATGCAGAAAAGGCCTTTGACAAAATTCAACAACCCTTCATGCTAAAAACTCTCAATAAATTAGGTATTGATGGGACGTATCTCAAAATAATAAGAGCTATCTATGACAAACCCACAGCCAATATCATACTGAATGGGCAAAAACTGGAAGCATTCCCTTTGAAAACTGGCACAAGACAGGGATGCCCTCTCTCACCACTGCTATTCAACATAGTGTTGGAAGTTCTGGCCAGGGCAATTAGGCAGGAGAAGGAAATAAAGGGTATTCAATTAGGAAAAGAGGAAGTCAAATTGTCCCTGTTTGCAGACGACATGATTGTATATCTATAAAACCCCGTTGTCTCAGCCCAAAATCTCCTTAAGCTGATAAGCAACTTCAGCAAAGTCTCAGGATACAAAATCAACGTACAAAAATCACAAGTATTCTTATACACCAACAACAGACAGAGAGCCAAATCATGAGTGAACTCCCATTCACAATTGCACCATTCTTTTATATAAAGAATAATTATTGGAGACCTAATCAGCATCAGTCACCAAAGGAGACTCTGTATTGGGCTCATTTTAAAAGGGCTGCTGGGCTAGAGGCCATAATCCAAAGCAAATTAACAGAGGAACAGAAAACTGCATGTTCTCACATCTAAGTGGCAGTTAAACACTGGGTACTTGTGGACATGAAGATGGCAATAGACACTGGGGACCACTAGAGGAGGGAGGGATGAAGGGGGGATGAAGGAGGACAAGGTTGAAAAACTAACTATTGGGTAATATGCTCAATATCAGGGTAATGAGATCAATCCTACCCCAAACCTCAGCATCACACAATATACCCACGTAACAAACCCACACATGTACCCCTTGCATCTTAAATCAAATTTGAAATTATAAAAAAAGACTCTGGAATGACATGATCTTATATGTATAAAACCCTAAAGACTCTAAAAATATAAAAAAGGTTAGAACTAATAAACTAATTCAGGCTACAAAGTATAGCTGAAGAATACAAAACCAACACACGAAAGTGAGTTGCATATCTATTCTTTAACAATGTACTATCCAAAAAAAAGTCAAGAAAACAGTCTCATTTACAATAGGATCAAAAAGAATAAAATACCTAGGAATAAACCTAACTAAGGAGGTGAAAGACTCATTTGAATGCTTAAAATTATAAAATACTGATGAAAGAAATTAGATAAAAATGTGGATTTTGTGTGCTTTTCCCAAAAATACATTCTATGTGAAAATGTCTACACTACCCACAGTAACTTACAGATTCAATGTAATCCCTAGCTAAATCTTAAAAACATTTTTATAATTATAAATAAAACAATTCTTAAATTTTCATGCAACTGCAAAAGACCTTAAATAGTCAAGACAATTTTGAATAGTAAGAACAAAGCTGGAGCTACCAAAATTTCTGATTTGAGAATATATTACAAAGCTACAGTAATTTACACAGTTTGAGACTGGCATAAAAATAGACATATAGATCAATGGAACAGAATAGTAGGCTCATAAGTAAACCCACACATATACGGTCAATTAATCTTCAATAAGGATGCTGATAATACATAATAAGGGAAGGACAGTCTCTTCAATAATTTTTTGGGGGGAAAACTGTATATCCACATCCAAAGTAATAAAATTGTGTCATTCATCATACACAAAAATTAACTGAAAATGAATTACAGATTTGAACATAAGATCTAAATCCATAAAATGCCTGGAAGAAAACAGAGGGGAAAAGCTTCTTGTCATTGATCTCAGTAATAATTTCTTGGATATGGCACCCAAAAACTGGCAACAGAAGCAAAAATTATAAGTAGAGCTACATTAAACGAAAACACTTCTGAACAGCAAAGGAAACATCAGAGTGAAAAGGCGACCTATGAAATGAGAGAAAATAGTTGCTAGCCATATTTCTGATAATGCATTAATTTCCAAAACATATAAAGAACTCCTACAACTCAATAGCAAAAAAATCAAATAACCTGATTTAAAAATGGAGAAAAGATCTGAATAGACACTTCTCCAAAGAAAACATACAAATGACAAACAAAAGAGATGCTTACTATCACTAATCATCAGGGCAATGCAAATCAAAAACATTGAGATATCACCTCACACCTGATAGGATGGCTATTATTAAAAAAAAAAAGACAGCAAATGTTGGTGAGGTTGTGGAGAAACAGGAACCCTTTAAAATGTAAAACGGTACTGCTGCCATGGAAAACAGTATGGAGGGTCCTCAAAAAATCAAAAATAGAATTACCACATGATCTAGCAATCTCAATTCTGGCTATATAACCCAAAGAATTGAAATCAGGGTCTCAAAGAGATATCCGCACTCCCATGTTCATGGCAACAATATTCAGAGTAGCCAAAATAACCCAAATGTCTATCAACAGATGAATGAATAGGCAAAGAAAATGTGTTAAACACATAAAGTTGAATATTATTTAGCCTTGAAAAAGAAGAAAAACCTAACATTTGTGGCAACATGTATAAACCTGGAAGACATTATGTTAAGCGACATAAGTCGGTCACGGAAAGACAAATATTGTATGTTTCGTTTTAAATGAGGCATCTAAAACAGTCAAAGGTATAGAAGTAGATAATAAAATGATGGTTACCAAGGGAGTTGTTATTCAATAGATATAATGTTAGTTATACAAGATGAGTAAGTTCTAGAGGTCTGTACAAAATAGTGCCTGCAGTTAACAATAAGATACAGTGCACTTACTCATTGGTTAATAGGATAGCTCTCATTAGAGTAAAAAGGGGGAATTTTGGCATGATGGATACATTTATTTCCTGGATTATAGTGATGGCGACATGAGTGTAAACATGTTCAAACTCACCAAGTATACATTAATTATGTAGAGATTTTGCATATCAGTTGTATCTCAGTAAAACTGGGGGAAAAAGATTACTGGGACAATGAAGTAATGAAAACAGGCAGCCTAATCCTGAGCATAATCAGTACTTGGAAGCTTTTTTTGTTTCACTGTATCTAATTGACTTTTTCTCTGCAGTGAGCACCATTGTTCCCATTTTATAGCTGAGGATTGCAAAGCCAATATGTCTTGTTGTGAGTGGCAAAAATGTAAGCTGTCCCCCAAGATATCCTGCTCCCTGGAGTACATACATACTCCTTCTCCTTGGTATTCAATAAAACACTCACCTAGGTACTGATGTAAAGGAATTTGGCTTGTAATATTAAGGTTCCAAAATCAGCTGACCTTAAAATAGGAAAATTATCCAGGTAGGCCAGACCCAATCAGATGAGCCCTTTAAATCTGAGTCCAGAGGAAAGAGATGCAGAAATCAGCGATGTGAATTTGAGAGTGATTTGATATGTGGGAAAAATCTCTTGCTGGCTTTGAAGATGGAGGAGACCATGTGTCAAGGAATGTGGGCTGCTGCTGGAGCTGCAAGTTACCTCAGCTGACAGCAGCAAGAGAATGGGGTCTTTAGTCCTACAACTGCAAGACAGTGAATTATGCCCACAATCATGTGAGCTGAAAAGGGAATCCTGAGCTCCAGATGAGATCAGCAGTGATCCCTACCTACATCTTAATTTTAGAGTTGAGCAGAGAATCCAGTCACCATGCCCAGACTGTGAGATAATGAATGGGTGTTATATTAAACTGCTAACTTTGCAGTAAATTGTTATCTATCTATAGAAAACTAATATGTTTACTTGGGCCACATGCCTAACCCATGGCAGAGCTAGGATTTGAACTCAGGTCTGGCTGACTCTAAAATTTTTGTTTTTAATCTCTCTTAACGTAGGGAATTACGCAAATCCAAAATTTGATATTAGGTGAGAAGTAGACTAACTGCAAGTATAACGTAGATGATGTGATAAATTTGAAGCAAACTCTGAGAACTATGAGAAAAATAAATTGCCAAAAATTTACATATGCTATGTGCAACTCAACCAACGTATTATTAGCATGAATGTGAAAAAAGAAACATTGGCTGTGCCCCCAGGCTCAACTTAAAGAAAGAACGGTGACATATAAACACTTATGTACAGTTCCTTAATTGCCAAATTAAATTGGCAGAAACTGACAGCTATGAGTGACTTGAAGAAATTCTCCTATAAGAAAACAATGCCTGGAATTTGGACAAATAGAACTTAGTGTGCAGAAATCAAAAGACTGGGCATTGCTACAGGTTCTATAGAGTTTCTGAAGGATGACTGATTTCCAAAGCTCAGCATAATTAGGAGAAGTGGGCAAAAGAACATCCTGATTTTTCTAGAGTAGCCATAAGTTGGACTTGGTGTAAGGACACCATTGTAAGGGCCCTTTCCAATATGTTATAGCAAAGACTGTAGCTACAAATAATATTTATCAAGGCCTTACTATGTTCCAGCCACTTCTCTGAGTGTTTTACATGACTTTACTCATGGAATCCTCAAACAATCCTAAGACGTAGGTATTGTGATTATCAGTTTTATAGATAAGACACCCGAAGCACAGAAAATAACTTGCCCTGGGTAAATATTGTATTGACTCCAGGATTTGAAGAATTCAGGCAGTTTGTCTCTAAAGACTGTGCTTTTAGCGATTATACCGTCTGCCTCAAAAAGAAAATGCTTAAGTTCCAGGAAAATTCGTTATTGTTGAAGAGGGAAGTGCATTTATATGGTTAAGACATGATGTTCATTGAAAGTATGCATGTTAGATTATCGTTTATATAAAAAGGAAAGAGATACCTTTGTTCAAACAATGCTATTTATATTGAGTGGAAAAGAACTAATAACTAACAGTAGATAACTCTTCAGGATGCCTAGGACTAGGTGCTGGGTGGTGGTCAAAATGAGGTTTAAGTTTACTGAAATATTTGAATTTTTTTTCCTAGAGTGTTTATAATTTATTGCAAAATAGTTCAGACTAAGAAAATAACACTGCACAACAGAACAAATCTGCATCATCCAGTTTAGGAAACAAAGCACGACAAATACAGTTTACCCCTCCTTGTGTGCATCCCCTCACTTCGCCTCACAGAGGTAATTGTCTCCCAGAATTTGTAGTCTTATCATTCTGTTGCATTTGCTTAATACTTTTTAGTACATTAAGCATGTATTACAAAATGATATTTAGTATATTTTATATTTCATATTTTATATAAATAACATACTTCATATATCATTTGACAACTTGCCTTTTTATTTTACGTATTTACTTTTTTTAACTTTTATTTTAGGTTCAGGGGTACATGTGAAGGTTTGTTACATAGGTAAACTCATGTCATGGGAGTTTGTTGTACAGATTATTTCATCACCCAGAAATTAAACCCAGCACCCAATAGTTATCTTTTCTGCTCTCCTCCCTCCTCTCACCCTCCACCCTCAAGTAGACCCCAGTGTCTTTTGTTTCCTTCTTTGTGTTCATAAGTTCTCATCATTTAGCTCTCACTTGTAAGTAAGAACAGGCAGTATTTGGTTTTCTGTTGCTGGGTTAGTTTGCTGAGTATAATAGCCTCCAGCTCCATCCATTTTCCTGCAAAAGACGTGATCTTATTATTTATATAGGCTGCATAGTATTCTATGGTGTATATGTACCACATTTTCTTTATCCAGTCTGTCATTGATGGGCATTTAGGTTGATTCCATGTCTTTGCTATTATGAATGGTGCTGCAATGAACATTCGTGTGCATGTGTCTTTATGGTAGAATGATTTATATTCGCCTGGGCATATACTCAGTAATGGGATTGCTGGGTCGAATGGTAGTTCTGCTTTTAGCTCTTTGCGGAATCACTATACTGCTTTCCACAATGGTTGAACTAATTTACACTCCCACCAACAGTGCACAAGTGTTCCCCTTTCTCTGCAACCTCACCAGCCTCTGTTATTTTTTGATTTTTTACTAATAGCCATTGTGACTGATGTGAGATAGTATATCATTGTGGTTTTAATTTGCATTTCCCTAATGGTCAGTGATATTGAGCTTCTTTTCCATATGCATGTTGGCAACATGTATGTCTTTTTTTGGAAAATGGATGGCCCTGTCCTTTGCCCACTTTTTAATAGGGTTGTTTTTCTCTTGTAAATTTAAGTTCCTTTTAAATGTTGGATATTGGACCTCTGTCAGATACATAGTTTGCAAATTATTTTCTCCCATTCTGTAGGTTGTCTGTTTACTCTGTTGATAGTTTTTTGTCATTGTTGTGCAGAAGCTCTTAAGTTTAATTAGATCCCAGTTGTCAATTTTTGCTTTTGTTGTGTTTGCTTTTGGTCTTTGTCATGAAATCTTTGCCCATTCCTTTGTCCAGGATGGTATTGCCTAGCTTGTCTTCCATGTTTGTTATAGTTTTGGGTTTTACATTTAAGCCTCTAATCCATCTTGAGCTGATTTTTGTATGTGGTACAAGAAAGCAGTCCAGCTTCAATCTTCTGCATATGGCTAGCTAGTGATCCCAGCACCCTTTATTGAATAGGGAGTCTTTTCCCCATTGCTTATTTTTGTCAGCTTTGTCAAAGATCAGATGGTCACAGATGTGCAGCCTTATTTCAGGGCTCTCTATTCTATTCCATTGGTCTAGGTGCCTGTTTTTGTACCAGTATCATGCTGTTTTGGTTACTGTAGCCCTGTAGTGGAGTTTGAAGTCAGGTAACATGATGCCTTCAGCTTCGTTGTTTTTTGCTTAGGATTGCCTTGGCTATTAGAGCTCTTTATTGGTTCCATATAAATTTTAAAATAGTTTTTTTCTAGTTCTGTGAAGAATATCATTGGGAGTTTGATAGAAAGAGCATTGAATCTGTAAACTGCTTTGGACAGTATAGCCATTTTTATATTGATTTTTTTCTATCCACGCACATGGGATGTTTTTTCATTTGTTACGCCTTCTCTGATTTCTTTGAGAAGTGTTTTGTAATTCTCATTGCAGAGATCTTTCACTTCCATGGTAAGTAATATTCCTGGTATTTTATTCTTTTTGTGGCAATTGTGAATGAAATAGCCTTTCTGATTTGGCTCTCGGCGTGGCTGTTGTTGGTATATAGGAATGTTAATGATTTTTTACATTGATTTTGTTTTTTTTTTTTTTTTTTTTTTTGAGACGGAGTCTCGCTCTGTCGCCCAGGCTGGAGTGCAGTGGCGCGATTTTTTACATTGATTTTGTATCCTGAAACTTTGCTGAAGTTGTTGATCAGCTGAAGGAGCTGTTGGGCTGAGACTGTGGGGTTTTCTAGATATAGAATCATGTTGTCTACAAATAGAGATAGTTTGACTTTCTCTCTTCCTATTTGGATGTTCTTTATTTCTTTGTCTTGCCTGATTGCTCTGGCTAGGACTTCCAATATTATGTTGCATGGGAGTGGTGAGACAAGGCATCCTTGTCTTGGGCCGGTTTTCAAGGAGAATGCTTGCTTTTCAGAAACTCATTATATGTGCGAAATGTATCAATATTGATATGTTTAGTTTATTTAAACTTTTTTACTCCTATGTAGCAGTCAATTTTATGACTATAGTTTATTTTTTGATTATTCTATTAATGAATATTTAGATAATTTCCAGTGTTTTGCAATTATAGAAAATGAGTCCATAAATAATAATGTCATCTTGGGTACATGTGTGAGTTTCTTTAGGTTCTGTGCCTAGGAGTGGGTAGCAGGTGTATACATCTCTACTTTACTAGGTAGTACCAAAATTCTGTCAATGTGGTGATGCTCCCACAGCAGTTCATAATGGTTCCAGATCTCTGTCAACACATGGCCATGCCAGACAGTAATTATTCCTAATCCAATTTTGTTAACAATAAGAATGTGTTCATGTTTTACTCATTTAATTAAAAAGAAAGAAAGGGAGAAGGGAGGGGGTGAGCAGAAAGAAATAAGGAACAGAAAAAGAAAGGAATCCAGTTTCTGAGCCAATGTGCAACTTCAGTGTTTGGACAGGGTAACTGGCGTCACAGGAAGGCCGTGTTGAGGTATAGACCTCTTGTAATTGATCAGGGGATGCTTACCTCTCCTTCTATTAAGGATTACACTAGCCTCAAAATTGGAGGTTGAGAAGAGCCTCTAATGATTTTAACTTGGGGAGAAAAGAGGTAAAGGCAGGCAGAAAGTAAAAAGGAGATGTACCCAGAAGCCCTTCTCAACTGGACCAGTGAGGAATACATGATTCAATCAGCCATTCAGCCATTTTATCTCCAGCTGGTTTGGCTGATTTTCTAGTGTGTTTAGAGGTTGACTCTTATGTGGAAAACTCATTAGTTATCCTATCATGCTTGCTTCCTCTTGGGTTATTATAAGCTCCACTATAAGGACATTTTAGCAGCAGAAACCAGAGAAAATTATTTTATGTCATTTGACAATATGAAAAATAAAATGAATTCTGTGGTGGGTGGAAATTTCACTTACTGTAGAATGTCAATGATAAATGATTTCCCTGAGCATGTAAGAAGCACCGTATATTACAGGAACTGTGGTCCCTCAAGCCCGACGTTCTGTCACCAGCCCCAGCAAGTAGTGGTGGTGTGATGAGGTCAGCTTTGAAAGATTAAGAAGTCAGTTTTTGTCACACATCCATTCAAGGTGCTTTCCTGTGTACTACAGATGTAGACCCACTTGGACACAAAGTGAATCAAATTAATCTTTTTGAATCTGAATTTATTTATCTGAAAATATCATTTATAATAGTAATTCTAACCTCCCTGAATTTTGTGGATTAAATAGGAATCATAAAGAAAGCTTTTGACAACTGAAGGCTGCATTCAGATGTTGATTTTTAAAATCTGTCACGTGTGTGTGTGAGTGAGAGAGAGAGAGAGAGAGCGCGCGAGAGCCTTACAGCATATTTGCCCTTTTATCAGGTGTTTTCAGATGTTTTTTCCATTGCTGATTAGCCTAACAGTCTTGGGTGAATAGCAGTGCATTTTCTCACCCAACCATTTGCTGTCCTGTCTGTAGCTGAATAGGGAGGCTGATAGTCAAGTGCTGGTTTTTATAAAGAAATATTTAGCACCACAAACTTTGCTATAGCAGCTTTTTCAATAAAAATCCTTTCCCTCACTTTATGTTGATTCTTCTGATCATTGTCTCTTGCTGGGGAGAGAGTTAATGTGCTTTGCCCTCCTGCGGGAAAAGGAGCAATGATGGGACTATAATGGTCAGCCTATGTTTCTCTCCGTTTTAAATGAGCAAAATTCACCCCATTGCTTGGTTGTTTAGCTGGCCTGAGAACTGGTAATTTTTCTCCAAATATCTGGTACACTTAGCAAAGTATTCCATAATTCCTAGTTCTGTTTATTTCAGAGTGGTAAGAGACTCGTGTAGATCCAGGTAGACCATTAGTCTACTAGATAAAGGAATAGCCTCTATGGTGTCATTAACCTGCACTCCTTTAACTTTTGCTTGCAACACTCTGGTGTTAGGGAGCTCACTACATTGTAAGGCTTTGCAGGGCAGCTCTGGTGATTAGGGCAGGGATGAGGAGTAGCAAGACAAATGCTAGAATGCCTTGTCTAGACCCAGGAGGTCAACCACTGCTCATGCCACTGCTTCTGGTGCTCATTATGTTGTTCATTGTAGATTTGCACTCCCCATCCTCCTTATAGTTGGGTGAGTCTTTCTGACTAGTTCTGGCCAATGAGTTTTTGAGTAGATATAATATAAGTCACTTCCAGGCTGGAACATTTCATTATCAGTTTGTGACACACACACTTTAACCCCCCACGTTCTATTTCCCTCTAGCATGTAAAATGGGAACATTTGAGATGGTGACCACTCCATCTTTCTGGATCACAGAGGGAATGAGATGAGCAGAGCCTCCTGACAATGCACACAGACATGTACAGTGAGTGAAAAATAAACCTTTGCTGTTTTACATTACTGAGGATTAAGAGTTCTTTGTTCCCAGAGTATAATCTAACCCAATCTGACTGAGACAATGGTGACTGAGAACCCATTCTCAGAAACCTTCTCAATACAGCATTTCAGCTATACAATTGAATTGTAGTTGTAGTATGAGAAGAAAAGTACCTTTCATTTTCTCTTAGTTTGAGCTGAACTCTACCTTCCAGTATCTTCCCTGACTAGGATCCAGCCACACTCTTTAGAACTGCATGACAGTGTTCAGAGATTGGAATTAGCTGCTCCAGAACCTCTGAGCTGTTTGGTCTCTCGAATGAGATCTCCATTTCCTCAGCTGCTCTACCTGTGCCACAGGGAATAATTCTAAACCTTCATTATTCTGGTTAATTGTCTAGATATGTTTTAGTATCACTGGATTATCATTATCCATGACAATTCTCAGGGTATCCTTAATCTTCCAGCACTTTTAGCATTCACGATATCTTTTAGAATCCATAGCCTGCCTGTGGCCTGTCATGTTCTGACATGAGGAGGGTGAGGGACAGTGAAAACATGTTAGAATCAATAGGTTGAATATCCTGAGATGGTCAAAGAATTACTGGAGTCAAGAGTACTAAAGAAAAGGGTTCTAGAGACAGGAAATGATGGTTTAAGAATGAGATATTTTAAACTGAAATTGTTGGGAGTTACAACTATTGGTAATGACGAACTCATGGACTGAACATTGGAGTGAGTAACTGAGGAAGTACAGAGCACAAGCTCATTGAAGGAGAGCAGGCTTGGTTCTCAAAGGAGTTATCAGACTTTTTTTAAGAGGCAAACATTTCTATTCATCTGTATTCCATATTATGTATTTTACTGTTAGATTATCTTCATAATTATGCCACTGGTGATTAAATTAAAATATTATTACATTTGTCTATCATAGGGATTAAGATATCCTGTTCTGGACTATCTACCAGCCATGTGACCTTGGGCACATCAGTTCAAGTCTCTGAGCCTCAGTTGCTTCATCTGTAAATTGGATATAGTCATAATATCTATAACCATAGGCTGTTGTGACGATAAAAATCAGCCAATGCATAAAAAACAGATATGACTCTTTCTGGCATATAGTAGCACTCAGATAATGAGAATAACTGTTCTTTATTCCATTATTATCAAAGCAGAGAAACTGACAAGGCCTAAAATCTTGGAAAGCTGCCACAGTCAACCCTAAGGGGATACCCTTATTATATTATATTACATTACGTTGCATATTAGAGCCCACCATTTATTTTCAAGCTAACCACAAAATTAATTTTTTTATCTCAGCATTTCTAGCACATAGAAACATTTCTACCTTAAGAATTATTTTGAGAAAGAACAAAACACACACTCAAATGAACACACCAAAATTCCACAAACTTGATTTGCAAATATTGTCAAATTAGATATTCATGAGATAATAAATTACAGCTTTTTATGGAAGATGTGTTAAAAATCCTTCAGGACTTTGAGAAAAGCTTGAAGCTGGAGCAGATCTTTCTAATTTTCTTGATAGGGAACTAGTGTGCCACCTCTGCCCCTGTGCTGCTCTCTCCAACCTTTGACATTCTCTGAGCTTCTTTAACTGCATGCATCCAGTACTGATAAATCAGGAACACTCCAGTGCATTCATTTAGACAAGACACCTGAAGTGTGTCTTGTCTATCGAAACAGCCTAGCTCTTGAAAGTCATATTTTTCTAGGCCAGTAATTCTCAATCACCCCAGATCAACTGCTACTCTCTTTTTAAAAACAAATAGCTTGTAATACCCCTTTACAATACTGAAATGAAATCCACGAGTAATCTAACGTATCTATACACAATGAACAATTATCAATATAATGTCTTAACTGAAATACAAAGAAGCAATAAAAGGAGAGTAATTTTGGTAAAATAACATACATTTCATTGTATAAATGCTAGGCTCATCTACAACAGAACATAATAAAGCAGTCAGATATGTGCATTTGTACATTAAGTCACCACCATGGACACGACAACTACCAACAAAGTCTAACGCAGACATGTTGTATGTAGGTGACAGGGTGAATATTTGTTCTGAACCAAATGAAAGCATACCCTTCCCTTTATTCAGTGTATGGAAATTACCATGCAAGATTCTTTTTATTTATAAGTAAAAGGAGTTATGTTCTAGATTAGATAATTACAAACAAATTTTTCACTTACACAAGTGGCTGGTAGGATGTTCTAGAATCATGGAGAATGTGGCCTGTAGAATGATAATTTTCTTATGAGGGATTGTCCCTCATGTTGTAATGTGAAACCTGTCCTTCCTCTAGATTTGTGTTGTGCTCCCCAATCATAACTACAACCCAGTATCCCAAAGATATCTCAAACATCCCCTAGGAGATGGTGCCACTTCCACCAATAACTAGGTTCTAGATAGGTTGACTGGTATCGATACAAGGAAAATATTTTTAAATTACTAAGACCACCCTAAACAAAATAAAACAAAAACAAAAACAAAAACCCACACACACATAAACAACACAAAAAATACTCTTGTCCCTTCTCTTTTATACACCAGATAGGTCAAAATGCAAATCTAATCATGTCACCCCCAGTGCCAACCTTCTTAAAACAATCACCGAATTAATGATAATACATAAATACTTAGTACAACTTCCAACCCCCTCCTGATGTGTGACCCTTGCTGGCCGCATCTGACATGAGGCATCCCCTCATTCTCTGCACTCCAGTGATCTTTGTCTCCTTTCAGTTGCTGGACGAAGTTATGTAGCTCTCACGGCTGCACTTTCCAGCCTCAGTCCCCAGTGTTTTCTGCCTTTTTTCTGTCAACTTCTATTCCTCTTTAAGTTGCAGCTCAATTATCATCTCCTCAAGAAAGTGTTTTCTGTTCTCCCATCAGGGTCAATGTTACCTTGTGTACCTCCCTTTATAATATCCACCATAGCTGTAATTTTATGTATATGCAGTTATTGGATTCATGTCTGTCTCCTTCAGTAGCCTCTGAGCTCCCTGAGGGAAGGGACTGCCTGCTTCCTCTTCTCAGTGCCTGAAATAGAGTGGACTATCAAATACTCTGTTGAGTGCATCTAGATATGATTAAGTTGGTGAAGGAATGGTTGAATGAACAAATGGACAAACATATGCCTATATCTAACCTGACATTCCTTGGCCAAGCCTCTTTTTGAGTCAGAGAGTTTGTTTGTTTTCTGCTTGGAGCTGGGCTCACACCCAGCTGCTTGGAGAAATTAATACTCTTGTGTATGACCTATTTGGCAAGAGCAGTACATTATCCTTCTAGTGCAAAGTGAGAAGACTTAGGTGTTGGCCAGAGTGCAAAAGATGGGATTCACAGGTGAGGGAAAAGTCTTTCCTTATTCTTCAGTTAAACAAGTAACCCATAAGCATACAAATTCATGTAGTTTAAAGTTCTAGTAATATTCTGAATGAAGAAGTCTCCCATCATCTTCAATACCCTGCCCAAAATATTTATGATTAACAATTGGGTGTGCATTCTTATGGCCATGACCTCTGGATCTACTTATATTAAATATGTGTATATGTATGCATACATATGCATTTCTGTCTCCCTCTTCTTCTCAGTTTTTATTTTATTCAAACTCCTATGATATCATATAATGTATATTGATGTATAATTTTTTAATCTACTCATGTTTTGGATACATTATATTATTTTATTGTAAGTATAGCACAACTTCTGTACAATAAAATAATAAATAAGATAAATATAATATACATACAATAAAATAATAAAATGTATTTAAAATAAGATTTTTTTAATTTAAAAAGTCATTTAAAAAATTATTTTAAGTTCCAGGATACATGCACAGGACATGCAGATTTGTTACATAGGTAAACATGTGCCATGGTGGTTTGCTGCACCTATCAACTCATCACATAGGCATTAAGCCTCACATGCATTGGCTATTTTTCCTGATACTCCCCTTCTCCCCGTCCCCCAAACAGGCTCCAGTCTGTGTTGCTCCTCTCCCTGTCTCCATGTGTTCTCATTGTTCAGTTCCCACTTATAAGTGAGAACATGCCGTATTTGGTTTTCTGTTCCTGTGTTAATGGCTCTATTTTAGATATAACAAAAGGTACTGAGAAAAAACATAAAAGAACACCTGTGTGTCCATGACCCAGCTTAAGATATAAAATATTACAAATATGACTGAACTCTCTGCTGATCAGATATATTCCTGATGAAAATCAGATCTCCTTCTGATAAAAAAAAAAAACTCTTCTGTCTGTCTTGACCCTACAACTACTTCCCTGGTTTCATTGTTTATGCATGGCTGTATACTTTTTATTATATGTATATGGATCCCTTCTCATTCTTTTTAACACCTGCATAGTATTTTTTAAGGGTATCAGTGTGCCATGATGTAATTAATCACTAATAGATTTGTGAAGTTTTGTACCATTTCCAAGTGTTCAGTTTTACAAAAAACTATAGCAACACACAACCTTCTACATGCATCTCTGGACACCTAAGCAAGTGTTGGGGCATTTCCCTAGAATAGATATGTTAAAAATGTGCATTCAAAAATTTCGAACATACTGCCAAATTAGCATCCAAAAAGCTTTACTAATGTGTCCTCCCATAACCAGTCCTGAGAGTATGCTTTCAGCACACCCTTGTCAATTCAAAAGATTGGCAATTTGGTGTTTTTTGAGTCTGACTGGTGGAAATTGTATCTTATTGTTTGAAGTTACAATTTCCTGGCTACTTATAAATGTGTGTGTCTTTAGTTAAGCTCATGGACAATTTGTAAAAAGAAGAGTGATTCTACAATATGTAATTCATTACCACTTGCTCTATGAGGACAGGGACCTTATCTGTCTCCCTGTCAACTATAGCTCCATGGCCAAGCATGGTAAATAAGTAATAAATATTGATTGGTTCGTTAGTTGATTGATTTATAGGTTAATTAATTATCAGACCCTATGTATACTTTAAAAAAATTCTCTAAAGGGATAAGGTAATCTAAACTAGAAATAATCAGTGTAAAAAATGAAAATTGCAATGCTTATGTAAGAACAAAAAATGGGGATTAGTGTGGCCAAAAACCCTAAACTTTAAAATAGAAACAATTCAACTGAGTTCTGAAAACAAAACAAACAAATAATGGAACTGGAGAGGACAGACTTATGGTCTCTATTGGATGTAACATATATAACGTCTTGAGGAAAAGATAGAGTATTTCATTTGCAGTAGAAGATTGAAGTATCTGAAGGCAGGACTTTGGATAAAGTGGATAAATAATCACATGTTGTAGTAGTAGGTGATACAACCGTATTTCCAACATAGTCTTCAGTGGCACCATTCAGTGCTTAACTTGTATCTGTTAAGTACCTATTATGGGCCAAGAAAACTGACAAAGCCTCTGCTTTCGTGGCACTTATCTATTGGTGGGAGACAGTTAATAGACACTAGAAAACAAAGAAATATACAATATGTTAGATACATACCATCAGGAAAAATACAGCAGCATAGTGAATCTGAGAATGACAAAGTATGCTACATTCATTAGAATAGTCAGGAAAATGCTCTTTGATGGGGACACCTTTGAGCAGAGACCTAAGTGAAGACAAAAAGGGAACCTAGTGGATATTTGGAAGTGAATATTCTAGGAAGAAAACACAACAGGCGCACAGGTCAGAGCGCACTTGACATATTGGAGAAATACAGAGGAGGTGTTTGTGCCTGGAGCAGAGGGAGGAGAAGAACTGGTGGAAATCGAGATCAAAGGGGCAGCTGGTACCAGGTTCCTTATATCCTGGTATATTCTACCAAGTCTCGGTAGAAACTTGGGATATTCTGCATGAGCTGGGAAGCCATTGAATAATTTTGAGTGGAAAACATACATTGTCTGCCTTTGATTTCAGAGGTATAACTCTAGATTTTGTGTAGCACATAGACTATAAGGGCAGGAAATTGAAGACAAGATTTTATTGCAAGAAATAAACTTGTAAGAAGTAAGTTAGAGATAATAGTGGCTTGCACTAATATTAGTGGCACCACTGATGAGAAGTGGTTAGATTCAGGACAAAGTTGTAAGCTCCAAAACATCCACAGAAGGGGAGAGAACTTTGTTTAAAAAAAATTATTGAAGTTATTCTTTCTTTGTAGCAGCTTCAGGTGGATGGGCAAAAACTAAGAAAATTTCATCTATTAAGCACCACACCACAGTTTATAGCTACATTTGCAATTAAAAACTTCTTAAAATGAAGTACGCCAATTAGTAAGTTTAATAACTGGTGAGAGGAACAATACGTGCGGATTTCATATAATTATTAAGGCACTGTTATGAGCAAAACCAGACATAGGCAATGCATTTTGAAAAAAAACACAATTTTTTGTGGATTAGCAATGTAATACACATTTGATGGGAAATACTGGGAAAAAGTAAAAAAAAAAATGAAGAAATAATTCAAATTTTTTTAGATTAATATCACCTAGAGATAACCATTTTGGATATAGATAATATTAATATATGGAGTCATATGTAATAAATACAGGTATGTCATACGTATAAATATTAGGTACCATGTATGTATCATTTACCTGTACATATATATGTTTGTATATGTAAGCATGTATGTGTATGTGTATCACATACATATACCAGATTTGCATTTCAGTGTTACTCTACAACATTCAGATGTACGAAATGCCAAATTTCTTTTAATCTCTAAATTAGTTAACTTTTCTGTGAGCTCCTCAAGCTGGGTCTCAATGGTAAATTCAATCTCAGACATTTTGTGGACCTCTTCCTCTTTCTCCGTTAAGCTGGACCTTTTGCTTTTCACTTTGTCCTGGTCACCACCACGTCCACAGATCCCTTGAAGGCAAGAGGCTCTGTTGCTTCCCTGTCAAGCTTGACACTGGAGTCTTCAAAGCTTGTAGTTATACAAATCTTAGTTATTTTCTTGAGATGGAGGAAGAAGGTAACCACTCATTTCTTCTAGTATTTTTGTAATTTTTTAAAAAAGGTCACAAATTAATCTTTCACTATAGTATCTGGACCCATATATAAATACATATTTTTACAAAGGTTGAGCTTGTGCTTTACTGTTTTATACCTGCTTTTAACTTTGGATGGTATTTAGGAGAAATGTCCCTTGTCATTAAATATTTTAAACCTGAATTTCAATGGCTGTGTATTAATAAATTGTTTATGTAACCAATACCCAAATATAGACATTTAGATGTTTCATGTTCTCCAGTTATGAACAACATGGTTGTGAGTAATAATGTACAGAAATCTTTATGAACAGCTATAAGGATTTATTTCTTTTGGAATTTTTGGAGCATGAATGTTTTTAAGGCTTTTTTAACATTTGTCACAAGCATCATCTGGATATGCATTGACAAGTACTGCAATACAGTTCTTAGATTTGCCAGGTTGGAATGCCACAGCCAGCTTTTCCAAATGAGCCTCCTTTACATGATTCTGTCTTTGGCTCTAGAGATGACTAGTAACCAGGTGCAGGAGGAGAAGTAGTGGATAGAGGGTCTAATCCAGGTAGAGAATCTGAACTTCAGTCTGTCTATCTTTGGGCAACCCCACCATTATTCTCCACCTGCCTCTCCCATCACCTTCACTCCCTCATCTTCTCTTATATGTTGGGTGCATGGCAGGGCGTGTAGGTGTGAGTGTATACATGTTGGTTGTGGAATAGAATGCAGAGCCTTTCTTTTCAAAATCCTTATGCCCATCAAGATACTGGATACTCCCTGCTTCTCTTATGATTATGCCAGCCTCAAATCCTCCCAAATTCTTGCCCCTCACATTCGTTTACCACCTTCTAAACCCCATCTCCACTCCTATGAGTTTCAGCACCTTTATTTCTTCTCTGCTATATTAAATTGTGTTTTCTACCAGTTGTGTCTGGAAAAACTCCAGTGTATTCTTACTCATTATCTCTTTTCTCTGGCCGCTATTTATAGTTGTCGTTTCAACAGCCCCCAGCTGTTGAAATTACAACATGCTCTCATAATGATCAGTCATTGATCAGGCTTAGTTTCTTGCTACATTGTGAGCTAGAAGACCAGGACCAGTGTTAATGTCATTTGTGTCTATTTGAAATGAACAGAAAAGATGAATATTAATAGCTAGGATTAAGATAACAGACACTACATGCCAAACAACATTGTAAGTGTTTTAGATTTAGATTTATTAATCTTTTTTTTTTTTTTTTTTAGATGGAGTCTCACTCTGTTGCCCAGGCTGGAGTGCAGTGGTGTGATATTGGCTTACTGCAACCTCTGCCTCCTGGGTTCAAGTGATTCTCCTGCCTCAACCTCCCGAGTAGCTGGTATTATAGGTGCCTGCCACCATGCCTGGCTAATTTTTGTATTTTTAGCAGAGACAGGGTTTCACCATACTGGCCAGGCTGGTCTCGAACTCCTGACCTTATGATCCACCCACCTCGGCCTCCCAAAGTGCTGGGATTACAGGCGTGAGCCACCACATCGGGCCAAATTTATTAATCTTTATAACAACTTCGGTGCCCAGGACATGACTAGAAAATAGACTTAAAAGTATTATTAGCCTAAAGAGTACAATGTGGGAAAGGCTTCTGATATTCTCTGGAGAAACTTGTTAACTCTTTAGTGGTTTGTATGTGATGTTAACAGCTATAACTTGTAATTCAAAGCGAGGATTGGTGGCCCAAATGCACTTGTCTGGGGGAGTGGTTTAGAGACAGGATTAACAGAACTATTGAGCTGAATGAAGGGGGAAATCCCTTTGTGTTGATCACTACTTTAAACTTCTTTCAAGCAAGGGCTACCTTGTATATCAGTTTACTTGTCTAACATATATTTGTTATACTAGGCACTGTTGATACCAAAATCAGTAAGTTAGTGTGGTTGGGAGGCACAGATCTTTAAATAACAATTAAATATAGGGTGATAAAAGCTATGATATATAATTATAGGGTACAATGGAAGCATATACGACAGGGACAATATTGAGGTCAGGATGGCTTCCCAGACAATAAGATGTTTAAGCTGAGTGCTGAAGGACATGCGAGAGCTTGCCAGGTAAAGAATGGGAAGGAGAGGAAGGAGTTTAACAAGCGTGCCTCATCTCACTGAGTGAGAATTTGGGCACTTCATTTAGTGTTGGTTATGGAACAGTGTCAGAAATAAAGCTAGAGAGGTAAGTAGGGACCAGTTTAAACCAGGTCAAGATGTGCTATTGTATCAAAATTGCAATGGGAAGACATTATAAGATTTTGAACAAGAGGGAGAAATTAGCTAATTTCTTTTGGGGGAAGAACATATCTTGACTTCAGTGTTGAGAGTGTTGGGAAAGAGTAATTGCCAAGGCAGAATAACTAATTAAGAAGTAGCTCATTCATTCATTCATTCAGTCAGTCATTCATTCCACAGATACATTTGTCCCTTGGTATCCATAGGGGATTTGTCCCAGGACCTCTTTGGGGTACCAAAGTCTAAGGATGTTCAAGTACCTGATATAGAATGATGTAGTATTTGCATTTAACTTAAGCATATCCTCTCATATACTTCAACAAGGTTACTTAACAATACCTAATGCAATGGTAAATACTATGCAAATAGTTGTTATATCTATTGTTTACGTAATAATGACAAGAAAAAGTCTGTACATGCTCAATACAGGCACTATTTTTTAAAGAATATTTATGATTCACAGTTGGTTGAATCTACGGATGTGGAACCCACAGATACAGAGAACCAACTGTACTTTCACAGCACTACTATGTGCTAGGTACTGTAAAACAGTACCAAAAAGGTGCTGGAAAATACTTCAGTGAATATAACAGCCCAAGTTCTTGCTTTCAGTGATTTTACATTCAAGTTATTCTAGTGTGTGTGGGAGCGTAAAAGGTAACAGCTGTGAAAATCAATAATGCAAGTCAAGAGAATAGAGAGTGAGGGGAGGTTCTTTTTTAAATAAGTCCTCTCTGCAGAGATGAATCTGAGCAGACACCTGAATGAAGTGAAGGGTGAGCTTCTCTGGTCACTTGAATGGAGAGATCCAGATGGTGGTAGCATCAGGTGAGAGGTGGATGGTGGAGGTGGATGCATGATTGGCACCATCTGGGAACAGTGTGGAAGTCAGGAAGTCTCCTTAGCGGGAGCAGCCTGGGAAAGAGAGAGTGGTGAGAGTTGAGATGATGGAAGCAGCCAGTGGCCAGCTTTGTAAATTTACATAGGTCATGGTGAGGGTTCTGGGTTTACTCCTAGTGAGATGACAAGCCATCTTAAGGGCAGTGAGTATGGAAGTGATATGTTCCAATCTCAATATTTTTCAAAGCTCATTCTGTCTAGTGGGTGAAGAGTGGATTGTATGTGAGAAATGATGGAAGCAGGGATGCCAGTTGAGAGGACTTTGCAGTCACCAAGTGAAGCATGATGTAGTAGGAACTAGAATGGTATGACATTGAATGGCTGGTAAAGGGTTGGGATCAGGAAACGTTATGAAGTTAGAGCTATCAGGATTTGCTGATGTACTGGAGGTAGAAGAGGTAGAGACCTGGTAAAAGTGGCTTCCAAATTTTTAACCTGAGCAACTGGAGAAATAGATTTGCTATGTATTCATATGGGAAGCAGGTTTGAGGTTAGGGAAATCAGGAGTTCAATTTTGAACATGTTAAATTTAAGCTGTCTCATATACTAAGAATTTGAAGACAAAGACAAAGTAGTTAGTGGGATAAAAGTGGTTGTGATAGTCTAGGAGAAGATGAAAGGAAGCCCTCTCCTAGGGTATTGACAGCAGATTGGAGAGAAGTGAAGGGATTTAAGAGATCCTCAGAGTAGATAATGACCTAGGTAAAGGAGAAGAAAAAAATGAGCAAGATGCTCAGTTTCTGGCGTGGTCAACCGGAAGGGTGTTGCTTTCCACTTAGTGAAAGAATCCAGAGGAATGAATGACTCCCAGTAAATAGGCTCCTTTTAGGCTCTTATAGGTCTTTGTGTCTTAATGCCATGTTCTTCTTTAGACCAAACATCTCTGGTTACAAAAGAGCAGGGGTCATGACACTTTTTCATAAAGGGTCATAAAGGGAGTAAAGTTTCTCTTCGGGCCATGAAATCTCTCTCGTAATTACTCAGCTCTACTTTTGTAGTGTAAACTCAGCTAGAGGAACTACATAAATGATTGAGTGTGGCTGTGTTCCACTAGGACTTTATTTACAAAAACAGACAGCAGGCTGGATTCGGCCCAATGGCCATTGTTTGACTACTCCTGCAACAGCATAAAATTGAGCTGTTTCATCTCTCCTTTGGGCAAAGGATTTTTTGCATTATCAGAGGCAGAAGTAAGAAGAGAAACCATAGTACTTGGCAACAGCAAACCAAGATCCTGGCAAAATATGGAGAGCTGTATCCACTGGCAATTGGGCCTAGTGACAGAGGCCATCTGTTGCAAAGGAATGGAGAGCAGGTTACTATCAGAGTATGGGAAAGTCCACTTTTCCTTGAGTGCTTATGCTTAGGGTAAATGATTTACCAAAGTGGAGAGGGCATATGTGGTCCACATTTTTTCCCTGTGCTGAATTTCTCATAATCACAGGAATAATTTTGAGGAAATGATCAGCCGAATATTGAAAACATGTCATGTGTTTTACCCCAAAGGAAGACATTTCTGTGCCTGGTGAGTGTATTCCTTAACAAGTGTGTGTAAAAAAAAAAAAAATGTTTTCAACACAAACCAGAGACGCTAGACTGTGCACATATAAAGAAAAAATGATCTTGTAAAGAAAAGAAATCTATCTCTGTAGCTGTTGACTCAGTTCCACTTTTGGAAAATGGGTTTTCTTAAAGAGAGACCACCTCTGAGGTCTAATTGACTAGCACTATTATTTGGCATTTCATTTCCAAGAAGAATTGAATCCTTAATGATTAACATGCTGTGCAGCAGTGGGTATCTCTCCAGATGTAGATCTCACCTTGCCTATCTATCCTGCCTTGGCTTTACATTCAGGCATGGCCTCAGAAAACAGTGTCTTTCATCCTGAAATCCTTTGTATTCCTTACAGCTTTTAACTCCATTATACTCTGTACAGAGAGATCCTCTTTGGGCTTTGAAGTTTGTTTCATGCCCAGTATGTGTGATATTTGAGGTTCTTGAAAAGTCTATTAAGATTTTGCCTCAAGAATTTTACTCTGCATGTTTGCAGTTCAAAACTACCTAACCTTCACCAGCTGTGCACCAACCACCTCCCTGCCCTCGTGTCCTTGTCTATAGGGTTTTCAAAAAAAATCAAATAAAATTATTTTAGAATTACATAAAAACTCCATTATATATAATTTCCATCCTACAAGGTTTATTCCTTTTTTCTCCTACCATTTTCTATAGCCAGCACATTTTACAACACATATTAAGCTGTCATCATCAGTATTTTGAGTCTTAAGTTTCTAGACAAAAAGCAAAATTTTAGCATGTGTTTTTTTAAAGGAAATATATTCACTTCTAAGTAAGCATGTTTAAAATTTAGTAGGAGAAATACTGGACTTGCAATAAAAATATGTGGGTTTAAATCCCAGCTTCACCACTTAATAGTTACAAAATATTACGTCTCTTAACCATGCTGAGCTCCAGCCTCTTCTGAAAAGGGGGCATCATGATATTACATCACATGATAATGATAATTATGAAGATTGAATTCGCCAACATGAAAAATCTTCCAGGTGCATTGTTTGCCATATGGTAGGTGTTCAGTACATCAATGTCAAAATCAACCCACTTCCAAGGAAGACATTTCAAAGTGAGAAGCAGAAGAAAATAATTTGCAAAGGCAGAATGGAGGTTAAGATTAAGGGCATCCCTTGTAAGGTTCTAGGTCAGTGGTCCTCAAAGTATGGTCCCAAGACCAGCATCGACATCAGCATTACCTGGGAACTTGCTAAAAATGTAAAATTTTGGTCTTCACCCAAGATGCACTAAGTTAGAAAGTGTGGGTGGGTTCAGCAGTCTGTGTTTTAACCCAGCCCTCCAGATGATCCTAGTGTTTGCTGGTGATTTTGAAGCACCACTGCTCTGATGCTTCATATTATGGAATAAGGCTATGCAAACTATCTTATTTAATCCTCCTCTTTTTTTTTTTTTTTTTTTTAAAAAAAAAGCTTTCCGTAAAAAAGAAAAAAGAAAAGAAAAAACGTTAACTGGGAGACCTGAGAACTTAGTACAAGAACCCAAAGTAATATAAGCCAAATCATAAGAAATATTTTCTTCCTCAGAAAGGATTTCCACTTAAGTCAAAATATAGGATTTCAAATAAGTGTAACATCTAGAACACACCTAGAATATGGAAACAAATGAAGACCACACAGATGAGAACAAACAAGCAATTTATTCAGAGCATGATAAAGCAAGAGGATCAGCCACCATCCTTGGAATTTAGCAAAGTCTCAAAGACAGGCAGGGGAGTAAAAAAGCTTTATAAGCGGGGAAAAGAAGGCTTCTGCTATCTTCTGATTGGAGGTTGTTGGCACATTGAAGCAGGAGGTGCACTAACAAGCAGTGAGGCATCTTACGTAATTGCTTTGGGGAGCAGTGTCTTTGGCATTCTGTTGTTAGTCTTGAGTTGGAAGCAGGTAAGAGGGTTAAAAAAGGGGGAAGCTAGCTCGCAGTCATTGAACAAGTCCTGATCGTTCTGGGCTGGCTGCCAGAGATTGTCCATCGGAGTTTTATTGTTACACATGGTCTGGCCATTGTCCATTTGTATGTTTAGTCTCTCAAGAAACCTAGGGGGAAAGAGTGCATATATTTAAAGGAAATGATATATACTTTAAAACAATTACATAGTATTGCTCAGGTTATTTGTTATAAGGAAAAACAACATACTCATGGATTCTGTTATTTCTATTTTAAATAAAGAAGTATTTGAAAAATCAATTTACATAAGTCATATTAGCAATGTGATTATTATCTGAGTTTATCGCTCCTATATGTTAAACTCAGATTTTGTTCATGGCCAGTAATAAAGGTAATGAAGAAGCCACACACATACAATTACAGATGGTCCCCGACATGATGGTTTGACTTAAGAATTTTTTACTTTACCATGGTGTAAAAGCAATATGCATTCAGTGGAAACTGTATTTCCAATATTGAATTTTGATCTTTTCCCAGGATAGCAATATGCTGTATGATACCATCTTACCTAGCCTGGCAGCAGCAGTGAGCTCCAACTCTCAATCAGTCAGGTGATCACGAAGGTAAACAACCTACGCTCTACAGAGTAGTCTGCTGCCAGATGACTTTGCCCAACTCTAGGCCCATGTAAGCTTTCTGAGCACATTTAAGGTAGGCTAGGCTGTTACAATGTTCTATAGGTTAGGTGCATTAAATGCATTTTCCATTTACAATGTGTTCAACTTACAATGGGTTTACTGGGAGGTAACCCCATCATAAGTCTAGGAACATCTGTACTTGTAATAAATGATGTATACTGTCAAAACAAAAATTGCACTGGATGAAGTTAAGCAGGTAAAGATGACTTTTTTCTTTTCCAAGGCTATGGCAATAGGGAGAGAGACCAGAATGCAATCTGACTTCAACTTCACTACAACAAAGGACAGGAGGGTTTTTAAGAAATAGAGTGGGGGGAAGGGATTACCTAATGTGCTACCTAATTAGCCTTACCCAAAGGATAAGTAAACTTTCTCATATCTTCACGACAAGGGACGGTTTTACAACTTGGAGCAAGGTGTCCACCTAAGTTAGGCTGTTCGATCCTACAGACTGAGAGATAGGAGCACTATATTTCTTGATGATTTCCTTTCAAAGGGAAAGGAAAAGTTCTTGAGAATGGCAGTCCTAGCTTGTAAAACTGGTGAGTATCTTTCATTTACATCTCAAAGTGTTAGAGAAAGAATTTGCAATTACAAATTTTCTAAAGTAAATGCTCTAAGAAAAGGGAGTTCAGAGCCTGGAGTCAGGAAGAAGGCTGTCTAAAGTTTAATCAAGCTGAGTGGAACGTTAAGGCCCTCTTGGTTAATATTCATTCTCTTATCAGTATAGAAACCAACAGGGACCTTATATTTAAGGTTAATAAAATTCTCACTAGAAAAAAATAATTCAATTTTAGACAGGCTCTCTTGTAAGTCAGAATGCCCTTGTACTCTTCTCCTAACTGTTGATTGGTAAGAAAATGAAACATTATTTTCTTTAATTTAAATGTAATTCCTTTGCAAAAGACTGTGCAGGGCTGGGCAGGAAGGGTGAAAAAAATACTTAGATAGGGAGTATGGGATCTTTTGTGGATGTGCTGTGTATATTTTCAAGAATATTTCTTGTGTACATGACACTCCTAACAGGTGGGAGAGGAGACACTTACTGCGGAGATCATTGGTGCAATGGTGGAGCCCTCTGGTCTAACATAATTTTATTGCAAAGTTCGATACATAAAAATATAAAGAGAAAAAGTACTCTAGTTTCCCTGCCTCCTTGCTTCCTGTCATTCTTAGGAGTGATCTTGAAGTAGTTCCAGGGAAGTATCAAGAATATATATATTTATATATTCCTAATATATATATTATATAATATATTATATATATGTATTATACATACATATATTCACTTGAAATGTTCCTCTTGGCTTCCAAAATACCGCTCTCATCTGATGTCCCCAGAACATCCTGGATAGTCTTTCACAGTCTCCTCTGCTGGTTCTACCTTCTCTACTGCACATCTCAGTACTGCTGTTCATCAAGACCCTGACCCTCTTCTTGGGTGATCACATCCTTCCTCAGTTCTCTAAATCCCATAGAAGTGCTGGCAATTCCAAGCATGTATCTCCTGCCCAGTCATCCCTCTGAGCTCCAGACACACATACATCCAATTGCCTACTTGACGTCTTCACTCGAATGTCCTATAGGTATCTCACACTTAATGTGTTTCACCCATCTCATTAAATTGTACCAACATTTATTCAGATATGCAATTCTAAAATATGGCGTTTATTTGTGCTTCTTCCCACTCACTCATGGAATCTATTTTTGTTATCTATCTCTTTACTCCCCAAAAAACCTTTATTCCACCCACTTCTCTCCATCTCCCCAGCCACCATGCTACTTTTAACTACCATCTTCTTTTACCTGGACTCCTGCAGAAACCCCTGGCATATTATCACCCCTGCCCCCATGTCATTACTCTGCTTACATCACTTCTGTGTCTTCTCATTGATCTTCCAATAGAACATAAACTTCTCCCTAGAGCACAAAAAAGCCCTCAGGGTCTGGCTTCCGACTACTTGTCTGAGCTCATCTCAGATGCTCAGTCCCTTGCTCATTTCCCCTGTGATAGTGAACATGAAAAATCTTTTCTGTCTCAGGGCTTTTGCAGTTGCTCTTCCCTTTGAATGCAATGCACTTATCCTGGTTCCTCTGACTTCCAAATTCTCTGCATACATCAGAACTCAGTTGACTGTCACCTCCAGTGTTTCCCAACCACCTCACACTTCTCTCTAAGCCAGCGTGTTTTCTATCATAATGTCATGTTTACACCTTTTATACTTTGCTACTCCACCTGTGACTCAGGAACCAGCAGCATCAGCAATGCCTAGGGGTCTGTGAGAACTGCAGAATCCCAGACCCTGCCTCAGCCTAAAAAAAATCAGAATCTGCGTTTTATCAAGATCCTCAGTGGATTAATATAAATATTAACATTTGGGAAATGGAACTGGGAAGAACTGATCACAAACTGTATTTATTTATTTAATTGTGCATTTGCTTATGTCTGTTTCCATCCATACTATGAACCCCATGAGGTCAGGAAATTTGTCCATTTTCTTTACTATTGAATCTAGTACTCAGCACAGTCCTTGGTATATAGTTGGCACTCAATACATATTTGATGAATAAGAAATTTAATCTAACTTTCTCAATTGATCCATGAAGAAACTGAGGCTCAGAAAAGTCAAGTGAATTTTTTGAAGTCATACAGCTGTTTATGAACAAAACCAGTGCAAAAGCCCACAAAAAATAACAATAAAGTCTGGGCGTGGTGGCTCATGCCTGTAATCCCAGCAAGTTGGGAGGCCGAGGCGGGCAGATCACCTGAGGTCAGGAGTTTAAGACCAGCCTGACCCACATGGCGAAACCCTGTCCCTACTAAAAATACAAAAATTAGCTGGGTGTGGTGGCAGGTGCCTGTAATCCCAGCTACTTGGGAGGCTGAGGCAGGAGAATCACTTGAACCCAGGAGGCAGAGGTTGCAGTGAGCTGAGATTGTGCCACTGCACTCCAGCTTGGGGGACAGGGCAAGACTCTGTCTCAAAAATAAATAAATAAATAACAACAAAAAATGTTCTTGACTCTCCAGAAAGTATGAGAGAGAGAGAGAGAGTGTGTGTGTGTGTGTGTGTGTGTGACAAAGTATAACCTAAGATTTCCTTTGCTATTGTCTCTATCATTATTAATAACAATAATCACTTATTTATCATACTTTATCATTCACAGTCCATTTTCACATATACTAACCTATGTGGAAATTTACCCAGAATTTGTGTCTTTATATTTTCTTTCATGAAGAGCAGAGAAAATGGCAAAACCAGCCCACAAGTTTGTGGAGTTTATTAATGGATCAAAAGATCACGGAGAAAGCAAAAAAGAAGAGAAAGTAAAATTTCTCATAAGAATAGCTGTCAACGAACCAATTTAGTGGAGTGGACAGCTCTTCAGCCAGATGAAAGCTGTCCAGTTGTGGTTGACAGGATTGCTTGAGGGTGTCAGAGGCAACCCAAGGACCTAACATGAATTTTGCAGAAGTGGTTTGGAATTTATTTTAATTGTCATTACTGGACTTACTTTTAGTTCAATGGACAGTTCTGCCTAATTTAAAAAGCTTCTTCTATGCTTAAATTTTGCTCGTCACTCCTAGTTTAAAGTTAAGCTATTTCTAACTCCTAATTGGCATGCCACAAATGAACCATTACATTGAACTTGGTGCTCTCTAACCCTGACATTCCCACTTGGTTCAAAATGTACCTTCTCTGGAGCCAGAGATGTTCATCACAGACGCTCTGAATCTGTTTTCTTCTTTTACAAGAGTAAAGACAGTATAAGAAAGATTATTCTTATGGTGGTGGTGGTGTTGATGGAGAATTCATGTTATAAGGATATGTTTAAATCACAGTCCATAGACAAAAAAGCGACCTAAAACAGCCAGGCCAGCCTGCCCCCAATATAGGAGCCCTGTACAGTACCTTGATATGTGGTCATCCAGGAATTCTTTTTTTATATAATGCTAAAATATAAATAATAAAATTTATTATTAATATATAAAATAAGCATTTTAAGCATATAATTTAGTGATATTAAGCCCCAAAAGAGAATGAGGTCATGTCCTTTGCAGCAACATCGATGGAGCTGGAGGCCATTATCCTAAGAAAACTAACAGAGGAACAGAAAATCAAATTCAGCATGTTCTTACTTACAAGTGGGGGCTGAACACTGAGTACATTACAGACACAAAGAAGGGAACAACAGACACTGGGACCTACGTGAGGGTGGAAGGTGGGAGGAGGGTGAGGATCAAGAAACTACCTATCAAACAATGCTTATTATATGGATGATGAAATAATCTGTACACCAAACCCCCTGTATAACAAACCTGCACATGTACCTCTGGACCTAAAATAAAAAGCTAAAAAAAGAACATTCACAGTGGTGTGCAACCATTACAACTATCCACTTCCAGAATTTTTTCATCATTCCAAACACTCTATAATTCTTAAATAATAACTCCGCATTCACCTGTGCTCCCAGTCCCTGATAACTACTTTTCTATTTAATTTCCCTATGAATTTTCTGAGTCTAGAATCCTCATGTAAGTGGAATCACAATACTTCTCCTTTTGTGTGTGATTTATTTCACTTATTTATTTGTTTCATTTATTTTTAAGGTTCATCCATGTGGTAGCATGTATCAAAACTTCATTCCTGGCCGGGCGCGGTGGCTCATGCCTGTAATCCCAGCACTTTGGGAGGCCGAGGCGGGCGGATCACCTGAGGTCAGAAGTTCGAGACCAGCCTGACCAACATGGAGAAACCCCGTCTCTACTAAAAATACAAAATTAGCCAGGCATGGTGGCATATTCCTGTAATCCCAGCTACTTGGAAGCCCGAGGCAGAAGAATAACTTGAACCCGGGAGGCAGAGGTTGCAGTGAGCCAAGATCGCGCCATTGCACTCCAGCCTGGGCAACAAGAGCAAAACTCCATCTCAAAAACAACAACAACAACAACAACAACAAACTTTATTCCTTTTTATAGAGAAATAAAATTTTGTAGTATGTATATACCACATTCTATTTATTCACTTATCTATTAATGGAAACTTGGGCTGTGTTCACCTTTGGGCTCTTGTGAATAATGCTGCTATAGACTGTTGGTATACAAGTGTCTGTTTGTATCCCTGCTTTCAATTCTTTCGGGTGTACCCCTGGGATTGAATTGGGGGATCACATAGGCATTCTATATTTAACCTTTAGAGAAACCATCAAACTTGTTTTTCACAGTGGCTGTAGCATTTTACATTCCCGCCAGCAATGCACAAGTGTTTCCATTTCCCCACATTCACACCAACACTTGTTATTTTTTATTCGTTGTTTTATTTTTTATAATTGCCATCCTAATGAGTGCAAATTAGTATCTCATTGCCATTCTGGTATTCTTAAACACTTTCTGTGCCAGGGAACACAAAACAACACCGGGAAGCTATTGCAGATCATCTTTAATTGTTAGAAGGCTCTTATTATCTGGTACTAAATCTTGCCTCCCTGTCAGTGACTCTAATTCATTACACATCAGAGTCACTTGGGAGATTTTAAAAATTTCTCTATCCAAGCTGCAACTCAGACCAATTAAATCAGCACCTCTGAGGGTGGATTCCCAGAATCAGCATTTTTTAAGGCTCCTCAGGTAACTTAAATATGCAGGTAAGGCTGGGAACCACTGCTTAAAGTTCACCCACTGGTCTTAGTTAGCCTCACAACCTGTGATAACCTTATCATTGAACCTTCCCTGACATCCTTTATTAAATAGCCAGTCTGCAATCCGCCACAGGCCATCCAGTCCTCCTTACCCTCCTAGATATTTTTTTTTGCCATGGACTGTACTATCAGCTGACACCTTACATACTGTCTCATGCATCTGTTTATTGTCTGTTTTTCTCTCTGTTTTGCTTATTGCTGTTTCCCTAGGACATACAACAATGCCTAACACAGAGTAGGTGCTCAGAAATTGTTAAATGAATGAATATGTGAATCTACTCTTATTTCAAATGACAGCGCTCAGATAGCTGCAAGTAGCTTTTGCATTTCATCTCTGGGCCTTCTTTTCTCTAGGTGAAATCTCTATACTTTCAACCAGGCTTCAAAGACATTGAATAATAAATATAACCATTATGAGCACAATATATCTCTCTTTCACTGAATCAGCAAGTAATTGAGCACTTACTATGTAATGCATCATCTACATATGTAATATTAATACATAGCATTTCATGTACATTAATACATACTCTAGACTAGATATTGTGCCAGACACTGGAGATTGTAGTGAAAAAGATAACAAAAGTCAATCTGTGGAATTGGGGCACAGAAAACAATAACAGAAGTCATTTCAGATAACAGTAAATGCTGTAAAGAAAATGAAAAATGTTTGTTGGCTGTGGTACACTAACTGGGGGTTAAATTTAATCTGAGGCCTGAATGACAAGAAGTCTGTCACTGAAGAATCATTCCAGGAAGAAGGCACCTCAAATACAGAGGCCCTGGGGGTGGAAGAGATGAGTTTCAGGGGGGCCGTTAGTCTCTAAGAAGGACAGGGAAGAGAACCACCATCACCTCCTTTGTTAGTGCTTTAACTCAACTAACATGACCTAAGATCAAATGAATTTTTGGTGGCCACATCAGCCTATTAAGGTCTTTTTTCTAAGTGTACAGTTTTCCTCATTGAATTAAATCTTCCCTATCTGATATTTGTACTGTTGATAGTTAGAACTTAAGTGTAGAAGGGTGATTTAAATAAGCATATCTGGAATTTCTTTTCATCTGAACTTCAGTCATAAACAATCTATCAATCTGCCTATAAAAATACTTCTCAGCTGAATGGAGGGACTTTCTCATTCTCCAACTGCTGCCAGACTGGTTCCTCATTCCCTTTGGCCCCTTGTCTTCTGTGCCAGCTTAACAGAAGTTCTGGACAAGGCCAAAGCCATGACTTTGCAGGCTGCTTCCATCTGGAGAGGGCATGCACCTTAATTTTCAGTCAAAAGAGCTCAGGAAAGACAGAGAATTCTTGATTTTTGGAACTGTGTGTTCTCAGTGGTGGGCTCACAGGACAAGCAGCCTCTCCCAGACCAGCCACTAGCACGCTCTGACAAGTCAGCTCTTCTTTTCTGGGCCCTGGTTTTCCCATATTCAAATGTGGGGTTTGGGTCTAGGACAAACTTGTCTAACCCATGGCCTGTCGGGGCACAGGCAGCCCAGGACAGCTTTTAATGCAGCCCAACCCAATTTATAAACTTTCTTAACACATTATGAGATTTTTTTGCAATTTGTTTTTTAGCTCATCAGCCATTGTTAGTGTTAGTGTATGTTATGTGTGACCCACGACAATTCTTCTTCCAATGTGGACCAGGGAAGCCAAAAGATTGGACACCGCTGGTCTAAGAGTTTTAAGATTCTTTGAAACTTCATTAAAAAGAACATTTTATTATACTATAAAAGTTTTTAAAATCCCTATAGCTTCTGAATATTAATCTGCAGATATCATGCTTTCATTGAAAAGGGATCTTCATTTTCAAGTTAATAAAACAAAATGCTGAGTTTACATGGGGAAGGCAACATTTGTAGACTAAATCAGATGCTGAACTTGACAAGAACACAAATTTGAACTGGGAAAACAATGACATATTGTGGGCACTAAAAGAAATGATCAGGGTGGTGAAAGGAGCCACTGAGCTTATTTATTGGCTACTATCTCTCCAACAGACTTCACAGAATCTGAATTCAATTTGTCCAGGTGAACTGATGTAAGAACAACCATCACACCACAATCTTTTCTCTCTGGGAGAACCTACCTGTAAGCAGAAGCTTCTGCATGGGCTGGAATGGGACACTGTAACAAGATGGCTTTGCATTCAGGCCAAGTAACTGTATGAATGCAAAGTAACTTGCTCAGTAACAACCAGTTCAAGTTGCTACTGAGCAAGCAGTGGGCTCCTTGCTGATGTTTATAGAAGCCAATACTATGGCCCTGGCTTTTGAGGAAAAAAAAAAAGGCTTCATTGTAAGTTGATCGGCAAGGAAGCAGGAGGCAAAGCTCAAATCTGTCCCCCTGAGCTGGGGGCTGTGGCAGGTTTTATAGGTAGAGGGTAATAAGGTGTGATCTGATTGGATCTTGTGATAAGTTAATGCCAAGAGGTATGATCTGACTGGATTATGCCACAAGGTGATGCTAGGGCTCTATATGATTGGATCGTGGATCATGCCATGAGACGTCCACTTCTTTATTTGGTCCCCATGCCTTGGTCCAAGCACTTAGGTTCCACCCTGTGGTTGCATGCTTGGTTCATCTGGGCCTGGTCAGTTTAACTTGCAACCTGGGGGTCCATGGCAACTAAAACACAACTCACCATTTTATACACAAAGTTGGACCAAATTGGGCTGCTCCTGCAGTTGCAAAGTTACTATCATTCATTCACTCAGCTTTTGCAATCTAGTTGAGTAGGTGCACAAAACAGGCATCAACTACATATGTCTGAATGCTAGTTGAACTAAATGCCCTGAAGGAAAGCCACAAGTGCTTGGATGGAAAATAACCTGTTAATTCAGCTCTCTAAGCCTCATACTCCTCTTATGTAGGAGCTAACCAGGATAAAATGTCAAGCGACCGGTTCAGATTTTGGTGTACATTAAACGCATGATAAATATATGTGTCATCAGCTGATGGTGAAGTTACCTTTCTGAAGGTCAATGATGAAAAGACGAATTTTCCTTCTTGTGTCCCAGAGTTTCATTCAATTCTTTGTGCTTGTGTGTGTCTTTCAGTTCTGAGGAGGGTTTCGGGTCAGTGGAGAAGGTGGTGCTGCTCACGTTTCTCTCGACGGTTATCCTGATGGCCATCTTGGGGAACCTGCTGGTGATGGTGGCTGTGTGCTGGGACAGGCAGCTCAGGTGAGCAGCAGGAGGGAACCTTTTGAGGAAACATGGGAGTTCTGAGCTGTCCCTAGAGAGTTGGGTGTGAACATTTCTATTAGAATTTGTAATTAAGAAAGAAAACATTCATGGGAACAACATTTTAAAAATAAAAGGGGAGAAAAAGGGATTGCAATTAATCCTACAACTCTAATACAACCAGTGTAAACATTTCAGTGTATTTCCATCCTGTCATTTTTTTCTTTGTCAAATGTGTTTATAGTTGTGATCACTATATATACAATTGTTGAGAGCACATATAATCTAACCTCCCCATTTTATTAATGGTTTAGGGAAGATGTGGCTGACAAGGGACAGATCTAGAAATTAAACCTGTGTTTTTTGCACTTCTACTTCATCAGTCTCAACCCTGGCTGCAATTAGAACCACCTGAAGCACTTTGAAAAACTATCATCGTGTGGTATTAGTATGTCTCATGTAGTATTTTGGACATAGTTATATTTAAAAAGTGATTTATTGCTAAAGTTCAAATCTAATCAGGCATCCTGTATTGTATCTGGTAATCTTTGAGGGGAGAGGCGTTAACTCCCCAGGGTGCCTGAACTAACTGATCTGGGGTGAGACCTCAGCATCAATACTTATTAAAATGCATCAGGTGATTCTAGTGTACAGCCTGGGATGAGAGCCTCTGGGCCATAAGAGGGTATAACGAAGCAGTTCCTCTCTAAGTAAGACATCCACACATCTAATGATGATGCAAATAAAGTGCAAAAGCGCAATTCTGACCAGTGTTATAAATGTGAGTACACAGTAGCCAGTCTGCTAGTGTAAAATGGTGGACTGTGACTACAGTCACAGGGCATACCTTGGGAGAGTTTCCTGAGAATGCCCGACCAAGGACTGACGGGTGGGTGGGATTAACCAGGCAACCGTTGGAAGAAAGAACATCTGCATTGGCCCTCAAAAGGGACCTATATGTGCAGGGAAACTCAGATTAGGGCAGGGTGGCCAGAAGGGGGAGGAAAAAAGAGGTTTTGGTATAAGGTAGGTCTGGAGAAGTCAGGAGAGGCTGGACCACGCTGGGTCTTCTCAGCCATGTTACAGAAGGGGAAATTGAATCTCACGGAATACACTAAGCATGTGACTTTTTCTTTCCTCTTTCCCCCTCCCTTCTTTTCTTCTTTCTTTGTTTCCCTTTTCCCTGTTTTTTCTCTTGATCTCTTCTCCCTCCCCTTTTTCCCTTCATCCCTCCCCCTGCCTCCTCTCTTACACTTTTTCACTCACAGGAAAATAAAAACAAATTATTTCATTGTATCTCTTGCTTTTGCGGATCTGCTGGTTTCGGTGCTGGTGATGCCCTTTGGTGCCATTGAGCTGGTTCAAGACATCTGGATTTATGGGGAGGTGTTTTGTCTTGTTCGGACATCTCTGGACGTCCTGCTCACAACGGCATCGATTTTTCACCTGTGCTGCATTTCTCTGGATAGGTAAGGACAGAACAATGTGCATAGCGGAGCTCCATGCTGGAGACATGACTTGATGGATATTGGGCAGTGTCTGCCTTTTCTTATTCATTAGAAGAAATGAATCTCAGAGAGGTAAATTTGATAATTCAGTTATACAGTCATTCTCCAGCCTTTGCAGAGGCCCCCTTTTTAGTCAGGCCCTCTCTGAGGCACTGTAGATGCACAGATTAGTAAGACCTATAACTTGTCTGCAAGGAGATTGCAATCTAAATAGCAATAGATGTCAGCAATCAAGTTTACTATAGAGCTGTAAATTTTATACTGATGGCATGAACAAAATTCTGAAGAAGCTAAGCATCAAGAATGAGTACATCTTCCCAGAGGGCAGCAGGGGTGGTTCAGAATGAAAATGCCCTATGTTTGAACATAACCTTTTCTTGAAAATATGTTTCTGTAATAATTTGATATACATATTTATGTATGTGCATATAATTGTGGAGACTCTTTTCCAGAAAGTTACAGTAAACTTCCCAATAATTTTATGATTTTTGGACCCAGATCTAGCATTTCATTCTTGTGGCATAATTTTATTTTCTTTCTTCATATTTGACTTCAGGGGACCTAATGATTTTCATCTTTGCCTCATTTGTTGCAGATTTATGTATTTATCACTTGTACCATCACTATTCATTTTCCAATTCCTGCTAATTTACATTTCATCATAAAGGTAGAATGCAATCTAAAGTCAGATGACTACACAAACATGCTGTTATCAATGTAGTAGTATCTTAGGGGTTAGCTCTCAGAAAAATGTGGGGTGCAAATCACATGTAATCAGAATTGCCAGGGACAATGATTTCTTACTGTGTCTTGAGCAACCCAACAAACCCAAGTTTTCCTCCAGTCTTGGGATAGATCACTTTTTTAAAATTTAGTTTTATTTATTCTTATTTATTTTTTATAGGGACAAGTCTCACTATGTTACCCAGGCTGGTCTCGAGCTACTGTGCTCAAGTTATCCTCAGCCTTCAGCCTCCCAGAGTGCTGGGACTACAGATGTGAGCCATCGTGCTCAGACAATCACTGTTTTTTATTTTTATTTTCATTTATTTTTATTTATTTATTTTATTTTATTTTATTTTATTTTATTTTATTTTATTTTTATTTTTTGAGACCAAGTCTTGCTCTGTCACCCAGGCTGAAGTGCAGTGCCGCAATCTCGGCTCACTGCAAGCTCCACCTCCCGGGTTCTCGCCATTCTCCTGCCTCAGCCTCCTGAGTAGCTGGGACTACAAGCGCCCGCCACCAGGCCCAGCTAATTTTTTGTATTTTTAGTAGAGACGGGGTTTCACCGACAATCACTGTTTTTTTTAAATTGAGGACTAGGAAAAGTAGTTGACTGAAACTAGAGATTGTGGTATATCTAACATACACACTTTTAAACACTAACATCATAGTCTTCCCAGAGAATTAATCACACTGGGGGAGGTACTTAGAGACTGAAACCAGCTGAGGGGACAGCAGGTTCATCTCCTATTTCATGGGACATATGTGCATTGATTGGAATGGTAGTCATAATGGCCTGCTGTATTTAAATTGCTTTCTCTTTTCCTCTGCCAAGAACATATAGTTGAATATGCTTAAGTTAAATGCATGTATAATGAGACTCCACTCTATAGCTAGAGATAATGACTCTGGTAAAATTGAACTCATGGCAAGCAACCAGACCCATGGCATGGCATAGTTGGAAATTTGTGTTTATTAGCTTGTTTACAACAATCTGACTTTAGTACATGAAAGACTTTTAAAGACAGTCAGGATACACTGAATGAAAGTTTGTATTATAGGAAATACAATGTAAGGAAGTAGAAAATCTATGGAAATCCTGCTGGGTAACCTGCATATGATCATTGTTAAAATGAGTAGTGAGACTGAAAGTACTACAGGAATTTGGAGAAGACCAGGCAGGGGTGATAGGGGCAGCTGAGGTAACCTCAAGGCCTGTGTAAAAGCAGGAGTAAGAAAAAGAGCCAGTCAGCCAGGAAAAAAAATGGGAGAAAGTGTAGAATCAACTGTCCATTGTGGAGAGTTTGCTGTGGGCAGCCCTGAGAGAAGGTCTAGAGGTTTCCTTGACAGGTTTGGCTTCAGATTTATGCCTACGTACTTTTCAAATCAGGAAACTTTTCCTGAGTAGGTATGAGTTGTCATGAAACAGGATGAATTGGTCATTAAGAACCATCTGCTTTAGAATTGAAGAGATTTGGGTTCAAATCCCAGCTTTTAAAATGTTTAGTTCTGGGAATGGGAATAAGTGATTAAGCCTTTCTGAGTCTAAGCCTTTCTTGTCTCTAAAACTTAGGGAGATAGCACCTATTTTATATGACTACAGTTAGGTATAAATTGGATAATCCATTTAAGGCATCACTTTGGCCCAGCTTGTCACAATATTCCATGTTAGTGGATGTTGTTGTTCATGTCAGTTTCTTGTAACTAGCCATACAACTCATGATCTTTCTCATCAAACTTGCACCTCCTCAGTGAATAGCTGCTCCAACAGCTTGCATCATCTAGAAACCAGGTAGTTATTCTGATAGCAGTCTTTCCTTGCCTCCTACATTTAAATAATGACAAGTCCTGCTCATTTTCTTTCCTAAAGAGATCCTAGTCTATTTCTCTCTATCATTCATCCAAAGTAATATCATTTCTTGAAGAAATCACTCAACACTTTCCTAATTATTCCCTCCAAATATGTTTTATTCCCTCCCCATCCACTTGTCGCTCACAAGATCAAAAGCCATCCTTTTAAAATGCTGCTCTAATACTGTTGCTCCTTTGCTTAAAACCCTTCAGTGGCTATTCATTGCATTGAAGATCAAGACCAGACTCATACAAGGTTTTTCACCCTCTGTTTCCTGTCCATGTCCCCAGCTTCCCTTCACCCCCTTCCTAACCTCACCTCCAGGCCCGAGTTGCTTTGGCCTTCTTTCTAGTTCTCCAGGGCTCTCTGCTCAGCCACCTGAGGCCTTGGCTTTTCCCTCTGCCTGAAAACTTCCTCTGCCCCTCCTCTCCTGCATGTCTTTCAGATTTTAGCTAAATCTTCTCTTCTTTGCAGAAGTCTTCGCTGACTCCATCAAAACCATTTTTCTCCTTTGTAGAACTCAGTGTAATTATAGTTAAAATCAAGTCTATACTTTCTTCTTAAATGTCTTTCTATTCCAATGGGAGGAAGCCCAAGGCTACGAACAAGGGCAAGATCCCTGCCCTCATAGAACTTGCATTGTTATGGGGAGGTTGACAATTAAACAGTCATTGCATAAATACTTATTTAGGTATTTGACAAACACGATTGAACAAATGGAGTGGTCAGCACGTTCTCTTTGTGAGAGTCATGCCAATAATTCCATTTCATTCTCTGACAGTGTATGTCAAAAACTCCAATACCATAAGTAAGATATCAGATGGGGTTTCTTTTGTTTTATTTTCCTTGGGGAGCTTGGGGATCTTGCCTCCAGCTTGTCTCCAGCTTTCCCTGTCCCAAGAGCGTTCCCTCATAGTGCTGGAGGGTCCATCCTGAACATTACAGGGCAATGTTTTAGCCTGGAAGAGGATGGTTTTATTTATCATCTAGCTCTGTTTTTGCTGTGTCCTTCCCGTCCTAACAGTTTGGTTCAGCTGGGCTGGGCCAAAGCACAGAGTGAATGTCTCAATGAGGTGTGATGTCCTTGTTAGCCATGTTATTCCCGGCAGTATGCCATGTCCTTCTCTCTAGAGCTGCTACAAGTCTTCTGGGATCAATCATAAGGGGTAGTTCCTTTGAGCAAGAGGGCTCACTTTAATTTGTAACTCTTCTCAGATGGCAGACTCCTGGATCAAAGCAAAATGTAGGACTCCTTTAGTACTACAAAATGCATTTTCCCAACTCCCATTCTCAGCTCACTGTGCTTCCTGGTGCTTTCAGAATTGAATTCTGTTAATAAGAATTTATTGCCTCCTTAAAAATAATTTCCAAAGCATAATTAAAATAAATGCACCATATAGTATGGGTCATAGGAGATCAAAAACTGCTTTAAAAGCTTTAGAGTACAGTTGATTTTTTTAAGATCTAAAGTACTGTGGTGAATAAAAGCTAACCAAGTAGTCATGATAGAGTACTAGTTTTAAAAGTGAAATATAAGGCAGCCATTGAAAACCATGAGAAATAATGACGTGTGTTGTCCTAGAAATATATCACTGGTGTATTATGTTGGGGGAAAAAAAGCAACTGGCAGACTCTAATGTTTAGCATAGTTCCATTTTTGTAAAATAAATATAGAGATGCATGTATCTGGGTTTACATGAGTGTGTGTGGAGAGAGAGAGAAAGAGAGGTGGAGAGAGAGAGAAAGAGAGGTGGAGAGAGAGAGAAAGAGAGAAAGAGAGAGAGAGAGAAAGAAAGAGAGAGAGATTGAGAATGAAAAAGAAAGATCATGAATGAATTTTCACCAAATCGTTAACAGGTGGTTATTTGAGGGGTAGGGCATACGGTGTAGTGCTGGCCAGAGTGGATGGTCAGTTAAATTGGGGTTGGGGGCCTTCAGTTTTACTAATTTCTGTAATACACATTTTAAACTTCAATTTTCCCTTTGCTAGAACGTAACCTTCTCAAATGCAAGTCCATCCACAATAGCCTTTTAACTGAAAATGTTGCTAGAATGGCACATTCCTCAGTTCTCTGAGAACATTCTGCTTCAGTGCTGGGAGTTCCCTCTGAGGTCAGAACAAGCCAGGGAGCATGGAAATCTTCCTGACCAGTGTGTTCTCTCTGCTTTCTCATCAAACACCCTCACATCTCCCTCTAAGGGAGCCCTCACCATCTCTTACGGGGTGCATCACTCCTACATTGGTCTTGGTTAACCTCCTCCCTGTTCACAAGCTTGTATTTGATTTTTTTCTAACAGTCCCTTTTCTAATCCTCACAGATTTTTTAAGTCACAATATTAATAATACCTGAGCATTGTAGAAAATGCCATCAGTTCACAAGTAGAACATAATGTCCCCAATTCTTTCAATATCCACTTCCACAGCTGCATAACCTGAGGTAACCACTGTAAATAGCAACTGCCTGTAAATGCCAGTGATTTCATATGTAATAAGCAGACTTATTTGAATATATTTTGAGTTTATGATATATGCCAGTGAGTTGCCTGAATGTAATGTTTTTACCAACTTGCTTATTGGATGATCTATTAGCAAGGTTTCTTTCAGCAGCATGCGGCAGATAATAAATTGATCGTTCAAATAACTGAAAAGTCTGGCTTCAGACATGGCTCTCTACAAGGATTTGAACAATGTCATTTAGTCTAACTTTGCCCCTCTCTAACTCTGTTTCCCTCTCCTCTTTGTCTCCATCTTGCCTTCTTGTTCTCCCTGTTTACTTCCCTCTCTGTTTCCCTATGTCTATTCCTCTCTTTCTATCTGTCCCTCTTTGTCCCTATGCTGTCCATCAGCTCTGGTTTCTTGTTAGATTTTTTTCTTAGGCTGGGTTCTTCCACCAGGAAAGAAAAATAGTCACAGTCAACAAATCTTAAACCATCCTTAACACATGAGTCCATAGGAAGAGAAACCTAAGTGCTGTTTCTCATGGAAGAATTTCCGTTGGCTTTGCTTGTGTCAAACACTCTTCACTTAACCAGTCACTGTGGTGTGGAGATGACACATCCTGGTTACTGGGCAGAGGTCAGGCACCATGACTCCCAGCTTTACCAAAAACATATGGTGTGAAGAAATAGCAGTTCTCACTGGAAAGATGGGTGTTAGGCAGACAAGAAGAGGAGATACCAGTTCCCCTTAGGCTGGCCAGACCCTACAGGTATCTTTATGGAGCCTCCACAACAAAACAGAGGTATATCATCCCCAAGTCTTCCCTATATTAGGCCAAATATTTCTAGATCCTTCTGCTGGCCTCATAAGCCATACTTTTCAGACTTTTAACCATTTTTATCCCCTTTCTCTGAACATGCTGTACTTTGTCCTTTACTTAGCATTAAATGTAATTCCCTTTTTAAAAAAAAAGTCAATTTCACTTCCTTGAAGATAGTATTCTCTATAGTACTGCAAGATTCTTTTTTGGATACACCCAGCTGAATTGTCACCCTTCCTCTGCACAGCTCAAAAATTTGATGTGTTTTATCGGCAAAATTCTCCAACAGTTTCTTAGTCTCCGATCCTCTTTTAAACAGGTTTACTTGTAAAACATACAATTCTTACTTCAAGGTTGCATGTTTAATCTTGTGCTGGAGATAAATGTATCTGCATTTTCTTAATGATCTCCCTGGAGTATAATTCGATTTTGTAATGTATAAATGAAAAGTGTCTGTCATTGTGAACTGTGTCACACAATTACATTTGTTTTCCCAATAGGATTGAAATGCATTTCACAAGGAAAGTATATTAAAAGTTTCTCCTTCTCACATACTCTTTTAGGGCAGGTTCAGGCTTTGTACATAATATTTGTTGAGTTGAATTTCATGCCAGAGGGTTTGAACTGTTATTTTTATATTCATTTCATCAAACATTTATGGAGTGCTTACTAATTACTATGAGTTGTTCTGGACATTGTAAATACAGTGGTGAATGATCAGAAAAACTCTGAATCATGGAACTTTTTGTCTAGTTGGGAATACAGACAGTAAACAGATAATTACAGTAAAATTGGTGACCATTGAATACTATAAGGAGAAGGAAAAAAAAAAAGCTATTGGAGTCTGCTAAGTTGCAATCTCCAAAGCAGGGTAGGCTCCTGAGCAAGTGATGCTGATGCCGGGATCTGCAGGGGCTGTGGGTATCAGTAGGGGATAGGGAAGTTGGTGAGGCCTGGGGAGTGGCTGCTCCTGAAAACGCATGTGAAAACCCATAGGAAAGCCCTTGTTAACTAAAAGCTAAATTCTTAGCTCAGCTTTCACTGCTTTTCCAATGTGTTCTCAGTCTGATTTTCCTACCTCAACTCCTACCCATGAGTGATCTGTTATCATTCCCTGAATATATGTTTCCTCATAACTGCATGTTGCTACCTGTGCCTTGGGTTTCTTTTATTTTTCTGGCAAACATCCACCTTTCTTCAATACTCAGATAACATGTGTCGCCTTCTCCAATGACTGTTGGGCTTCATTCATAAAAATTTGTCATTTCTTCCTCTGAGCTCCCATGGAGTATTGAATCAAAGCATCGTGGTTAATAGAAGTTTCTTATTATGTGCGTCTCAATAATTGTTTGATTTGTCTGCCTTGCTCCAGAATATAAAATTCTTGAGAGTAGGCCTTATCTTATCTATTCGTGTGTTTTTCTTTCTGGAACATAATAGCTGTTCCATGCATGTTTGGCTGAGCACTGAATGCTGAGATGTGACTTGTGGTTGTTTGTATGACGCTGGGGTTGGTTTCTCTGTCCTCAGAACTCTTAATATAGAAAGTGGTTAAGAATGAGACCTGAGGTGCTAGGCTGCTTAGATTCAGTCACAGCTTGACTGGTTGTCAAGTGTGTGATCTTGGAGAAGTGACAAAGGTTTTCTGGACTTTGTCTTATCTGTAAAAATTGTGTTATTAATAGAAAATCCCTTCCCTTCTCTTTTAGGACTTGTGAGGAATAAATAACTGAGTGTTTATTGTTCAGTTAATAAACTGAATAATGCATAGACCAGTGCATGGTACTTGGTAAGTGTTCAATTAATGTTAGCCACAAGGACTATTCCATTATTGTTTTCCTCTCTAAATGCAAATTCCTAGTGGCTGTAGCGAGGGCCTTCCCAGACACTGATAGTCATCTTGTTCTTTCTGACTCATAGCTGAGTGCCCTTGAAGGTTAGATCCTTAGCCTTCCAGCCCTGAGTATGTCCCCTCTTTCCTTTGGAAACCTCATTTATCCCATGGCTTCACTTGCACCTCTGCTCTTGTCTCTCCCTCACCCCTTTCACACACTGGGCTCTGGGGTTCTATCTCTGTCTGCTCAGCATCTTGCCTTAAACATCTTTCTGTTTTCTCAAACCTCAGTGTGCTCAAGTAGACATTTTTATTGTAAACTAATACTATATCCTCTTCCACATTGTATATTGAAGGTGAATCTATTAGTTATCTTTCAGACATCGAAACACAACTTTTTGAAGTCATCTTTTACTTATCTCCCATGATCAGCTGGATGCCAAATCACACCTATTTTTTATAAATATCTTTTCTAAAATTTTTATTTTATAAAAATTATATATAAGATTATATATATATATATATATATATATATATATATATATATATATATATACACACACATAAAATAAAACCTAAAATTTTATTTTAGGTTTGGGTGTATATTTGAAGATTTGTTATATAGTTGAACTGTGTCACAGGGGTTCGTTGTATACATTATTTCATCACCCAAGTATTAATAAGCCCAGTACCTAATATGATTTTCTACTCCTCTCCCTCCTCCCAGCCTCCACTCTTAAGTAGACGCAATGTCTTTTGTTCCCTTTTTTGTGTTCATGAGTTCTCGTCATTTAGCTCCCATTTATAAACGAGAACATGCAGTATTTGGTTTTCTCCTTCTGCATTAGTTTCCTGAGGATAATGGCCTATAGCTCCATCCATGTTCCTGCAAAAGACATGATTTTGTTATTTTTCATGGCTGCATAGTATTCCATAGTGTATATGTACCACATTTTTGTTATCTAATCGGTCATTCATGGGCATTTAGGTTGATTCTATGTCTTCACCATTGTGAAGGGTGCTGCAAAAAACATTTGGGTGCATGTGTCTTTATGGTAGAACGATTTATACTCCTCTGAGTATATACCGAGTAATGGGATTGCTGGGTTGAATGATAGTTCTGCTTTTAGCTCTTTGAGGAATCGCCATAGTGTTTCCACAATGGTTGAACTAATTTACATTCCCTCCAACAGTGTATAAATGTTCCCTTTTTTCCTCAACTTCGCCAGCATGTGTCATTTTTTGACTTTTCAATAATAGCCATTGTGACTGGTATGAGATGGTATCCCATTGTGGTTTTGATTTGCATTTCTTTAACGATCAGTGATATTGAGCTCTTTTTTATATGCTTGTTGGCTGCATATATGTCCTCTTTTGAAAAGTGTCTGTTCATGTCCTTTGACCATTTTTTAATGGGGTTGTTTGACTTTTTTATTGTAAATTTGTTTAAGTTCCTTATAAATGCTGGATATTAGACCTTTGTCAGATGCATAGTTTGAAGATACTTTCTCCTATTCTGTAGGGTCTGTTTGCTCTGTTGATAGTTTCTTTTGCTGTGTAGAGGTTCTTAAGTTTAGATCCCACTTGTTAATTTTTGCTTTTGTTGTGATTGCTTTTGGTGTCTTCGTAATGAAATCTTTGCCTGTTCCTATGTCCAGGATGGTATTACCTAGTTTCTCTTCCAGAGTTTTTATAGTTTTGGGTTTTACATTTAAGTCTTTAATCCATCTTCAGTTGGCTTTTGTATATGGTGTAAGAAAGGGGTCCAGCTTCAATCATCTGCATATGGCTAGCCAGTTACCCAGCACCATTTATTGAATAGGGAATCTTTTCCCAATTGCCTGTTTTTGTCAGCTTTGTCAAAGATTAGATAGCTGTAGGTGTGTGGTCTTATCTCTGACCCTCTATTCTGCTCCACTGGTCTATGTTTCTGTTTTCATACCAGTACCATGCTGTTTTGGTTACTGTAGCCCTGTAGTATAGGTTGAAGTCAGGTGAGGTGACGCCTCCAGCTTTGTTCTTTTTGCTTAGGATTGACTTCGTTATTTGGGCTTTTTTTTGGTTCCATATTAATTTTAAAATAGTTTTTCTTCTACTTCTGCAAAGAATGTTTTTGGTAGTTTGATAGAAATAGCATTGAATCTGCAAATTACTTTGGACAGTACATCCATTTTAACAATATTCATTCTTCCCAGCTATGAACATGCAATGTTTTTCCATTTCTTTGTGTCATCTCTGATTTCTTTGATCAGTGTTTTGTAATTCTCATTGTAGAGCTCTTTCGCCTCCCTGGTTAGGTGGATTCCTGGCATTTTATTCTTTTTGCGGCAGTTGTGAATGGGATTGCCTTCCTGATTTGGCTCTTAGCTTGGCTGTCGTAGGTATATAGGAATGCTAGTGATTTTTGTACATTGATTTTGTATCCTGAAACTTTGCTGAAGTTGTTTATCAGCTGAAGGAGCTTTTGGGGCAATACTATGGGGTTTTCTAGATATAGAATCATGTTATCTTCAAAAAAAAGCATAGTTGAACTTCCTTTCTTCCTATTTGGGTGCTCCTTATTTCTTTCTCTTGCCTGATTGCTCTGGCTAGGACTTCCAATACTATTAGAAGAGGGAGGGCATTCTTGTCTTGTGCCATTTGTAAAGGGGAATGCTTCCAGCTTTTGCCATTTCATTATGATGTTGGCTGCGAGTTTGTCATAGATGGCTCTTATTATTTTGAGATATGTTCCCTCAATACCTAGTTTTTTTTGAGAATTTTTAACATAAAGAGCTATTGAATTTTATTGAAAGCCTTTTTCTGCTTCTATTGAGATTATCATGTGGTTTTTGTCTTTAGTTCTGTTTATGTGATGAATCACATTTGTTGGTTTGTGTATGTTGAACCAACCTTGAATCCTGAGGCTGAAGCTTACTTGATTGTGGTGGATTAGCTATATGATGTGCTGCTGGATTCAGTTTGCAAGTAATTTGTTAGGGATTTTTGCATTGATATTCATGTAAGGATACTGGCCTGACTTCTTGTTGTTGTTTCTCTGCCAGGTGTTGGTATCAAGACGATGCTGGTCTCATACGATGGGTTGGGGAGGAGTCTCTCCTCCTCAATTTTTTGGAATAGTTTCAGTAGGAATGGTACCAGGTATTCTTTGTACATCTGGTGGAATTAGGCTGTGAATCCATCAGGTGTGGGCTTTTCTTGGTTGGTAGGCTGTCTATTACTGATTTAATTTCAGAGCTAATCATTGGTCTGTTCAGGGAATCAGTTTCTTCCTGGTTCAGTGTTGGGAGGGTGTATGTGTCCGGGAATTTATCCATCTCTTCTAGGTTTTCTAGTTAGTGTGCATAGAGGTCTTTATAGTAGTTTCTGATTAGTTTTGTTTCTGTGGGATCAGTGGTAGCATCCTCTTTGTCATTTCTAATTGTGTTTATTCAGATCTCTCTCTTTTCTTCTTTATTACTTTAGCTAGTATCCTATCTATCTTCTTCATGTTTTCAAAAACCTAACTTCTGGGTTCATTGATCTTTTGAATGTTTTTTTGTGTCTTGATTTCCTTCAATTCAGTTCTGATTTTGGTTATTTCTTGTCCTCTGCTATTTTTGGGGTTGATTTTTTTCTTGCTTCTCTAATTCTTTCAGTTGTGATGTCAGGTTGTTCATTTGAGATCTTTATAACTTTTTGATGTGAGCATTTAGTGCTATGAATTTCCTCTCAATACTGCCTTTGCTGTGTTCCATAGATCCTGGTATGTTATATCTTTCTTCTCATTAGTTTCAAAGAACTTCTTGATTTCTGCCTTAATCTTATTACTTACCCACACATCATTCAGGAGCATATTTTTTAATTTCCATGTAATTGCATGACTTTGAGTAATTTTCTTAGCCTTGACTTCTGTTTTTATTGCATCGTGGTCTGAAAGTGTGTTTGATATGATTTTAGTTCTTTTGCATTTGTTGAGGATTGTTTTATGTCCAATTACGTGATTGATTTAAGAGTATGTGCCATGTGGTGATGAGAAGAATGTATATTCTGTTGTTTTGGGGTGGAGAGTTCTGTAGAAGTCTATCAGGTCCATTTGGTCAATGTTGAGTTCAGGTCCTGAGTATCTTTGTTAATTTTCTGCCTCAGTGATCTGTCTAGTGCTGTCAATGAAGTGCTGAAGCCTTCCACTATTATTGTGTGGGCATTGTTGTCTCTTTGTAGGTCTCTAAGAACTTGCTTTATGAATCTGGGTGCTTCTGTGTTGAGTGCATATATATTTAGGATAGCTAGGTCTTGTTGAATTGAACTCTTTGCAATTATGTAATGCCCTTCTTTGTGCTTTTTGATCTTTGTTAGTTTGAAGTCTATTTTGCCTGAAATTAGGATTGCAATCCCTGTTTTTTTCTGTTTTCCATTTGCTTGGTAGACTTTCCTCCATTCCTTTATTTTAAGTCTATGGGTATCATTACGTGTGAGATGAGTGTCTTTAAGACAGCATACCATTGGGTCACACTTTTTTTTTTTAATCCAGCTTGCCACTCTGTGACTTTTAAGTGAGGCATTTAATCCATTTACATTCATGGTTAATGTTGATATGTGTGGATTTGATTCTGTCATTGTGTTGTTAGCTGGTTATTATGCTGGCTTGTTTGTGTAGTTGCTTTATATATCATTGGTCTGTGTATTTAAGTGTGTTTTTGTATAATCTGGTAGCAGTCTTTCCTTTCTATATTTAGTGCTCCTTTCAAGATCTCTTGTAAAGCAGGTCTGGTGGTAACAAACTCCCTCAATATTTGCTTATCTGAAAAGAATCTTATTTCTCCTTCACTTAGGAAGCTTAGTTTGGCTGGATATGAAATTCTTGGTTGAAGATATTTCTTTAAGAATGTTGATTATAGGACTACGATTCTTTCTGGTCTGTAGGGTTTCAGGTGAGAAGTCTGCTTTCAGACTAATGGTGTTCCCTTTGTAGGTGACCTCCTCTCTCTCTCTCTAGCTGTGTTTAACATTCTTTCTTTCATTTTTATCTTAAAATATCTGATGATTATGTGTCTTGGGGATGGTCTTCTTGTGTAGAATCTTGCAGGAGTTCTCTATATTTCCTGAATTTGACTGTTGGCCTCTAGCAAGGTTGGGGGAGTTTCCATAAATCATTTTCTGAAATATGTTTTCCAAGTTGTTTGCTTTCTCCCCATCCCTTTCAGGGATGCCAGTGATTTGTAGATTTGGCCTCTTTTCATAATCCTATACTTCTCAGAGGTTTTCCTTATTCCTTTTAATTATTTTGTCTTTATTTTTGTCTAACTGTCTTATTTTAGAGAGACAATCTTCAAGTTCTGAGAAAGTTTCCTCAGCTTGATTTATTCTGCTGTTAAATTTCTGAATGCATTGAGAAATTCTTGTGTTGTGTTAGTCAGCTCTGTCAGATCCATTATGTTCTTTTTTTATACTGGCTATTTCATCCTTCAGCTTCTGTATCATTTTATTGTGTGTCTTGGTTTCCTTGGATTGGGTTTTGCCATTTTGCTGAATCTTGATACTCTTCATTCCTATTCATATTCTGAATTATATTTCTGTCATTTCAGCCAGCTCAGCCTGGTTAAGAACTCTCGTTGGAGAACTGGTGCAGTCATTTGGAAACATAACAATGCTCTGGTCATTTGAATTACCAGAGTTTTTGCATTGGTTGTTTCTCATCTCTGTATGTGGGTATTCCTTTAACTGCAGTGTAGATTGAATACAGTCAATAGACTCCTTTCCTGCCTGCTTTCACAGGGCCAAGGCATTGTGTACAGTCTTTATTTGAAGCTGACTTCTTGTCTTTGGTTTCAGAGGTGGGTATATAAATGAGGTATTTTTGATGCTTAAGCTTCGAGGTGTGGTCCTGTGGGTGGCACTTAGACATATGGTCAATTGGTAGACTCTTGCTCAGTTGTGTGGCTCCCCTGTTTCCTCACAGTTGCAGCTGTGTTCCCTCTAAATGCTCTGAAGGTGTGGGTTCCTCTCCCACTTGCATGCTGGCTGCAGATCATGGCTTGGAACTCCTGGGCTGCTGACTGTAGCTCTGGGGCAATCTCAGTATTCATATTCCTTCCTCCACTTGGAGGCAGCAGAGGAAGGGACCTTAGTAGTGGTTGTGGACAAGGGTCTTTTGCTTATCTCTTGGAGGCTCCACCCCAGAGAGATTGAGGTCAGGAATTGCTCAGTGCAGTCAGCCCAGACTGAAGGGTATGTGCTGGGGCCCAAGTTAGGGGTTACCTGTCTGGTGCAAGCAGAAGGAGTAGGTGGGACCCATGAGAGATGGTCTGGCCTCCTCTCCTTGGGTCAAGTGCAGCTTGTTGGAGGTGTAGAGAAGGCACTTAGGGTCTTTACTCCTTCATTAGTCCAAGGGTAGCAAGGGCAGTTCCACTGCAGAAGCAGTGGCAGAGAGGCTTTCAGTTGCCCCTGGAGTCTCTGTCCCGGGAGGTCCTGAGTTGCTACTGGCTCAATACCTCTGGCAGGGGATGGCTGGAGGCCCAGGCCTGGAGGACCTGCCTGGTGAGGAGATATGGGAACAGGTACCCACTTAAGTCTGGCTACTTTAACATATGGCTACTGCAGTATGCTGGGGGCCTGCTCCAGTTGCTAGTCACCTTGGATCTCCCACTACATGGAGGTATCAAGAGTGAAAAGTGCAAAACAGCAAAGATGGCAGCCTGCCCCTCACTCTGGGAGCTTCATCCCAGGAAGGTACATACCTGTTACCAGCCCAAATGCACCTATTAAGAGGTGGCCAGGGAACCCAGTTGGAAGGTTTTGCCAAGCTATACATGACCTGTTTACCCTGTTGTTATCTATTGGCATGTAACATCTACATCAAAACTCAGCAGCTTAAGCGACAATGTATGATTACTAGATCTTACATGTAACCACCTCCATTGCACATAACAAATATGGTCTTAATGCTTTCATTTGCCTTTAGAGACCAATTCATTCACCTTTATATTTCTTAGAATCAACTGTTAGGGAAAGATGTTGAACCAAGTGGCTTTTTATTATTTGTTAAATAATGTAGAGCTCATAATTCCAAAATATATTTGAGTCTGTTTATAATAATATGTATTAAACAGATATTTATGTGCCAAGAACTTCCTATGTTTTAAACATATTATTTCATCAATTCTCACAGTGAAGGAGAGGCATAATTGGAGGTTGACATAATTATTCTAACTTTAAAGATGAAGAAACTGGATCTTCTTGAGGTTAGTAACTGATTCTAAGACCACAGAGCTACTAAGGAGTTAAGGCAGGGAAAGTTGGTACCCAATGGTGAAGACGTAAAGTTGACTGCTACTATCTCCTCCAATTCTGACAGTCTAGAATTCCAACTTATTATCATTGCTTCTTGTGCCTTTTCTGTGGTTGGGAGGGCAGGAAGTGAGGAAGTAGAATTTTCCTTAATTGCAGAAGGAGCACGGAAGGGATTAGCATGGAGCTTAAAATACATGGCTGCCTACTAAGAGTTGTCAAAGTAAATTGTGTCCCCAGAGACATTTAAAAGCAATTTGATCACACATTTGCACATGGCTGCAGTGGGAGAAGCTGGTGGCTGGGTCTACAAAAGCAGATTTTAATGGAGTTTTATGAGCAATACTTTTGAAATGTTTTGCATAAGAAATTACTTTGTAAATATCCTTGCTTCATTTTAGTTAATCCTGGCCATCTGGAACCTCACTCATCATTTGAACATTCATTTAACTACTTTGTAAAAGTTTTCTGGTTAAGGAAGAATGGGAGATACCCAATGGAAGGCTGGAGAACAAATTTTGCTGATTCATGTATTCCTGAGATGAGACAATTACTTTTCCTGTTAAACACTGTCTACCTAGCATATGAATCAACAACTCTTTCTCTTGACTTCGTTTTAATTCAGCTTCTTTAGAAAAGCACACAGCAATATTGATTACGATGGACGTTTTCCAGCTTAAAAATCTTTTGGTAACTCCTCCTAGCCTAACATTCAAAACCTCTAAGACAATGGTTCTCAAAGTGTGTTCTCCAATCCACTAGCAACAGCATCACCTGGGAACATATCAAAAATGCAAATTATTGGGCCTCACTCCAGACCTACCAGCAATCTGTGTTTCAACAAATCCTTTAAGTGATTCTGACAGATGATACAATTTGAGAACCACTGCTCTGAGACGTGCCCCAGTCAGCCTTTTTAGGCTTATTTTTGTCTACTTCCTTGTGAACACCCTACAATTTCATTAACTTTACTCTTATGTTTATAGGGCTATATAGATATAGGAATATACATTTATGGGTATGTATTTCATATATATAATTTCTCTCTTCAGGCCTTGGCCATGCTGTCTACAGCACCTAGATTACACTTTCTCCTCCACCATCCTGATCCAGTCTCTAACATTTGACTTAAAAAACCGCTATTGAAGAAAGCCTTTCCCCATCCCTCTGCTAGATATGCCTGTTCACATCTCCAAAACCTGGTAACATATTTTAATGGAATTTATTGTACTTGGTAGTGATTGAGAGTTTATTACATTTTAAAAATCCAGTTTGTCAGTATCCACAATATATCTGGCATTGTACTAGCCATCATGGACACAAAGCAGAACAAGGCAAACATTGCTGTCCTCATGGAACTTATACATCAGTTGGGGGACGGTTTTCCCACCTCTTGTCCTAGATCATTTTCTTTTTTAGGGGCACAGGTGTCCTGTGCTTCTGGGTATCCCCTAAGCTATATTAAGTTATGGTGAGCAAAGTGGAAGGCAATGCAGTGGTTTTTGGTCCATATAGGATGCACCAGAACATAGTGCTGTCCTTGTGGCACCCCACTCTTAAGAGATAACGACATGTTATAGCACATACAGAGGACAAGGAGCTCCACTCCTGCTATTGGTGAAAATCCTCTCATCTAAACCAGGGGTCCTCAATCTCAGCACTACTGACATAGACCAGTATTGTTATTGGGGCACTGTAGAACGTTGAGCAGCATTCCTGACCTCTACCCACTGGATGCCAGTAGCATTTCCTTCCCAATTGTGACAACAACAACAAAGTCTCCAGACATTGTCAAATGTCCCCTGGTGAGCAAAGTCACCCCTGGTTGAGAGCAACAGGGAATTTTTTACCTGCAGAAAATAAGACTTCAGAGGGATGTAAAAGCTCTCTTCAGATATCACTAGAACCACTATGCAGAAAAAGAATTAGATAGAAATTTAAATTAAGCCAGAGGGAAAAACTACAAGTTACCGAAAATTGATTTTTAGAGGAAACTTTCTTAACTTTAGGATGCCCTTAAGTTTAGAATGTACTGCAGTAGGACCTGGTGAATTCCAAATCCCTAGAAAAATTAAGTGGGTTTGGATACACACTTCATTTTAGAGGGGATGTATTAGCCCATTTTCACACTGCTGGTAAATACATACTGAAGACTTGGCAATTTGCAAAAGAAAGAGGTTTAATGGACTCACAATTCTACGTGACTAGGGAGGACTCACAATCATGGCAGAAGGGGAAAGGCACATCTCACATGGTGGCAGACAAGAGAAGAGAGCTTGTACAGGGAAACTCCCCTTTATAAAACCATCAGATCTTTTGAGACCCATTCACCATCATGAGAATAGCATGGGGAACACCCACCCCATGATTAAACCACCTCCAACCGGGTTTCTCCCACAACACATGGGAACTGTGGGAGCCGCAATACGAGGTTTGGGTGGGGACACAGCCAAACCATATCCTTCCACCTCTGGCTTCTCCCAAATCTCACGTCCTCACATTTTAAAACCAATAATACCTTCCCAACAGTCCCTCAAAAGTCTTAACTCCTTTTGGTATTAAATCAAAAGTCCACAGTCCAACATCTCATCTGAGACAAGGCAAGTCCCTTCTGCCTATGAGCCTGTAAAATCAAAAGCAAGTTAATTAGTTTCTAGATAAAATGAGGGTATAGGCATTGGGTAAATATGGCCATTCCAAATGGAAGAAATTGAGCAAAACAAAGGGGCTACAGGCCCCATGCAAGTCTGAAATACAGTGGGGCACTAAAATCTTAAAGCTCCAAAATGATCTCCTTTGAATCCATGTCTCACATCCAGGTCATGCTGGTGCAAGAGGTAGGTTCCCATGGTCTTGGGAAGCTCCACTGCTGTGGCTTTGCTAAGTACAGATTCCCTCCCATCTGCTTTCACAGGCTGGCATTGAGTGTCTGCAGCTTTTCAAGGTGCACAGTGCAAGCTGTTGGTGGATCTCTGGTTCTGGGGTCTGGGGATGCTGGCCCTCTTCTCGCAGCTCTACTAGTTGGTGCCCCAGTAGGGACTCTGCACAGGGGCTCCAACCCCACTTTTCCCATCTGCAGTGCTCTAGCAGAGGTTCTCCATGAGGGCCCTGCCTTTGCAGCAAACTTCTGCCTGGGCATCCAGGCATTTCCATACATCCTCTGTAATCTAGGTGGAGGTTCCCAAACCTTAATTCTTGACTTCTGTGTACTCGCAGGCTTAACACCACATGGAAGCACCCTCTGAAGCTATGGCCTGAGCTCTATGTTGGCTCCTTTCAGCCATGCCTGGAGTAGCTGGGACACACGGCACCAATTCCCTAGGATGCACATAGTACAGGGACCCTGGGTCTGGCTCACAAAACCATTTTTTCTCCTAGGCTTCCAGGCCTGTGATAGAAGGAGCTGCCACGTAGACCTCTAACATGGCCTGGAGACATTTTCTCCATTGTCTTGGGGATTAACATTCAGCTTCTTGTTACTTATGGAAGTTTCTGCAGCCAGCTTGAATTTCTCCTCAGAAAATGGGATTTTCTTTTCTATTTTATTGTCAGGCTGCAAATTTTCCAAACTTTTATGCTCTGCTTTCCTTATAAAACTAAATGCTTTTAACAGCACCAAAGTCACCTCTTGAATGCTTTGCTGCTTAACATTTCTTCCTGATGGTGGAAATTTCTTCCTGGTGGAAATTTCTTCCATCAGATACCCGAAATCATCTCTCTCCAGTTGAAAGTTCCACAAATCTCTAAGGCAGGGGTAAAATGCCACCAATCTCTTTGCTAAATCATAACAAGAGCCACCTTTGCTCCAGTTCCCAGCAAGTTTCTCATCTCTATCTGAGACCACCTCAGCCTGGATTTTACTGTGTATATCATTATCAGCATTTTGGCCAAAGCCATTCAACAAGTCTTAAGAAAGTTCCAAACTTTCTCACATCTTCCTGTCTTCTTCTGAGTCCTCCATACTATTCCAACCTCTGCCTGTTACTCAGTTCCAAAGTCACTTCCACATTTTCGGTTATCTTTTCATCAGCACCCCACTCCTGGTACCAATTTACTGTATTAGTCCATTTTCATGCTGCTGATAAAGACATACCCAAGACTGGGCAATTTACAAAAGAAAGAGATTCAATGGACTCACAGTTCAATGTGGATGGGGAAGCCTCACAATCATGGCAGAAGGCGAAAGCCATGTCTCACATGGCAGCAGACTAGAGAAGAGAGATTGTGCAGGGAAATTCCCCTTTATAAAACCATCAGATCTTGTGAGACCCAGTCACCATCATGAGAACAACATGGGAAAGACGCACTCCCGTGATTCAATCACCTCCCACTTGGTCCCTCCCACAACACACGGGAATTGTGGGAGCCACAATCCAAGATGAGATTTGGGTGGGTACACAGCCAAACCATATCAGAGGACTTGAGGATTTCATGATTCTTAGCATCCTTCAAGTTCTGAGATTCAGTATGTTCATGTTTTGATTGTTTCCAAAGTGGCTTTTCAATGGGAGAGGCAGCTGAGTGAAATGATAGGAGGTTTATGTCCTGGCTCTTGAGTGAGTCTGCCTGGGCTAGATGCCAGCTCAGTTCTTACCACCTGTGAGACTGGGCAAATTTCGAACACTCCTGTGCTTCCCTTTCCTCATCTGTGAAATGGATATATTTACAGTTCCTGTCTCAAAAGTGTTAGGTTGGTGCAAAATAATCGTGGTTTTTGCCATTATTCTTGATGGCAAAAACCACGATTATTTTGCACCAATCTAATAGTTGTGCGGATTAAATGAGATCAAATGAGCAGAGCCCTTGGTCAGTAAATAAATACTAGCTATTATTATCAAACCAGCCAGTGCATTTTGCCTTACCTCCCTCCAAAGAACTTGCAAATTTAATTAGCTAATTCTGTCTAGTGGTGGTGTTTATGTGTTGCAGGAATAGTTCATGATAGGTCAGTTTCCTTTTTGTTATTAACGGGGACATTATAATCCAAATATAGGAACTGAAAATCAACTGCAATATATAAAAGTCAAGTTATCAGATTTCTATCTAGTCTTATCTACAGACAAATATTAAAATTTTAAGGAAGCACCATCGGTTAACACTAGAACTCAATTTTTATTAATCCCTTTATTCAGTGATTTTTTTTTCACCTACTTAATTTGCATTCTTGAGTCCAGCCTTCAGAGGATGTTTACTTTTCTAGATTTTTTGCTCGAAAGCAAAGATCAGAAAGACATTGGAAGGATATGAGGTGACTTATTTAGGGCTGCTGCCTCAAAGGTGCCAGGTCTTGGTGTGAATCTTCAGCACATAAAGTTAAGTAGATGCTAGAATTCGAGCTCCAAATAAGAACCTTATGTTCTATACTCAATCCCACTCAAAAATCAAATTATGTTTACTGTAAGACAGAGGACCACATTGAAGAAGCTGCAGAGGTCAAAATGCAAGTAAAACATATACCTAGACATAATTCAGTATTTTTCTTATTCATATCCTTACCTGTCACTAACAATCTACCTAACCTAATTTAAATTTAAGTAAAATAAAATCCTTTTTCCCCCTTTACTTATTGATAATTTTAAAAAAGGAGATAAAGGATTCTTCCCACCCTTGCCTAACCACCCTAGATCCTGCAAGAGCAAATTTCTACATCTGTGTTTGGGCATGTTTGGATGTATTCCACCTTAGCACCCTTCGAGTTGGGCTTATTGCCCAAGCACTTTACTTCTGGCAAGCATTTTCCAGGGAACTGACTGTATATGTAAAATGTGTAAGGGGGCCAGGTGTGGTGGCTCATGTTTGTAATGACAGCACTTTGGGAGACTAAGGCGGGTGAATCACTTGAGGCCAGGAATTTGAGACAAGCCTAGCCAACATAGCGAAACCCTGTCCCTGCTAAAAATATAAAAATTAGCTGGGTGTGGTGGTGCACGCCTGTATTCCCAGCTACTCAGGAAGCTAGGCAGCTGAATCAATTGAGCCTGGGAGGCGGAGGTTGCAGTGAGCCAAGATCACATAAGCACCTCAGCCCGGGCAACAGAACAGGATTCTGTTTCAAATTAAAAAATGTGTAAGGGATTGGTAAAATGTGTACTACATTCACAGTATCCTCCTTTAAGTTGAATTTTAAAAGGAAACCTGTTACCACTATTTAATTCTATATAGCAGCAGCTCCTAGAAATCTAGGGTAAGGCAAATTAAAGCATAGAACATTTGGACAACAGAATGTAGGGCAATATTATTGTTCATGGGATGATCATTATGTCAAGGGAAACTGGCAATAGCCCTGGGCAAGCTAGATTTAGAAAGAAAGGCTTTCATAAAAATGTTATGAGCACCAATATAACCATACATTCTAAAGCCCTCTTGTAAATTCTATTATTTTCCCAACATAACCCTCTAAACATCCACATCCATTTATGGAAATCAAAGAATCTTCTCAGGTAAGACATCCTGCTTTCTGAAACGTACTTTTTGTCCTGCAAGATATTATTTATTTATGTAAAATATTTTAAATTTTATGGGTACATAATAGTTGTACATACTTATGGGGTACATGTGATATTTTGATACAAGCATACAATGTGTAGTGATCAAATCAGGGTAGTTGGGATATCCATCACCTCAAACATTTATCATTTCTTTGTGTTGAGAGCATTCCAAATCTATTATTCTAGCTATTTTGAAAGATACAATAAGTGATTGTTAACAAGTTACCCACTTGTGCTGCCCAAACACTAGATCTTATTCCCACTATCTAATTGTATTTTTGTATGCATTCGCTGACCCCTCTTCATACTCCCCCTACATACTACCCCTCCCAGCCTGTGGTAACCATCATTTTATGCTTTACCTCCATGAGATCAATTTTCTTAGCTCCCTCACATGAGGGACAACATGCAATATTTGTCCTTCTGTGCCTGGCTTATTCACTTAACATAATGTCCTCCAGTTCCATCCATGCTGCTGGAAATGACAGGATTTTATTTTTTTTATGATGGAATAATATCCCATCATGTATATATATACCACATTTTCTATACTCATTTATCCACTAATAAATGCTTAGGTAGGTTCCATACCTTGGTTGTGGTGAACAGTGTCCTATAGGATACTTAATTTGGCCTTGTGTTTTTGAACTTTTGGATTTTTGTGACGTTAGAGATCCAACCAAAATTTCTGAAATCTGCTCTTTACTTGGCAACATCTCGGCACCTCATTCTAAACCTCAAAAATTATATTGATTACACAACAAAGATAGGGCAGAATTCATTCTTCATTTATCCCTCTATTGCCTTTTTGGGATAATAGAAGAAAGGATGCCAAAACTTGAGCTATGATCTGAAAGTATATTGAATGAAACAAAAGATATTCTTACTTAAGTATACTATGAAAGATATATCTGGCATTCAAGCCAGTTTTACTGCTCTGTGTGAAGTGGTATACTTTTCTTGCAAGCAAGAGATTGTTATTAGCCAACTGTATTAGTTTGCTAAAGCTGTCATAACAGGTACCACACACTGGATGGCTTAGAACAATACACACTTGTTGTCTCACTGCTCTAAAGGCTAGAAGTCTGAAATAAAGGTATCAATAGGGCGATTATCCCTCTGGAACTTGTAGGGGAAGGATTCTTTCTTGCCTCTTCCTGGCTTCTGCTGGTTGCTGGCAACTTTAAGTGTTCCTTGGCTTATGGACGCATCACTCCAATCTTCCATCTTCTCATGGCCACCTTCGTACTGTGCATATCAGTTTCTGTGTCAAAATTTTTCTTTTCATAAAGACATCAGTCACATTGGATTCAGGATCACCCTGAAGACCTCATTTTAATTTGATTGCCTCTTTTAAAATCCTATGTCTAAATAAGGTCACATTCCAAGGTTACTGAGAGTTGGGAATTCAACATATCTTTTGGAAGAGGAAGGACACAATTCAACCCATGACACCAGCTTAAGCAAAAAGAGAATTTATTGGAAATATATGAGGTGGTTTATTTAAAGAGAGAGCTAAGGAGTGAGGACTTGATGGGTAAGAGCATGCTGCAAAAGATCCAAGGAGCAGGAATGAATCCCCAGCCCTACCAGGGGGCTGCTGCTGAGATAAAAAGCCCTCTGCTGACTTGCCCACCTTGCATCCCTCTGCAGGACATTGAGTCCTAGGAGAAAGTCTGATCGGGTCACCCCTAGGCTAGAAAAGTCAAAGCCCCATCATTTGTTTTCCCAACAGCACTATAGCAACAGCAAAGAGATAACTCCCGAAGGATTTGAAGTGCTATTAACAAGAGAAAGGAAGAAGGATGCTAAATGGAAAGAAACTTGCCCCCTAACAGGAAATCAAGAAGGAAACAAAATTTGAAAAAAAAAGAGTATATTTCATCCACTTCAAATTCATCATTAATTCTATGTTAATAATAAACCTCTGATGATTATGAATATCACCATTCAGAAAAATTTGCTACTCAGATATAATTTGTCTTTCTTGTAAGCCAACAGTGTGGAGGGAATCCAGCTAATCATGATTCTTTCAATGACTGAGTTATCTTTAGTTTGATTTTGCAGCCATGTCAGAATTATAATGGAGACAATGGTTTTTCGGAGCAAGACAGTCTCCCATTCTTTGATTTGTTGTTTCTTGCACTCTGGCCCAGATCAGGACACCCCACCAAGCTTGCCAGCTACAAGGAGCTTTTGGCACAATGTCGTCAGCTGCTCCTCAGTGCCTTGTAGGAAAGCGGGTATTTCTCCTCTCCCTGCTCCTGAGGCACCTGCTCCTCGTGCTCCAACACGGGGCTCTCCTCATTCCACCCTCTCTCTCAACCCATCCTACTACCACCTCTTCAAAGAATATAGCCATTGTTTTGTTAGTTAGGCTTTGAATTAAGAAAAGAAAAGAAGAGGTGGGAAAAATTAACAAAGTGAACTGCATAAAATGAGGGGTGTATGAGGGTGGTTCATCATTAAATGGTATAAAACCTTAAAGAATAGACAGCCTCCAGGCTCTTTTTGCATTTCTATTTTGTACTCTCCCAAAGAGAAATGAATGATAGATCTACTGTAGCATTCTGCCTGTTGTGAAATTCCATGCCATGCCTGGGCATGGAAGAGGTGATCTCCAAGGCCAGAGTAACATGCAGGAACGGTCTAGAAGTTAGAGGCCAGACTGTTGAATGGGCAGATTGTACCTCTTTCTGGAGGCAGGAAGAAAGTTAGTATCATAGGCAGAACATGGAATCAAAAGATAGTGAGCACTGTGTCCCATGAGAGAGGTCAGACTCTAATAAATGGAAGTGGGGTGGTCTCATCCAGTAGACAGGAAATGATGGAGCAGGAAATATTCAAAATTTTACATTCTTAGTATCCCAGAAACAGTTAAATGGTTTGTCCCAGAAGTGATGCATGTCAATTCTGTTCATGATTCATTGGTCAGGACTAGTCCCTTGGTCCTATCCAGCCGTAAGGATGCCAAGAAGTGTACGTGTTTGGAAGGAGGAAACTGAGTATCCTTAACAATAACTCACACTTAGTAATAACTCACACTTGTCAACATGCAAGCTCCAGGTTGTTCACCAACAGGCTCTGATTCAGGAGATCCTTGGGATCTGCATTTTAAAAAGGCTTCCTCAGGTGAGTTTGATTCAGCATGGCAGGGATGGGGGGATGGAGGGGAATCCTTGAACCACAATTCAAAAAAAAAAACACGGACTTAGAGCTCCACTTCCATGTAGGCAGGTGATCAAGGGTAAGGGGACAAATCTGAGACACAGTGGTTAGAGCCCAGATGTAGAGCTATGCCTGGGTCACCTCAAGTTGTAATCAAATAGATTACAGTTGCCTGGATACTGAGGCCCAGAGGGCTGGGCAGAGGCTCCTCAATGCACAGGCATCGGGATAGTGTTGGAACAGTGCCAGAAATAGAAAAGACCTTCTGGTGTGTGTGGAGCTCCTCCAGATATTGGGAGATGGAGAGGACTGTGGGGCCAACTGCAGGCAATGATTCTCAGATGTGATCCAAAGTATATATTAATATTTATATTAACAGAAACTCACAGGCCAGTATATCATGTTGTATTATATAATCACTTTTCCTTTCCTCTGTTCTTTTCTCTCTCTTCCTTCTTTTTCCCTTCCTCTGCCACTTGCTCTCCTCTTTTTACCCTGTATTCTTTCTTTTATTTCCTTATTTTTATTCTCTGCTTCCCCTCCGACTCTTCTCCTCAATGTTTGCTGTTCTCTATCCCTTGCTCCATCCCCTCTTCCTCCCCTTTTCTCTCTCATATATTCTCTTTTCTCTCCCTCCCATTCCTCCTTGCCCATGCCTATGCTCTGCCCTCTATTCTCTCTCCAGGTATTACGCCATCTGCTGCCAGCCTTTGGTCTATAGGAACAAGATGACCCCTCTGCGCATCGCATTAATGCTGGGAGGCTGCTGGGTCATCCCCACGTTTATTTCTTTTCTCCCTATAATGCAAGGCTGGAATAACATTGGCATAATTGATTTGGTGAGTATCCACACAGACCTCACTGGTTTACTGTCTGATCAACTTTGCATGGGGTTCCTAAATGAATAAATAATATTAGATTGAGTATTCTAAGAATCTGATAGTGGTCTGGGTGATAATTTTTTTTTTTAAAGCTAACACTTTTGAATGCTTACTGACAAAACTCCTCTCCTTAACCCAACTTTAGTTAGACTTTTCTGAATCCTTGTCCCATCTAGGTCTTGACTTTTGGACTTCTATGTCTGTTTTTGCATCACCCAATTTTAGCAAGAATCTTGCTAAGTTGGTATAGCCAGAATCCCCCACCCTTGATATTTGATTAGGTTCTTCACCCTCCACCATCTCCCAGGTGATGTATGATCACCTTGGCCTGTCTTCAGCAAGAGCCCTGCTAGGTTTGTTTAGCCAGAATCCTCTCTTACTCCTGATGTTTTCTATTGGTAATTTTCCATCCACTAACCCCCACTCACCATGCTGTTTGGCTATAAATTTCCACTTTCCCTTGTTGCATTTCAATCTCTCTCTTCTACTACAAAACCCCATCACAGTAGTCCCTATAACCTATGTTGATAGTCCTGAATAAAGTCTGCTTTACTGCTTTAACAAATGTCATGAATAATTTTTTTCTTTAACATGCCTGTATGCCAGAGAGTATGCTAAATACTTTATATATAATCTTGAAAACCTCATTATGGGGAAAGTATAGTTATTTCCCCCATTTCTCAGATGAGAAAACCCAGGCTCACAAGCTTATGTAGGTTAAGGTTAAGTAACATGCCCAATGTCACACAGCTTGTAGATAAGCGAACAAATATTCAAAGCTTAGACTTTGCTTAGACATGCCTGAGGCATGTCATTTGCCCCAAAAGGTCTTTATTCCATTTTATGTGGAGAGTCTATAAGGCTGATGTACTAGTCCATTTTTACACTGCTGATAAAGACAAACCCCAGATTGGGTAATTTATAAAGAAAAGGAGGCTTAATGGACTCACAGTTCCACATGCCTGGGGAGGCCTCACAATCATGGCAGGAGGCAAAAGGCACATCTTACGTGGCTGCAGGCAAGAGAGAATGGGAGCCAAGCGAAGGGGGTTTCCCCTTTATAAAACCATCAGATCTCATGAGACATATTCACTACCACGAGAAAAGTATGGGGGAAACCACCCCCATAATTCAGTTATCTCCCACCAGGTCCCTCCTATAACAAGTGAGAATTATGGGAGGAGCTACAGTTCAAGATGAGATTTGGGTGGGGACACAGCCAAACTGTATCAGCTGACATGGAGCTGAAGAAAATATGTCATGTGGGTAGAGGCTGCTGGGGAATGAAGACAGCTCCAGGCTAGAAGTTGAGAGAACTAAGCCCTGAGCCCAGCTCTGAACTGTCTCATTTCCTGAAGCACTGTGATGAGAAGATCCATTGGTTCTCAATGGAGAAGAAGGTCTACCAGGGATCTAGGAGGGCATGCAACATATGCCAGGCATTATTCCGATCCCTGTGTATTGGTTCTCCAGATAAACATAACTAATGGGTGTGTGTGTTTGTGTAGAGAGAGAGAAAGGGATACTGTAAGGAATTGGTTCATGTGATTATGGATGTTTACCAGTAACAAGATCTACAGTCAGCAAGCTAGACTCCCAGGAGAGCCAATAGTGTAGTTCCTGTCCAAATGCCGGCACACTAGAGCCCAGGAGAGTCAATGTTTTAGTTTGAGTCCAAAGGCAGGAAAAACTGATATCACAGCTTGAAGGCAGTAAGGCAGCATGAGTTCCCTCCTATTCAAGCCTTCAATGGATTGCATGAGGTTCACCTGCATTGGGAAAGGCAGTCTACTGATTCAAATGTTAATCTCATCCAAAAATTTCCTCGAAGACACACCCAGAATAATGCTTGACTAAATGTGTAGGTACCCCATGCCTGGTCAAGTTAACACATAAAATTAACCATCTCATTCTGTCTAGATACTAACCTTTAAGAGTCCTCCAGCTTTGACATACTAAACTTACAATGAAGATCAAAATCTATGATCTGGATTCTTTAGCAGGGATATATATTCCATAAGGAAGTTGTCAGGCACTTGCTGTAGAAGTGGTCCCCGGATACATCGAGATGTGGGAAGTGGAGTGGAGAGGAGAGATTAAGAGCAACAGGACCCTCAAGACAGGGAGCTGCCCTTTCCTCTTTTCACCGCATTCTTAGCCCTTAGTCCTGCCTTGTTCTTTTTCAAGGAAAGGAGTCTAAACCAAGGCCTGGGCCAGGATTTTCATGCGGTATGTCAGAACAAGTATTCCTTAGGATTCTGAAAGAAATGCCGGAGGCAGAAGAGTGAATTAGAAGTGTAACTGCATGGACATTTTTTGAATCCTATCCAATTTATTTTAAACTGTCAGTTTCACCATTCCTGGAGGAAATGAAATCCAAATTTTCAACCATTATTATTACTCCAAGAATAATAATGGCCAGTGAATGTTGAACACTTACTATGTATGTATGAAGCCCCCTGTTAATCATTATTCCTGGGAACCTCACTTAGGCTTCACAACAACATTATGAAGTAGATCCTATCATTATCCTCATTTTATAGATCAGCGAACAGAGGATCAGGGAGATTATTCACTAAAGTCATTGGTAGGAAGTAGTGGGGACTGTATCTGAGCCCGGGCTTTGGATTCCAGAGTCTGTGCTCTTAATTTATATGCTAAACTTATTCCCTAATGGAGAAGATCTTTGGAAGTGTATGCTTCTGTGCATTGGGAACTTCTGATGAGGGATCAGCACTTCTACCTCCTGAGTAGAATTTCTAAAGAAAACAACCCAGAAAGTTTTTGTTCACTTAGAATGAGCCAAAGGGATTGCCTATTTAATTTTAATCACGGTTTAAAATGGACCCTAATTCACCTAAATGGGAAATGGAGCATCTGTTTATTGTTAACATGGCTAATATTCATATCTGTCCACTCATTTGCACACTGAACCTGCCTAGAGAGAAGCTAGCACAATCCACATGGTCATGTTGTTGGCGGCAATTAAATTCTATAAAGTCATTGCAAACACTGAATTGGTAAATACTGAATCTTTGCTTCCAGGGAAAACACAGGATTAGGTTCCTGTGAGTCTCTGGTCACAACATTTTCATCAGCCAATCAATGCATAACCTTGTTTGATGTGTGTTTGTGCTTAAAAACACCTATTTAATTTATATGTTGACTCGTTAGCATTGCAGTCATGGACAAGACACTATAACTCATGCCTGAATGAAGCTTATCTAAAACATGTATTTTCTCTGTAAAGCACATCACAGCCTTCTTGCAATTACAAACACCAGACAGCACTTCAGCAGTACACTTAGGGTCCATTTTAAACCATGAAATCACCATCAAAAAGCACACAATGCAAAATATGTGCCGGCAAATAGCAAAAAGGACACTTGTTGAAGTGAAACAAGATGATAGAGCATTGCCTTGTTTGACTTCAGCTGGAAACACACCTATCAGGAAACAATGCTTCCACTGCTTTGTGCACATGCATGTCTACAAATGACCATAAAAACACTGTGAAAGCAACTCAAGTATTGATTTGGGGGATTTAGGAGGTTACAAATAAATTCTAATGAGTAGATTAACTCACAAATATGGAATCTATGCCTAATGATGACCAGCTATATACCCACACATATAAACCTACACATACATGCAAGTACAGATGCCCAAGGCAGAAACCTACTCCAGGGACTTTCTTCCTTTGCTCAATGGAATCAGCTGTGCTTTTAAAGCTAAGCTTGCTAGAAATGTCCTAATCCATCCCCAAATTTTACAAATTGGTAACCACACCAACCCAATGCAGGGTTGTTAACATAATGGGAAAGAAACCACCTAAAAATTCAAAGGGTTCACATAATAATTTTCTCATTTATGTTCCCAAACCTAGACCCTGCTTTCTCTTTCCATCATCACTACCATTTATTAAATATTTATAGACAATATACTAAATTCTTCACATGTTTCAATATCATCTAACCAACACAATATTACTATGTTTAATATTCATTTTATAAAGGGAATTATACGACTTCAAAGTCTAAGCTCGTAATGGCTGCACTATTTATTTATTTATTCATTCAAGAAATAATTGAATGCCCACTATGTTCCATAGGCAATTGAGAAATTAATGGTAAAAAAAATTTCAGTTCATATGGCATTTAAAATCTAGTGAGGAGAAAGTACGATATATTTCAGGTGTTACATTTTATTTAAAAAAACACACACAAAAACAAGTAAAAAGTGAGTGATTTACACATGACATTCACCTTCCTTAATAAAATATTGCTGGAGCAGAGTCCTGCAGGAAGAGGAAAAGTAAGTCATGTAAGCACTAAGAAAAAAAGTGTTTTGGAACAAAATTGCAATAATCATAAAGGCCCTGGAGTGGGAGCATGCTTGGGTAGTTCAAGGAATGGCCTAGAAGATTACAGACAGCAGTGAGCAAGGAGGAAATTGGTAAGAAAAGTAGAGGTCAGAGAGGTAGCCTGGAGTCAGACTGTGGCTACTCAGAGTGATAGAAGAAGCTTTTGAGGGTTTGGGTGAGAGGAATGACATTATTTGCCCTATGTTTTAAAAGAATCATTCTGGCTACTCTATAGAGAATGACTGTGGAATGGCAGAAAATAGTGAAAACTTTTGGGAAGGAATTACAATTATCCTGGCAAGTGATGATGCTAACGCTAACTTGGACTAGGATGATAGCAATTTGAGGTGGTGAGAAATTGTCAGATTTTACATATTCTTTTGCTCTATAATTAATTATTTATCGAGCCCCAACCATATTTGAGAATCTAATTCAGGCGCTTAGGGTACATTATTGAACAGTATAGACAATGACCCACATCCTTGTAAAGTTTATATTCTAACAAAGAGAGGCAGACAATAAGTGATGAGATGAAAATAAGTAGAGGAGATTAAAAATAAGCAGATATCTAGGATGTTAGGAGATGGTAAGTACTATGAAAAAGCAGGTGAACCGGATAGCAGATTGTAATATTAAATAGGGTGTTAAACTAGGCTTTATTGAGAAGGTGATGTTTCAGTTACAACTTTAAGGAGGTTGGGGAGTTGTACTTGTGGATATCTTGGAGAATATACCAGGCCAGAAAAATAGCAAGTGCAAAGTGCTATGGTAGAATATTCCTAACATATCAAGGTTAGGGTGGCTGTTGCAGAGTAAATGAGGGAGGGAAATGTAGGAGAGGAAGTAAAAAAAAATATATAGGAGAAAGATCGTGTAGGACTTTTCAGGTTATTTTAAGACCATTGACTTTTACTATGAGGAAAATGGGAAGCCATTGCAGAGTATTGAGCAAATGAGTAACATGACCTGAATTATATTGTTAAAGAATCTTTCTGGTTTTTCTGTTAAAAAGCAGACTGTAAGGGAGTCTATTGAAGTAATCTGACAGGTGAGAGACAATGGTACTCCAACCTCAGTGATAACAATCGAGATTGTAATTTAGAATCTGGATCTATTTTGAGGATTTAACCAACAGGATTTTTTTTTTTTTTTGAAAAATTAGAAGAGGAATGTGAAAGGAAAACCTAAGCCAAACATGACCCAAAATTTTGGACAGAGCAACTAGAAGATTAGAGTGAGTAACCATCAATCGAGATGAGAATACTGTGTGTAAGTTTATAGGGTGTGGAGAGTCAAACACTTGGCTTTTTTACTTATTTGAGATACCTATTAGATATGCAATTGGAGATGTCCAGTAAGGAGCTTGATATCAAATTCTGCAGTTCCTAGGAGGTCCCGATCAGAAAGAAAAAAAAAAGTGGACCATTCTCAAAGATTAGATGCCATTTAAATCCATATGACTAGATGAAATCACCTGAGGAATGCAGGTAGATACAGAATAGAAGAGGTCTAAGGAACGAAGGGCAGTAAAGGACAGTTGGAAGGAACAGCCAGTGAGGAAGAAAACAAAGAAAGAGAAAATTGTCTTGGAAGCAAATATGCCTTAAAACATATTATAAGGAAGGAGAGAGAATTGGGTTCTAGATAAGGCGGGAACTGTCATAAGCATGACTATCAAAGCTAAATAAAACATACTGAATTAAATACAAAATATGAAGATTAAGTAAAATATTCTTTGAAAGATTGGAAAGTAACCAAGACAAATAAGACTTAGTAGCTACACTCTCAAAAAGAAAAAGAAGACCTCTACTATTTCCTTTGGGGCCTTTACTGAGTCATATAAGGTCTGTGTAAAAGTAATTGTGGTTTTTGCCATTGAAAGTAATGCATTAAACATAACCTAAACATGATTGAGGTGTTCTTTTCATATTCTATCTGCTTGCCAGAAGAAAATTAAATTATTTCTGGAATAGGCTACTACCATCCAGAGCAACTGTACTTTTTTATACACAATGTGTGTCCTTTAATTAAGTCACCAGACCCTGTAGGAAGCAAGACTAAATGGCCAAAAACCATGAACACAGAAAGACAAGAGAAACAGTCTCATAGGCAATCTAGATAATGGAGTAATTAGATAAGGAGCATCTACAAAAAAAAAAAGGGAATTTTTGGCCAGGTGCGGTGGCTCACGCCTGTAATCCCAGCACTTTGGGAGGCCAAGGCGGGCAGATCATGAGGTCAGGAGTTCAAGACCAGCCTGGCCAATATGGTAAAACCCCATCTCTACTAATAATACAAAAATTAGCCAGGCATGGTGGAATGTGCCTTTAATCCCAGCTACTCAGGAGACCGAGGCAGAAGAATCGCTTGAACCCATGAGGTGGAGGTTGCAGTGAGCCGAGATTGTGCCATTGCACTCCAGCCTGGGTGACACAGCAAGACCTAGTCTCAAAAAAAAAAAAAAAAAAAAAAAAAGAGGGGGGAATTGAATGGAAATACTGCAACTAATAAATACACTGAAATAAATAAGTATAATGATAAATTTAATAGTAGATTTGACATATCTGAGAACACCTGTAGTAAACTGGAATTTAGGTAATATCATTTTTTCATAATGATAACAATATCAATTCAAGAGGATGTTATACCATAACCTTGTAATAAAATATTGATTGAAGCACATAGAGATAAATGGATAAAATTTTATTACAGACCATTCTGATATATATGTATATATATGTATCATATCAGAATATATGTGTGTGTGTCCATACATATATGTATATGTGTATATATATATATGTTACATATATATATAATACAAAAAAGTTCTAACATCCATGTAATCAGTATTCTATTTGAATTCAGAGAGAGAGAATGGGGCAGATGTAATATTTGTAGAAATAGTGCCTAAGAATTTTCCAAAAAGATAAAAGCCATCAGTCAGAGATTCAAGAAACTCTACAAAACCCCAGCAGGTTAAATAAAGAAGAAAACTATATCTAGAAAATTCATTTAAAAAATTGCTGAAAATCAAAGACAAGTTGATAAATCTCAAAAGTAATTAGAGAAAAATGACAAATTAAACTTAACAGGGAAAATAAGACTTACAGCTGACCATGCAATAAAATGAAAGAAGTGAGAAGACAATGGAATGACATGTTGAAAATCTACAACTTAGAATTCTATACCCAATGAAAATATGCTTTAAACATTAAGATGATATTAAGACGTTTTCAGGCAAACAAAAACGAAGGGAATTTTTCCACATCAGGTTTTTGTATTGTGACTTTTATGGGAATTTTTCAGTCAAAAAGAAAATAATCCCAGATTGAAACACCATAATGCAGGACAGAGTGCAGAGCACTGGAAATGATAAATATGTGGATAGTGTAAGAGAACGTTGACTATTAAAATAACAATAATATTAATGTCTTGTGGGTTTTCAAATATATGTAGGATTAAAATGCATGAAAACAATAGCATAAAAGGCAGGCGTGGGGCATGGGCTGTTTGGGATCTTTGCATTGCCAAGGAAATGGCAAATGTATGAAAAAGACTGTAATGAGTTGTAGCCCCTAAAATAAAGATAATAAAAGAATATATATCCAATAAGCTAATAGGGAGAGAGGTAATGTGTTAATACAAACAGGTATTATTCTGAAAATAAGCAATAAATATGGAAACAAGGAACCAAGAAACAGAAAAGATTAATAGATAACAGTAAGATTATAGACAAATGTAAATCAATTTGCAATTTTAGTAAATATTAAATTATTTAAAGAATAGATGCTAAAAGACAAAGTTGTCAGACTGCATCAAAACAAAATACAAATATATGCTGCTTGTAAGAGAGGACCATTAAATATAAAGTGGCAGAAAAATTGAAAATAAAAAAATAGAAATACATACACTATGCAAGTGATAAGTCAAGGAAAGTTGGTGTTACTCTACTATTATTAGTGATAGAATAAAATTTAAGGAAAATAATATTTCTTGAGGTAGAAATATTTCATAATGATAAAAATATCAATTCAAGAGGATGATACATGATAACCTTATAATAGTCTATAAAACAAGATACTGAATATGTACAGGAATAAAATAGCATGTTTGTGAGTATATCATATAGGTGTCTATTCTTCATATCTTCATGCATGTGTATATTCACACTGGATGCAGATTGATCCCAAGAAGGGTAAGTGACATTGGGTTAAGCAGTTCTCTTCAGTCAAGAGCTATTTCTAGAGAAGGTTGATGACTAAGACCTGTCAGCAGGCAGTGTTTATAGTTGGTGGAAATGTCCTTCAATCCTTAAGAAAAATACTAGTGTGTCACAGGGTCCAGTACAAATAAGACATTCCAGGAATTGTAATGCAATCAATGTAATTCATTGCATCAATAAAAAAAGGGGAGAAAACCCACATGTTCATTTTGTTACTGCCAAAAATGCTTTGACAAAATTCAATACCCATTCACGATTTTTTAAAAATCTCATCAAACCAAGAATAGAATGTAGTTTCCTTAACCAAGTAGAGGGCATTGACATACAATTTATAGCAAATATCATACTTAGTAAATTATTGAAGGCTCATCCCCTAAAACTGGGAGTGAAACAAGGTGTCAACTACTCTCATTTTTATTCAAAATTAGATGGGAGGCCCTATCAAGCTCAATAAAGCAAGAGAAAGTGATATTAGGATTGGAAAGAGAAAAAAATGTAACTGCCATTATTTGCAGATCATATGAGTATTTCCTGGAGAAAATTCAAAAGAATGTAAAGATGAATTTTAGTTGATATCTAACTTAGCAAAGTTGCTGAATACATAGCCAGCTTACAATAAAAATCCTCACCAAGTTCTACATATTAGCAACAATTAGGAATCAGGATTTTAACATGGTACCATTTACAACAGAGTAAAAGCATAAAATACTTAGAAACAAATCTAACAAAAGATGTGCAAGACACAAAGAAAATTATAAAATTAAAAAGTATTATTGAAATATACTTAAAAAGACAAAGGGAAGGAATTACCATGTTAATTAATTCAAAGACTTAACATTGTAAAGATGTCAGTTTCCCTTAATCATTTTACTCTCATTCCAATCAAAATCCTAGAAGATTTTTATAGAAATTGAGATATTAATTTAAATTTTATATGGAAATACTGAGATAAAACATTATCCAAGAGTCTTCAAGAAAAGAAACCACAATTCAAAGACTTTTATAACTAGATGTCTAAGATGTATGAAGTTATAGAAGTTAAAGCAGTACATGCAGAGAGAGACAACTCAAGAGAACAAATAGGAAATCCAAACGTGGAGCCATATGCATATACAGTCCCCTGATTTATGACCAAGTTTACACTGCAGTGCAACTAGGAAAAGATAATCCTTTCAATACATGCTGCAGGGGTCAATTCAATATCCATATCTTGTACATCATACCATACAGAAAAACTAATTTCTGGTGGGTAGAAGCATTAAATGTAAAAACTGGTCAGGCACAGTGGCTCAGGCCTGTAATCCCAGCACTTTGGGAAGCTGAGATGGGCTGATAGCTTGAGCCTAGAGTTTGAGACCAGTCTGAGCCACACAATGAAACCCTGTCTTTACAAAAAATATTTAAAAATTAACTAGGGGTGGTGGCTCACACCTGTAGTCCCAGCTACTAGGGAGGCTGAGGTGGGAGAATTGCTAGAGCCTGGGAGTCAGAGGTTGTAGTGAGCACAACTGCACTCCAGCCTGGGTGACAGAGCATGACCCTGTAAAAAAAAAAGACATAAAAATTAACACAATAAAGATATGCTAACTGATCATGTAAAAGAATGTCTTTACATCTCTTGACAATATCTTTGAGACTGAGTCTCACTCTGTCACCCAGGCTGGAGTGCAGTGGCGTGATCTTAGCTCACTGCAACCTCTGCCTCCCGGGTTCAAGCGATTCTAGTGCCTCAGCCACCCTAGGAGCTAGAATTCAGGTGCCTGCCACCACGCCTGGCTAATTTTTGTATTTTTTTATAGAGACAGTGTTTTGCCGTGTTGGCCAGGCTGGTCTTAAACTCCTGGCCTCAAGTGATTTGCCTACCTCGGCCTCACAAGGTGCTGGGATTACAGATGTAAGTCACCGCGCCCGGCCAGTATCTTTATACTTAGGAGTAAACAAAGATTTCATAAACAAGATACAAGTACTAACCAAAAGTATAGGTTCTTTCAGAGCTTCTTTCTATCACAAGATACTAGAGTGAAAAGCCATGCCACAGAGTGATATATGTGCAACACATAAATCTGACAAAAGACATCTAGAATATAAAAGAACTATTATATTAAAAATCAATAAGAAAGAGAGTTACAACTTAATTTTTAAAATGGGAAAATACCTGAATAATCAATTCAAAAGACAGGATATCGAAAGGGCAAAACAGTGATTAACATTATTAGTTCTCAGGAGATGCACAGTAAAACTGCAATAAGAAACTGAAGGGTTGTAATAAACTTAGATTTGATTCAAGTTTATTGGATTTAATTCAAAATTACAATGAAATAGCCAGGACATAGTAAACAGGGAACAAAGATGCAGAAACCAGGGCACACTGAGAGTTTGAGGTGACTTACTCAGATTGAAACTGAAGATACAGCTGCAAGAATTGGGACTGACAAGATCTAGGCAATATTTTACCATTCTGAAGGCAATGCTCTCGTCCCATTGAAGGAACCAGAGTGCTAATCAGGAAACAGATGCAGAAACTCAGTCTCACATGCTTTCCAAAAGGAGTGATGTCAATGTACTATAATTATGTGGATATGGATGCCCAGGACACTTTTCAGTAACAAAACATAAGACAAATCCTAATCTAAACCAATGGAAAGAGTCAAAAACACATGGAGTATTTTACTTATGTAATCAAATAAACTTTACCAACATCATCAACAAATCCACAATGAGATACCACTACATACTGACAATAAATTCCAAATGTTGGCGAGCATGTGGAGTAACTGGAACTCTCCTGCTCTCGTGGTGGAAATATAAATTGATACAGTCCCTTTGGGAACTGTTTGGCTGTATATACCCAAGCTATGATACAGCAATTTCAGTCCTGGGTATATACCTAAGAGAGATGAAAATACACACACACACACACACACACACACACACACACACACAAACTTCCACAAGAATATTCATAACAGTTTTATGCAAAATAGCACAAACCCAAAAATGACTCAAATGTCTGTCAATATTGGAATATGTAATATTGTAGTTTATTCCTATAATGCAATATTATACTACAATGAAAAAGAATAAACTGCCTGTACATGCAATAATGTGAGTGATACAATATTAAAGAAGATACAGATTGTGTGTTTTATTATTATATTGATACTTAGTTGGAAAACAAATAAAATTACATTATGATGATGTAGATGAGTGGCTATGTTTGGGCATATTAATGACTAGGAGAAGGCATTTGGGAGGCTGCTGGGTTGTTGATAATATTCTATAGTTTGATTTGAATAATAATTACACAGGCATATTTACTATGTAATAATTGATTCATCTGTATATACACTTTATGTACTTTATACGTATTTTGGTTCAATAAAATATTCGAAAAAAGAAGAAGGATGGAAGGTTCAGCTATGTCAAAGGTGTAGATGGCTCATTTAAAAGGAGGAATGGCAACACAGAGGTCATTGATAGCCTTGACCAGAGCATTTTCAATGGAGTGATTAGGGTGAACACCTAAATGGAGTGGGTTCAGGAGAGACTGGGAGGAGAGTAAGTTGAAGCATTGAGTGTTGTCTAGGTTCTAACTCTGGTTGGGTTCCAAAGTCCCTCATGACCTTGCCCTACCCAATCTTTATATTCTTTTCTTCCATTAAAATATCTACCCTTTCTTTCCCCCAAGCCCTAAGGCCCCTCTTGGCTGTTACACTAAAACACAAGCTGTTACACTATAACACAGGCTGTTACTCTGTGTTACTCTGTGTTATCTAAATGAGACAAACCTTCATCAGGGAACTCAATACGTAGAGAAATGACTCTAGAAAAGTGCCCCATGGCATCCCCCAAAGAGCTAAGTTTAGCACAGTATAGAGCAATGGTTCTCAAATATTAATGAGCTTTAGAGTTATTGGAAAAAACTTGCTTAAAATGCATATATCTGAGCTTCATTGCCCAGAGATTTAGAATTAGTAGATCTTTCAGGGATGAGAGTGGAGGGGTGGCAGCAGGGAGTGGGCAGGAATCTGCACTTATAATATGTACTGCAGGTGACTCTAATGTTACTGATCTGCAGACATTCTGTTAAGAGACTGATCTGTTATGTGCAAGCAGACAGGGAAGGGAGAACAGAGGCAGAATTTCACTTCTGGTTGGGTAAATGTAATAAATGATTCTGTCTCTATTTTATTTCTCTTCTGTCCTGGAGCCTTCAGTTCCTCTTGTACAGATAAGTTCTCTGGGCCCTGGGATATGATCATGTTCCTTTTCTGTCATCAAGGTTCTTTGTATTGTAGGCTTATAAGAAAACCAAAGCTTTGCTGATAAACTTTCTTTTCTTTCCTTTCCCCTTTACTCTTTTATTCTCCCATTTTCTTTCCTTGTTCTCTTCCCCTTCTTTTTATCTTCCAATCCTCCACTTTCTTCCTTTTCCCTTTTTCTTTTCTCACACTCTTCCCCATTTTTCCCACTTCTTTTTCACTTTTTCTTTCCTTTTTACCTCCTTTCCTCATTTCCTCTCTCCCTCCAACTCTCAGATAGAAAAGAGGAAGTTCAACCAGAACTCTAACTCTACGTACTGTGTCTTCATGGTCAACAAGCCCTACGCCATCACCTGCTCTGTGGTGGCCTTCTACATCCCATTTCTCCTCATGGTGCTGGCCTATTACCGCATCTATGTCACAGCTAAGGAGCATGCCCATCAGATCCAGATGTTACAACGGGCAGGAGCCTCCTCCGAGAGCAGGCCTCAGTCGGCAGACCAGCATAGCACTCATCGCATGAGGACAGAGACCAAAGCAGCCAAGACCCTGTGCATCATCATGGGTTGCTTCTGCCTCTGCTGGGCACCATTCTTTGTCACCAATATTGTGGATCCTTTCATAGACTACACTGTCCCTGGGCAGGTGTGGACTGCTTTCCTCTGGCTCGGCTATATCAATTCCGGGTTGAACCCTTTTCTCTACGCCTTCTTGAATAAGTCTTTTAGACGTGCCTTCCTCATCATCCTCTGCTGTGATGATGAGCGCTACCGAAGACCTTCCATTCTGGGCCAGACTGTCCCTTGTTCAACCACAACCATTAATGGATCCACACATGTACTAAGGTGAGTATACTAAGGGAGTTCATTGATTTGGTTGATTTGTATTACTCAGAAGGGGTAATGCTCCAGTTTTCTGTTTCCAAAGGGGTTATCCCTGAAACCTGCATAGAGTTTGCAAAGATTATAAAAGATTCTACTATCTGGTCATGGAATACAGCAATGGTTAAGAACTCAGGCTCTGGAGGGAGATTGACTTGAATTCTAATCAAGTCCCCATAGTTCTGTGACCTTGGGCAGGTCGTTTAAACATTATTAACCTCAATTTCATTTTTTAAAAACTTAAGATAATAATCACTATATCTACATCACAGAGTTTTTATGAGAATCAAATTAGCTAGTATATGTGGAGTGCACGGTACAGAGCCTGACACTTAACAAGTATTTAGTAAATGTTATCTATTATTATTTAAAGGTGTTACTTTAGAGTAGTGGTTAAAAGCATGGATTTTAAAGTAAAATAGGTTTTGTCTTGATTCTCGGTGCTCCTACTAGCCATCTGCATACTCTCTCTTGGTTTTACTTTCCTCACCTTTAAAACAGATGAGAATGTTAATTCTCATCTCATGTGTGTTTTCTGATGAGTAGAGATAATATATTCATATAGGGCATGACATACAGTAAGCACTCACAATGGTACTAGAAGTTTTATTTAATATTAGGACCAATAGTAATAACGTAGTGCCTGAGAACCTAATATGGCCATAAATAACATGATAAACTAAAATAAATACCATAATAAATATACAACAGTAATACCATGTGATATAATGGATGTATGGGCAATCTAGAATTGGGGTAGAAAGGAAAGGAAGCTGATTTGGCTTAAGAAGCTCAGGGAAGGCTTTACAGAACACAGAACAGTATTTCCTAAGAATTTGAGACATGGAGGAGAAGGCAGGGAAGCCATTTCAGGCAGATAGAACAGTACAAGGAAGGAAATGAAATATAAGAGAATACCGACAGGTCCAGCGATTTTTTTTCCCCAAGGTCACATAAGTGGATGGAGGTGGAAGTGACTTTGGAGTTAAATGTTCAGTGTCTAGTTATGGTACCTCTTTCCAAACCCTGAGACTTTTCTGGTCACCCTGGGCTAGAATTGTTCTCAGCTATGCAAAGCTATGTGTGATAAATACATTCATCCTGTAGCAAAACAGGATTGCCAGTGACATTTTTTTCTTTGCCCTGAGATGCGCAGGAATTTCTAAGGAGTAGTTCCTTCTTTGAAACAAGCATTTAATTTTTCTGATGATGATTAGTATTCAGCTGTTCTGGCGGCTGAAAATTGGGGGATATTTTCATTTGCATGTGTAAGAAAAGAAGAAAAGAAAAATAAGAATTGCTATAAAATATAAATCCTGTGCCTCAGAGGCTGCTCAGAGCATGAATTCCATTTTTTGCTACAAGTGTAGGCAGATTTGTAGCTAAAGCCTAGCATGGTGTTGTGGTTTCAGCTGGTGGAAAGACCCCAAAGGATACTCCTAGAAACCGACATTCTCTCTTAATTATTATGCCTTCAGGAGTGTCATAGAAAGAATTCAACCATAAAGTGTGTGTACAAGAACTTCTGTGTGGGTGCCAAATAGTTTTTAGCTATTTAATCTAGCAGTTGCCTAAGTACAGGCTGTTGACAACTTACAAACAGCGTATGCTCTGGTAATACATTTGCTAAGTCAGTTGTTTAGCAGTTGATGGTTTTTTTCATAGAGAGTTTGGGAGTTTCCAGGGCAGCCCAAGAAAGCCTATTTTACTAAATAAGATGTATTGTTAAAATCCTGCTGCGTCTGGTAATCTGCAGGATCATTGTAAAGCAAAGAGACAATTTAGAGATGGCATATGGATGTACACTCCATATTTTCTTCCATAAATTTCTTTTTTTTTTTTGAAGAAACTTATATGGTATGAGTACAATTACCATTTTATTTTATTTATTTTTTTATTATACTTTAAGTTCTAGGGTACATGTCCACAACGTGCAGGTTTCTTACATATGTATACATGTGCCATGTTGGTGTGCTGCACCCATTAACTCGTCATTTACATTAGGTATATCTCCTAATGTTATCCCTCCCCCCTCCCCCCACCCCACGACAGGCCCCAGAGTGTGATGTTCCCCTTCCTGTGTCCAAATGTTCTTATTGTTCAATTCCCACCTATGAGAGAGAATATGCGGCGTTTGGTTTTTTCTCCTTGCGATAGTTTGCTGAGAATGATGGTTTCCAGCTTCATCCATGTCCCTACAAAGGACGTGAACTCATCCTTTTTTATGGCTGCATAGTATTCCATGGTGCATATGTGCCACATTTTCTTAATCCTGTCTATCATTGATGGACATTTGGGTTGGTTCCAAGTGTTTGCTATTGTGAATAGTGCCGCAATAAACATACGTGTGCATGTGTCTTTATAGCAGCATGATTTATAGTCCTTTGGGTATATACCCAGTAACAGGATGGCTGGGTCAAATGGTATTTCTAGTTCTAGATCCTTGAGGAATCGCCACACTGTCTTCCACAATAGTTGAACTAGTTTACAGTCCCACCAACAGTGTAAAAGTGTTCCTATTTCTCCACATCCTCTCCAGCACCTGTTGTTTCCTGACTTTTTAATGATTGCCATTCTAACTGGTGTGAGATGGTATCTCATTGTGGTTTTGATTTGCATTTCTCTGACGGCCAGTGATGATGAGCATTTTTTCATGTGCCTGTTTGCTGCATAAATGTCTTCTTTTGAGAAGTGTCTGTTCATATCCTTCACCCACTTGTTGATGGGGTTGTTTGTTTTTTTCTTGTAAATTTGTTTGAGTTCTTTGTAGATTCTGGATATTAGCCCTTTGTCAGATGGGTAGATTGCAAAAATTTTCTCCCATTCTGTAGGTTGCCTGTTCACTCTGATGGTAGTTTCTTTTGCTGTGCAGAAGCTCTTTAGTTTAATTAGATCCCATTTGTCAATTTTAGCTTCTGTTGCCGTTGTTTTTGGTGTTTTAGACATGTAGTCCTTGCCCATTCCTATGTCCCGAATGGTATTGCCCAGGTTTTCTTCTAGGGTTTTTATGGTTTTAGGTCTGACATTTAAGTCTTTAATCCATCTTGAATTAATTTTTTATAAGGTGTAAGAAAGGGATCCAGTTTCAGCTTTCTACCTATGGCTAGCCAGTTTTCCCAGCACCATTTATTATATAGGGAATCCTTTCCGCATTTCTTGTTTTTGTCAGGTTTGTCAAAGATCAGATGGTTGTAGATGTGTGGTATTATTTCTGAGGGCTCTGTTGTATTCCATTAGTCTATATCTCTGTTTTAGTCCCAGTACCATGCTGTTTTGCTGACTGTAGCCTTGTAGTATAGTTTGAAGTCAGGTAGCATGATGCCTCCAGCTTTGTTCTTTTGGCTTAGGGTTGACTTGGCAATGCGGGCTCTTTTTTGGTTCCATATGAATTTTAAAGTAGTTTTTTCCAATTCTCTGGAGAAAGTCATTGGTAGCTTGATGGGGATGGCATTGAATTTATAAATTACCTTGGGCAGTATGGCCATTTTCGCGATATTGATTCTTCCTATCCATGAGCATGGAATGTCCTTCCATTTGTTTGTGTCCTCTTTTATTTCGTTGAGCAGTGGTTTGTAGTTCTCCTTGAAGAGGTCCTTCACATCCCTTGTGAGTTGGATTCCTAGGTATTTTATTCTCTTTGAAGCAATTGTGATTGGGAGTTCACTCATGATTTGGCCCTCTGTTTGTCTGTTATTGGTGTATAAGAATGCTTGTGATTTTTGCACATTGATTTTGTATCCTGAGACTTTGCTGAAGTTGCCTATCAGCTTAAGGAGATTTTGGGCTGAGACGATGGGGTTTTCTAAATATACAGTCATGTCATCTGCAAACAGGGACAATTTGACTTCCTCTTTTCCTAATTGAATACCCTTTATTTCTTTCTCCTGCCTGATTGCCCTGGCCAGAACTTCCAACACTATGTTGAATAGGAGTGGTGAGAGAGGGCATTCCTGTCTTGTGCCAGTTTTCAAAGGGAATGCTTCCAGTTTTTGCCCATTCAGTGTGATATTGGCTGTGGGTTTGTCATAAATAGCTCTTATTATTTTGATATATGTCCCATCAATACCTAACTTATTGAGAGTTTTTACCATGAAGGGCTGTTGAATTTTGTCAAAGGCCTTTTCTGCATCTATTGAGATAATCATGTGGTTTTTGTCTTTGGTTCTGTTTATATGCTGGATTACGTTTATTGATTTGCATATGTTGAACCAGCCTTGCATCCCAGGGATGAAGCCCACTTGATTATGGTGGATAAGCTTTTTGATGTGCTGCTGGATTTGGTTTGCCAGTATTTTATTGAGGATTTTTGCATCAGTGTTCATCAGGGATATTGGAATGGTACCAGCTCCTCCTTGTACCTCTGGTAGAATTCGACTGTGAATCCATCTGATCCTGGATTTTTTTGGTTGGTAGGCTATTAATTACTGCCTCAATTTCAGAACCTGTTATTGGTCTATCCAGGGATTCAACTTCTTCCTGGTTTAGTCTTGGGAGGGTGTATGTGTCCAGGAATTTATCCATTTCTTGTAGGTTTTCTAGTTTATTTGCGTAGAGGTGTTTATAGTATTCTCTGATGGTAGTTTGTATTTCTGTGGGATCGGTAGTGATATCCCCTTAATCATTTTTTATTGCGTCTATTTGATTCTTCTCTCTTTTCTTCTTTATTAGTCTTGCTAGCGGTCTATCAATTTTGTTGATCTTTTCAAAAAACCAGCTCCTGGATTCATTGATTTTTTGAAGGGTTTTTTGTGTCTCTATTTCCTTCAGTTCTGCTCTGATCTTAGTTATTTCTTGCCTTCTGCTAGCTTTTGAATGTGTTTGCTCTTGCTGCTCTAGTTCTTTTAATTGTGATGTTAGGGTGTCAATTTTAGATCTTTCCTGCTTTCTCTTGTGGGCATTTAGTGCTATAAATTTCCCTCTACACACTGCTTTAAATGTGTCCCAGAGATTCTGGTATGTCATGTCTTTGTTCTCACTGGTTTCAAAGAATATCTTTATTTCTGCCTTCATTTCGTTATGTACCCAGTAGTCATTCAGGAGCAGGTTGTTCTGTTTCCATGCAGTTGAGCAGTTTTGAGTGGGTTTCTTAATCCTGAGTTCTAGTTTGATTGCACTGTGGTCTGAGAGACAGTTTGTTATAATTTCTTTCTTTTACGTTTGCTGAAGAGTGTTTTACTTCCAACTATGTGGACAATTTTGGAATAAGTGTGATGTGGTGCTGAGACGAATGTATATTCTGTTGATTTGGGGTGGAGAGTTCTGTAGACGTCTATTAGGTCTGCTTGATGCAGAGCTGAGTTTAATTCTTGGATATCCTTGTTAACTTTCTGTCTCATTGATCTGTCTAATGTTGACAGTGGGGTGTTAAAGTCTCCCATTATTATTGTGTGGGAATCTAAGTCTCTTTGTAGGTCTCTAAGGACTTGCTTTTTGAATCTGGGTCCGCCTGTATTGGGTGCATATCTATTTAGGATAGTTAGCTCTCCTTGTTGAATTGATCCCTTTACCATTATTTAATGGCCTTCTTTGTCTCTTTTGATCTTTGTTGGTTTAAAGTTTGTTTTATCAGAGACTAGGATTGCAAGCCCTGCCTTTTTTTTGTTTTCCAGTTGCTTGGTAGATCTTCCTCCATCCCTTTATTTTGAGCCTATGTGTGTCTCTGCATGTGAGATGGGTCTCCTGAACACCGCACACTGATGGGTCTTGACTCTTTATCCAATTTGCCAGTCTGTGTCTTTTAATTGGCGCATTTAGCCGATTTACATTTAAGGTTAATATTGTTATGTGTGAATTTGATCCTGTCATTATGATGTTAGCTGGTTATTTTGCTCGTTAGTTGATGCAGTTTCTTCCTAGCCTTGATAGTCTTTACAATTTGGCATGTTTTTGCAGTGGCTGGTACTGATTGTTCCTTTCCATGTTTAGTGCTTCCTTAAGGAGCTCTTTTAGGGCTGGCCTGGTGGTGACAAAATCTCTCAGCATTTGCTTGTCTGTAAAGTATTTTATTTCTCCTTCACTTATGAAGCTTAGTTTGGCTGGATATGAAATTCTGGGTTGAAAATTCTTTTCTCTAAGAATGTTGAATATTGGCCCCCACCCTCTTCTGGCTTGTAGAGTTTCTGCGGAGAGATCCATTGTTAGTCTGATGGGCTTCCCTTTGTGGGTAACCTGACCTTTCTCTCTGGCTGCCCTTAACATTTTTTCCTTCATTTCAACTTTGGTGAATCTGACAATTATGTGTCTTGGAGTTGCTCTTCTCGAGGAGTATCTTTGTGGCATTCTCTGTATTTCCTGAATTCAAATGTTGGCCTGCCTTGCTAGGTTGGGGAAGTTCTCCTGGATAATATCCTGCAGAGTGTTTTCCAACTTGGTTCCATTCTCCCCGTCACTTTCAGGTACACCAATCAGACGTAGATTTGGTCTTTTCCCATAGTCCCATATTCCTTGGAGGCTTTGTTTGTTTGTTTTTACTCTTTGTCTCTAAACTTCTCTTCTCACTTCATTTCATTCATTTGATCTTCAATCACTGATACCCTTTCTTCCAGTTGATCGAATCGGCTACTGAGGCTTGTGCATTTGTCACGTAGTTCTCGTGCCTTGGTTTTCAGCTCCATTAGGTCATTTAAGGACTACTCCACACTGGTTATTCTAGTTAGCCATTGGTCTAATCTTTCTGCAAGGTTTTTAGCTTCTTTGCGATGGGTTTAAACTTCTCCTTTAGCTCAGAGAAGTTTGATCATCTGAGGCCTTCTCTCAACTTGTCAAAGTCATTCTCCATCCAGTTTTGTTCCATTTCTGGTGAGGAGCTGCACTCCTTTGTAGGGGGAGAGGTGCTCTGATTTTTAGAACTTTCGGCTTTTCTGCTCTGTTTTTTCCCCATCTTTGTGGTTTTATCTACCTTTGTCTTTGATCATAGTGACGTACAGATGGGGTTTTGGTGTGGATGTCCTTTCTGTTTTTCAGTTTTCCTTCTAACAGTCAGGACCTTCAGATGCTGGTCTGTTGGAGTTTGCTGGAGTTAACACTCCAGAACCTGTTAGCCTGGGTATCAGCAGCAGAGGCTGCAGAATAGCGAGTATTGCTGAACAGCAAATGTTGCTGCCTGATCGTTCCTCTGGAAGCTTCATCTCTGAGAGGTAACTGGCTGTGTGAGGTATCAGTCTGCCCCCACTTGGAGGTGCCTCCCAGTTAGGCTACTTGGGGGTCAGGGACCCACTTGAGGAGGCAGTCTGTCCATTCTCAGATCTCAAACTCTGTGCTAGGAGAACCACTACTCTCTTCAAAGTTGTCAGACAGGGACATTTAAGTCTGCAGAGTTTTCTGCTGCTTTTTGTTCAGTCTTTTTTTTTTTTTTCTTTTTGAGACAGAGTTTCGCTCTGTCGCCCAGGCTGGAGTGCAATGGTGTGATCTGGGCTCACTGCAAGCTCTGCCTCCCAGGTTCACGCCATTCTCTTTCCTCATCCTCCCCAGTAGCTGGGACTACAGGCACCTGCCACCATGCCTGGCTAATTTTTTTGTATTTTTAGTAGAGACAGGGTTTCACCATGTTAGCCAGGATGGTCTCGATCTCCTGACCCTGTGATCCACCCACCTCAGCCTCCCAAAGTGCTGGGATTACAGTCTTCCATAAGTTTCTTCATGAGTTCATGAAAAGTGCAGGAAGTTGGTCTGTGATGTTTTACTGTGGGAGTGGAGAATCTTATAAGAGTAAGGGTAGCCTATACAGAATAGTTGAAACCTGCATCTGCTAGAGGTTAAATCTTACAAAGGACAGGAATTCTGCCTATTTTATTCACTGCCGTATACCAAATACTCTACATATTGTCTGATATGTAATAGGAACTTAAACTCTTGATGAATTAACAAATTCTAAAATTAATTCTTCTGATCAATTGTTTTAACTTAACACAACTAAGACAATTTTTGCATTTTTCTTAAAAATCCCACAAGTAGATCATTAGCAAATTCAGATGAATTGAAGAAATATAAAACCAAAACAATGAAAATCAGTATCAGCTTTTATCCTGCTAATCCTACCCCTGTTCCCAGAGGCAATAGTTAACATTAGTCTGCTGATCATTTCAATGTATTTACAGACATTCATAAAAACCATAGAAATATAACTTTTTCTCACTCTATGTAAATGGGATCATTTTATATGTACTTTTCTACATCTTGTTTTTTTATCCTTTAACAATACATTTTGAAGATCTTTTCACTGGGGAAAATATAGCTCTAACTCACTTGTTTCAGCTGTTCCATAATCTTCTGTACTAAAAATACATATTAAAATTTATTTAATTATTTGCTGTTAGTGGGCATGTAAGTATTTCCAATTATTTGTCATTGCAAACTGTACTGTTTGTAATGCCCTTGAACACATTTCTTGGTGCATGTGCTAGTATTTCTTTCAGATAGCTACCAAAAATGAAATTGCTGTATTGACAGGTATGCTCATTTAAAATGTTTATGTTTACTATAATATTGGCATCCTAACACACTGTAACAATTTGCATTCTCATCTGTGAGTGTGAGTTCTCCTCACCAACATTGAATATTATCAATCTTTCATATTTTCTTAATTAAAAAATATTAGGTTAGTGTAAAAGTAATTGCTGTATCATTTAATTTGCATTACTTAGCGGTTTGTCAGATTGAACCTCTTTTAAATTAGTTATATACTATTTATATTTATTCTTATATAAAGTGCATCTTTATGTGTTTGGCCCTTTTTGTGACAACTTTGTTGTATTTTTCTTATTAATTTCTGGGTGTTCTTTGTTATATTCTGTATATTCATCTGGTGTCATAGAATTGGCAAATACACCTCCCCATCTCCTGCTTGCTTTTTAACTTTGGTTAACTTTTGACTTACAGAAGTTTCAAATTTTGAAAAGGTATCCTTACTTGACCTCTTAGAGTTGGCCTAGCTTCCTTCTTAAAATACTTCCTACCTTAATTTTCCTTAACACCATACTTTCCTGGTTTTCTTGCTAACTCACCAGCAACTTTTTCCCAGTCTCTTTTAGAGGCTCTTCCCCTCTCTCTGGCCTCAAACTGTTGGAGTTCTTCAGGACTTGGCTCTTGATACTCTTCTCAGACTATGCTCTTACTTTATACATTCACCATCTATAACTTTAAATACAGTCTTCATGCTGTCACCTCACTCTTTGATCAATATCTCCAGGGCATAACACTCCTCTGAGATCCAGAGAGAAGATCCAATTTGCTTCCTTGACAACCCCATATAGGTGTCTCTTGGAAATCTTAAATGAAATGTGATGCAACCAAAACAGAATTCTTAGCTCTATACACTTACCCCCTGTATTGGCCCATTTTGTGTTGCTATAAATGAATACTTGAGGCTGGGTAATTTACAAGGAAAAGAGGTTTATTTGTCTAATGGCTCTACAGGCTGTACGAGCATGGCATCAGCATTGGCTCAGCTTCTGGTGAGGCCTCAGGAAGCTTTTACTCATGGCAGAAGATGAAGGGGGGTTCATACATGTCTCAAGGCAAGAAGGGGAGCAAGAGAGAGAAAGAGAGGAGGGAGATGCTAGACTCTTTTTAACAACCAGATCTCACAATAACTAGTAGAGTGACAATTCGCTTGTTACTGCAAGGAGGGCACCAAGCCATTCATGTGGCCTCCACCCCCATAACCCAGACACCTCACACTAGGCCCAACCTCCAACTCTGGAGATTACACTTCAACATGGGATTTGAAGGGGATGAACATCCAAACTATCTCACCCTCCAACCACAAGTTTTCTGAGTCATCCCTATCTCCATAAATGGAATAATCTTGTATCATGTTACTAAATCAAGACACTTTTTCTGTGGCTCTGAGGGAGAACTAACATATTAGAGGGCAGGCTTAAGGATTTAAAAAGAAACCAATCAGCTGGTATTGAAGAGATGGAGCTAAATAAAAATAACTGTAAAATTCAACCATGGGGGCAAAATATAAATCATAAAAATGTAAGATAAATTTCTAGCTGCATGTATAAAATTTACAATTTTATAGGCATACCTTCATTTTCCTCACCCAAGGCAAACATTTAAAAAGTACTGGACAGGTCACTAGAGACCTCCTTCCATTTTATTAATAATAATGATTATGATTATGAAACCTAACATTATTCCAGAAAAGAATGTTTGTTACTATATTTGAGAGCCCTAAGTCCATCATTTGCATCTAATTTTTATAACTCAAAGAAGTAAGGTATTATGATCATTGTCATTTTAAAGATGAGAAAATTGAGTGTTAGGGTAAGTAACATGCCCAAAGTCACACAAGTAGTAAACAACAAAGCTGGAATTCAGACCCAACTGTTTCTGACTTCAAAACTCAGCCTTGTCCAGCCACTTAGAGTCAGAGTTAAGATTACAACTTTCCATGATCACCTTGACTTTTTGGATAAAGTTGATGAGTCATTTTTTAATCTATCAACTCTACCATTTTGTTCATATTTCTCTAGTTTGCCTACAAACCATGGAAAACATTCCTTCTTCAAATGAAGGCATTTTCATACTCATTTTTTTTAAAGGAAGTAAGTTTAGATCAGATGGACCTATTCTTATTAACCACCTGTTGACTTCTATCTTTGGGTACCCGTTGATTATTCAAACAAAGAATCAATTTAAAAGAAGTTCATCTCAGGATTGGGATCAAACTCTTCTTCCTATGGTTTTCAGAACATACCTTTTTCACATTTCTTCAACTTGGGCATTTGTTCTCTATTTCTGCTGGATAGCAGTGGCCTGTTTACAGCACTATTTCTCATGACATTCATACTGCTTTAGAGTATACAATTCCTTATTTAATTCCTGTTATATCAAGTATTCCTTGAGGGGAGAAACTATGGCTTCCTCTTCTCTAGGAACTGTATAGTCTCTAACATAGTATCTGTATAACAGTAGATGATCAATTGATTGATCATTTTTGCTGATGAAAGGTGTTCCTGATTCTCTTCAGATTTATGAAGGATTAAAATACTCAAAATTGAAAATTAGGTTTTGTTTGTTAAATCTTCCCTGAGATCCTAAAAGGTATAGAGAACTTAGTCTACAAGATTCACATTGAGAAGACCCAGTTCATGACAACACTCTGATATTGTGGGGCCTCCTTCCTTTAAAGTCTTTTTGACAAAATGGAATTTTACTTTTCCAAGTTGAATTAGAAACAGCCAAGCCTGGCCTCAATGGTTTAGAATCATAGGTCTCCCAAGCTTGGTCCTATCCTTATGGCCCTTTTACTTACATGAAATTTTATTATTAAATAAGCAAATGGGTAGCCAATGAAATAAAATATGCTTTTGAAAGACATTCTTAGAGGGTTTTGATTGCTAAAATTGTACTAACTAGTGTACACAGTAGCAGAGATGTCTGCAATTGTGTTTGACTATTTTCTGTTGGACAAGAAGTGTCTTTGGAAATATGCAACCCGTGATCAAAATAGAAGTGAAGACAGCATTTGGTTGAATGATGACACCATTTGTCTAGACATATAGGTTACATAGTCTTCTAAATATAGCTTCTAAACATGAATTATTTTCATATAAATATTTTGAGGGCAATTTTAATTTGTCTGCATGCATGTATTAGAAAGAGGCATAATGCCAGTGTGTGGAATTCTAAGAGGTTCATCAAATGTGCAAACTCAGATTCTCAGTGAATTTGGAGCCAGCCTCTTTGTCCTTGTCTCATCCTTAATCTTGTTCTGCAGCTGTGTTTTCCCCACCCACCAATATCTGTCTTGGTTTTATAGAAATCACTTTTCCCACTCTAGGAAACCCATAGTGCACATAGTGGCAGAGAAGAAAAGAAATAACCTAATGATAAAACATTAGCTGCATTCCCACTAAAGTGAGGAATAAGACAATGATGTCTTATCATCTCTTGTGGTCAACATTGTACATACAAAATCCAAAGAACAGAAAGAAGAAATATAAAAAAACTGGAAAAAGAGAGCAAAGCTTCCATTATTTATTAACCATCTGTATGATCTATTATAATCATCTTCCAGGAAAATCCACTGTAAACTGTGAAAAGTAATAAGATATTTCATAAGGATGGACGATATGAGATAACACTCAATCCTCAGTGACTTTCCTACACATGAGAAAAAACCAATTAGTATGTGAATTAAGAAAAATACTACTGTGCCACTGCACTCCACTCCAGCTTGGGTGACAGAGCCAGACCCTGTCTCAAAATAAAAATAAAAATAAAAATAAAACACCATCCACAGAAGCAATAACTAAAGTTCCTTAAAAAAAATGGTTTTTTTTGAAAAGTATAAGACCTTTATTGAAGGAAACTTTAAAACTTTACTGAAGAAGAGCAGATAAATTGCTAAAGGTTCATTGTGGATAGTAGAAGAGGTGGCTGTAAAACCCAGATTTTCCTTTTGAGGTTATAGGAAGCCCATCAGAACTCCAGGTTTGCAGATTCTGGAACTCAATTTATTAGGTTCTGAAGTTTGATTCACGGGAACTATGTATTGAGCATTTAATGCAGAAGGCAGCATGCAGCAGATATAAACATGAACCACTGAAGCAAGGGATACACTAGCAAGATATTACAGTACGGTGAACATCACTGCAGGTGTACACAAGGTTTATCAGGAGCTGAGGGAATTGCTAACAAATCAACAGTTTCCTTGTCATCACTGGTGATGGGCATCCCATCTCTGCTTGAACTCCTGCAATGAGAGAAGCTTCCCATCTGAGCAGTCTGCTCAAAGTTTGGGCAGCTCTAGAGCTTGAAAGGTTTTCCTGATATTGAGTTGACGTTTCCATCCCTGTGGCTTCTACTCACTAACCCTCGTTCTGCCTTGAGAAAGAGAAAAACAGGTTACATCTTTTACGTTAGGACAGCACTTTAGGCATATTTGGCCATAGGTTCTTTCTGAGGCTTTTGTTTTTCTTAATAAATATCCCAATTTCTTTTAGCGCTCTCTGTGTATATATTATTGTTGGAAATTTGGGGAGTGCAAATATATTCCCTTATTTGCAACTTTTATTTTTATTTTTCTTGATCGTTTTTCCATCAAAGCATGATCTGCAGATCACTCACATTAGAATCATCTGGCAGCTTAGTAAAAACACAGATTCCTGGGTCCCACTCATTGAATCAGTGCAGGGCTTGTAAATGACATTTTTACTAACATGACTGTTATGCATATTAACGGTTTAGAGCCATGGTCCTAGACTTTTGTGGATCAGAATTGTCCAAGGTGTGCTAGCATTGATTGTGATTCAGGGCTTCAAGTTATGACACATATTAGAATTATTAGGTTCTTATAAAATTTTTTTTGAGGCGGAGTCTCACACTGTCACCCAGGCTGGAGTGCAGTGGCGCGATTTCGGCTTACTGCAACCTCCGCCTCCTGAGTTCAAGCGATTCCCTTGCCTCAGCCTCCCAAGTAGCTGGTTACAGGCGCCAGCCACCAAACCCGGCTAATTTTTTGTATTTTTAATAGAGACAGGGTTTCCCCATGTTGGCCAGCCTGGTCTCGAACTCCTGACCTCGTGATTCACCCGCCTCAGCCTCCCAAGGTGCTGGGATTACAGGCTTGAGCCACCGCACCCAGGCCAGAATCTCTTAAAAGATAATAACTTTATCTAACTTAACTGGTAAAATATAATTATCAGAAAATTCCTTTTGGAAGCCTGCTTCAGTTCAGTCATGCTTTAAGCCTCTCTCCCCACTTGGAAGACATGGTATGACTACATAGTCTTGTGACCACAACAAGGTGGCAGGTGGTAGGAACAAGTCATATTAATTTGATTTGAGGTTCTTTGGGGACTTGCTAATGGGGTTCTTTGTCCATTGGACAAATACCAAGGACCTTGCCAGTCTTGCAGCCTGTTGTATCCTCAGAGCCTAGTAAAGTGCCTGGAACATTGTAGGACTTGACAAGAGGATGAAAAAATGCTCTGTCTCTAGTCTACTGGCTTACCCTCTCTTCTGTTTAACTGTCTCCATGATTATTAGTTCAGATAACTGAGGGCAGAAAAGGGACTAGCGGTGCTGACTGTAACCTTAGAGCAGAGAATTTCCCTGTACAAAATCTGCTAAAGATTCCAGTTTTGACTTCTTTGGTAGATAATCCCCATCCTCCTATTTCACTCCTTCATTGTCAAAATAACAAAATAATTGATGTGAATTTGCTTTGCTAACTGCAAAGCTCTGTCCACATGAGAGTGATAATTTTAAGAACAGACTATTTATAAATTAGGCAACACAGCAGAGATTGTATGCAAACTTTAGCTTTGGAGATGGGTTTCCCTGCTCTCTCACCAGGCTTAGATTCTTCCCCAGTTTCCAGGTTCAGATCTTACTCAAACCTAGGACACTTACCCAATTCCTGAGAAGTCTGAGAACTTTTGCAAGCACTTTCCAAAGAACTTATTGCCTATCTAACTTGGTTCTTGGCTATCATCCTCCATCATCCACTGTTAATCCCTGTGATAAACAGGCTGTCCATTGACTTGAGATCTCTAGATCTGTGTTGTCCAATAGGGTAACCACTAGCCACACATGACTATTTAAATTTTAATTTAACCAAAATGAAACACAACTAAAAACTCAGTTTTTTAATCACACTAGTTATATTCCAAGTGTTCATTAGCCACATGTGGTGAGTGGCTCTTGGCTTAGATATAAATGTAGAAAATTCTCATGATTGTAAAAAGTTTGTTTGACCAAGCATCTCCAGAGCTATATGTGCCTTCTCTCTGGAAGGAGGCAATACAACTTTCTCTCAGACTCACTAACTCTTGTTATCAGCAACGCTCAAAAACTAATCAACCAATTCTATTGGATGTGCTATACAAATCTTTAACATTTCCATGTACGACATTAGTGTATTCAGATTTCTATATGAAATCAATAGCGGAGAAAATGTAAACATAGAAAAAAAGTGAAAATGAGTAAGAGGCAAAGAGAATGAGTGAGAGGCAAAACACAGCAGAAGAAAAAATAATCCGGGTTACAGCCCCTTGTTATTTCCTTTATAAATAACAACTATGATAACTTACCATATATTTTTTGTTGTTGTTAACTTGTTTATTATCTGTCTGTCCAGCCAGACTGCCAGTCTATGAGGGCAGGTACCATGTCAATTTTATTCCCTAAAATTTCCCCATGGTGCAGAAATTGCTCAATTAATATATTTGTTAAATAAACACATGTTCTTATACTTCACTGTTCATCTGGACTGTGCATGCCAGAATAAGCTTCCACCACTTTAAAAAATATGTATTAATTCCACAGCTGAAACAGTTGTTTGTTCACAGTGAAACCACTTGTTAAATTTTGACTTCAGCACATCAGAATTCCCCTTTTAAATAAAGGTTTTCACACTGTGAATTGGAAGATTTTTACCCATGGATGAGGAAATGATTTAGAGTTGACTTACTTTGGATCCTCAGAGGTTTCTGCTAATGTCGGAAAGTTGTTTGACATTTAAAAGCCATCTTATGGCCTTTACCTTGAACTTTAGAGGTTACAATTGTATTCAACGTTTACCTCATTGTTTTGAGCCAAAACAGACTTAATCTGGGTAAATCAAAGATGAATGAGGATGACCTTCCTTTGTCTCCATTAACCCCTACCAGGGCAGACTACATAATTTGCTGGCCAAATGCAAAATAAAAATACAAGCAACTTGTTCGAATGGCAGGAAAAAGTGTTCTTAAAGGTATTAAAATTTAAAGCCTTTCTTTTTTTTTCATTCACTCCCTCCCAACTTGTCTTGGTGTTTTTTTACTTGCTAATTACCTTTGTTTTAGTTAAGAAATTTTTAAAATTATTAGCACCAATTTATCATTCATCATTGATACATGAATAAATTTATCATTCATTTATCGTTGATACATGAATCAATTTATCATTCACTTTTACATTGTGCAATGCCAACTTCGAATGTAAATAAAAGAGCATTTAACTTGTATGTGGAATTATCAAAATTATACAGATCATGGTAGGTAGTTCATACACACTTAAGTATTTTGTTTTTACCAGAGTAGTGCAGAAAACTAACTCAACTGCTTTTATTTCACTTTTTGATACATACACATTCTACTAATATTCACAAATTCAAGAATAAAGTTATTAAGAATTTCAAGATGGCAACAGCAGAGCATTAAACCTAGGTCTGGATTCCTGTATATGCACTGGTCACATACCCACAAAGCCGGCCTTGGTCCCCATCACAACGTGAAGTAATCTTTCAGAAAACACTGTTCTTGTTGAGATCACACCAGGAAAATAGCAAGAATAAAAACTTTAAAAGAACACCAATGGTCTCATCAAATACTCAGGATTAGAAAAGTTAGTGCTTTTTGCAAAATGTACCTGCTTTTCAGAAATGTGTTAATCGGGTGGCCTAAGCTTCTTTCCAGGATGCCCACTTCTAGGCTAATGTGTTGAGGCTGAAACATTATCCCTTCCATTGAGACTTACTGTTCAGGAAAAGTTCCAGCTTCTGGCTTGGTGGAAGGCGACCACTGGTATGTAATCAAAGGGCCATCCCACCCAGCACAGTGCCATGGCTGCAGGTGCTGGAATCTGGCCCACCTGGGTTTCAGTCCTGTCTGAGATCTACCATTTAGTGTCAATATGACCTTAAGTGTTTGACCAAACATCTCCAAGCTTTTTTCTTCATCTGTAAAATGGACATAATATTAGAACCCATTTCATGGGGCTTTTGTTAAGGTTAAATTGATAACATCCGTTCAGGGATATGCCAGTTCCTATTACACAGAAAGCACTCAATCAATGGAAACTGCTACATTGTTATCATAAGTATTTGCATAGCATCATTCATATCTTGGTAAAACATCTTCCTCCAGGTCTCCAGTTATTTTCTCAGCTTCCTGATAAGAATTTCTTAAGAAATGAGTCAATAGAAATCTCCATGTTCTAAACACTTCTCCTGAAACAAGGGATGCAGGGCTCCTCTACTAGAAGAAAAGCCAGAAATAAATTAATCACACTGTTTATAAACAATTGTTTAAGCAACATGAGACAAGACTTGTTTCCTGGGTACATCATACCCTGTGCTGAACAGTTGGGGCTGTTATTTTGAATATGCCTTCTGGATTTTAAATTACCTGTAGGCATTTCTTTGACCCAACATAAAATATACTAGCCATGTCAAACAAGTTGAGCACATTCCGTGTGTGTTTGTTTTCCCCCTTTTGCTCCGTAGGTGCACCCACTGTCAGGGTGTCGAGGTTCTGTGTACCAGCCCTCAGAGATCAGCGCTCGCAGTAAAAAGGGATTATGCATGCCACCCTGCAGGGCAAGCCCCCAAACAACACTCAGCTCCAGAAATGCCCAACGTGGTTTATTTGAGGTCAAAGATAGAGGCAGTGTGATGTGGTGCCCTGGCCTTCAACCCTGGCTGCACATTACAGCCACCTGGGGCCTCTTAAGCAATACCTGAGCCTGAGCTCTGCTTGTAGAGATTCCATTTTAATTGGGTCTGGTTGGGAAGCAGAAATCCATTTATTTTAGGAGCTTGAGTGCGCAGCAGGGTTAACAACCGCTGGTGTCCTGGAAAGAGCAGGAGGCCTGTCTTCTAATCCCTTAGTGATCATCAGGAAGTCATTACCTCTCCCAACACCAATAAAATGAGGAAGTTGAATTAGATAATGCTTTAAGTTTAGATCTAGCTGCATGTCTTAGATCACTGAGATTGTGTGGGTTTAAACCAGTAGTTCTTTATCAGGAATGATCTTGTTTACCAGAGAACATTTGGCAATATCTGGTGGCATTTTTGGTTGTCACAACGTGGGAATACTATTGGTATATAGTGGGTGGAGGCCAGGGACGCTGCTAATCATCCGACAATGCATGGAACACCCCAGAGCAAAGAATTTCCTGGCCCCAGATTTCCAGATAGTGCCGAGGTTAAGAAACCCTGCTTCAAACTAGTCCTCTGAGCTTTACAACAGAGAACTTCCTTGCCACTGCCAAGGACAGCAGGAGAGGTCTTTCAACAGTACCAGGAGGTTCAGCCCCTGCACCATTTGGCTCCTTTTAATCCTCATACATTCTTAAGGCAAGACCAAAAAAAAAAAAATATATAGCGCCGTAGAAGGCGACTGATACGGTTTCTAGGAGGAAGGGTCCTGAACTTCTGTGGTTAGAGTACCGGCAGTAACCTTGCAGATAAGCCCTTTCCACTAGGCAGGCTCTAGGAGCTTGTTCTCTTACAGCATGTACTTGGCGAGGACACAGACCTTCCAATTTAGTCAGAGCAGCTGTTCAGGAAGAAATCTCCTCCAAAGCACACTGAGATACCCATTGGAAAACCATATTCCCATGTAAATGTGTGTTTAGTCCATGGTGCAATGTGCAGGTACCTGGTCCATGGAAATGATAAAAGCTTCATCTTATACCGGGAATTGACAAGCCGGAGTATGTTCAGAAGAGGGTAAATGCCATGATTTTCTCTACAGAATTTATGACATATAAATAACAGTAGAAGGAACTGGGGATGCTGAGCTTAGAGCAAAGAGGTTTTAGGTCATAATTATTGTTTTTATATATTTAAAGGGCTGTTAGAGGAAACAGGAATTCGACTTCTTCTGCATAATGTGAGGGAGAGAGGTAAGAAACAAAGGATTGAGGTTATAAGAACATGTATTTCAGCACAAAATGGAATGGATTGCCTTACTAGGGAGTTCCTAGTAAAGTTGAAGGAGACAATTGGATGACCATCAGTCAATTAAAAGTGTTGATTGACCGAATATCAGTAACTGGAAGAACTGAATGTTCATTAGTCAACATTTCTGGGGAAGAGGTGAGTAGATTGAATAACACGTTCTCAGCCCCTTTTTTTGTGATTCTGTGAGTTACAAAATCATAAGCATCGTCCCACAGTGCAGTTAAGTGTAGGGGACAGCAAACTCTATTTCAGCCAGTGTAACATTTTGTTTGGTTGAAGCTGGAGAATTTCTGGAAATATTACTAATGAGAAGACATATGTCAGAAATGATACTGTCAATTTTAGGGGGCCATTCTGCTTTCCTTTACTGAATCTTTGGCAATCTGGGGTTGGTAGAAAATGTAGACATTTCCAAAGGAGAAATATCTCCATAGATGCTTAGTGGTAAACAGCTAATTTGATGCCTGAGATTGCATTTGGAAAAAATATTGGATATATTTACTGATCAGGATATATATACATATATATATGTATATATATACACACACACATACATATATATGTATATGTATATTATATATTATATATATACATGTATATGTATATATACATTTGCATGACTTTCCAAAAGGGTGAGTTCTAGAATTGAACTGAAAGGCTATTCACACATTTTGGTGATTTTAGGATGCTCTTTCCTTGACAGAGTTGCAAATTATAAATTATTTTCTCTGCCTCTGGTTTTCTTTTGGGACTATGTATATAATATAGCCATAAAGGGAGAAGCTGCTTCGTGTTTATCACTCAGGAAGATGGAAAGGCCATTCAGACATGTGGGATTTTAAACTGCAAATGCCAGCTGGATTGGGTTGTAATAGGATAACCTTGAGCAGTACAGTAGGACTTGCAGTGGGCAGAGAGGGAAGGGTATATGAAACCCTTCTTGGCCTGATCCAATCTGGTGTTCCAGCTCATTTCCCTCAACTCTCCCCGCTGCAGCCCAGCTCCCCTGACCTAACTCTTCGTGCAATAAACATACAAGATTGGTCAGCTTTTCCCAAACAAATAGCGAATTATATTGTCTCTGGATCATCTCTGCTGCCTTGAATGCTGTCTCACTTTCCAGCCTGGCACAAGACTACTCATTCTTCTAGGCACAGTTCCAATAGGAGTTCTCTAAACTTTCCTGCCCCACTTTCTCCTCAGTCTCTGGGCTATCTTACCACCCACTTGCCCTTCTTTAGGAAGCTCAGCTTATCCCTCAGTATCTTAAGTATTCTTTATGTACCTGACTCACTGTCACTCCTATGGGCAGCTTCTCAAGAGCACTGTTTAGGGGTTGAGAATGCCTGTTCCATGAAGGTGCAAATTTAGTGATGTTGTTTCAATCAGGCTCTGAGTTCAGATCCTGACCCCACCACTCTCTAGATACTCTACCTGGGGAAAGTTACTAGGATTCATTCCACTCAGCCAGAGCCTGCAAATAATAAAACCCATGTGATAGGATTATTGTGAAGTTTATATGAAATAATCCATGAATTTCTTAGCACAGTAGTTGACACATAATAAACATTCAGTAAATATTGGCTGTGTTTAAAACGTACTTTTAAGGTATTTTCTCCTAGATATTTTAGGTCCTTTTATATTGGAATACTATAGAAAAAGCAGGTAGATAGTCTGACTCCCAAAGATTCAGAGTTTCAATCCTTTTATTTGCCATTTAGGAACTGTGGTAAACAATGGAAAAAAGTCATGAAAGGATATTGATTTGACCTCTTAGTTCTATGCACATATTGGGAAATAGGGAAAGAAGTACATAGGGATTAGAATCAGCCACACCTGATTTGATCTCGCACTTTGGTGTATTGAAACATGGACATATCTGAGACTGGTGATGAGATTAAAGGGCCCTTGGGAATACATTTTGTCCAGAGGCCACAATGTTAACATCCCAAACTATGAAAGCTCAGCTTTCTGCAAGCTTCAAAAGACAGTAGAAAGAAAGATCCTAGATGTCATGCCCTGCAGATGCATTGCTTTATGTCCTTGCCAAGACACTATGCTTTCTGCAATTTAGTTTTCTCATCTGTCTGATAGGGGCTTTTGTAACTTGCATGCTACTTTCATGATTTTTTTTTATCATATCACCACTCTACCCATGCCATGCTATTATTTATTTACTATTTTTCTTTAAATACGTTTTAAATCTAAATAAACATATTTGTAAAGGAAACTCTGTATTGTGACCTTAAATGCAAAACTATATAGAGAAGATGATTTTTAATACAAATGCAATGAAAGTAAAACAAAGTTATTAAAATTTAGCTTTATCCTGTTTTTTTGCCAAAGGCTTTGAGCCTGACGCCTGCACTGTGTTTGTTAGGTATTAGAGACTTGTTAAACCAGAGCAGGACCACACTGAGTCAGAATGACTGAATGAATAATTTGAATCCCCTTGCTGTCATTCAGATTATTTAATGCTGTGCCCATTCTCTGAGATGTCACTCACAGAACACATCCTATGTTTGGGAAACACTTGATCTTCTAGCCTTAGTAGAATTCTGGTTGATAGTGTATCTACAGACAATTTAAGAAATGGACTTTTAATAAGCAAACTTGCTGATAACTTATTACAAATCTATGTGCCTCACGGTTTATAGACAACTCGGTTTTTATCAGCTAACAATACCCAAGAATTCTATTTCTCATCACATGAAAAGCACCTAAAAAAACATTGCTCTGTGCATCTCTTTACATTTTTTGCTTTCTCATTTTCATAATCACCAAGTCTTTTCTCATCTGTTTATCTTCAATGTGATGACAACCAATAAATACTTCCTTGTCCACTTTGCTGAAATGTATGTTTTATTTTATTGTTTCCATTCCTTTCCCTTTGGGAGCAGGGACTTCTATCTCTGGCCCCTCTGACCTGCCTGTGATTTCTCTCTACTGCCTATCTCTAAGCTCGCTCTCTCTACTGTCTCTATCTCTAAGCTCGCTCTCTCTACTGTCTCTATCTCTAAGCTCGCTCTCTCTACTGTCTCTATCTCTAAGCTCGCTCTCTGGTATGAATAGAATGGCTGGAGGGAAATCTCATACACCTGTGTGCGTAAGAATCAGCTGAGAGCAGTTTTTTAAAATGCAGATTGCTGCTCTCTCTGGCTCACTCCTGCCCTCCTACCCTCGCTGTCAAAGGTCTGGTATGGATCCTGGGAATCTGTATTTTATAAAAGTACCCAATATAGTTCTCATGCACATAGCCTCTGGACCTTTGAGAAAGATGACTTAGCAAGTGATTCTCCTCCTCCTCCTCCTCCTCCTTTTCTTCTTCCTCCTCTTCTCCTTCTTCCTCCTCCTATTCTTTCTTCCACAGAACAAGTAATTGTAAGTCTGTTTCATTAACTGCTAATAACTTTGTTATAAAACTTCCCACCACATAAATGATTTCCATGTTTCCAAATGGGCAGAATTCTTGATTTGGAGGGCAGAATACCCAAGTTATAGCACTAGATCCACCATTACCCATCGATCAATCCATGCCTCTACATTACACTTTCCTCTTCCTCTAACATGGAAACAAGACTCTGTACCTTCTTGCCTTACAGATTTGCATTGAAGATTAAATGTGAAAAAAAGATATGACAATGCTTTGTAAATTGTCAGGGATTTTACCAAAATGATTACAACAAGAAACTGCATTTTAAAAACTCATCCGTTAAAATATTGGAGAAAGATTCTTTTTAAATGATGTTTTGCATCAGGGATTTTGAGTGGCTCTGCCAATGTTTTTGATCAAACATATGTTTGAGGAGAGACAGTTGTGATCTCGCTGCATTTTAAGTTGTGGCATCTCAGCCCCACCCTATCCTATCCTACCCAAATACGTTTAACAGCTTTGCAATGTAATTTCACAGATTCCGAAATTGAGGTCTTTCAGATTCTTTAATACAAATCCAAAATTACCCTCCCTGTGTTTCCAGCGAAACCTCTTCCCTCCACATGGAATATAAAGTATCAGATACTAACAATAGAATATTAAAAGCCAGATTTGAAGCAATTACCCACAGCTTTGGAGAACAGTCCCACACACAGCTGGTGCCCAATCAGAAGGCCTGTCTCTGTCACCCACCATCCCTGCTACTCATAGAATCAGAATGTCAGAGCTGCAAATGATCTTACAGATTATCCTCCCCTTCATTTAACAAATGGGAAAAGTGAGGCACAGGAAAGGGACAAAGTCATCCAGTCACTCAACTGGAGGCTCCAAAGGCATTAGAACCCAGGTCCCTGTCTTCTGGTTGCTACACTCTGCTGCTTTCTTCTCTGAATTAGTAAGGTGACCTTCTAGCTGGGAGTGAAAGGGGCTTCCTGAGTGTTAAAGCCATGTGCACTGAGGATGATCTTATTGCACAGGAAGGAGGTCTCTTATGGTGCAGTATAATGTACCACATTTTTTTTTATCATGCATGAAGGCCTAAAAGGCAGATGACACTAAACTGCTAACTGTGAACAATTATGTAAATATAACAATGAGAACTGCGGCTATGAGCCAACTGACCATAAGATCACTCTGTCATTATTCTCACATTCCCATTCGTCCTGCTGAGAGAGAGACGTTGTGAGTCCTTCATGGAGTTAGATGCTGGGCCATTGTCCTTTCTCCATGGCCAGAGCTATATTGATGTAACCTGGCATTAGACATCAAATAGCAATACTAGAGTATTTTCAATCTTTATTTAAATCTCTAAAAGAATTGTACAAGAGAGCCAATATATTGAAGCTGAGTTTGCCAATGTCAAAGATAGATAGAGAGGGAGAGAAAGAGAGAGCCAATGTAGCCCTTCGGAAACATTTCTCAAAGAACCTCTTCCTCTCTCCAATTGCTCTGGAGCCTTCCACATGCCCAACCACATGGCTTTCTTTAGCTCTGATCTTTTCGCCTTGTCTTTTATCCTCACCCCTCATTCTTTATTATGTTTATTCATGTGGCCCCTCTCTTTGTCTTCCGGACTTTCCTCCTACCTTCACAGGATTTTTTCCCCCTTTACACCTAGTCTCCCTAGTTCTACGTCACAGAAAACATGGGGTTCCACTTGGCAATGACTCTTCTTTAATGGTCAGATGGAGTTAGCAGGAAAGAGTCTCATGTTAGTGTCACAGTCATATTGTGTTGCAATAAATGGAAATGCCACATCACACTGCAGGTTTCTCACAGGTGGAACATTTATAACATGCACCCCTCTACATATTCATTTCACCCAGGAGTCTGCCATAGTGGGACAAAGAAATGCTAGAGACAGCGAGACCTAAATACTGTATCCATAGTGGTAGTTGTCAAAATGATGAATGACAATACAGTAGAACAGTTACTAGCACAGGTGCTGGTGTCAAAAATGACTTAAATGTAAGGTCTGACCCTGTCATTTATTAACTGTGTATACTTGGGCAAATTACTTATGCTCCCTGAAGCTCAGTTTCCTTGCCTGTTAAATGGGTGTAATACATGAATTAAGGCACATACTGCATTCAGCCCAATGCCTGGCACACCAGTGCTGCACTAATAGGTGGTTGTTTTTATCGTTGCTAATAATGACAATAATAACAAATATGATACAAAGGGGATTTGGCCAATGAGAGATGAGAAATTCTTATTTTCTTTCTTCCCTCTCTCCCTCTTTCCCTTCCTTCTTTCCTTCCTTTCCTTCTTCCTTCCTTCCTCCTTCCCTTTCTTCCTTCTCTCCTTCCTTCCTTTTTAACCTTCATTCCTTCTTTTTCATTCATTGTTTTTTCTCTAAATAGATATATTCAATGAATCAGACAGATAAAAATGTAAGGGAGTATGTAAAGGCCTGAGGGCACATCTTGAGTTATCTAGAGAGTTTACACTTTAAAATGGCATGTGGAAAATCTGGAGGAAGGAACATATAACCAAGGATGAATCAAGGATGAACAAAAGCTATGTTCAGAGCTATGTTCAGATCTAACCCAGAAATAGTTAGATTTCATTATTTAGGGAAGAAATCTTGCATATTCTGCTATAATAAGAATAGACTTCCAACTGGAAAGAAGAGAACATTTTAGGGAGAAAGTTGCTGTCCAGGATTGATGGAAAGCATTTAACTCTCTCTGAGCCAAGATGTGTCATATCTCAGGGGCTTAAAAAAAACTTGTTGCTAACAAGTCCGAATGAACTTCTTCTAGGACTGGGGAATAGGTGGAAGCCTGGAGATAGTAAATATTGCCCCAATTTTTCAAGAAACACTAAAGCTAATCTCCAGAAACCATAGACTCATAGCTTGTGTAAGTAAGATTCACTGTTGTATAATAATTCATGCCAAATAATTTCTTTATCTGCTAGGACAGATTTTCTGTTTGACAGAGACATTTTAGCAAGGTATTGGACAAAGCCTGCCAGAGCGGGTCCATTCTCAGGCACATTGAGCATTAGATGTTTGACTGCAAGGAAGCCTGTCTTGGGGTAACTATGATTCTCTGTTTTATCTTGCTCAACATTTTTTACCTTGCCTGAAAAACTAAAAGGCAGATGACACTAAACTGAAATATCTACCATTGTAGATTATTTGATCTTCCTATGTGCTTGCAAAAAACTTAAGGTCTAGTTTGAGTGGGTGCTAAATAATCATATCTTGAATGTTAAAATTGCTATGATTTAGAATGATCTCAGCTGACTAAAGTGATACCAAACCGATATAACAAAGTTTAACTGAGTAAAATGTGATGGTTTATATTTTGGCTCAAATAAATAAATAAATAAATAAATAAATAAATAAATAAATAAATAATAAAATCAACTAGGCAGCAATGTAATAAAGAACCTCAGGAATTGACAGTTGTTGTATCAAAAACGATCAAAGTTGGCAGCAAGCTCAATATACGCCAATAACTTATTACCATTTTTAGAAATGAACTGAATTTGACTACATTAATAGAAATAAACCCAATTGATGATGAAAAGCACATGATGTAAGTCAGGCTCCCTGCGAAAATTTGTGCACTTTCCTAGTACCATAATTCAAGAGAGGTGTTCAAAGGACAGTGCCCATTATGGGGAATAATCTGGAAACTATAATATATAATGAACTATTAAAGAAAATCGGAATGTGTAGCTTGGAGTAGAGAAAACTTGGAGGATATAATCGGTAGAGGGCACAATGTTGAGGGGGCCTGATAGGCGTAATAGGTCCATCAGGTAGAAGCCATATGGACACCGATTTTGGCTGAACATTAATGGGCTATTTCTAATAGTTATTATTGCCAAAAATTAATATGGACTGGCCTGTCAATGGAAATTCCTAAGTAGAAGCCAAATAGCTACTCATCTGCATGGCACAGAGTGTTCCTGCCATGCAGGTGGGCTCTTTCAGGAGATGATCTGCAACATCCTTTCCAATTCTGAGGTTCTGTAATCTTCTCCTCTCTCTAGGGATGCAGTGGAGTGTGGTGGCCAGTGGGAGAGTCAGTGTCACCCGCCAGCAACTTCTCCTTTGGTGGCTGCTCAGCCCAGTGACACTTAGGCCCCTGGGACAATGACCCAGAAGACAGCCATGCCTCCGAAAGAGGGCCAGGTCCTAAGCTGCTGCTTGTGCGCGACTGCACCCGGTATTCTCTTCACCTGAGGCTTTCCGTCCGCCAGTGCAGGAACCCGGTGCTCGCTGGGCTTTTCCTCTGAGATTCCAGCAGGTGGCGCTGGAGGGAGTCAGGGGACATAATGGCCTCCTTGTTCACTTTTTATTTCCCAACACTCCCTCTTCCCAGATTCTCTGCTTTTGCCGCGTGGTCTCTGGTGTCTCTGACATGTTCCCGTCACTCACTGTGTCTGATCTGTCTCACTCACGTTCTAAGCACGATAGCTTGCTGCGTCCTATCTCGGTCACTGATGTCTCCAAATACGCCTTCTTTGCTGTGTGGGCTTCCAGATATCAACAAAATACTCCCTCTCTGTTCCTGTCTTAGCCAGAGGCGTCGCTCCTGTCTTGCTTACTTGCTTGGTCACGTCCGTCACAGCCATGTTCAAGCTATCCCCTGCCTCTTCTTCGCCCTGTTCTGTGCCAGACGCTAACACACTTTTCTCCCTGTGTCTGGGTCCAAACGTGCATCCTCTTGGTTGGCCCCCTTGTCAGTCCCAGACGTCCACTTGCTCTTCCTTATGTCCAATGTCTGTCCTCCTCTTCAGGACATGCTCCATTTATTTTCCATGGAAGACACAGGGTCAGAGATCTGTCAGAGGAAAATGGTCTCCACAGCAACTCTGGAGGGAAGCTGAAGACAGATAGCTTCCTCCTGGTGTCCTGGCCGCTGGCGTGTCTGCCCTGAGATGCTCGCTCTCCTGCTGGGCTAGAACGGGACGTCTTCTAAAAAGCCTTGGGCAGGGCTAGCAACATCGTAGGTGTTTATTAGGCTTCAGGATCTTTCCCATGAACTTGTGATATCATTTTGAAACCCTTCAATCTGGCTTTGTTGCTGCCAAAGGAGATAACTGTTGGAAGTTCACACTGGGGAAACTCATTTTCCCCTGCAGCTCCCCCAAGGTGCAGGAGGGCAGGATCCAGCAGCACTGGGGATGCCGAGGCAATGCTGTACTTGAAGCCAGAGGACCCAAATTGCCGCCCTGGCTGTGCTGCAAACAAGCTGTGAGATCTTGAATAGTGTTCTTTCATCTCTGGACCCCACTTTCCACATCTGTGCACTCAAGCTTGGACTAGAGGACCTTTAAGTTTTCTTTCTGTTTCTAAGACAACAGTATGCTGCTATAGCCGTCTGCTACCTCGAGAAGCCATGGCCTGCCTGCCTTTTGGCTTTGTTTCAAAGGAACGACCCTCCTCATTTGGGCCTTTTAGACCCCTGACCTTTCCAGCTTTGTCCTTCAGATTAATCTGGATGTCTTTTATTCAAAGCTGAGTCAGTGGCTCTTGCGAATGCCCCATAGCAGAAGTCCCGGGAAGGTAAATGCCAAACCCAGAGCCATGTGAGATTCTGACTTTGATCTTGGCTGTGGTTTAATAGCATCTCAGGATTATTTATCATATTCTCTTTTTTTCTTATTGCTTATAAGGTGTCAGTTATTGTTTCCATTGTTGTTTACTTTAGTTCTGGAACTGAAACCGACAGGAAGAAACTTTGGAATAAGGAAGAGAAGATTGACCAAACCATCCAAATGCCAAAAAGAAAAAGAAAAAAAAAAGCCTCTCTGTCCTATGAAGACTTAATTCTGTTGGGGAGAAAGTCATGTTTTAGGGAAGGAAAATAGCCTCTGAAAGAGAAATGCTATTCAGAATTCGTGAGAAATATCTCTCCATGCTGAAATGCTCTTTGTGTAGACTGGGATTCTCCCTGATCAATGAAGCAGATTGAACCAGGGAACCATTCTTGTCACATATGAAGAAAGTTTATTTAAATTCTAACTTACACCCTGACTCTGACTCTGTGGCTGGACCAATCCCCTTTGATTTTTCAAGTCATTGTTCCCCTGCCATCACTAGGCTCAGCAACCACCATTAGGAGGCAAGCACCATTTTGAGGTGCTTTTCTAATATGAAGAAGGGAGCAGCCAGCTTCTGGGCTCCATGGCTCTGGACCTGATGATGAGACCCAACCAATCTGCTGTGGCTGCCCACACACCCACCCATTGCCTGCATGAGCACATTGGTGGGAGGAGTACAGCACAGAGGCAGCACGTGCACTGGGTCCATTGCTGACTTATTAAGCAAATTGAACTAATTCCTGAATGTCTCAGACCTCAGAGAGAATCTCTCTTGCCTACTTCACAAAGTTGTTGTGGAGATATAAGATAATTTTTTTGTGAAAACATTCTGTAAATCATAAAATGCCATTCCACATATTTATCATTACTTTGGGCGTTTTGGATTACTGTGGATGTGCCTGAGCACTCGAGGACTATGAATTTATTTACCGGGAGGTAAACCAACTTAAGAGAGTAAGTTTCTATGTTGATAAAGAAACAGAGAAAGAAATGCCCAGGGCAAAGTTCGCAGGAAGGTAAATGCCAAACCAGAGCCTTGTTAAAAAAATAATATTCTAGGAGCACCCCTTGGGTATTAATTCTTCCTGTATTCCCAGCACTTTGGGAGGCCCAGGTGGGAGAATCACTTGAGGTCAGGAGTTCGAGCCTGGCCAACATGGTGAAATTTGATCTCTACTAAAGCTACAAAAATTAGCCGAGTATGGTGGCATCTGCCTGTAGTCCCAACTACTTGGGAGACTGAGGCAGGAGAATTGCTTAAATCCATGAGGCAGAGGCTGCATTAAGCTGAGATTGCACCACTGCACTTCAGCCTGGGCAATAGAGTGAGACTCCATCTCACTAAATAAACAAATAAATAAAATTCTAGGAATTGTAGAAGCACCCTTTGGATATTAATTCTTCCAAATCCACCCATCCTAATTTGGTCATTTCAGGTTGCCCAACACACGAATTTATGAATCACAGAAACTCATTTAAAAGGATTTGGTTATTCACAAAGTAAGGGACTACAGGCTAATTTTGATAATAATGAGCGTAACTTCTCATATAACTTCAAAGTAACATGGAATAAGATTCAAATGTTTGTTCACTATGAAAAAATGTATTTGAAGAAGAAAATACTTGGACCATCAAAATCATCCCCATGCTATAAATTATATATATACAAATCCTATGAAAAAAATCAAACGTGGACCAGACTATGACCAGATAGCATGAATACTACATAAAGAGTCAACTAAGATATTGAACCTGATAACTTTTGAAAATTTTCCTGATCTGATAGTCTATGTATATGATTGTTAATTGTGGTTTAATGCTATTTTAGCTAACAACTTAATTTTATTTACATTTTTAATAAAGTAGAATTACAAAGGGGCCACTTATACAGTTTATAATGCACTGAGATCCCTTGTGTGATCAACATATAAAGTACATGTGTGCCCACCACATAGAACATGAAACTTAATTCTCTAATTTCAAAGGATTACAAATTGTAATGATGGTTGTGTTTTTGGTTTATGAGATTGTTAGTTATAGCTATGATTTATTTGAAGCTAAGGCTTTGAAGGTCCTAGAATCCTTGATTCTAACTTTGTTTACATGGAAAGCATCTTTGGCTTTATGATCATCTACTTTTTGATGCAGTTCCCAGAAATGTGTTATGGAAAAAATTGGAGCCTACATAGATTTTTTAATTGATAAATTATATTTATTGATAAATTATACATATGTTTATATGAGTGCATTCTGTACATGTTTATATAAATTATATATTCAAGGAAAAATGCGTCTGAAAACTAATAACTGAATTTTGAATATGCAATAAAATGCCAAAGTCAACTCCCATGCCTCAGTCTTGTGGAGCTTCTCGGTAACCTCCAAGATCCCAGGGCATTCTCCAGTAGCTATGTCGTTTGAAGCTAGAGAATTTTCTGACTCCAGTACCAGGTTCCTCTCAAAGGAAAGCTAGTAGCCCCGGGCCCCTAGATAATGTGATTTTACCAGATTCTACCTGTCTGCCTGTCTGTCACCTTCATCAAGGCCTCCAGCAATAAGACAAACCTCTATGACATGGTCACCTAATGAGCAGAGGATGGGGATCCTGTCCAGCTACTCTCAGAGCACAAACCACGAGGAGGCATTTAAGGCAGTGTGACAATGTATATCTGGAGGTCTTGGATTGAGGTTAAGCATGTGCATCCCTGCTGAAGCCTTTAGAAAAAAAAAACTGGAGGGGGCATGTCACGAGCCATCCAAGAGCCTGGAGTTCATCTCCTTTAGGCCCAGGTTATGTGTGATGAAATCTAGGTCCCATCTCTTCTGAGTGTGGAACAATGGAATGAACCCTGTCAGCAGTCAGGAGACAGAGTAATGTCCAGAGTAAAATAGACTTAGCTCTTTTGTTTACCTCTTGGGACCTATCTTCTCACATATAAAATGCCAGGGGTGGACAAGAATTAGGTTTACACATCAGAATCCTTTCTTCATACACAAATCTACCTGGAATTCCATCACATAAAAGATTCAAGCAGGACGGGGAATAGGTAGGTCTGGATCTCCCATCTCTGGTTATTATAATCTATGCCCTGGATGGAATGTTCTTGGGAGCCTAAAGCCCAATCGCTGGACCAGGGAATACCCTCTGTGCTGGTGCTTGTTTACCTCCTGTCCTTAGCTTTTCTGAGGCGGTGTTCATAATACTGCCATGAACTATTTTTTCCAGGTGACAATCATTTCCTCAGAATCACACCTCCCCGTTAGAAAATCTCTTCCTCCATTCAGAAAGCACACTGTCTCCTGAAACTTCCTTCCTAGAATGAAGACCTAAGCCTTCACCGGCTGTGAAGTACCTGCTACCAGACCCCAGAACCTCCTGCAGAATCCACCTCCAAACTAACCTACCCTTGGGAGAATGTCCTCTTTCTTGATTTCTTTACAAATCGCCTAGTTCCATGTTGGAGCATCTCTAGATTCATTTAAGGGGAAGAGACTAGTATTGATTTAGCACTTACTGTGCGCTAGGTGATTTCTATTTGCTATAGTTTAATTCTCTCAACAGCACTATGGCATTCAGAGAAAAAGAGATTTTCTGAACACCGACTATGAGGCAGGGTCTCTTGCCAGAAGTCTACTAATAAAGAAACCGGACAAGGTCTCTACTCTCTCTTGTCAGAAACTAGAAAATAAACAAGGAGACACATGTACATGAATAAGGCAAGTTTAGATACTGATATGTGCTATAAAGAGAATAAAAAATAGAGATGGGCAAGGGGGTGTTTTAGATGAAGTAGTTAGGGAAGGTTAGATGGAGGAGGTGAGCTCTGTGACAGGGGACAAGCATTCTAAGGAGTCAGGCATATATTTGATCTGAGGGAATATCAAGTCAGGCGAAGGGAAAAGCAAATACAAATGCACTAGGGCAGGAATGTGCTTGACATAGCCAGTACAGCCTAATTAATGCGAAAAAAAAGTGGTAGGAGATGGGATCAGAGAAATAAGTAAAGGCTGATCATAATTCAGTAGCTTTGGTGCCATTTACCAGTTACTACATGTCAGCCTTGGTGAAAGCATTTTACATGAGACACCTCATTTAACCCTGTTAAGGTAAGTATCATTTTCCTATCACAGGGATCAGAAAACCAGGCTGTACGTCAGAGAAGTTAATGTGGAATTTTTCCAAGGATGCAGAAATTACCTGCAGCTGGAAATGGAGCCCAGGTTCCACCAAATCTAAGGGGACTTGATCCACCTGAGGCCCGTTCTTGTTAGCAGCAAGAACAATCCTTGAAATGGATGGATTCTCTTCTTGTGCACTTTTCCCCTTTGCCCCTTTGTTTCTCCGTGGAGTTTTGGCTGTCTGCAAACAAAGATGCATTTATACAGTAGGTCTTCATTGATTTCAATTTAGCTAGTTCCAAATAGCATCTAATTGGAAGGAAAAGCCAATTATTGGCCAGCCAGAAAGTGATTCTTGATAAAAATTATTTTATCAGAAATGAGTGGAAATCAATCTGGCTATGTAATCAGTAGACTTTCTCATGCATTTCCTTATCTCTATCCTTACTGACATCATCCTTTCTACAACTGACATTATCTTTCATCTGGATTGGGGAATTAGGCTCTAAAACATAAGTTTCAGCATGCCATTTCCCCAATCAAAATCCCTCAAGGACTCCTCATAGCCTACCAATACTTTCTGTAAGTCCACTGTTAGAGTTTTTCTTCCAGAATATGCTCAACTCTTCGGATTTGCACATTCAGCTACTACTCCTGCCGTTCTTTCCACTGGGCATGATTCCCCTGGCACCTCTTACATAGTGTATTTCAAATACCACCTCCTACCTGAAGTCTTTTCCAGCCTCCAGGACTGCATGAGGTTTTTGACCTATTCCAATCCCCAAACATTTTATTTGTTCTTCTCCTGTGACATTTTGATATGCTTTTCAGTGTGGTTCATTAATTACGTTCTTTTTGATCTCTCCTACCAGATTTTGAGCTCCTTGAGGACTGTGGCCAATTCTTATTGCTCATTTTTTTTTCTTAGTGCCCAACACAGGTTTTTGTACACTGAAGTTATCAAATAAATTCATTGGATGTATTTGTTTGGAAGAATGTGAAGCTTTTCATTGTTACGGCATCTCCACTGTACCAGCCCACTTTGCCCCTTCAGTCCCAAATCTCAGTGCTGCTCTGCCATTAGTACTCCACCCACTTCAAAAGCTGCAGCCTTCTGATAAGAGAAAACTCTTTCTGTGACAGTTTTGAATAAAATCAAGATGTTTATCACACCTCTTTCAAGTGGCAGAAAGATTAGAGTTTTAAAATACCGTTATATCACCGAGTTATGGCAAGTTTATTTTCTCTTTTGGTCCTGTCTATTGAAAAAGGGCTTAAGCTTAAAGTTTTGTATTTATAGAAAGTTGTGATGAAGCGGACTGAAGTTTTGTGAGTTACTTGACATTGTGTAATCTTAGAGGACATTGGCCTCCATTTCACCAATAATGGCATCTATTGAGACAACATAGAGCAAATGAAGCATGAACTGAGCCAGAGATGTAGAATGGACCCAGTGAGAGTTATTCAGGCTAGAGTGTAACAAAGCATCTTTGAAAGATGTCATAAAATGTCAGATTTTTCAGCAGCATCCTTTCTAATTTGCTGTGTGGCTGGGAATGTCTCTGCACCTTTCTGCCTAAAGTTTTGCCATTTGTAAATTGAGAAACTGTCTTTGGTTAGGAACTTGGGCTTTGACATTACATGGACATAAGTTGAGATCTAGAGTCTACCAGTTACTGAATGTGTGACACAAGCAAGTTCCTCAACTCTTGGAGCTTCAGTTTCTTCTTTGCAAGGGGATAATGATAGCACATTCCCCACCCAGTGTGATGAGGCGTCAGTGGGTTAAAGCATATAAATAGTGGCACACAGTCTCTGGCATACAGTAAGCTCTCACTGAAGTGTAGCTGTTACTATTATTACTCTGAATTTCATGACATTTGAAATTCAGAAGCAGTATGTGGAGTCATATGGAAAGGGTTGTTGAGAAACCAGGAGCGGGGAAGTGGTGGAAGTGGCAGGCAGTGATTGTTTCTGTGCCAGTTGTCTAATCTGAGAAGGCAAAGGCTAAGAGGACTATTCAGGAGAAGATGGAGATGGTAAAGGATTTGGCTGTGGAGTCACAGAAGAAACATAATCTGCACGCATGGAAAATGGTATCTACTTGTCATTCAGTGTCTTCTTATGACACTCCTAATATGCCTCTTAATCCTCTCCAATTAATGTGTCTCCCAAGCAAGAGTCTCACTTCACCTTCTAAGACAGTAAAAGGATGCAACTTTATTGAGCATATAAGATAGTCAGGACTACCTAAACACTTCACATATTTGGTAACATTTAATTCTCGTAAAAAAATTTTGACTGGATTGAATCCCTGCTTCCCAATTTGCAAATTTGCTTCTTCAGACACCTTAATTAATTTCTCTGAGCTTCAGTTTCTGTATTGCTAAAAATAGAGGTATTAACACTACCTAACTCATGAGGTTGTATAATTTAAATAAAATTATGATAGCAATTAACACACTGCCAGGGAGATAATTGGTAGTTTCTATTATTGTTTTTATTATTATTGTATATAATGCCCATTTTATGGGTAAGTAAAATGAGGCCTAAGGAGACTACTTTTTTTTTTGGAGAAGGAGTCTCACTCTGTCATCCAGGCTGGAGTGCAGTGGCGCCATCTCGGCTCACTGCAACCTCTGCCTCCCGGGTTCCAGCAATTCTCCGCCTCAGCCTCCCGAGTAGCTGGGATTACAGGCACACGCCTCCACACCCGGCTAATTTTTTGTATTTTGATAGAGATGGGGTTTCACCGTGTTGCCCAGGCTGGTCTTGAACTCCTGACCTTAGGTAATCCACCCGCCGAGACTACGTTTCTAACCGAAGGTCATGCAAGTTATAAACAGCAGAGCCAGGCTACAAACCTAGATCTGTCTATGTTGAGAATCCATGCTCTAATTTTCTGGCTGCCTAGAAGGTGAGAGACAGAAGTAATGCCACCAAACTTTAAAGAGACACTCCCTCTGAAATTAGAAGATATTTTACAATACGTGAGGGTAGTCTAGTAGCCTGGATGAATAGTCATTTAAATTGGTCTGGAGTCCTGAATGAAAGGGCAGACATTATCTGTACTTTTAAAAACTTGGTCGAGATCAGATAATTTAATTTCGATTTAGTCTTTCTCCGTATTGAATGTCATTAGGGGGGTTACGTCATTTCATTCCCTGAATTAGCATGGCAATCATCAGTATATGGCCTTCCTGTCAATAGGGTACAAATAGGGACCCATATGCCACTGCTTAATGATGAAATTCTTGGCCAGGATAAAGATCAGCCCCCCCACACCACCCCCACATTCTTTCTCCAAAGCCTTATAGCGATCGCTTTTTATCATTCTCAGTAACTTGCCGCTGGGAAGGTCGTGAGTCATCAGCTACTAAGGCTTTGTGAAAGAGAACCCAAGCCAGGGTTCTGTAACTTCAAGTGAAAAGGCCTTGGCTCGCTGAGCAGAGGCACCATTTCTGGTGGGACCTCTTGTCCCAGCCAGCTAGAGAGTGGGCAGTTGGTCAAGGGATATGAGTCAGTGGAAGGAACTAGGAAAGGGTACTCTTATCAGGGTCACTCTTATTATTGCATCTCCTCTCCTCAGCACAGAACCATCTGGAAACACTGAACTTGTAAGACTAAAAGGCCAAAATCATTCTTGAATTCTGTCTCATCTAATAGTAGCCGTCTCGGTGGAGAGCATTCTCTATTTATTCTCTAATTTCCTGGCATTTCTTTGCTATTCAGACCTTCCTATTACAGCTGATGATTTTACTGAATAATGGGAAAAAAAAGACATGGATTGTGATTCCACCTTGCATTTTGCCGCTCACTAGCTGGGTAAATTCTGGTAAGCCACTTACCTTCTGGGTCTCAGCTTTCTCATGAAACAGATGCCCTAGACTACCTCACCAAATTTTATTCATTCACTTGACAAGTGTTTTTGCGCTGTTAGAGGAGAGATACATAAATCAATTTTGTTCAATGGCCACTGAACAAACACCGATAGTGATTATGTTAATAGGTGAGAAATATCTAGTCACAAAAAACAGAAAGCCAGGCAAAAAGTAGTAAGACCAGTGAGATTCACTAAGATACTATATTCTAAAATATGTAGGACTGGGCAACAAATTCAAGATATTACTGTTATTATTACTGATTGTCTAATATTCCAGGTAGGAAGTCATTTTTTATTTTCCAATCTTCCAAGTCTCTTACATTTATTCTTCAAATTCTCTTACTTTGATACAACTTATCTAGTCTTTCACTACTCACCACTTCATATGAGGACAACTACGGCTATCTTCTACCTCTTTTTTTTTTTTTTTTTTGAGATGGAGTCTCGCTCTGTTGCCCAGGCTGGAATGCAGTGGCGCGATCTCGGCTCACTGCATGCAACCTCTGCCTTCTGCGTTCACGCCATCCCCTGCCTCAGCCTCCCGAGTAGCTGGGACTACAGGCGCCCACAACCACACCCAGCTAATTTTTTGTATTTTTAGTAGAGACGGGGTTTCACCATGTTAGTCAGGATGGTCTCAATCTCCTGGCCTTGTGATCCACCCGCCTCGGCCTCCCAAAGTGCTAGGATAACAGGCACAAGCCACCGCGCCCAGCCTCTTCTACCTTTTTTCCCTCTACATCTGGACATTCCATCAGGCTGATGTTTTTAAAATCACACATACACACACAACAATAAATACAAAAAGAAAAAATAAAGTTATGCCCTCCTAAAATTTTCTATATTCAGCAACTCTACTCAAAAACTTTATGTAGTAGTGCCCAGTTTCTCATCAATATGTCATCCACTCCTACAACACAGTGCCCAATTCAGAGTACAATAAGTAAAACTGGGCCAACTCCCACTTCCTATTTCAGCTCTCAGGCTGTGTGCAACTTCTCCCTGCTAACCATGCTTTTCTTCCATCGCCTGCCAGTTAAAACCAAGGCCAAGTTCATTGACTACCTTGTCTATGAAACCTAATGGAGCCTACCCTGACCTGTTTAATACATTTTTCCACAGGACATAGTTCCCTGGGGCAACAACCATAATCTCCCTGGGTGTTCTCAGGCCTACATACCAAAGAGAAGCATCCAAATTAGCTATCTCCACATAAAACTAAACAACAATACCAACACCAACATCACCAGCACCACCAGCAAAAAACAGGACAAGGTAAAAGTCATTCTCTAATTGGCAAAGACACGTGGGTCCATATAGATAGAGTATCTCAGGAGATAACAGAAATGAAACAACCTAATTAACCATCTCAGGAATGTAAGGAAAAAATGCTATCAATTTCACCATTTTGCTTGTTTTCATTTAAACAAACTTTAAGGAGACACCCACTGTGTGCCAGGCATTGTGCTAAGTGCTAGTAATGCAAAATAATAGACTCAGGGCTTGTTATGCCAGTCTCTATGGGCCTGATCTTGGGGCTGAAGATAAAATGGAAGAGACTCTGTATTGCCACCTTCTGTGGTTGCATATACCCTGTTGGGTGCTCTGAATGCTGGTCACTGTGGCCAGCCTGGACTGTGATTAATCTTCCAGACCGGTTTGCAGACCCAGACACCTATGCCAGTGGGAAACTGGTGAGTGGAACCCTATGTGAGTATCCTGAGAGTATAAGAAAGCATCACACGGACAGGGACACCTGGAAAACCTAGTACTGATCACCACACACCAGCAACTTTTTGTGTTTCCCTTTTTCTCATCAAAGGTAAACTACACTGAAACAATTCTACTGTAGTGCTAACATTTAGGGCATAAAAAATCCTTTTGAGAGTCTGATGAAATCCATGATCTTTTCCCTAAAAATCTGGACATATGCACACAATTTTTGCCACATTTCTAAGAAGTTCATTTATTCCCTGAAATAAAAATCCAACGTTAAATAACAATTAAAATCCCTGCTTTAATGTGAATCTGTATTGGTGGATACAACAATAGTGATTTATAATAAAGTCACTAGGTTCTCCCTATTTTCCTGCCTGTGGTTAGTGATGTATTTATTTAGAAGTCATAAGTACAGTCTTCTAGTGCCATTTTTGTGAGCACAATGACTCATTGTAAAAATAATATTTCTACGTATAACATCTTTCTTTCCTCCACATAGTTCTATGGAAATTATCTCATAAATTGTTCCAGGTTCCCTAGAAACTGGATTAAGGAATATATTATTGCCTTCCTTTACAAGGAAGGCATGATTCAAATGCAAAATACAGAAGAGTCTGGGAAAATGGCTGAGATATTGGGGAATGATTGAATTCAATCAGAAATCAGAATTATTTCACTCAACAGGGAGTTATGTATTATATGCCTGCTATGTGTCAGGCATTGTACTAGGCATGGGGTCGGCTAGCTCTCAGCCTGCTATCTAGCCCCCAAGTCTGTTCCAAGAGGAGAAACTATATTCAATTTGAAAATTGACTGGAGAAAGTACAGTATCCCTAACTCAGTAATAATATCCTACATTTTAACAGCATACACGGAGACAGTGTAGTGTGGGTTGACACAATTTTTGAAAGTAAGCAAAACTGGATTCAGATCCTGATTTCAGCACTTATTGAATGGCCTTAGTTAAATTCCTGAAGCTTTTGATCTTTAGTTTTCTTATCTGTAAAATAGAAATTACTTTTAGAGGCTGGGCCCACAGTGGCTCATGCCTGTAATCCCAGCACTTTGGGATGCTGAAAGGAGCAGATCATTTGAGGTCAGGAGTTCAAGACCAGCCTGGTCAACATGGTGAAACCCCGTCTCTACTAAAAATACAAAAATTAGCTGGTCATGGTGGTGGGTGCCTGTAATCCCAGCTACTTGGGAGGCTGAGGCAGGAAAATCGCTTGAATCTGGGAGGTGGATGTTGCAGTGAGCTGAGATTTTGCCACTGCACTCTAGCCTGGGCAGCAGAACGAGACTCCATCTCAAAAAAAAGAAATTACTTCTAGAGCAAGAGTTAGCAAACTACAGCTCTGTGGGCCAAGTTCAGCCATATGTGTGTTTTTTTGTGTGATCCTTGAGCTAAAAATGTTTTCTGCATTTGTAAAGGGGTATAAAAACAAATAACAACAATCAAACAGGAAAACAAGGAAAGCAAAAAAGAATATGCAACAAAGACTCTATGTGGCTTCAAGGCCTAAAATACTTACATCTAGCCCTTCACAGAAAAAGTTTGCTAACTCTAAAAAAGTTGGCAACTCCTATTCTATAGTCAGAATGCCTGCATTTGAATCCTTATGGCCTCTTACCGTCAGTATGATCTTGAGCAAATTGCCAAACTTCTGTATCTAATTTTCCTCATATGTCAAGTAGAGATGATAATAGCACTTATTTTACATGATGGGAAGCTGCATATGTTAATATGCTTAAAATGCTGAAAAAGGAGGCTTATATATAGTAAATATTTAAGAAATGTTAGCTATCTTTATTAATAGCACCGTTACCACTGTCATCAGTTATTCAAAAATACTTGTGAATATTAAATAAGATAGTGACCATCAAACAAATAGGACAGTGCCCTTCTCACAATAGGTTCTCAATAACTGTCAGCTATCATTGCTGTTGTCATCACCATCACCATCACCATTATCATCATTATAATTTTCAAAGCTCTTTCACGTACATCATCTCACTAGAAGCTCCCAACCACCCTGTTGTTGCTGTTGTGATCTCCCTCTGATACATGAGAAAATGAAGCTTGGAGAAATGAAGAGTTAGATACTGAGCCAGGAAGAGGCGGAATGTGGACTAGCGCCAGAGATTTTGCATTCTGGACCAATGTGTCCTCTTTCCACATCATACTGCCTCTCCATCAAAATATCTGAGGATCTGTTGTTTGTTAGTTTTCTCCAAATGATATACTTTGCATCCTAGGAGCCTGACAAGGCAGGCAAACATGACTATGTTCCTCCCTGGCATGGTTATGCAGACAGGAAGCTGGGATAATTGGATTCCAGCCATTTGGTCTCAGGACTGCATTTGTAACCAGCCAACTGCTGATGACCAAGCCTAGTGGATAAAGCTCTGACCAAACAAACACAACCCCCGTGTAGGAACTTATTGTTTATGCTGCAGAGCTGGCTTCAGAATGTGCCAGGACTCAGACTGCCACTACGACAAGCAGAGCTTTTGGACTGGGGAAATGTTCAGGTGAGGAGGCAAGACATTTTTGACAGCAGATCTTGTGTAGTCAGATCAGAACCGTTTTATTATTTGGTGTAGGCCAAAGGCTATGGCAAGACTCATTTAAGCACAGTGTGCACAAGGATTGATGTTTAAACAAAGTTAAGATCACAGTGGTACAGCGTTAGAGTGAGCTGATGACTATAAAAAAAGCTAACATTTTGAAGTTAGTTTATAAAAGGAGTCATCATATCTTCATATCACCCCGTTGTTTCTATAGTACTTAAACCAGCTTTAGCTCAGATTTTTTTTAAGTCAGGAGATTCAAATAGACTTTACTGTGGAGCAGTATGTAAATTTGTGTTTCCTGGTATTGTTGCTGCAAAAATAATAAAAATTATGTTTAAGAAGTGTATTCGTCCATTTCACACTGCTAATAAAGACATACCCAGGACTGGGTAATTTATAAAGGAAACAGGTTTAATTGACTCACAGTTCTGCAGGGCTGGGGAGGCCTCAGGAAACTTACAATCACGGCGGAACGGGAAGTAAATACATGATTTTTCACTTGGCAGCAGCAAGCAGAAGTCCCTAGCAAAAGGGGAAAAAGTCTCTTATAAAACTATCAGATCTCATGAGAACTCACACATTATCATGAGAAAAGCAGCATGGGGGTAACTGCTTCTATGATTCAATTACCTTCCACTGGGTCCCTCCCACGACACATGGGGATTATGGGAACTGCAATTCAAGATGAGATTTGGGAGGGGACACAGCCAGCCATATCAAGACTCTTCAGCATTGTCCTTGATGTATAGGGCAGAATAAATAAAATACACTTTGTAGACAGGGTTTTGCCATGCTAGGATAAGCAAATGACATCTGCTTCCAACGATGGAAGTAAGCTGTGCTTAGAAGCAGTTCTGAGACTTGTTCCCCAACTGTTGTGACACAGAGCTCTCAGTCTGAGGAAGGGGACAAGAAGACCTCCCTTCCTAGAAAGACACCCCTATGGATCCCTATGGTGGGATAGATTCAGTTCTTCCTTCTAAGGCAAAGGCAAACAAGTGTAAGGTCTTATAACTCAATATTTGTAAATAAGACCATTTTAAGTAGCCAAGAGTTCCTGCCAGAGTACAGGAGATAGAAGTAATGAGGAAAGCTGGGGTTCTTAGAAACTCAAAGCAGGTCTGGGAGCTATCCAGGTGTTTGAAGCACTCTGAGCCAATGTTCTGGGATCCCATGTCTCTACTGACCTCTTCTCTTTGTTGGCTACATAAGCCCTCTCTTCCTGGTTTTGAGTTTTCCTAACACCTGCTGCCAGGCAGTTGGCTAACCACCAACCAATCCCTGGCCTGTCACATCACCATTCACACAACAGCTAACACAACAGCCACCTGCGCTGCTTCCTAGGCCTGTGACCTACCTCAGCTCTATCCCAGGCTGACAGGCTAAGGCCCTACCTGTACCAAACATATCCAAACTTAAGAATGGGAAGACTGACCTTCTAGAATAGGCTGTGCCATGGTCATTTAAAGTTTTCTACATTGTCTGGGAAGTGGGGTTTGGGGGAAATGTGTAACACTCCTTTTCACCATACCAACCTCAAGGGTTTGTGGTGAGTAGAAAACAAAATAATGGATGTCCAAGGGCTTTGTACAATTATGGTTTGCAATACAAATGTAAGTGACAATCTCTGTATGTAAAAACATATGTTAAAGTTGGTGTGGTTTTACATGGTCATTCGAGCCAGTGAAAAATGCAAACAGCCAGAGGTCTCAGGAAAACTATACTGTTAATCCAGCAAGGCTGACATGAATAGGAGACTGTGGATAAGGCATGTTATACAAATTATACAGTTTCTGAAAATCTAAATTTTTATTTTATAGTAATACCTTAGATTTCATCTTAACATTATTGTGTGACATTAATCACATTTATCATTTTTAAGCATGTTGTGGTGGAAACAAGTGTTCATAAGCATTATATCCTCTTCTGAAATTTTCACAAGGAAAGGGCTGTGGTTATTTTTTGCCAGAATTTGCTCAGTAATTTCAGACATGTCTATATTATCTACATGGTGCACACTCAAAAGTTCAGTCATTTAACTCCTTAAGGGTTGCATCCAAAAAAACCCACCATTGTTACCTGAATTTAGGAAGAAATATTAAATAGGCATGTAAAAGTTGTTAGGATCATAATTAAATAATTATTAAGGTCTAATAAAATAACATATATATGCCAGATATTGGTGATGTGTAATAATTTTATAATATTATCTCATGTGTAATTCTAGCTCCACGCAGGAACATTCAACACCGCTTAATTGTGGGAGATCAAGAGTGAAGGAATGGTTTTGGCTACCCTTTGTGCACTAAAATTCAACAATCCTGCTATTTGAGTGAATGGATCCTTATTGCCTTGAAGTTTAATTTTCAGAGAAGCATGACATGCAGATACCCAGATATTTAAATTTTCAAATGATTATCTAGAGCCCATTGAAAATGTTTGAGTTTCTTTCTTAAATTTTCACACTGGCTTATGAATTATGAAATTGGAAATTTTCATAAAATAGACGTAGTTTTCAGATGGTAACACTAAGAGAGCTTTGTTAGTTCAGGATACCAAGGCATATCATCAGGCTAATGAAATACAAGACAAATCAAGTTGAAGGAAGAAAAAATTGGAGGTCTAAATGACCACTTAATCATGTATTTAACTTAAAGTTGCATTAAAATGATGCTAGCTGATATTTATAAATGTTATACCAGGAATTATTTATATATGATGAACATGACTTACTTCATTTGCTATTCACTGTAACACTCTGACAGAGGGTACTGGTAATGTCTCTATGTGTAGATGTGGAAACTGAACCGTAGGGAGGACTGAGGTTGCAAGGCTACTTAGTAATGGAGCTGGGATTAGAATTCTGGACATTTAACTCTCAGCCACCATTGCTCAGTTAATGGTCAGTGACATATCTAACTGTGCTGAATGAGTACGTCATGGCTCCTTTCCCCAAAAGGTCTGTAATTTATCTGAAAACGTGCTATTTCAATTCACTTGCAGTTGCATTTAACAAGCCACAGCGGTTTGTATTGTTAAATGAATTGCAGAAGCAGAAAGTGCTGTTTGTTTAAAAGAAGGAAAGGGAGTATCACATTGAGACGGTCAGAGATGACTATATGGAGGAAGTGGCCATATATATTCAACTATATTTTCAAAGATCCTTCAACATAGACATATCATGGAGATTAGCTACAGGAGGGAAGAAGAGGCTGAGTTTCCTTACTTGGTAAATTAAGGTAGTAATGTGTCCTGTGAACATCCCAAGTTGTTGCAAGACTCAGATGAAACACTAACTTAAGTGTGCTTTTTAGACGTACACTGTGGCATAACCATGTTGTGCAATAATTATGCTCCCCTCCTTATCCTCCTCTAAAAGCACTTTAAGAATATTGGCAAGCTTATTTAGGCTGAGATCATGTGTCTACTAATCTCTATGTTTTTTTTTTCTTTTTTCTTTCCCAAATTCTGCTTGGCTCTCCCTCATCTGTGGCTGTTTTCTGTTTCAACTAAAAGTGGCTGTTCCCCTGTCTCCAGCTTCCTCCTGCTCTTCTGCAATAGACCAGTTCCTGTCTAACTCTGAAAGTGCTCTGTAAGTCTGTCACTGTCTGTTGTGAGTCTGTCTGTGTCTGCCTATTTATTTCTTTATACAAAATATCCTTAAGTGTCTGTTTATACTTCTGTCCTCACAGGACAAAGTTAAGGGTGCACAATTGTTGGCACAGAACTGCAGAGCCCATATTAATATAGTTTCAGTGGTTTATTTAATTTTCTATTTTTAAATGTTTTAATGATGGGTTTGGCTTCTTCCCTGTTCTGGGAGCACGGCCTTCACAAGCCCTGTGGGAGATGAGCACTGCGATGGAGCTGAAATCACCCAGTATAACTGTGATTCTTAGAAGTCCTCTCATCTGGATTACCCCCAGTGCTCCAATTCATTTCTTTATCTCCTTGGCTGTAAGTGGTGGACTCCTTCATACTTCTTAAACAATTGATCGTGACTAAATAAGGTACTTTTTAAAAAAGTTTTCTAAAGAGACTACTTTTTAGAGCAGTTTTAGGTTCACAGCATAACTGAGGGGAAGGTACAGAGATCTCCTATATGCCTCCTTACCCCAGGCACAGCCTCCCCCATTGTCAATATCCTCTTCCAGAGTGGTAAATTAGTTACAACTGATGAACCTATATTGACACATTATTATCACCCTGAGTCCATAGTTTACATTAGAGTTCATTCTTAGTACTGTACATTCTGTGGGCTTGGACAAACACATAATGACATGTATCTGCCATTGTGGTATTTTACAGAATAATTTTATTGCCCTAAAAATCCTCTGTGCTCTGCGTGTTTATCTCTTCCTCCTCCTCCCCCACCCCAACCTCTGGCAACAATTGATCTTTTTATTTTCTCCATAGTTTTACCTTTTCCAGAATGTCATATTTTTGAAATAATACAGTGCATAAACTTTTCAGATTGGCTTCTTTCACTTAGTATATGCATTTAAGATTCCTCCATGTCTGTTCATGGTTTGATAGCTCATTTCGATTTGGCACAGTATAATATTCCGTTGTCAGAAGCACTACAATTTATCCATTCACCTACTAAAAATTTCTCGGTTGCTTTCCAGTTTTAGCAATTACAAATAAAGCTCCTGTATACATGTGTGCAGGTTTTTGCATCAACATTTTCAACTCCTTGGTGTAAATACCAAGAAGCTCAATTGCTGGATTGTATGATAACAATATGTTTAGTTTTGTAAAAAGACAGACAAACTGTGTTCCAAAGTGGCTAAACCATTTTGCATTCCAACCAATTTTGTATGAATTACTGTTGCTCCTCATTCTTGCTAGCATTTGATGCTATCAGTATGATGAATTTTGATTATTTTTATAGGTTTGTAGTGGTGTCTCATCTCCATCTGCAATTCCCTGATGATATATGTGCAGCATCTTTTCATTTGCTTATTTGCCATCTAAATATCTTCTTTGATGAGATGTCTGTTAAGGTCTTTGGCCCATTTTTAAAATTAGGTTGTTCATTTTGTCATTATTGAAATTTAAGAGTTCTTTGTATATTTTGGATAATAGTATGCCTTTGGTATCAGGTATGTCTTTTGCAAATATTTTTTCCCAGTCTATGTCTTGCTTTATCATTCTCTTAACCTCAAAGAGCAAAATTTTTAATTTTAATAAAGTCTACCTCATCAATTATTTCTTTCATGAATTGTACGTTTGGTGTTATATCTGAAAAGTTGTCACCAAACCAACAGTTGTCTAGATTTTTTCCTAAGCTATCTTCTAGAATTGTCATGGTTTTTATTTTATATTTAGCTCTATGATGCATTTTGAGTTAATTTTTCTGCAAGATATAAGGTCTGTGTCTAGATTCTTTTTTTTTTTTTTTTTTGCATGTCAATGTCCAGTTGTTCTACCACTATGTGTTGACAAGACTATCTTTTCTTCCTTGTATTGCCTGTGCTTCTTTGTCAAAGATAAGTTGACTATATCTACCTTGGTCTGCTTCTGGGCTCTCTATACTGTTTCACTGATCTCTTTGTCTATTCTTTGGCCAAACTATACTGCTTCATTTACTGCAGTTTTATATTAAGTCTTGAAGTTGGGTAGTATCAGTCCTCTGACTTTATTCTCCTCCTTCAATATTGTGTTGGCTGTTCTGGGTCTTTGTCTCTTCATATAAACTTTAGAATTAGTTATTCTTTGTTAAAAAACAAACAAAAAAAAAAAACCTCACTGAGATTTTGATTGGAAATGCATTAGATCTATAAATCAATTATAAGCCTTGACATCTTGACAATATTTAGCCTTTCTATCCATGAGCATGGAATATATCTCCATTTATGTTCGTATTTGATATTTTTCATCAGAGTTTTGTACTTTTCTTCATATAAATCTTGTACATATTTTACAATTTTACAACATTCCAGTACAAACTTGAAAAGCAGGCCAGGTGTGGTGGCTCATGCCTGTAATCCCATCACCTTGGGAGGTCGAGCTGGGTGGATCACGAGGTCAGGAGATGGAGACCATCCTGGCCAACGTGGTGAAACCCCATCTCTACTAAAAATACAAAAAAAAACAAAAATAGCTGGGCATGGTGGTGCATGCCTGTAGTCCCATCTACTTGGGAGGCTGAGGCAAGAGAATTGCTTGAACCCGGGAGATGGAAGTTGCAGTGAGCCAAGATTGTACCACTGCACTCTAACCTGGACAACAGAGTGAGACTCCGTCTCAAAAAAAAAAAAAAAAAAAAAAAAAGAAAAAAAAAGAAATGAAAAGCAAAGCAAAGCAAAAGCAGTGGTGACAGCGGACATCCTTGACTTCTTTCTGATCTTAGGGGAAATAATTGAGTTTCTCACCATTAAGCCTGGTTTTAGCTGTGGGTTTTGTGTAGATTTTCGATATCAAATTAATAAAGTTCTCCTCTAGTCTTAGTTTACCGAGAGCTTTTTAAATCATGAATTGAGGTTACACTTTGTCAAATGTTTTTTATGCATTTATTAATATAATCATGTGATTTTTCTTTTTTAGCCTATTGATATGATGGATTACTTAATTGATTTTCAAAAGTTGTATTTGCCCTACATACCTGAGATAAATTCCACTTAGTTGGGTGGGCAATTCTGTGTATACATTGTTAGACTTGATTTGCTAATATCTTGTTGATGATTTTTGCATCTATGTTCACAAGAGGTATTGATTTATAGGGTTTTTTGTTTTTTTGTAATGTCTTTGGTTTTGGTACAGGATAATGCTCATAGAATGAGTCAGAAAGTATTCTCTCTGCTTGTATCTTCTAAAACAGATTTAGAGAATTGGTATAATTTCTTCCTTCTATGTTTGGCAGAATTCACCAGTGAACCCATCTCAGCCTGGTACTTTCTGTTTTGAAAGGTTATTAATTTTTATTCAATTTCTTTAATATATATATAAGCTTATTCATATTGTCTATTTCTTCTTGTGTATTAGCAGAATGTGTCTTTCAAGGAATTGGTCAATTTCATCAAGGTTATCAAATTTGTGGGCATATTTTGTAGTACTTGATTATTCTTGACTATCCCTTTAATGCCCATGGTGTCTATAGTGATGTCGCTTCTTTCATTTCTTATGTTAATAATTTTTGTTCTTTCTCTCTCTCTTCATTTCTGTTTAGACTGGCTAGAGATGTATCAATTTTATTGTTTTCAAAGAACTAGCTTTTTGTTTTATTGATTTTCTCTATGAATTTCTTATTTTCAATTTCACTGAATTCTCCCTTAATTTTTATTATTTCATTCTACTTACTTTGAATTTAGTTTCCTCTTCTTTTTCTAACTTCCTAAATTAGAAACTTAAATCACTGATTTTAGATCTTTCTTCATTTAGTCCAAAATATTTTATAACTTATTTTGAGATTTCTTTTTTGATCCATATGTTATTTAGAAGTGTGTTGCTGAATCTCCAAGTATTTCAGAATTTTCCACCTATCTTTCTGTTATAGATTTCTACTTTAATTCCACTGTGGCCTGAGAGCAGACATTGTGTAATTTCTATTCTTTTACATTTGTTAAGGTAAGTTTTATGTAGAATGTGTAATATATTGGTAAATGTTCCATATGAACTTAAGAAGAATGTCTATCCTGGCATCGTTAGGTAAAGTAGTCTATTGATATAAATTTTACTGATTCATAGTACTGTTGAGTTCAATTATGCCCTTAACTAATTTTCTGCCTTCTGTATCTGTTCATTTATGATAGAGAAGTGTTGAAGTCTGCAGCTATAATCGTGAATTTATCTATTTCTCCTTGCACTTCTTAGTTTTTGCCTCCTGTATTTTGGTGTTCTGTTCTTATGTGTATGCAGTGTTAAGGATTATTATGTCTTCTTGGAGAACTGACACCTTTATTATTACGTAATGCACCTCTTTATCTCTGATAACTTTTCTTGCTCTGAAGTGTGTTCTGTTTAAAATTAATATAACTGCTCTCATTTTCTTTTGATTAATATTACCTTGGTATATATTTCTCCATCCATTTACTCTTAATCTATATGTCTTTAAATTTAAAGTGGGTTTCTTGTAGACAACATATAGTTTGGTCTTACTTCTGATCGATTTTGACAATCTCTGTCCTTTAATTGGTGTATTTAGGCCAATTATCATTCAAAGTGATTCTTAAAAAAGCTAAATTAATTTTTTGTCTTCTATTTGTTGCCCTCGTTCTTTGTTCTTATTTTTGCCTTCTACCCTTTTTCTACCTTTTGTGGTTTTAAATAAGCATTTTATATTATTCTATTTTCTATCTTTTCTATCATATCAGTTTAACTTCTATTTTTACTTTTTTTAGTGGTTGCCCTAGAGTTGGGAAAACATATTTAATAACTAATCCAAGTCCACTTTCAAATGATACTATACAACTTTTTGGTAGTACAAATACCTTATAATGACAAAATAATCATAATTCCTCTTCTCATCCCTTATTTCATTGCTGTCATTCATTTCATTTACACATAAACATATGTACAGATAGTCACCAACTTATGATGGTCCAACTTAACAATTTTTCAACTTTATGATGGATTTATCAGGATGTAACTCCATTGAGGAGCATAAAAGCATGCATAATTAATACATTATTGCTATTATTATTTTGAACAATCTGTTATCTACCTGAGCAATTAAGAATAAGAAAAATAAAAGCTATTATTTTACTTCACTTATTCCTTCTCTGATGCTCTTCCTTTTTCTATGTAAAACTGAGAATCTGGCCTATTTATTTTCCTTCCATCTAAATAATGTCTGTGAAGATTTTTTCCTTTTGCAAGGCAGGTATACTGGCAACAAATTCCCTCAATTTCTTTTTGTCCCAGAAAGTTCTTATTTCTCCTTTACTTTTGGAGGATAATTTCACAGGGTTGGAATTCCAGGTTGCCATTTTTTTTTCCTCTCAACACTTTAAACATTTCACTCTACTCTTTTCTTTCTTGCACGGTTTCTGAGAAGTTGGATGTAATTTTTATCTTTGCTCCTCTATAAGTATTTTTCCACTCTGGCTTTTTGTCAGAATTTTTTATCTTTGATTTTCTTTAGTTGGAAAATGAAATGCCTGGTTGTAATTTTGTTGGCATTTATCCTGCTTGGTATTCTCTGAGCTTCCTGGATCTATAGTTTGGCATCTGACATTCATTTGCAGGGAAATTCTCCATGATTATTTATTCTCCATGAAATATTTCTTCTGTTTCTTTCTATTTTCTTTTTCTTGTATACTTGTGGTGCACTTTTTTTTTTAGTTGTCCCATAGTTCTTGGAAACTGTGCTCTGTATTTTTTTTCTGTCTTTTTTTTATTTTCAATTTTGGAGGTTTCTATTGAGATATCCTAAAGCTCACAGATTCTTTTCTCAACCATGTCTAGTCTACTAATAAGTCCATCAAAGGCAGTCTTCATTTTTGCAGCAGTGTTTTTGACCTTTAACATTTCTACTTGGTTCTTTCTCAGAATTTCCATCTCATTGCTTACGTTACTCATCTGTTCTTGCATGTCATCTACTTTTTCCATTAGACCCTTAGCATATTAATCACAGTTGTTTTAAGTTCCCAGTCTGATAATTCCAATGTCCCTTCCATATCTGATTCTGGTTCTGATGCTTAAGCTGGCCTCTCCAACTGTGTGGTTTTTTTTGTTTGTTTGTTTTGGTTTGGTTTTGTTTTTTGCCATTTACTATGCCTTGTAATTTTTTCTTGATAGCTACACATGATGTCTTTGGTAAAGACACTTTAGTAAACAGGCACACTATTTACCCATATGGTGTTAAGGTATGCGGGGAGGGGAATGGTTTGTAGTCCTGTGATTAGTTCTCTGTCTTCTAGAGATCCTGTGCTTCTGGGCTGTGAGTGAACTTCACACGTGCTTCTTAGTTTGTCACCCCCTTTGGTTCTTGGGTGGCTTAAGGGGGCTGGAGTTGGATATTTCCCTTCCCCCAAGGTCAGCTGGGCTAGATAAAATTCTCATAGGTTAGGCTTGCTACATATTTCTCCTGAAGGCAGACCTCATTAAGAACAGAATGCTCTGGAATATTTCAAAATAATTACTTCCCTCCTCCCTGTCAGAAGCATGAGGGGATTCTTCTCAGATATTTACAGTGAAATCTGGTTGAGTTCCTGAAGGTGAAACTCACAAAATTGAGAGGTCCCCTATTATTGCCCTCCCCCCTCGAGTTCTTATCTCTCATATACTTGTCCACTCAGAGTCTCTAACAGTCTATCAATTACAGTCATGCCAACTCCATGCCCATGCCTGGAATGTCCTCACTGCCCCTACAGTCAATGCATCAGCAGATCCTGTCAGCTCTACCTTGAAGCTATATCCTGAATCCAACTACATCTCAATACCTCCACTGATACCAACATACAGGACTTCTAAGCTCCAGAAATGCGAGATAATAAATTTGTGTTACCTGAAGCTACTAAGTTTGTGGTAATTTGTTGCAGTAGCAACAGGAAGCTAATACACCTCCTAATTTACCCCTGGGTTTTCACTCCAACCTCACTCTAGTCCATTCAACACACCACAGCCAGAATGTTCATTAAAAACATAAAATCTTCAGGAACCTCCCCTGCTCATGAACTTGGCTGCCATCCTATTGCTTTTAGGACGAGGACAACAGTCCTTAGTGTGGTGGGTCCCTGCTGACTTTGTGCCCTCATCTTAGGCTGATGCCTACTTTGTTCCCCTCTCACCACATGGGCCTGCCCCCAGGACTGTGGGCCTTTGCTCTTGCTGGTCCTTTTGCCTGCATCCTCCCCACCCTGGCTTGGTGAGCCCCTACTCAATTTTCAGTTCTCATCTCCTGTCGCTTCCTCAGTGACAGAACCCTGACACACTAACCGAGATCTCATCCCCCCTCTGACATGCTCTCATAGCATCACCAAATACCTCTCACTCCTGACACTACTTGTAGCTATAATCTTATAGCTGGCTGTGGTCTCTCACACTACACTGCTAGCTCCATGAGGACAGGGACTGTGTCTCCACTCTGATATGTCCAAGGCATGGCACTGTGCCTGGACTGTTGTAAGCAATCAAAAAAAAAAATTTTAGTAAATAAGTGGCTGGATGAATAAATGTCTAGGATTTGTGTTCATGGAAAAAATACCAACTGTAAAATCTTTGTTTCCAGCTAACAGAGCTCTGGCTTTTGTGAAACTGCCTTAGGGTTGAATCTCTTTAAACCAAGGCACTTTATATTTTAATGATATATTAAATAGATATTAAAATATAATATATTTTAATGATATATTAAATAGATATTAAAATATATTATATTTTAAGATCTATTTAATAGATATTAAAATATAATATATTTTAAGATCTATTAAATAGATCTTAAAATATAATATATTTTAATATATATTAAATATATCTTAATTTAATATTTAATATATCTTAAGATATATTAAATATATCATTAAAATATATTATATTTTAATATATATTTAATATATCTTAAAATATAATATATTTTAATGATATATTAAATATATATTAAAATATAATATATTTTAATATTTTAATGATATATCAAAATATATGATATTTTAATGATATAACAAAATATATATTTTAATGATATATCAAAATATATGATATTTTAATGATATGTCAAAATATATTTTAATGATATACCAAAATATATTTTAATGATATACCAAAATATATTTTAATGATATATCAAAATATATTTTAATGATATATCAAAATATATTTTAATGATATATTAAAATATATTTTAATGATATATTAAATATATATTAATATATAATATATTTTGATGATTAAAACATCTAGCAAACCTCCCTCCTCACCCAGTCTTTGTGAACACTGCCTTGCAGGAGAAGGCTGGGGTGATGTATAATAAAGTCTAATCATTTCCTGATAATACCAGCCTGGGCAGGCAGAGGGGGCTATTATTACGCTACTAATTACCACATCCAGGCTGCTCTAAGTGCGATGCTAATTGCTCAGTGAATGAATTGTAGACTCAGGTAATTACCAAATCTAATGTGGCTCCCGTCATGTTTGAGTAAATTAATGCAAATGGGGGAAGCAACCCAGCTTGAAGGGAGTTGTCGCTTGCATTGCTGTTGCTTGAGAAACAGCAGTGTTTTTTAATTAGATGTGAAACTGCCCAGGTATACCCACTCATCTAGAGTTGTCTTACCACCAAAGCAGCTGTGAGAAGGCAAGTAAGATCTCGCACCAAATGGAACAGGGAGACTTTTGCCACTCTGACAGATGATTGTCTCTTTCCAGAGCTGTTAATTTGTAAAGCCATTTACAGATAATGCCAGGCTAGGCAGGCAGAGGGGGGCTATTATTGTACTACTAGTTCCCAAATCCAAGCTGCTCTAAGTGACCTTAATTGATCACAGGGTTAAGGTTTCCTTAGCTCTGTGATCAATTAACAAGTGAATAAACGTTTGTTCAGTTACTGAGGAAAGGATTTCTGCACTGAATTGGGAATTTTGTACTGAGTTCAAGTTCTACCTCAATCATCAGATAAGAGCAATACTTTTTGGCTGGCACTATTCCAATAAACATTATATGTGCATTATCTCATTTAATGTCTACAACAAGCCAGAACATTTGTGATAATTCACAGAATTAGTAAATGGCAGAGCCAGGATTTGAACCAAGGCATTCTGCCTCAAGAACCTGTATTCTTAATGATTCCGGATTTATTTATTTCTTTGAGCCTAGGAAACTCACATTTTCTGAATCTCGTCTTACTTACCAGTGAAGATTACTGCATCCATTGTGTGCCCAGCCCTTCTGTTAAGGCATTTGTAGATGTTCACTTTCACAACAAAGGTGTCAAGGAGGTGGGAGTAACTTATTTGACCATGCCTCATAACTAGTAGATGGTAATTTGGGATTTGAATGCTATTCGGTTTGCCTGCAGTACCCTGTGCTTTCTTTTCTCTCAATATTTCCCAAATTGAGGATGTTTAGATCCCCATGAATGGGCCTACAGACTGCTGGAGGTTTGCACCCTCCAGTTAGAGACAGTGCATAAAGTTAGCCAGCAACAGCGGTGTGTACATGAACGCAACTGTGAGCTCTGAATTCACAAGGCAATGTAAGTTTATAAGGTGGCCAACCAGATGACCCCAGATCTGCTCCTATTATTTATTTATTACCAAAGTGAAAATACCAACTTAAAAATATATGCTTGAATCATGCAGACTTGGGAATACTCAAACCCAGGGTATGTCTTTATAAGCCAGACTCCAGTTGGGATGTGCTGTCCTCTGCTAGACTCCTGCCAAGGAAAGCTTGGACTAGTTCCTCCTTCCTGTGTCTATCAGTCACCATACCATGGTGAGAGGAACCACTCAAATGTTGTACAGTTGAGCCTTGAACAACGTGGGTTTGAACCGTCTGGGTCCACTTACGCATGGATTTTCTTCAGCCTCTGCCACCCCTGAGACAGGAAGACCAACCCCCCTCTTCATCCTCCTCCTCCTCAGCCTCCTCAGTGTGAAGATGCTGAGGATGACGACTTTTATGATGGTCCACTTCCACATTACAAATAGTAAATATATGCTCTCTTATTTATGATTTTCTTAATAACATTTTCTGTAGCTTACTTTATTATAAGTACAAAATATGCATTAACTGACTATGTTATCAGTAAGGCTTTCAGTCAACAGTAAACTACCAGTATTTAAGTTTTGGGGGAATCAAAACTTATATGCAGATTTTTCAACTGCACAGGGGATCAGCAACCCTAACTCCTACACTGTTCAACGATCAACTGTAACTGGAAAACGTGCCCATCTGCTTACTCTCATATCCACAGAGAGCTGTTGCCTTTCAACTGCCCTCTGGAGAAAGGGAAACTCCATTTGGAATATCCACTCCATTCCCACACTTCTTTTCTAGTTATTCCTGACAAGTGACTCATTAGCACATGAGAAACAGATGCTTATGAGGAGAGACGTGTGAAAAGCAGGCTGCTGTAGAGGTTGCCTGCATTCCACGGCAGTACATCTTTTTACGTGGTCACAGATGTCTGGTTGCCTTCTCAACTAGGATACCTTTTTCATGCGAACTCAGTGTAGGAGAAGGTGTCATTGCTTGCCAGTGAAAGTGATCTATTAGCCATAGAACAGGGCAAAGGTTCAGGAGTGTGTTCTGAGGTTAAGGGTACGGGCACCATGCATGTTGTAACCTTAGATAAACTGCGTAACTGCTCTGAGCCTCAGTTTTCTAATCTGTAAGAACAGTCTAAGTAGAGCACCTGCCACTTAGTGAGTATAAAAAGTAAATTGTATACATGAAATAAGGTATGTAACTTCCAAAAATGGTACCTGGCACACATCCTAATGTCTTAATAAATTGAGCTGTGTATGATTTCTTAGTATTGTCATTCAGTTTTCTCCTGCACAAACATCCACTTCAGGGATATCCCTGCACCTCAGATACTAAAGCGTAGCCCCATTTCCTAGGGCTGTTTGGTCCTGAGCCCTTGTTTGAAGACTCATACATAAGTCATTAAGCAATGCTGCTCAGGGGCAAGAGCAATGGGGAAGGGGTTCCTGACCTTGGTCCTGGCCAGGCCTGCGCTCACCCGTCATGACACTCAGGAGACTCACTCAGCTGCTATGAGCCTCACTTCTCGCCTCTGTATAATACCAGTCTTATCACCTGCCTTGCCTGGCCTGCAGAGCAACTGTGATTATAAAAGGAGTCTGTTGATAGGGAAATCAATTGGTGTTGCTTTAGTACGCATATTTGCCAAAAGAGGGCTTTGTGATTCTGATAAGGGAGAAGGGAAAGGCAAAGTCAGGGAGGCTTCTATATCTTGAGGCCAGTTAAGTTTCATCCAAAAAGGAAATAAAAGAGAAAAATATTTCTAAGCCATTAAGGCTATGTGTACATCATCATCATCATTATCATTATCATCATTATCATTACATACTCTTCATTCAATGCAGAGGAGCAAAGTGAGGTATAGAGAGATTAAATAACTTGCCAAATGTCACAAAGTTGGTAAGTGGTACTTTTTAATCTCAATAAAATAGTAAAATTAAGATTAAAAAGTAAAAAAAATAATTTTAGCTTCAACATATTGAGCTTCTACTATGTGGCAGACTCTGTGTTAATGTTTTTCTTACATTATGTTATTTAATCCACAGAGCAAAGCTATGTGGTAGGTATCATTAACCTCAGTTACAGAGGTATAGAAAGTGATGCATAGAGAGATTAAATAAGTTGTCAAATGTCACAAAGCTGGCAAGTGGTAGAGCCTGAATGGGAACTAGGTTTGCTTGACTCAAGTGAGGGTCATGGTTACTATTCTGCATAACGCAGCCCTCTAGCTGACAAGACAAGGCAAAGGGAAATAACCACACATGACAGGGCCTGAGAAAAGTTGTGAAGGCTAAACCTTTTGCAGAATTAAATACATCAGACAATGGCTACTGGGAGTTATATTTCTATATCCAGAGTCTGACCATTCCTCACCACCTTTACAGCTACTTCCTGGACCAAGTCACTGTCTTCTCTCACCTGGATTATTGCTGTAAACTCCTAATTGGTCTCACTGTCCACACCTTACCTCCATCCCATATATTCACAATAGAGCATCCAGAGGGAGTCTGCTGAGAGGCCATTCAGACCATGTTGGTGCTCTGCTCAGACCCCTCACATGTAGTAAAAGCCAGAGCCTTATAGGGATTTTCAAGCCCACCCCCGCCCACTTGGCCCTGGCTGCCTTGCTGACGTCAACTCCTTTCATTCCTCCCCTTACTCTTTCTGCCTCAACCAGCTGCATCCTTGAGGTTCTTCAGATATGCCAGGCAGGATCGAACCTCAGGACCTTTGCATCTGCTGTTCCCTCTACCTAGAATGTTATTTTCCCAGATAGGCACATGCCTCAGTTTCTCACTATATCTCACAGGGCTCAGTCAGGAGACAGAAACGGCCTGAGTATTTAAACACCATTTTAACATAAAATATTGCTAACTAGGCATATAGTCGTTAACACTGAAAGAATGCTCTGCAGTATTATGGAGTTAGCAACTGCAGGGAGCAACTACTAGCTCTAGGGCTGAGAAAATAGATAAAATAATCACAAAAACTTAGACACTTAGAATAGGGACCCTACTGAGCAGAAATTTAGACCTTTGAGAAAGAGGGACTGTCCAGATGAACCTGATGTTTCTGAGGGGCTGCTGTAAGGCTGGTTCTGCAAGAGTTAGAAAGACTAACCTGGACTCAGCTGCTGCTCCGGAAAAGCACTGCCTCTGAGGGGTAAAGAAGCATTCCAGGAATGACGTATATAGGAACCACAGCAGACAGAAAGCTCACAGGAGCGAGCCCCTTTCCTTCCTCCAGCTTCCACTCCCCTGTGACACCCTGTGTTCATGGAGCTGCACAAGAAGCCAGCCAACAAAGCAGACATTTGGTTTGCAGAATGGCAAAGCCAAGTACGCAAGGCATGGTTTGGAGGCTGAGCATCTACGACTCACTAGCTGGGACTCTAGCTTCCCTAAGGTCTTGCATATCTCACTGGGACATTTCCTGGCCACCCTAGTTAATAGTGGCTGATCTGGCCCTTTCTATCTCTTTTCCCATTTTATTCTTCTTAACACTGACCTATCTGGCAAGTAGTAGCAGATGCTTTGGTTCTGTATGTCACATCCCCTTGGCTTAGCTCTCTCTCAACAACAGCTGCGGTGGACGGTTCTGTGAGAACTCGGACTCATGCCCTTCACTGAGGCCCTGTTCTTCAATCAACACCTGCTTCTAGCCAGCTAAAGGGACTAGTTATTCTAGATTAGGGTTTCTCAATCCTGGCACTGTTGACATTTTGGGCCAGATAATTCTTTGTTGTGGGAGGCTGTGCTATGTATCGTACAACACTGATCAGCATCCCCGGTCCCTACCCGCTAGGTGCCAGTAGAGCTACCTCTTCAGTGACAACCAAAAATGCTTCCAAAATGGCCCCTGGGGCACAAAATGCTCTCTGCTGAGAACCACTTTTCTAGACTTATACCTAGTCCATGGGCTTTGTGAGAACCAGTTAAACACATGGGTATTGGCATGAGCTAGAGTGGGTTTGATTGGATGTGTCTTCATGTATGACCTATATTCCCATGGGCATCACTAAACTTGACTATGCGTTATTTTGCTCACATGTAAAATGAAAATGATACTATCTAATAGGCAATTATGGGGATTAAATAAAGTAATTTATGGAGAGGGCTTAGTACAAACCAATTTGTCAATACAAATCAACAATAAATTATTGTAATTCAAAGCAAAGCATCAATGTAAGTCATGAGAAACTACCACCAAGTTGTTTTGTCAACATATGATGCCAAATAGCTGAATGGTATTTGTTTGTTTGTCTCACTGAAAGTGCTTGACACTGGCCTCAGAGAAATGAGTGGTGAACATGCTTCTAAAATCTGTAGAAATTTCATAGGAATGGCTGCCAGATGCTGGAATCTGGGTAACTGATGATGAGACTCGCCTGCAATTGAGATGCATTTAAAGGCAATTAAGATATTGAGTGCAATTGTATGATACGGCAGAAAAATAATAAACACTTGTCAAGTAGTAAATTTCACTGTGATGCTTAGTGTCAACTTGCTGTTTGATTCATCTAATTGATTTACTGTTCCAAATGGCACCAAAAGGAATGAAAGTAACAAATACAGTTACATTGTATTTCAGGCTCTGAGTGGTTTATTCATCTCAATCAGCAGTCAGAACCCAAAACTATCCCTGGTAGATAGGACATAGCATATTCAGGTACAGCTTGAGGTGGTACATAGGGTTCATTCTGATGAGTGACACAAGAACCCCAGGCTTTGTTGGCAGTAAGAAATCTGGGTTCTTGTCCCAGCTCTGCCACTTACCCCCTATGCACTCCTAGGCCTGTCGTTTCCTCCAGGACTGTTTCTCCACATTTAATATGAGTAATCTGGGTGCAGTTCATTTGGTTTTCTATCTCTATGAAGTATCACCCCATCCCCACTCCCACTTCACCATACCCTCAGAAGTATGCAAAGAAAGGAAGTCAAGAGTAGAAGGAGTGCTCTTGACTTCGGTGCAGTTGGAGCATGCCTGTTGAATTCTCATGCCTTCTTTCCTTCCTTTCTAGGTACACCGTTCTGCACAGGGGACATCATCAGGAACTCGAGAAACTGCCCATACACAATGACCCAGAATCCCTGGAATCATGCTTCTGATTGAGGACATGGCTCACAACTTAGCCATTCATTCGCATTCATGTTTGCATGAACAGGTCACCCTGGCATCACTTCTGAACCTCATCACCACCAGTGAGGCATCAGGTAGTAGGGGCTGAGAGCCCAGAGGAGGTACATGGAGGACAGTGTTGGGGGGTAGCTGAGGCCAGAGCCTTGAGGGTCTCAGAGTTGTGAAGAAACTTCAGGCATTGTCAGATTCAGCCTCCCACGCAAAGCAGGAGTAGCATCTTCTATTGCATCCCTGAAAGTTGGTCATTCTCTGCTTATACACCTCCAGGGACAGGAGCTCACTACCTCCTAATTCAGGCCCTTTTATTTTGGAGAAGCTCTCATTATAAGGAATTTCTTTCCTTTCTTGGAACACAAACCTGTTGCTGCTCCAACTTCCATGCAGTTAGGCCCCACTTTCCCGTGACAGCCCTTAAATACTGGAAGAGAGTAATCTGTCACCATGCCTTTCAGTTTTTTTTATAAACTGAAACATCTCAAGTTTCCTCTCCATTGTGGCCATCTTCTTCTGGACATGCTTTGGTGGGTGAATTAATCATGGTTCTTCTAATAAAGTTAGGTTGATATCAATGCCAATATGTCTATCTAGAAGCATTGACATAGTGACAAGTGAAGTGTCAAGATTTTTGGCTTATAGCCATGAATATTTTCCTCCTTTTCCTACTTGGGAATAGGTTTTGGAGATTCTGCCTAGGTTTTGGCTTCAGAGCCATTACTAAAAGGCATCTTTGCAGCTTGTCTGATGTGTGTGCGTGCATGCACATATGTGTGTTTAAAGTTGGCATTTTCTTATTGGCATATTTATGTTGAGGTCATTAGGAATTCATTTCATTTCTATGGCAATGGGAAAAGGATCTTACTTCTTTCCTGAGAATGTTGATTGAGAATGACCTTACAACCCAGAGTCTGGGAGGGAAACTGACTTTTCTTCACATTTATCAGCATCTTATCCTCTCGAAATACCTATGGAGATGCTTCTTTTTCTCAGTCAAAGCAATCACCATCTTCCTTCATCTTGGGGTAAATTATATACTCAGCTTGAGGGTCTGAGGGCAAATTTTTAAAACTGCCTTTCTTTCGGCTGCTGAGCTGATTTTTTAAAACCCTATTGAAAGGATTTATTACTGGTCCTCCCTTAGTGAGACAAAGGGAACAGGGCATGTGGGCGATGTTGAGGTTGATATGTAACACACTTCTGATTGAGGACGTGCCAGGAGTTTAACAGCAAGATAAAGATGTGCCAGGAGTTTAAACCTCACAAGTTTTCTTTGCCCTTCTACTTGGTCTATTGATCCTTCTTCTTCCTAACTGATATCAGATGCCACAATTGCCTCCTTAACCCTTATTTCTTCCATGAAGGTAGAACCCATTAGCCAGCCCTCTCTTTTCTTTCTGTGCCCAGGTATGGTGAGAAGGGATAGTCAGACACCACAGAGGAGACTAGGGTGATCATCCTTCTGGTTTTAACATTCAAGTCCCTTATCCCAGGAAATTCCATGGTCCCGGGCAAACTAAGGAACGTTGGTCACCACACTGATGGGACCTCTCTGTGTTGAGGATTAATACCCATCCCTCCTCAGAGTGGATTCTCTTTCTTCTCTTTTTCATGGAAAAAGCAAAGATTAGTGAATTTGGAAGTCCACAGTTCTCCTTTCTGAAAATGGCTCTCTTCCCCTCCAACAACAAAGCATTTCTTAGGGAAGGACTAAAACAGGGATAATAAGAACCAGATAATAGTGCTTTGAGGTAGCTGGTAAACTTTTGTTTAATGCCACCATTGTTGGCAGGATCTACTACTTAATACATACATGCATACACATATACATAACTACAGTAGGATTTCTCCCTTATGAAATATTTCTTTCCCAGGAGCTTAGTAAGCATATCTGCTTATGTAAAATATTATTTCTCAGTGGCAGGTCTTCCATATTAAATGGGAACTTGGATTCAATAGAGACACAAAGATTACAACATAGGGAGGAAAATGAGATCTCACTACATCACAGGACTCTTCTTAACTCTCTAGATGTGCTTGTGAGCCAGCCCATGATTGGTGTCTGTAGAGGTCACAGGCACCCTGGACCAGGGAAAGACAGCAATTGCAAGAATAGTACTCCTTGTCATTGTCAAGAAACTGGTCTCCTTTGCAGAGGAGAGCCTTACAAGCTTGCTTTGCTACCACTTTGGACTAGGGCTGGGATGCTGTGAGTGATTCCTCAAATGCCAACATTGGTGATTTACAGGACAGGGTCAGACTTGTTCTGTGTGAGCAGCTACTAGCCTTGTCTAGGAATCCAGGTAATTTAGCATGTGTATGAAAGACTCAGAAAGAGAAGACTTATAGCTTATCCAAGGAAGGAGGAGACGTATACCTTGCCCTCTTCTCTAAGAAGGCCACCCTCTTCCAGGAAGCCTGCCGTGTCAAGAAGAGAAGCATCTGAGGAAGAGGATGATGTGCTGCAGACATATCTAACAGATTGGCCTTGACAATCACTGGAGTTGATAAATGCTACAAGCAGACTATCCCCATGTCTGGGACAAAGGAAGTTCACTGTGCCTCCTCTCCACTTGACTCTCCAGGCTGCAAGACTCTTCAGCTCTGAAACCAGAGAGGGATGCACCATTCTAGCCTTCACCATTAACTGCTAGAAAGCAAAAGAAATAAAAACCAACTTCTTAAACTGATACCCAAGTATATGCTTGTAAAAAAACCTTTTCCTTCTGAGGCCCCACCCTCTTGTCTTGCCAACATTTCCACTTCGTGCTGCTAACTTGCTCTGTCCTGATGCAAATTGCTGTCTAGCTGGAGAGTGGTGGGGGGGCGGGGGTGGGCATGGGGTGGATGAGGGAGGGGACCTAGGGAGGGGCTGGGGAGTGGATATAACTACACTGCCTTTAATATTGTCTTCAAGCAAGAACAAAAATAATGTCTTCTTGGTGCTGTGCTGTCTACCCACTTATCTCTTTGGTATTGGATCTCTCTGGTGAGAAAACGTTGTCACTCCTCTCTTTTTGTCTCTTCACTTTGCTGTGGTCAAAATCTTGTAACATCTAGTCTAGGAAGGAAAAAAAGACTAATGCATTTACCTCTTCTGGCCAAAATTTGTAATCTCTTTTCCATCTAATTTAGAAAACTGAGGCTGAATATTTGGTTTGAAGTCAAACAATTCAGGAATGGATTTGAAGTCCTAAGTATGAACAACGCATTGCTTTGGGCCTTACCCAACACTTAACTTCACCTGTCTCATCTACAAAATAGAGATAATTTCTGAGTTTGTACGATTGTTGTAAGTGCTCCAACATGGGTCATCTGAGGGCCACTGTTAGGATTTTTATCAAATGTGTTCTGCCTGTTCTGTTACCTATTTAATATCCTTATTTAAGTCCATTCAAGTTTTCACTTACCTAAATTTATTTTTGAAGGGAACATTATATCAGTACTCAAAATAGAAAAAAAGGCTAATGAGTTTTAACTAGATGCCAGTGATCAAAGTGCAACCTCTGTTTCTGTGTTTAAAAGGGAGACAAGTGAATGTTGGAGAGTTGTTAGAAATGCCCTACCTCTTGCTTGGGGCTCTTTCAGTTAATTGGGAGGGTCAAAAGAGAATTTACAAAAGAGAAGCTTCCAAGCTTTAGGAGTTATTGTGATTTAGCTACAAGCTGCATTCTACACTTTTGGAAACATGGAGAGAAGGGATAAGAAACTGCATACATTTTTAACTACTGTTACAGTGGATTCAGATTAGGTTTCTCCTTCTTTACCTTTTCTTTCAGTTTGCCCCAGATCTATATCTTTGTTAATAAAAATAATAATAAAATAGCAATAAGAGAAACTGACATTTAATGAGTTTTTTTTTTCTGCTAGGCATTGTGGTCAGTGCTTTATATGAACTATTTCATTTAATCCTTATGAAATCCTTACAAGATTAGAATGAAAATTACCCCCACTTTACAGCTGAGCAAACCTCAGCTAAGACATCTGGCGACTAGCTCAAGGTAGCAGACCTGGGAAGTGTGGATTTGAAATGCAAACCCAGGCAGTCTTATTCTAAATGAGGCCCACAGTCCTAAGCATGTGCAACTGTGGTCATTATGGGGATGTATGTATTCCACCTTCACCTGTTAGACACTGCTAGGAGAGAGCAATGAACAATGTTGCTTAAGAATTTTCCTTTCCACATCAGCCTGGGACCCGAAGAGGAACTCTGGAATGCCTATTCCAGTTTGAACTCTGCCACTCATTTGCTTTCTTGTTTTCCTTTGCTCTTGCTTCCTCTCCCTGAGCCTCAACTTCCATCTTTAAACCATGGAAGACTCTGGTAAATTATTGATCAACAGGAAAGGCCCTCTGCACTGATCTTTTATAGTCTGTCTAGTATTCAGCAACCTGGGATTACTGAATAACCAGCAATAGACTGTGAGAACAAGATGTGAGTCAAAGAAAGCATTGGTCCTTTATATTCCAGGCCATCAGAGAGGCTGCTCATAGTAGGAGTGGCCCCTGAAAAAGGCAGTTTGCCTTCCCCATATTTCTTGGTCGGAACCTGGAACACTATTTGGATATGCTCCCATTGGTCTCATTAAGCATCAGCCTACCATTGCAAGCTTTGTGCAGTTTCTCTGCACTTTTATAAGATCTCTAAGTCTCTCATAACAGTATATAAAGAGGGATTGTTGACTTCATTTTACAGAAGAGGAAAGACTTTGTCAGGGAAAGTGATTTGTCCAAGAACAAGAGCTGATATGAGGCTGAAGTCAGAGGACTGAAAACATTCAGATTTCTCAATTCTAACAAAGTGCTTCCTTCTTAAGTTTATTTTATTTCTAAATATATAAATTATACATTTTTAGACTATATAAATAATAGGTTACATAAATGATGTATTTATGCAATCCATTTCCACTGTAAAAATTTGTTATATATATTAATACATACAAGAAAATACCCCTTGACTCCAACTCAATGCTACCCCCCTCCCCAGAAGTAAATGCTTTTTTCACTTGGCTTATGTAATTCAAATGTAATTTTCTATGCATTTACATATGTATAAATGTACATGTATAACATATGGCTTTTTTTCTTATATGTAAATAAAATGATGTTGGTATATAATAATCTGCTACTTGCGTTTTCAACAGTGTACTCTAAACATCATTTCACATTAACACATATAGTTTTTTTTAGCTGCTGCGTATCCATTTCTTGCTATAGACATTGTATGGATTGCAGTGTTCTTTTGCATTCTACCTGCCTCCCATGTGTAAATGGGACATCTCCCGCATCAGAAAATCAGCCTCTGTTTTTCTGGGACTGTGCTAAACATAGCTGGAGTGGTTTCAATTTAAGTGGCAGCAGTAAGTTGACTTGGCAGGTTCCCTATTAGGGCAGGCCCACCCTTATATGGGCCTCCTCTCATTATGAAGGACCAAGAAACTGCCCAAGTTGCACAGGCTTTGGACTCATCCTGCAGGATGTCATCCTTTGACAGCATCCTGCTCCCATCAATTCCTAGATGTGTGCTTTTGAGCAAGTTATGTAACCTTCTAAAACCGAGTTTTCTCACCAGTAAAGTAGGAACATATTGATCATACATTTAAAGTGTTATTGCAGGAGGTATGGAAAGCACTTAGTAATGATCACTTTTAAAAATGCTAGCTTTCATACTGTCATGATTTCCTCTTTCTCAACAGCCTCACCAGTTCTGTTTCCTACTATCCTGGAATATGGTATGAGGAACAGGTTATGGAAAGATGAGTCCAAAAAAACCCCACACAGCACCCGCCCCCCGCCCCCCCCGCCACAAAAAACAAACAAAACCAAACTTGGCTGGGCGCGGTGGCTCACGCTTGTAATCCCATCACTTTGGGAAGCCGAGCGGGTGGATCACCTGAGGTCAGGAGTCTAAGACCAGACTGGTCAACATGGCAAAACCCCGTCTCTACTAACAATACAAAAATTAGCCTGGCATGGTGGCGGGTGCCTATAATCCCAACTACTTGAGAGGCTGAGGCAGGAGAATCGCTTGAACCAGGAGGCAGAGGTTGCAGTAAGCTGAGATCGTGCCACTGCACTCCAGCCTGGGCAACACCCAAACTTCTTTTGATAATAAAAGAAATTATACTGGAAGCAATACTACCTCCACTGGCATCACACTGTCCAGTTTACTGGCGGCTCCTATTGGAAACTAACCACTGCCCTATGGGGTGGGTGGTTATATTATTAGTTGTTACCATTTGACAGAAAAGAAAACTGAGGCTGAAGGGTAGGGGTTCCAACCATCTCCAGCTCTCCCATCAGTTGTTTGAGGAAGTCAAAAACTGAACTCAGGTCTTCAGATTCTACATATGAAGTCCCTGTAAGAATTGTGGTACTAGCTATTATTTAGGGAGACTGTTAGACCTACACACCTGGCAATGAGACACAATTCTCTCACTGATATTAAGTTATATATCATCCATGCAGTATTTTTAAGGCCTTTAAAAAATGTGCCAGGCACTGCACTGCACCAACAGCTGGTGATATAATTAAATGAATGAATAGGATATCTCAGTTCTCTATGGCAGGTGTGGCCAAACCGTGGCCTGGAGGCCAAATCTGGTCTATGAGCCTTCAGGATGGTGTTTTACTTTAGTAAATGGCTGTGGAAAAAGTTTTATTTTGTGACGTGAAAATTACATGAAATTGAAATTTGTGTCCATAAAGTTTTATTGCAACACAGCCATGCCCATTCGTTTATATCGTCTATGACTTTCACAATAGTTGTGCAGTTGCCACAGAGAATGTGGCCCATTGAGCCTAAAATATTTACCATTTGGACCTATATAGTTTGCTGACCCTTGCTGTAGAGCAATCACTCTCCAGCCCTTCGTATTATATATATATTCAGAGTGACTATCGTAGTTGGCATCTTCCAGATTTTTTTTCAGCTATTCCAGTCTTAGCAACTTTTGAATGATTTTAGCGCTGCCAGCTGTACTTCCACTGATCTAACAGTTTAGGTTAGGTTAGACAAAGACATGACTAAGCCAAAAATTACAAAGCAGCGGCCTCTTGTGGCTAATGTAAGCATTACTTAGATAATTTGGTTAACAGGTTACAGTGAAAACCTAGAGTTAGATTGTCTTCGCTCAGGGTTGGGAATCCCAGATTACTTTGAAATATCTAGGATATTCTGTATTTCCTGCCTCTTACCACACTTGTAATCTGTATAGTGAAACACACTTGTCTAATTATAAGTTAGCTGAGTTAAAAATAATGTAATAAGGAGACAATAGAATGAAGTACCCAATTGAATCACTCTTCCTAATGTAATGAGAATTTTTAGAGCCTGGGAAAAAAAGAGAACGTTAAGGAAAGACACTGATTAACGCGGAATATTTTGTGTTAGAAAAACTTGCTGGCATCCTTGTATTTCTGTCACGAAAAACAGAGGCAGCCTAGTGGGAATCAGAAATTGGGATTATTGTCCTACCTAGCCTAAAAACAGGTCCTAATTATGAGTGAGCAATTTTCCCCCTTGGGCTTCAATTAAGCCCTTGTAAATGAAGGGGCTGAACAAATCTCAAAGAAACTTTACACCTTTGACCATAATTTCATGTCTAGAGAAAATTTATAAAAATGTTCCACAGGCCTTCAGTTTAAGTAATTTGCTGAGGTCACTTGGCTGGCAAGTGACAAAGCCATGACTCTGCAGGTGTTAAAGCTTTTGCTGACGACCCTTGACACTGTAATACTATGTATATCACTGCCTTATCAGGGCAATTAATTCCTCACCTTGAAAGGGGAGAAAGGCCATCTCCTGATGACAAGAAGTTTGGAAAATTCTGCTGTTCCCAGTATTGCCTTAAAGAGCTCTGCCTGTAATCCTAGTACTTTGGGAGGCTGAGGCAGGCAGATCACCTGAGATCAGGAGTTCCAGACCAGCCTGGCCAACATGGTGAAACCCTGCCTTTACTAAAAAATACCAAAAATTAGCTAGGCATAGTGGCGGGTGCCTATAATCCCAGCTACTCCGGAGGCTGAGACAGGAGCATCACTCGAACCTGGGAGGCAGAGGTTGCAGTGAGCCGAGATCATGCCATTGCACTCCAGCCTGGGCAACAAGAGTGAAACTCCATCTCAAAAAAAAAACCAAACCAAAAAAAACAAACAAAAAAAGTTATGTGAGTTGAACATCTTGTAGCTAAAAACTTTCAGAGATCAGAAATTGGATTACACTGGAATCTTACCTTAGATACAACTCTATATATACACTGCTTTTCTGTGCAGTATTTGCTACTCTTCTTTAAAAAGAGGGATTCAGGTCCAAGGCAAGAGAAAAGTTTTTAATAAACTTTTATTTTATATTCAAGATAAAGCATATACACAATTCAATGTGGAAATAAATTACTAGAAATACTCTGGAAACTTTTCCATTTCCCTCTCAAACTCACTTTTTTTTAAGCTCATAAGTCTTTTTACTTGATTTTAAGAAACATGGCAACTATAATACTAAGAAAGAACTACAGCTTTGTACAGAAACATAGAGCCTTGTCTTGACTATAAGGTTTAGTTGGTGTTTTAATAACAACAAAAAAGCACAAAAGACACAAACACTCTTCAACAGGTTTACTCAAACAGCTTCGCTCAAGAAGAAAAAGGCACAGATTTAAAGGGATGACAATAATCATTAAGAATGAAGTAAATGGAGACTCAGTCAAAAAATGATACTTCATGAATTAAGTCAAGAAAAACAAAAGTCTTTCAAATTATCTGTCTTCCTTAAAATGAATTTTTAAATTAAATTGTATAAACATATGATATAAAGTTGGTACTTTAGGAAGCGTCTTTGTATATTTTTTATGTACAAATCTTTGTATACAATTTCGATGTTCCTTATATATTCCCTATATAGCAAACCGAGCCAGGACCTCCCAACTGCATGCCTCAAGTCCCTGTGGAGCACTCTGGCAGCTGGATGGCCCTACTTGCTTTCTGACAAAATAGCTGGAAAGGAGGAGGGACCAATTAAATGTAGTCATCTTCAACTGGCTCTCCATTGACATCACAATAGTGGATAAAAATTGCCACTACTCGCTGAAATACACCCTTCTTCATCTGACGCATCTCTGAAATTTCCTCTCCTATTGTTTCCATACAGATGTCTGCAGACAGCTGTCCTTTCCTTCTAGGAGCATAGATAGTGCCTTTGAAATTAGAAATAAAAGGAGAGATACATATGATAATCAGAATCATTTGGAAAATCACTGATAAGCTGGTCCATAGGACAGTCCCATATACTGCACTATAATGTAACTGATGCATGAATAGGTCAAGGAATGGGTCACCACCAGTTTGTTCTTATGTTTGATGCCTAAGACAGAATACATGCTTAAAGTCTCAAGGTAAAAATACTGCACCAAAGGCAAGTCAGACACATGCACATGTAGTTCATAAAATCCATTTCCTTATAAAGTATTTTTAAAAAACCTTTGGTTAACAATAAATATTCAAGTATGCTACCACTTAGAGAAACTACATTCAAAAATTTCTCCCCTAATTTCTACACCTAAATTATAAGTTTCCACACAATAAGCAGCTCATAACTAGCAGGAGAATAATACAATTGGAACAATTTTGAAACAATATAGTTGAAGTTATTTAATAAATAAGATTATAAATATTTAGGTAATATAAAAATCTTGTAGGAAAATCTGTCTAAAGGAATCCTTTCTACCAGCCTTTATATATCCCTAGTAAGTCCACTGAACATCTACTGCACAAATAAAGAACTGTTTTGAAGTGAGTAAATACAAATTATTTCTATGGGAAACCATTTAACACTGCACTGCTCCTAACTCACAAAAAGATATTAAGTATGTAACACAGTAGGCTATACTTAAACTAGAGAATAGATGTCAAGTCAGGTCATAATTACTTTCTTCATCGTCTTCAAAGTCGTATCGAGCGAAGCTGTTGGGCTCTGCAGCTCGTAATGACCTCAGCCAAGGGAAGTCAGAAATCATGGAATATGGAGCTCCATCCACAACACCTAAAAGACAAATGTAACATTGCTAACTGGCGTGGGAGTGCTGACAGAGCCAAATTCTGCAGTATTTTGTAAGCAGAATGTAAAATATAAAATAAAGAGAGTGAGTCAGGTGTCCTCAAATCATTTCCAGCTATCAAACTAATTTGTAATTTCTGTTTACGTTTTATGTTTCATCACTGGTTCTGATTGTCCTAGAAATAGTAAAGACTCATACAGGCAAAGCAATCTTCATCTGGCTCCCACTTCTTGCAGGTATTAAAATCATCCATATTTTGAAGAACTGTAGGACCCCCATTCATATCTTCCCTAAGGCATGTTCGGTCATCTAGTTAATAGCTATTCAACTTTCTTTTTTTAAAAAGTGTAATTCTCTACATTTGGGTTACTGCTTGCTGTAAGCCCAAACCAGTTTGACTAATTGATTGATGGATCATTCATTCATCCGTGAATGAGAAAGGGCCAGGTTTTGTTTCCCAGGCCGGTCTTGAACTCTTGGGCTCAAGTGATCCTCCCACCTCAGCCTCCTGAGTCGCTGGGATTACAGAGGTAAGTACTGCACAGGCTATTTAACTTTCTAAACATTTGTAAATACTCACCTTCTAAAGTATAGATTTCTCTCCCCCAGGGGTACTTGGGGTATTTCTTTAAGTCTTCTTCACTTCGAGTGGCTTCAGGGAAGAATTCATATTTAATGAGCTCTCTGGAAGCAACAGGAAAAATTAAGTAAAAATTACAAAACTGGAAATAATTAGTGTCGGGTAGGAAGGAACCATCAAAACTGTTTCGGACACAGATTCTACCGAACATCTCAAACAAAACATCAAATACCTAACGGAAGTAGGATACACTCAAACTAGAGAATCCAAGTGTAGTCAGGTCAAAACTACTTTCTTCACTATCTTCAAAATCATATCAGGGAAAGAAAGTCACTTTCTAAGCATATGTCTTCTACACAAAAGGTGCTTAATGCAACATTTATATAACAAATTTATAAAAGTCAAATTTTCTGATGATATAGAATATCATAGTCTTAAGATCTTCTTCAAGTTGATCTCTTTTTCATGCCCCAAGGCTAAATAATGTTACAAGTACATGTGCAATCTGTTCTTGTAATTTTTACCTGAGTTTTAAAGATCATAAATATATACACATGCTTTTTAGTTTTAAGTCCTCATTTCCCTCAGTTTCTTACTTACGTTAACTTCAGGATAAGCTTGTTTGAAAAGCTTAGATGGAATCATTTAAAATAAAGAAAAATTGGGATTTGCTTCTGGGAGTCCCTGCTATGAGAAATGACTCAAAAGGCCTTTAAGGGCCACAAAGTTACTTACTGATTGATGTTTGCTATAGTGTCCATCCAGCTGCGAATGCGCACCTTATTCCGGACATTGGGAGGGTTACTGAATTCATGGATAATACAGATGTGATAGGGGTAGGGACCACTAAATAGCTTCTGCTCCAAAGTTAGAGTGTCCACCTGTGGAAGACATCATAAAGAGATGTCTTCAACAAAGAGAATGCCTTAGAAATCTCTCTCCGAGAGCTTGAACAATCTTTCCATGGACCTTCAGTTTTGAAATCTCTGGCTGATTTGAAAATCAAATAGTCACATTCAGACCTGAAAACAGTCTGTCATGCTGGGAATAATTTTGCAAATTCTTCTGTCTAGGGAACTTGGCAATTTATATCTCACTGTTATATTTAAATGCCTACTAAACCAGAGAATCCTGATTGAGATAAATGACGTCAGTCAACTCAGAATCCACTTCTGTGTATGTCCTTTATTAAGTACTGACTGCATTATAGAACTGTGAATGTGTAGTAACATATACCCTATTCAAATGAGACTGCTGCCCAGTCTTTAAGAGAGAATGCATTTTCTTGTCTTCTAGGAGCCTTTGATAACATTGCTTTTTTCTCATGGCATACCCTCCCCCATCTCTAGTTATGAAATCTCACTCGGCCATCTGCGTGGCATAAGTGTTTGTCTCCTTTTTGGGAAGGCAAACTCCTTGAGGGAAGGATCATGTGTTGTGTTTTTATTTGCACCCAGCATATTTTAAGTTTTGAGACACTTGACAATATGATGAACTGACTCTTTTGAGGCCAGGCTTACACACTGATTACAAAGAGGCATTTAAAATTTCCTTTAAACCCTCTTTTGGCATTAAGCACAGAACCTTATATACAATATACTCTTAATAATGATAATGACACTAACAGTAGTTATATGATGGCTTACTATATACTAGCACATGTTTTAGAGTTTCACATATATTAAATATCACAATAATCCTGGGTATATCATTATTATTCTAATTTTACAGATGAAGAAACTAAGACATCGAAGTCAAATAATCTGCTACAGGTCAGACAGCCAGAAATTTAATCAGGCAGTCTGAACCAGAGACTGTGCTCTTAAACCACAGGTAACTTTTAATAAGTATAAAAACCTGTTGAATAACAACTCCCTATATCATACATAACCTGTAAAAACTAAAATATCATTACTGTAGGTTGGGCAAGTGAATGAATGCCAAATCCAAAAGGCTAAAGACTAACAAGAAAAAGAAAAAGAAAAACACCACAATATGTGTATCATCGGAAAGAAGCAAAGCTCGTTACCTGCTGCATTGGGCGTAGGTATATGATGCGGTTTCTCTCGGGTGGCATTCTTAGTATCTGGTCTAGTACCTGATCCATGTTCAGTTTCTTGCACTGTGCATAGTCAAATCGGTTTACAATTGGTGCATTTTCTACCTTTAAATGTTTTAGTACCCTGCACCTGGTAGCTACAAAATGAAAACAATGGTAAGCTCCGTACATATCATCTTTGGAGAGATGGCCTAATTTTTGTTGGCACAAAATACTGCAGTAACAAACATCTTTAACAGAGGTCAAATAATATCATAGAGTACAAATCACAGTTAACAAAAAAATTTGAAAATGTGGTTCTGTTCAATTCAAAAGAAGGTAGAAGGGGCATTAAAGTGCCTTTTTCTAAGATTTTACTGTTAAGAAAACCAAGTCTCAGAAAATGACTTGCCCAGACAGAAACTGTTTAGGAAATATTTATTTAAAAAATGAGTAACTATTATACATTTTTATAGTCAATAGTCAGACCTGAAATAATTCACCTATGTTACCTTACATTCACTCTCAGGAATGAGCAGAGTTGGATTTTAATTCCTGTCACAAACGTAAAAGTAGAACCTTGAAAAAAAAGACCCAGAAACACATTTGGATACTTTGGTCTAAAGCTATTCAGTCCAATCTAGTAGCCATGTGGTTAGTGGTTACCATAATACTGAACAGTGTAGACACAGAACATTAAAGTTCTATTGAAATGCTCATCTAAAACATGATTAGTTTTTCTGTTTGACATATAAAACATGAAGTCAGAAAAAAGTAATTTTGATATAATAAACACATTTAACTGAACTAGTATATCAACTTCAGAAAAATATTTCCTTCTCTTTTTTTAATCTCCAATTTCAACCTGGTCCAATTTTCACTGCAGATTTCAACCAGGTCCAACTTGAGAGAGATCAAATGGAAAAGATTATAAAACCACAGGCTCATTTGTCTGATCTTAACATTTCACAGACATCTGTAACATCCTTGACCCAAATGTCATCATCGTCTTGTGCAATCTAATGTAACTAACTTGACATTTAAACACTGAGAGAGACTCCCGCCTCTCACGTTCATTTTCTCCTTTTGTGACTTGGTGGAAAGAAGGGGAACTGTTGTTGAGGACAGCAACAGAGGAAAGGAGAGCGCTAGATGACAGTAAGGATCCAGTGGTTCTTAGCTATAAAATCCGACATGACTAAGGTCAGTTCTAATCTCATTTAATCATCTCCGCTGTCATTAACTTAGCCACTACCTACAGACTAAGCTAAGATCCTCTCACCACGATAAGCTGAGCCAAACAATTTGGTTTAAAGGGGAGAAGGTTGGGCCTGAGGCCGTGTGATCCATCATTAGGTTAGAGAAGGTACAGGAGAAATCATCAAAGTAAAAAGAAGAAAACTAGTCAGATTCTCGGAGAGCTCAGAGTAGAGAAAGGAATGGAACGAGATGCCGACTGGCAGAGTCTGAAGATTGAGTTTTACATTCTCAGAGCTCAAAGGGTGTAGGTACTGACAGAATGAAAGTTCTTCCAGTGCTACTGTAAGGCTAGGGTGAGTACCCCTACTGTTACAATCTCTGAGCTTTTGAAGAGCCTGTGTTCTCCACTGTAAAAGGAAACTCCAATAGGAGATAGTAATTTAAGATGTTTTAGGACCAAAGACCACATTGGCTGGGATAGAGAAAAGTACTACTACTTCAGAGTAAACAATAGAGTCTGGGGTCCCCAAGGTCTGAACTTTTGTAGAATTCAGAGGAGAAGTAGTGCTTGAATCTCAGTTTCATCTCTCCTTTCTTGGGTTCTCCTCAGTTTATGACAATATGTTTGGTAAATACCTTTTAATGGGATTTCTTTGTTTACTACTAATATGGTAGGAGATATAAAACAAAATAGACCTCAATATTTTTTGGCAATACAGGTTGACGAACCTTTATCTGAAATGCTTGGGACCAGAAGTGTTTTAGATTTCAGATTTTTCTTCAAATTTTGGAGTATTTGCATTATATACTTACCCTAATCAAAAAAATCTGAAATCTGAAATGCTGCTCCAATGAATATTTCCTTTGAGCATCATGTTAGTGCTCAGAAAGTTTTGAATTTTTAAGCACTTGGGCTTTCTGATTTTTAGATTAGAGATGCTCAACGTGCACTAACATAATACAAATTAACATCACTAGGCATTACTAGAGGTCAGACCCTGTACTGTGTGTGTGGGTGTGTGCATATGTCATGTATATATATACATATACAGGCATTTCTCATTTTATTGCACTTTATTGTGCTTCGCAGACATTACACTGTTTACACAAGGTCTGTGGCAACCATGAATTGAGCATCTACTGGTGCCATTTTTTTAGTAAGCACGTGCTCCCTTTGAGTCTTTGGGTTACACTTTAATAATTCTTGCAGTATTTCAAACTTTTTCATTATTATTTTATCCATTATGGTGGTCTATGATCAATGATCTCTGATGTTACTGTTTTAATTGTGGGGTGCCACAAACTGCACCAATATAAGTGAACTTAATAAATGTTGTGTGTGTCCTGACTGCTCTCCCAACAGGCTGTTCCCCTGTCTCTCTCCCTTTCCTCAGGTCTCCCTACTCCCTGAGATACAATGATGTCGAAATTAGGCCAATTAATAACACTACAATGGCCTCTAAGTGTTCAAGTAAAAGGAAGAGTCACAAATCTCACTGTATTTTTTTATTTATTTTTTTGAGATGGAGTCTTGCTCTGTCGCCCAGACTGGAGTGCAGCTGCGCAGTCTCGGCTCACTGCAAGCCCCGCCTACCGGGTTCATGCCATTCTCCTGCCTCAGCCTCCCTAGTAGCTGGGACTACAGGCACCCGCCACCATGCCCGGCTAATTTTTTGTATTTTTAGTGAGACGGGGTTTCACCATGTTAGCGAGGATGGTCTTGATCTCCTGACCTCGTGATCCGCCCGCCTTGGCCTCCCAAAGTGCTGGGATTACAGGCGTAAAGCACTGCGCCCGGCCACAAATCTCACTTTAAATAAAAATATAGCAATGATTAAGCTTGGTGAGGAAGTCACGTTGAAAGCTGAGATAGGTCAAAAGCTAGGTCTCTTGCGCCAGTTAGCCAAGTTGTGAACACCAAGGAAGAATTCTCAAAAGAAATTAAAAGTGCTATTCCAGTGAACCCACAAATGATAAGAAAGCAAAACAGCCTTATTGATGATATGGAGAAAGTTTGAGTGGTCTAGACAAATCAAACCAGCCACAACATTCCCTAAGCCAAAGCCTAACCCAGGGCAAGGCCCTCAACATTCAGGCAATACTCTCCACCAGCAAAAAGATTATGACTCACTAAAGGTTCAGGTGATTGTTAGCATCTCTGAATAATAAAATGTTTTTATTTTATTTTATTTTTTTTTGAGAGAGAGTCTTGCTTTGTTGCCCAGGCTGGAGTGCAGTGGCGTGATCTTGGCTCACTGCAACCTCCGCCTCCTGTGTTCAAGTGATTCTCCTGCCTCAGCCTCCCAAGTAGCTGGGGTTACAGGCATGAGCCACCACGCCTGGCTAATTTTTGTATTTTTAGTAGAGACGGAGTTTCACCATGTTGGCCAGGCTGGTCTCAAACTCCTGGTCTCAGGTGATCTGCCTGCCAGAGCCTCCCAAAGTGCTGGGATTACAGGCGTGAGCCACCGTGCCTGGCCAATGAAGTGTTTTTAAATTAAGGCACGTAAAGTTTTTTAAAAAAATACAATGCTACTTCACATATAATAGACTATAGTATAAACGTAACTTTTATATGTGCTGGAAAATAAAAAAAATTCTTATGATTCACTTTGTGATATTCCTTTTATTATGGTGGTCTAGAACCAAACCTGCAGTGTCTCTGAGGTGTGCCTGTATACATACACATACACAAACATTTAACATTTAAATCCATCACTGCATTTAACTTTCACAAATGCTTTATGAGTTAAGCAAAATTATGCACGGCTTACAGATTGAAAAAAATGAAGACAGAAAATTATATAACTTGCCCAAGGCAAGTAAATAAGTCAGATCTTCATAATTTTACATGGATGGATATCTAAAATATAATTTTGAATAAAAAAGGTAAAATTAATAGATCAATTATAGGATACACTATGTACCTAAATTTTAAGAAAGCACAAAACTAATGCCCTATGTTTGAGACAGACACATATATAAAGAAAGACATAAAAGGTGCACTGGAAAGATATATATTTAATATATTTAATACACGAGTGTAGATGGTGGGAGCAGATGAGATTAACAATGAGGGACATGAGACTAAAAAGAAAAAGGGGCTTGGATTAATGATAATGGGCCACAAAGTAAAGATACAATTAATCATCTCAATCAAATACAGAGCAGTTATACACTTGAGGCCCAACCGCTGCTTCCCTCAAAAACCATGCCCAAGTCACACAGCTAGTAAATGACCAAGCCAGCAATCAAGCTGAGGTCTATCTGACTCCAAAGCCTGTGCAGGCTGTTATTTACTCTGCCAGATCAGGCAGTAATTATCTTTTGGAGACAGGCTATTTTAAAAGATGAACGAAGTTTCTATATATGATGCTCAGAAATACTATGGAGTAATAATTTGAGAACTAGAACAAAGGCGGAACTAAAGATAACCCAACACAATATTTCCTTTAAGAAAATAAGACAGTAATGCTATTACAGTATTTATGAGTTCCTAATTCTTTTAACTCATTCATGATACTCTTGTATAATATGGGCCCAAATACATACCATGGATGAACATCATCTTTGGACAGTCTTTTAGCACTAGATCTGTGATTCCACAATTGGTCATAGTGACTCCAACAAGATTCTTGGATTTTAATACAAGAACCTACAAGCAGAAAAATTAGAAACTATATAAAGATACAAACTTTAGTTTATGTGCATTATTTAGGAACTGGGCTAGACTGTGATAAAGGTAAGTGAGGGTTTTTTCTCTACCTGCACATGGTCATCCTCGATCACAGGATCACTTGTACTAGTGGATTTATCTGCTGTCCGCTTCCGTTTCATGGCGTGACGTGGCTTTGTTTTGGCTACTTCTAAAAAAGGCAAAAAAAAAGAAAATCCAAATTTTAGCCTTGCTTTCTTTCCCTCAAGCACATTCAATCACATACGTATGAACATAATCAAGGTAATTCCCAAATCTACAATTTGGTTCCCAGTGGAATACAGTTACATTGGTATTTCCAGTGGATTGTTTCAAAACAGGATCACCCTCCATTACTTCAAACATATCTACATCAAACATAACAACCCTTCTCATGCCTAGGTCATCCTAATAATCTAATAAACATTCCTACTTCTAGGCTCTCTGACTCATCCCATCCTAAATACTATTGGTGAATTGAACTCCTATCTTTCCTACTAAAAAACTTTTAAATTATTGACTGCAGCTTAGTGAATGTTTCAATGCTTCACATTTGGAGCTATGCTTCAGCTCTGTCCACTCTCCATACCATACTCTAGTCATCTCCCACTGCCAATGTCTCTGAAGTCATCAATTGCTCTAGCTCCTTCTGCCCAGAACACGTTTTCTGACCTTACTTTTTGAAATACGACCCATCTATGAAAGGTCCAACTCAAGCACTTAGTTTTAACAAAGCACCCTGGATCCTCAAACATTACATACTGTCCTATAGTTCCTTTTATACTTGTTTTGTTGGTCCATTCACATAACAGCTCGTTAAAGGCAACAACACTCTCTTAATTCATCTTTGTTTCAATGTCAGTCACTAGCAAAGGGATAAAATGAATGTTTATTGAATGAACTGGCACTCAACACTTACAGAATGAATGAATGCATCACAGGTAAAACAGAATAACAAATATTTACTGAGCGCTTACTGTGTGTCAGGCACTGTTCTAAGGGTTTTACTCGTATTAACTCATTTAATCCTTATAATAGCTCTGAGATGGATTTATTGTTCTCCCTGTTTTACATATTAGGAAACTGAAGCATGGGATGGTACAAGAACTTGCCACAGTGTTAAATGGGAACCAGGAGTCAAACCCAGGAAATCTAGCACCAGTCACTAAGCTAGAAAACCTGCAATCTTTCGTCTGTCAAACCCTGGTTAATAATGCCCTAACTTATTTACTAGTATTGTTCTGAAGCAATACACTTCAAAATAAGCAAATATTGTCCTTATTTAATTTAAAAACAAGTGCTAATAGCTAAAACTTAAGCACATATATATTCTAAGAAAATACATTAGTCATTGTCCTTGTTTTTGATACTTAATCATATTGTAGCAGAGCATATATTGAATACAACTGACTTTCATGAATTAAATCACCACTATACTGCTTTTTTAGATAGTACTGCTAGTTATAAACATTCTATTGGTAATTCTGTACTATCAGTAATTCTGTAATCTCAAACATGAAAGATCACAAAAAAAGACAAGGAAATTGAACAAATACTGCAAATTCCTAAAGGCTTGGGGTCAGATGGGAACTTCAGAGATTTAGCCTAAGTGATTTTTTTACACACCAAATCCTTTCTCCACCATGTGAAGTCTTTGTGAAATTCTACCCTGTAAAACAATTCAAAGCAGCTGCTTTGGCTGAAGGCAGAAAAGGAGCCCAAGAGCTCTACCCATCAAACTTCCTCCAAGGACCTTGAAACTAAGCAAAATTCTGGAGTTCCAACAAAACATGAAGACTATTGACCACACAACACAACGTAGGCCTTCTCCCACAGTATCCTGAAGGAACTTCATCCAAAATCAAACAATCTTCATTGACATGAAACCTTCTAAAGGCAGCACATTTCACCTGATAGCCAAAATTCACAATCCTTTTAAAACCTCATTAGTAAGTCCTGGTTCCCTCTCCCAGTACCACAAAAATGAAAATGAACAAACAAAAAGCAAGCCTGTTTCCACTACATGACAGTGTTCTAATAAAGATCTCTCAGTAAAATACTTTTATGATCTGATTTTCAAGTATCTCACCTTCCTGGATTGCTCTCTCCCTTCCCCTTTAATTTATCAGAGCATGGGGTTCAAAATTAGGTAAAGTTTCCTGCTCTCCAGGGTACCCAAACTGGTAGTTTACATTTTCTAGGCAAAGTTATAAAATGAAGTCACACTTCATACATACATGAGCTTGAAAAACAAACATTTCTGATGCATGAGGAAGAAAGTTTGTGTGTTTGTTATTATTCTCTTATGCCTCCCTCCCTGTTTAGAGACAATTAATTTTGTTTAGGAACATTTTTTAGTAACTCAAAACATCCGCTAGTATCAACAATACCTCATATGATGGTTTCTATACTTATTATGTTCATAGTTATTATCTAAGCCCCATTCCATGTGTAAGACATGGTGCTAAAGGATAGAAATATACTGGTGAAAAAGCAGAGACTGTCCTTGTCCTCATGGAGCTCACAGTCTACTGGAAAGGAAGACAGTAAAACAAGAAATTACAACAGAGTGTGGTTCACATTAATGTTGAAGATGCTACAGAAACAGAGAAAGGCAGATCAATCCAGTCTTGGGGTGTCAGGGAAAGTGTTTAATATTTATAGCAACTAATCTTAAATGTTATTCTTTGACAATCCAATTATATATTTCTCTAATATTTATAAATTGTTATACAGTGAGGATTAAAAGCAACTTAGTTATTTATTCCCAAAATATAAATTCACAAAACAATTATATTAGCTTCTAAAATGGCTTTAACACTCCACAGGGCCATAAATTAAAAACCAAAGAACTCAAACGTTACATTTTTTGAACTGATTTTTAAAAATCTTTAACATTCAAGTTTCTTCCTTTATTAGTTTGGATTTTTCTCTTTAAAAAACATGCCGGATTAAAAATAATTTGGGCCGAGTGTGGTGGCTCATGCCTGTAATGCCAGCACTTTGGGAGGCTGAGGCGGGTGGATCACCTCAGGTCAGGAGTTTGAGACCAGCCTGACCAACATGGTGAAACCCTGTCTCTACTAAAAATACAAAAATTAGCCAGGCATGGTGATAGGCGCCTGTAGTCCCAGCTACTCGGGAGGCTAAGGCAGGAGAATGGTGTCAACCCGGGAGGCGGAGCTTGCAGTGAGCCGAGATCGCGCCACTGCACTCCAGCCTGGGCAACAAAGCAAGACTCCGTCTCAAAAAAAAATAAAAAAAAAATAAAAAATTAGCTAGGCATGGTGGCAGGTGCTTGTAATCCCAGCTACTGGGGAGGCTGAGGCAGGAGAATCACTTGAACCCGGGAGGCGGAGGCTGCAGTGAGCCAAGATGGTGTCACTGCACTCCAGCCTGGCTGACACAGCGAGAATTCGTCTCAAAAAAAAAAAAAATAATAATAATAATAATTATAATTATAATTTGTAAGCTACCCAAATAACTTCTTGTTTTTTCCAAAAGGGACTTTAATAATATTAAAATCAGTACTTTGATATCTCCCCCAAAAAAATACTATTGAAAGTAAACAGACATTTTTATAAATCTAAAATACATTAGCAAATAATTTACCTACTATGACCATGTTACAGACATTAGAAGTCTTCTCAAATTGAAAAAAATCACATAATAAAAGCAATAAAAAGCACTACATAAATGATATTTTCTTTATTTTAAATCCAGAGAATGATTTAACTTAAGAAAAAGTTCTAGACATGAAAAAAGAATAAAATAGTTAAGGGATAAGCAGAACACAAGGCAAAAAATAACATCAAAACTTCAATGGCTAATATGAAGGCTCTGTATTAAAAACAAAACAACAAAAAACGGTAAAATTTTATCAAGAGACATAAGTAAAACGACAAACATAACAGTCCCTAAACAGGAAGACACAGTGCTGTTAAAATGACAATTATGTTTCAGTTATCAATTGAATGCAATTTCAAACAAAAACCAAGCTTAGTTTTTGGAACTTGATAAAAATATTACAAAACACATCTATAAAAATAAATGGCAAATGCATGGCTAGTCAAGGAAATTTTGAAAAAGAATAATGAAAGAAGACAGAGCACCAGAACAGAATAGAATGACCAGAGATCAACCTAAGTATGTCAAAGAATTTAGTAGATGATAAAAGAGCATTTCAAAATCATAGCACGAGAATGGACATCCATAACCAATATTGAAACAAGATGGTGATAGTTTGGAATAAAAAAAAAAAAATTAGCTCCCACATATTGAAATAAAATTCCAACTGAACTAAGGAACTAAACTGAAATCAATGAATAAAGGAATAAGAAGATGCGCACATTTATCTGAACCAAGTGTAGGAAAGGCCTTTCGCAGCATAAAAATAAACTCATAAAGGAAAACATGCATATCTGACTTTGCAAATACGAAAAACCACACAACAAAAGGTGTCATAGGAGGCAGATACTGTTTAATGGACACAGAGTTTCAGTTCAGGATGATGAAAAAGTTCAGATGGTTGGTGGTGACAGCTGCCTAACAAGATGAATGTATTTAGTGCCACTGAATTATACACTGTACACTGAATGGTAAAGTTATATTTTACCACCAATTAAAAAAAAGATATTATCAAACATTTACAATTTAAGCTGGGAAAAGTACTTTCACCATATGGCAGAACCACTGTTTGCAAAGCATAAAAAAGTCTTCAAATAAAACTCATATATTTCAATGAGTTTATGCAACTATGGTAACTAGCACATAACTAAGGTCTCAAATGTATCTCATGAAAGCTTACTTTTGTTCTGTTTAGCTCTGTATGAATCCATTAGTTCTATTTTGAATATACAAAAAGCACTGACTGCCTATGTTCTGGGACTGATTTTAAGATTTTAAAACTGAGGGCTACTTGAAGAAAATTAAAATACATTATTATCACTGTCAGGCAGTAATGATATAATAAAGGCAGGAAAGAGTACTTAAAAATAAGGTCAGAAACAGTAACAGACTTATGATTAATAAATATGCTTACACCCAATCCATGGCTACACATTATAAACATTAATGAAATTAAATACACATATATGTTTTGAGTATTTTCACCAAAATAATTCTCAGCCAAACCATTTACTTACCTGCTTATCTCCTGGCAAATCTTACTTGAAGCAAAACTAGATTTCTGAAAAAATTACTAAGTACTGCAGAGACAGAAAGAGGGGTATACACAGGAAGCTGCACTGAGATGTGTTCCCCCAGCCCCAGCAACGTCAAGTCCTTGCCTTTTGGCTGAGTTTAAAACTTTCCTAAGTTAAGACTTCTCTAAGTGTGTGATGGCAGCAGAGTTCATCTACTGGGGCTTAGGTGTCAGTCAGTGTTATATTTAGGGTAAATATACACAATGACATTTTCCTTAAAAGCTGAACTATTTTGAGCTTTCCAGGTTGGACATTTTATAAACTGTTTTACACACCCACCCTCCAAACCATTGCTGAAATTAGTTCAAAATTCACATGACCCACAAAACCCCAAAATAGAATTTAATTTGCCAAACTGGCTTTTTGTAAGAAAACTCATGAAACAAGTTCATGCCTTTCTGCAGCCCTACCCTGCAGTTGCTAATCCTAGGAGCATTGTCATACCTGACTCAGATACCAGCAGTACATGGGACAGTCTGCTCCTGGCCCTGGTTAGGGGCCTCCGAGGGTAGTCTTCATTAGACTGCACGTCACAACTCTCAGGCTGGGAGCTCCCCCTCCTGTCCTCACCTGTAGCCCCAGAGCCACTCCCATTAGTCCTCTCATCATGTGCTGGGCCTGAAGACCCCCCTTGTGGCAGAGTCCTAAAGGAAAAGGCGGATCTCGTACCATCCGGGCCATTCACAACACAGGCTCGGCTGGTTGAAGGACGTTCCTCATCAGAACACCTGCTAGTTCTCCTTTGGGATTCCTGGGGCCTGTGACAGCAGCATCTGGGGCAGACAGAACTCTCTGCATCTCCCTCCTCCATGGCCTCAGAGTCCTCTGACCCACCGGGGGAGCAGGCACACTGCCTGGACACATCCACTTCTGTAGGGCTAGGCTCGGAAGAGCCGCCGCTGTTCACCGTCCTTACAAAGTCGGGGCTTTGAGAAGCAGTGTTGTGTGAGCTGGAGTTTCCCACTGTGCTGGCGGTGGTGCTGCTGCAGCTGGGATAAACATCCTTGTTTTTTTTCTTTTCAGGAATATCCCTAGCTGCTTTCATATCGGCTTTGATCTGCTCACTGGTGACCTGACAGCCTTTCTCACAGCTGCTTTCCTCGAGGGGAAACTGCTTCGACTGGCCCATCTGATGGGAGTTGTACCTCTTTCGAAGTGGAGTCTTGCCTTTTCCACTTACTGCTTATAGAAAAAGAAGAACGGCCCGAGGAAAAGAAAAGATTTCAGTATAAATTCTGGACAAAACGCAAGAGTAAATTTGGAACAGGAAATAATGTATACTAAACACTAATTTTCCTAAAGTATAACTGTGATCACATCACTGAGCTGCTATAAAATTCTCTATGGCTCCCTAGTGTCTATCTGGTTTATACTCCTTAGCTATGCCTTCAAACCTCACTATGATCTGATTCCAAACCATCTTTCCATGTCGTACCCTCCATATACATTCTACATTCCAGCTCCAGCTTTTCTCTCAAAATACCCCTGCTTTACTACCTCAGGGGCTTTGTTCTCACCAATTTGTCAGCTGTGGTCCTCCCTGGTCCTCTACTCCATCTCTTCTGCACCCCCACCCCAAAGCAACTGTAGTTGTAGTATATGCCCTGTAATATTACTACCTATTGTTTTTGACATGACTCTTCAACTAGACTAGAACTTCTGTAAAGACAGACCATGACTTACTCATCTCTGTATCCCTCACAGTGCCTAACACAGTACCTGGGGCATAGTAAGGCTCAATGAAGATATAAAGGAATAAATAGGTTTTGTCTGGCCAACAGAGGATTTAGTTGCTAAATTTAGAAACTGCACTGTCTGGGAAGGTAGGTTAGTCAGCTGGTCATATTACTTTTCCTAAATTTCAGTTTCCATAAAACCTTCTTTCAACCACATTATAAAGTTATCTGAATTTCTTAAAAGAAATAAAAATTGAATAATGAGTCAATGATTAGCAAATTATTTCAAGTCCAAAGAACTAAACTTTCCAGATAATAGTACTACATAAATGTTCCAGGGTCAGTGTTAAATGTGTTTTGAACATTCAAAAATATTAAGGAGTAAGGGTACCCAAGGAAAAATGACTGCACAATTTGCAAAATATCCATCTTTTGCTAAAAGTGGTAAGCACGTGGTTCTGCGAAACCAAAGGGAAGGAAAGACAAGGAAGAAGTATGAACTTCAAAGTTAAGAGAGAAGTACAGTTTCTTGGTGAGGCACTGCAGAGGGTTGTTGCCTAGATTTAAAGGGATGTGAGGGATTATAAAAATATGCTTTAGGACTCCTTCCAGCACCAAACTAGCCACCAATATTCATTAAGCACAACTGGACAGATTATCAACTGGGGAATGGTTGCTTTTCATTGCTCTGGATGACTCAGCAGTCATCCCTTACATAAGGCACAGGCTTTTCGCTCACTAATCTCTGACACCCTGATGCCACAACTGAAGCCTCCACTGTAGACTTATAATCCTTACTTCTCTTCTTCCCTGAGCCCTCATTCCACAACACTGTTGTGTTGTATTGCCTACAAGAGCACCACCCAGATTTCCCTTACTTGGGCAAGTGCATTTCTTGCTTCCTGTCACATTCCGTAATATATGTTAACTGCACCCAAGTTGTCATATTAAGGCCAAGTGTGTCAGTTCTGATAGTGACTCTCATTAATAGTTCAGAGAAAGACAATTTCTCACCTGACAATTCTCTGGACTGCACTGACTCTCCAGTTTTTTCTTCACGTTCAGAGTAACGCCGAGTACCGTTCTTAGGAATCCAGACTTCTTGGAGTTCTAGACTATCTTCTTCATCATCACTCTCTGAATCATGAACAGTAATTGAGGTTGGTTTTACTACACGCTGAAGACCACTGGGTCCTTAAAAAAAAGCACAGGCCTAACAGTTACTTTTTGCGCAAGAAAGGATCTAATGCAAAGTACTGTTTCCAGGGATCTGGAATCAACAGAGATGCTTTGTGGCTCTATACAGCCTCCCCTGGCACACATTTTAACTGATAATGCACTTGGATAAGATACTGTGAAAGCAACTCAACTCTAAACCATTATGTCAACATTAAATATGATTAATATGCCAACCAACTTGATGCATTTCCAAAGGCAAATTAAAATAGAAAATGATACAGCATCCCCTTGCAGGACCTTCACTATTTCAAAGAGTATCATAAAATCATCCTAAAAATAATCTAAATAACAGTGATAATAATTTTAAAACTAAGCTATATATTTTCTCAATTTTTCAAACATATGAGCCAAGGCTAGTAAATGAAGATGAACTCAGAAACATATGGGACTGGTAAATAAGACTCCATATTCTTTGAGTATAGATCTATCTCATTAGATGTAGCAGATACATTTTTGAAGGCTAGACGCATGTTACATTTTGGTTGAATATGTGTATTTATGTAAAAAATGTTTTATCTGCTTGGCAGTATAGCTTTTAAACCTAGTTCTTATAACCTAATTCTCTCTGACAAGTGACCAATATTAGCTCCATCAATAAACGTATGCTCCAAGGAACCTAGCTTTTTTCCTGTCACATTGTACAATGCCTGACACAGAGTAGGCACTCAATAAATATTTGTTGAATGAGTGACTGCATCTCTAACACTCTTAAAACAGGGTAGCATATTTTCGATTCAAAGACAAGGTAGCATTCTAACAGGCAGAGAATGAGAAAACTTCAGTTTTCTCAATTTCAATTCTGTCCCTTGATTATTGGCTGAGTGGTGTTGAGCACATCATTTAAACTTTTGAAAGAAAATTAATTTCCCCATCTACAAAATGAAAGGCTATGCGAGTTAATCTTTAAGGGCCTAAGACTCTATATCCTGTCTTAAGTCAGCCAATGGCAAACAGACGCTAGGTTTTGGTTTGTTTACTAAACCAGGTCAACTTCTCAACTGCTCCTCCTCTCTAACTGAATTGAGGGGAGGGCAATAGCAGAATATTTAATCAGGTCATTTATTTTCCCATCAACAATTTGAGTGTTTTCTTTTTCTACACATACATGGACAAACTCATGCACACGTGGCTATAAAGAAAAAGCAGTTGTTGCTGCAGTCACAAATAATAAAAGACAAACTTTAGTAAGATACATGCAACAAGAATACCAGCAATGTATTACAGTTCTCAGTAATCAATAGCATAAAACGTATCATTAGCTGAAAGGTCAGAAAACAATCATTCTCGCTGTCTCATGTACTTCATTACAGTTAGGCCGTAGTTTCAGAATGATGAATGTGGGATGGATCACATGATTACCTGCTTGTTCCTCATCAACATCCACAGGAATAATTGCCTGGCTGTGAGCTGGAGTATTATTTCCACTCTCGGCCACCACCTCTCCATCTTCTTGGACGATGTCTTCCATCTCATTTAATGCTTCAACGAAAATATACACAAAGTAAAAACCAAAAGAAGTATAAAGAACTACAATGGCAGGCAAAACTGTGGCCGCCCTAAGAACTGAACAGTCCCGCTGATTACTAGGCCTGCCCTGAAAGAACAGCATATACTGCATACACTGTGCTTGTTACTGCAGATATTAAGAAGTATTTAATCAGTCTACAGGAGAGAAAATCACAGATGGGAAAGGATCATTTGTTGGAGAAAGCCCATCAAACTCATACAAACTCAAACAGTTAACAAAGAAACAAGGCAAAATATGATTAAGCCAAAAAGATGCCATTCAGATTAATGTCACTGAATTATATGGGAGAGGTTTGAAATTTCACAGGGACAGTGGGAATTGCTTTGGTTTTAAACAAGCACAACAGCACACCTCCCCCTGAATAATTGCCCAGCTCTAGCCTGCAATATCTATATTTTGGTTATTGCCAAAATGAGAAATGACCTTGCCTAGAAACCTTTCATGATAAAAGCCAATCAATTTTCTTCTTTCATTCAATTGACTAACAATTATGAGTAGCAGTAATTAATGTGTACATACTCTATGGCAGGCTCTATGCTAAATGTTTATAGAAACATTTTCTTATTTATTTCTCGTAGCAATCTTGTGTGAGGGCATTATTACTAGCCTGATTTTTGCAGTTGAGGAAATGGAGGTCTAGAGGTTTTAACAGTTTGCTAGGATTTAACCTGAGGAGTTTCTAGAGCCTACTGCACTACAGGAACTATGAGCAAGTGGGAAATTTATACTCCTTGCTCTTAAAGAGGATGCACACATTCTGGCAAAGATGTTAGACACATAGAATAAGGTCAGAATATACTTGCTAAGAGCTATAACAGTTCAAAAGTTCAAAGGGAACACAGACAAGAAACAACTAATTCTCTCATTGGGTCAAGGAAGGGTTCACTGAAATAAGGTGACATTTCATATACCACCATACAAGAATGCTACATTTTTTGGAAGAATAGTAGTCCAGTGGTTAAAACAAACAAACAAACAAACAAACAAACAAACAAACCAGTTATCTGTGTTGTGATAGAGATGCGAAAGAAAAAACAAGGCTGAAAAGGTAGCCTGGGCCCCAGATTGTTAAAAGCTTGGAAAGCCTTGCTAAAAAGCTTAGAATTGTTTGCAGTAGGCAGAGGGAAACCACTAGGTTTTTATGCAGGGAATGGCATGAAAAGAAGTACATTCAAACATCAATGTGATAAGGTTTTCCAAAGTTGCTGATCAACTGCTTTTAGGTTGCCAGAATAGCCTGTGCAAACATTTAATATGATACCCAAAAGTTGTTTAAACGATTTCTTTCATTGCATTCATTTGAATACTTACTGAGCATCTTACTACAATTTGTTAGTATTCCTTGGAGCTGAGAAACAGTGGTGAAATTCAAGATCCCTAGTCTCATGGCTTACTCTAGTTGGGGGAGAAAAAATTTTAAAAATAAAAATAAAAACATCAGATAGTAATGCCTTATGTAACAAAAAGTGTGATGTGACAGAGAATAAACTGGTGGCTGCTTAAGATCAGATGGCAAGGAAAGACATCTCTGAGATTAACATTTCAGCTAAGAACTAAAAGTCAAGAAGGAGCCAGCCATGAAAACATGGAAGGAGGGAATTCTAGGAGGCAGTAGTTAGTGCAATGCTAGGCACCAGCTGTCATGTTCAAGAATGATGTAGTGGTGGAAGTAGTACAAGATGAGGGCAGGCCAGATCGTACAGCATTTGGTGGTCCAATTTAAGAAGCTGGATCTTATTCTAAGGCAATGGGAAGCTATTAAAAAGTTTTGAGTAAGGTATCAATATTGTTTGGTTTGTTGTTAAAAGACTGCCCTGGTTGCTATAAGAACTAATTTTAGCTGGGCAAGAAAATAGGCCAGTTTGAAAGCTATTAAAACATTTAGGTAAAAAAAAAAAAAAGAGAAAGGTCTGATGTAGTGGTAGTACAATGGGAAAGGAGAGATGTAGGCATACTGGAGAGATGTTTCAGAGACATTCAACAAGAGTTGGTAAATGACTCAACGTCTTGGAGAGCAGGTAGGAAGTAAAGAAAAAAAGCATAATGGCTTGATTTTAGTCTCTGGTAATTAAATCGGATGATGGTGCCTTTGGGCTAGTGAAGATACAAGTGATTCTTGGTTTTGACAAAAAGCATAATGTCTTGATTTTAGTCTCTGGTAATTAAATTGGATGGTGATGCCCCTGGGCTAGTGAAGATACAAATGATTCATGGTTTTGACTTTTTTCCTTTGTTGGAAAATATTTTATCATTAAGGTAGTACATCTTTTTCAGAACAGTTTTAACTTACAGAAAGTTATATATATATGTATATGTATACATATATATGTATGCTAACTTAGAATCAAATATCAATATTCACCAAATGTTTTGTTTAGCTGAAATGTTATTTCAGCTGTAAAAAAGTCTTATAAAGAATTCATTGCCTCTTAACAAAATAATTTTTATGCAGTGAAATTGTTGCATAAATTAATAGAAATTTATTATCAGATATAATATTTAGTGGTTGACAACTACCTGCCCCAAAGTGTAAAACAAAATACATTTACTGGGATTTTTTTTCAGACTGTAGTTTGCCCTTAGGCTTCAAAAATAAAAATTTTACAAAATCAGTGGTTTTCAAAGTATAGTCCCAGACCAGCAGTATCAGCTCCACCTGGGTACTTTTCAAAAATTCAAATTCTTGGCCGGGCGTGGTGGCTCATGCCTATAATCCCAGTACTTTGGGAGGCCAGGGTGGGCGGATCGTGAGGTTGAGATGGAGACCATCCTGGCTAACACAGTGAAACCCCATCTCTGCTAAAAATACAAAATATTAGCTGGGTGTGATGGCACGCGCCTATAGTCCCAGCTAATCGGGAGGCTGAGGCAGGAGAATCGCTTGAACCCAGGAGGCGGAGGTTGTAGTGAGCCAAGATCATGCCACTGCACTCCAGTCTGGGTGACAGAGTGAGACTCTGTCTCAAGAAAAAAAAAAAAAATTAAAATTCTTGGCTTGGTGCAGTGGCTCACACCTGTAATCCCAGCATTTTGGGAGGCTGAGTTGGTTGGATTGCTTGAGCCCAGGAGTTGAGACCGCCTGGGCAACATATGAGATCCCAACTCTATTTAAAAAAACAAAAAACAGCAAATTATCTGGCCTCACACAGCCGAATAACTGGAACTCTGAGGGCAAAAATCAGCAATGTGCTGATTCCTCCAGGTGATTGTGATGCACACTCAAGTCTGAAAACCACTGCCATAAATAAAGCTGCAGAGCAATTTCACTTGGTAGTTAATTCAGGCTAATGGGGTGGAGGGATGAGGGAATGACGCTGTATTTAAAAGCATTAAGTAACTGGAATGTATGTTAAATCAAAATAGAAAATTAGTTAAATGATGTACAGGTAAAACTATGCTTTAAAGTTGTAATTCCTTAGAAAGTAGTTACATAAAAATAGACACTATGCTTTAGCAATTACAGAAGCATAATTGTGACACTTATAGGCAAATGTAAATTGTTAAAAAAACAGCAACATTGTGGGGCACAGTGACTGACTCATGCCTGTAATCACAGCATTTTGGGAGGCTGAGGCATGAGGATCACTTAAGGCCAAGAGTTTGAGACCAGACTGGGCGACACAGTAAGACCCTATCTCTACACAAAATTTTTTGAAAAATCAGCTGAGAGTGGTGTCACGCGTTTGTAGTCCCAGCTACTCGGGAGGCTGAGGTGGAAGGATCACTTGAACCCAGGAGTTTGAGGCTACAGTGAGCTATGATCATGCCACTACCCTCCAGCCTGAGTGACAGTGAGACTCTGTCTCAAAAAAAAAAAAAAACCCCACAAAAAAACTGTAATCATTTATTCTTATTTTAGAATGTTGCAAAATTCAGGTAATCAAGTTATATTTTCAGCTAACTAGCTCACAATTAAGTACTCTAAGTTCTAAGACTTCTCAAAATACAAACTTAAGATAATATCCTGCCAAATTATAAAATTTTGATAAATATAGTAACTGTGAAACAAAAAATCATAGTTTTGTTGGAGTTAATTTATACAAATTAAATAGCTTTTAAAATTATACAATGCCCCTCTTTTACAGTAAATTACCTCATGCAAGCTGAAGAAGTTAAATACAATACAGCAATAAAGACTGGTGTTACTTCATTCTGGGGCTGGTCCAAAACCAAGTAAAGGCCCATGCATGTAAAGATTTGTTTTTAAGACTCCGGGTCTCCCTCTGTCACCCAGGCTGGAGCGTAGTGGTGTGATCATAACTCACTACATCCTTGAAAACTCCCCACTCAAGCCATCCTCCCGCCTCAACCTCCTGAGGTTACAGGCATGTGCATTGCACCTGGCCCAGACGTGAAAAGTTTTCAAATTGTACATCAAGGAGAGTCAACATGTTAATACCAGTTTCAAAGAAATTTTAAAATTATTATTTTCACTTGAAGATTTGAACCATCAATATTAGTCAACTGTTTAACATAATTCCCCATTACCCCTTTTATTATGAAGCCCTGTATTTCTTTGTTTCAACCAAAAATCAGTCTTTTTCTAGTTCCTTAGTTTGCGGGAAAAAAAAATCTAACTTATATGTGTGTGTGTGTTGTGTGTGTGTGTATACATGTTTAATAACAGATACAACTAAACACACTACCATGTGGGAGTGACCTGTGGAATCTAATGTTTTCTACCAATCTTCATTTCTCTACAAATGCAGCCATTGCCTCTGGTTTTCTTAGGCTTCCTCTTGTTGAAGCTGTTTAATCCTTCAATTCTGGCATTTACGTATTGCTTTATACAATTATGCTTTATACATTATGTATTTATTCTTTGCTTCTCAGCATTTAACAGTATTTGAAGATACTATACTTGACAACAGTCCTAGGTAACTGCTGAAGCTGAATCCTTCCATAGTAATTATGGCTTCTTAAATCAAAATAGCTTATCCTATGTCTTGTGTATTTGGTTTTTATGCCAAATCTCTCATCTTCTGAAACCGTATTTATAAATCAAATTAAGATGTAAGTTCCATTTTCCTCTCTTAAATCAAATACAGATACAAATTAAATCAAACATGTTCTTGAATATCTTTTTGGTCCTTGTTGCAACAATATATGATTTCACAATGGCAGGCATTCTCCACTGTACTGAGAAGTCCATGGCAAAGTAATCTTCCAGTGAAGTCTACAATCTGTGTGTCAACTCAAACCACAAATGAGTTCACAGGATTTGGGTAGTTCTGAATGGCAGCTGCTGTAAGTTTCCCACGTACAGTCCATGTCCTCTGAAGTGCAGATCTTTATAGTGGTAGTAACCTGTACTATGTACCATAGCACTCAGGACAACAAAGCAAAGAGACAATACGTGACTGTCTCGCCCTCTCTTTCCCTTAACACCTGTTGGCTCTGCACTTTCATTTTTGCATTTTTAAGGGAGACTGGTTGGGGAAAGATTTTACCTAGGTTTGAAATGCTTAAGAGTATACCATGGACATAAAGTACAGAGCTAGATATAGCTGCATTTACTTCAGAAAAGTATACAAGTTAAGGCTGGAAACAAAGATTTGGATTTAATACCATATAGTTGGTACTAAAACCTTGAGCTTGAGTGAAAATGTGTAGAGAAAGATATCATGGACAAAAGTGGAATACAGGAGGTGCTACAAGCAAAGGAAAATGAGGTAGGAGAAAAACCAGCAAAATCGTTTCAGAGATGCCAAGAGAATAAAGTGTCTCAAGAGTGTACAAGTCTAGGCAACAATGTCTAATGCTGCTGAGATGTCAAATTAGATGAAAGTGGCGAAATGACCTCCAGATTCAGTAAGACAATCACTAGTGACTTTGCCAAGAGCCAAAGTGGAGAGTTCTATAGGGACCAAGTGAGATGAGAAAGTGAAGACATTGCCTACAGATGATTCTTTTGTCAGGAACTGTATACTCAGAGTGCCCCTAAAGGAAATCATGCCCTGTACACAGTACATTTCATTGTAAAAGCAGGTACATATCAGGGCACCCTATTTCTCATTAATTACTGTGTGCAAGAGTAGGCAAATGGGGAACAACAAAAGGATGGCTAGAAAAGATTCCTTTTCCAGTTCCTAAGCGTCAACTGGGAAACTGGAAAATTTGGTAACAAAACAATCTCACATCACTTCACTCATCAACAGAAGGATGGATGGAGCACCTTCACACATGGGTTGGCACACCGTAAGTATTCAATATATATTAATGAACTGGACAGATAATTACATAAATGAAATAGAATAGGTCCTTCTTAGCTAATGTACTTAATCTGCAGGGTGGAAGTGAAGACCTAATGATTAAAGGTACATGAAAGGTGCCAATGTCTAGCCCATGGTTGGTATTAATCTTTCAGTTCTTCAAATATCCAGAAATGGTCTTAATGTTCATGCTATCCATTGGTCTAGGAGACAATAAAAGATACTCCTTTGTCTAAATCCTGAAAGTTAAGTCTCAGACCTCAAGAGTTACCACTCTACCCTAATTCCCCTGGCATCTGTAATCTTTCCCATTCTGTAGGTATTCTTATAGGGTCTGTGGATAAAAGCAGTTTTGAAACAAGCAAGAAAAGAGAAAAATTTCACCTACTCCCTCATGTTCCTTATCAACTAGCTTTCCTCAATGTGGAAAGTGACAAGTTGAAACAGGGGAAAAAGGGAACAGGATAAAGCCAGAAATACAATACAAAGTGAAAATCATTTCTATCTGGAGCTCATAAAAGATCTGGGTTACCGTCAGCTGCAAACTGCTGCTCTCCTGGCTGCAGATCTTGCCGAAAGTCATTCTCCTCGTCTGAGTCATCTGGATGATGGTGATTGTTGTCGTGGATGTTGGCATTGTTATTCTGGGCATTATTATCGTCATTGTTGGAGTTCTGGTTGCTAACAAGAGCTGATGAAACACCAATTCCTGTGCCTGCACTCAGACCAACTCGAGCACAACCCTAAGGCAAAACCAAAACACATACGTTTATTAATTTGGGTTAGTATATATCCCTTCATTTTTAATATCCCTTCATTTCACCTTTACATTATAACTAATATTTATATAGTACTTATTTATGAAATGCTTTCACATACACATAGAAAATCCCATTTAAGGCCTGCAACACTTCAAGATAGATAAAGGGTTACTGGCTTGATTTACAGATGAGGAGTCATGCAAGGAGAAGAGATCTGCCCAACAGCACATGGCCAGTAAGTGGTAGAGCCGCAATTTGAAACCAGGATTCTGACCTTAAATCCTGAGCTTTCCCCATTATATTGTACTGCTTCAACAGTGGGAATGTAACCATTAATAACTGACAAGAGAGAACATAAATGGTTGAAGGATTAAGTTTTTAATTGCCTTAAGAGTACAAAGTTCTATATGTTAAGCAGTTTTAAAATAACATTTTGTACAACTGGGCTACCTCAGATTTCCCAGGCTATACAACTTAACAGAAAGATAGCAGCAAAGTAAAACATTCCCCAAATAAATCCTTAATTCTTGTTTATACTTTGGATTCCTAATTAGATTTAATCTACCAACCTAATTATATTTAATCCACCAATGAATTATCCCACGTAATAATTTCTGTCTTAAATTTCCAGCCTCACCCTTACCTTACCTTTTGTTTATATACTAACAGACAGCTTCCACTTATTTTTTCCTTACCCTTCCCCAGAGAACCCTTAATTCTCATTTAGAAGAATGAGAGGCTATGCATTATTACAACCTTTATGCCTTCACTGAGGCTGGCAGTAAAAAGTCCGACTGTAACACCGTAAAGGCATATCATTGAAAAGAAAAAAAAAAAAAAATCACAGGCTGTTTTTATTTTCTTTCCTATCAAAATAAACAAAAACTCCCTCAAATGTATCTTACCTTGGGTGGTTCACGAAACATCTGATCCAGTGAAATAAACTCTAGGCTGGGTAATAATTCAATAAACTGGCCAAAAGAGTCCAGCTTCAAAGCATGGCACCGTACTAGGTTGATATCAACCAATCGAGTCCATCTTGAGTGGTCTGTTAAAGAAATGACATGACCAGAGAAAATCTAAGTAACATTTTCCCCATTACTGATGAATTTTGATACAGGTCACAAAGACTTTCAAATCCTTTTTTTTAAAATAACTTTTCCTTTTTTTCATGACTTCTAAAACCCGATGATTCTAAATTATGATGTTTACATACCTAATTCCATTGTGAGAACTAAATGGCCTGGGGAACATTAATTTGAATCCAATCAGCCCTGATTTAAATGTGATCCACTCAACAACCTACATGGCTTTTCAACAATAGGACACTGAATTAAAAAATTATGGCATATTTATTTAATAGAACATTATGTAGCTATTTCAAAAGAATTAAGGAGAGCTTAATATGCTTGCTGACATGGAAAACTCTCCAAATTATACTTAGTACAAAAAACAAGCTACAGGACAGTGTATACAGAGTAAGATCCTTTGGTATAATATAAATCATTTTTAAATGCTACACATATATATGCTGCAATATGCATAATTTGTCCAGAAAAATATACAAAAAACTGTTGATGATGGTTACCTTTGAGAAGAGGAGAGTTTTCATTTTGTACCTTTCTGTACTGTTTGAAATTTATCAAGTGCATGTATTACTTATTTTTTTAAGTGTTAACAGGAATTCTGAGTGATGGGATTATAGGCCATTTTTTGTTTTCTTCTTTATACTCTTCTGTATTTAAGAAAACAAACAAACCAAAAACCCAATAAATGTTATTTTTTTAAAGTCATCTACGCCTGCTACATCCTAAAGTTCATATTTCCCAATAACTTCTTGGTTCAGCAGGGCCAGGGATAGAATTTAACTGCTGCTGGCACATGAGACATGACTATATTAACGAGTGATCTCAGCAGAGGTCCCAGAGCCCTAAAATAGGCCTGGATAGTAGCTTTGTGAGGAGATACAGATCCCGGTCAAGTGACTCAATAGCAGAGGAGGCTGTTCTGTAGGTGTCAGTGAGAGGCTTTGTCACAAGTACAACTTTTTCAGGCTCTCAATTTATTTAATGGTTTGTAAATTTCGGTATCTAAGAAGGGCCTTTAAGAAAACAGATGACATTACTCTGAGAGGAAAATGAACTCCCACCATAAGGGAAAAATATCAAGTGCAAAAGTCACACTTCTACATATAGGAGATTGGAGGGGGAGATCTGAAATAGACTGGGATTTCTAGTCAATAGAAATTTTTATCTCAGGTTAATGTCACTTAATTAAAGTTCAACATACATACCTACTTTGTCCTTTCAGATGATGTGCTATTGTGAAGATAATTCTGAGAAAATAACTACAATATCCTAAGTCCTAGGTAACAATGAACTAACCTTAATTTTATGTTCCTAGCCCAAAGAAGTACATATAAAAATCAGGGCACTTGAATCCACAACCTGGAGAGTATACACTTCTAGGCAGAGAACGTCAGAAGTTTAAAGAGGCATTGAATATACTTCCAACTTGGTTATCAAAGGTTACCAGAACTTGTATGAACAATCCAAATGAAATACCTACATTTTACATTAGGAATGCAATCATATCACACATAGAAAACATGGAAAGTTGTATTATTTCAGTATCAATAAAACATAGCTGTATTTTTAAGTCTGTAATACCTGAGATCCAATTGTATGGGTTGTGTAGATGAGGGCAATTGTAAATTGCCAGATATTTGATACAGGAAAAAACTTCATTGACTGCTTTCATCCCTATATCAGTGATGATACCAGGATTTTCTACCACATCAGCCAAACCATACTTCACCAGATCCGCATTAGCCATTCTGCCTAAAAAGAGCAATCAATTAAAAAAAAAAAAAGTCAAATTCTTAAGTGTTAGGGAGTGTTACCAACTTTGTATCTTACCAGTCAGTATAAAAAGTCTCTACCATCATTCTGTATCATCTGCTTATCATTGGGTTCAGGTATAATTTTAGGTTAGGTATTCCGTACATATGGTAGCACTTCTTGTACAAAATAATAAATTATATTAAAAGTCAAGGGACAGCTAGTAGGAAAAATTATTTCCAATTGTTTAGAGAAGAGAAAAGGCAAAAATTCTTAAAGCATAAGTGAAGGATCTATCATACTGGTTCATACCATGGTAAAGTTTTAGCTTTATCATTTAAAAGGAAAACAAAATCTTAAAAACTCAACTCCCTTACAATAAAATGATGTTCTTGGAGCCCAGTGTGGACATGTGTAGAGAAAGGTAAACTCTGAGAATTTAAGATTCATTGTTAGAACCCATGGCACTGGTTAGTAACATCTATCTATACCCTAAAAGTGCACTTCTAACTCAAACACATGCCACTGGGCTTTAGTGCCTACTCTCTGGTCACAAACTAGGGGTTTGGGAATAAGTAAAGGAGGATCCTTTATTCTAGATCATGTCACTAAGAATCACACCTCATCCCTTGCCTCTTATCATTTCTCCCATCTGCCTGCCCCCTCACGCTCCAAGATTCTGTTAGTTCATAGTTACATCTTTAGTGTCTAGCATAGTGCTGGGGATACAAGAGCTCATGGGAATACGTCTCTCACAGTCTGCAATCAACCAATATGCAGGACAAAAAAAAAACACTGCCACTCTGGTGAAGCTGCCCTGAATATCACAGGGATTTACAACTTTAGCTACAACATGTTAAAAACAATCCATCTTCTCCAAACTTCCAATTTTACTTTCCATATAGTTGACAGTCTTTCTCCTATAGTTCCTATATTTGGTATCTCCTGGCACATCTTACAAATTTCACCTTAATCCATCCTTTACAATTTAGCTGAACTATTTTCTTTAGCTCCTGGTAAGGATCATTTCCCTGCTCTTAGGACTTCAGATGAAACTTACCATTTTCCTTAAGATAGGGTAAACCTTGAACTGACCCTGTTTCCTGGGCACTATCTGAATAAATGCTGTAACCTAACATGACAAATCGATGTCTTGCATTTAGTTTTTTGAGATGAACACCATGTTTCTACTCTTGGGGCTTCCTGCTTGACACACTCCTTTCAAAATCCTGATGATATTACTTGAGATTCATTTTTGTTTTTCTTTTCAGCCCACAGGTGAGCTAAAGGTAAAAGTTATCATTTATTGAATACTTCCTAAGTGTCAGAGATTACTGTAAATGTATACATCACTTTTCCCTTGGTTCCTCAGAGCTACCCAAGAGAAAAGCAGGATACCACCTTATCTTCATTTAAAAAATGAGAATTAACTTGCTTAGGTCTCATGATTAGTAGCAGACAGGCCTCAATTCTCTCTCTCCCTCAAGCTCTAGGACTAAATTGCTAGAACTCTAGGGCTAGGACTATATTGTTTCTGAAATTTTCACTGAGTTATACGTCTCTATCAGTATTATATAAAGCTTACAGATCATAAATCCACATGAACAAAGAACTCTCTAAAGATTCATCTTTGGGTCACTGTCAGAAGACAAAGGTGATGTTTCTATTTATTTATTCTGCCAGACCTTTTATAACAAGAAAGTGACTCAAGTTTTACCAGAGGCCAGCCACCACTTCTTGGAGAGATGCTTCAAATCTAAATTACTGAGAAGAGAGAAACTAAGTGAGAGAGTGTGAGTGAGCAGTGACCTCATGATATCGTCCATAACAAGTACCAGGCACCTATTCTGAAACAGAGAATCCTAGGTCATCTTTGGAGGGACAGAAGATAGTATGCATATGGAAGAAATGGTTAAACTGTGGCAAATAAGAAAATGAATGTACAAAGTTCAACATAACAGACTATTAAGTATGAAACAGAACATGAAACAAGTTGTGTTGAAAACTACGAGATAATGGTAGTCAAGAAGGTATTTTTATGCTATTGAAAACATATGTTGAGGAGAAAGAAACACTACAGGAAAATAATTGGTTATGAAGTTAACACTTGAAGACAATTCTTCAGTAGACCTAAATTTGGCCATCCTGAAGGTACACAATTTGTCAAGTTCTGAGCTTTTGGGAAAAATAGAAAACAAAATTATAGAAAGAATATCAATTTCAAAGCTAATAATTTTGTTACTATACAGACATTGCAGAAACATAGGGAATGTTAGATACTTCATTCAAAACCAGAAAAGCTTGATATCAAATGTATTAATTTTATATAAAATCATTGTACTCATTAGCATTTTAAAGCTATTTTGGAGAAAAGCTGATCTTTTTCAAAGCTATACAGATTTAACATGATTCTAATAGTAAACTGTCTAGAAAAGGATGGCTTGACTTTTTAAAGTAATCACCTATATTAATGAGTACTGTGAAAAACAAAAAAGTAAACAAACAAAAAACCCACAACTATTATTGTAATATATATTAGAAATGAAAAACAGTCATGTTTTTTGAGCTGGATTGTCCTGAATGGAAGAATTAAGCCTTCTTATGTTCTTCTATAATACAAACTAGATCCAAAGAAAAAATGTTATCTGCTATGAGGATGAGAGTTCAAGAAAGACTTGTTGCAAATCAGGTGGGAAGAAAATGAATTCTTGAATAAATAAAAGCATGTTGGTGATGAAAATTTTCTTTCATATCTTATTGATGCCATATGGAAAAATAGTTTGAGTAATGAATTGACATGCATTCAAACCCAAAGAAATGAGTTCTCAATTGTAAATGGGTAAGAAAATGCTGTGAACAAGCTTTCCAACAGCAATCATCATTAAATGAATACTGACCATTATGTGCTCACACTATCTGGAAAATCCAGAACCCCCAGCGGGCTTATTATGGAAATGAAGAGCATGGGCAGGGAATGGGACCTCATCTGAGAGGACCATCAAAAGCTTCAAGAAGTGTGGCAGATCAAATTCAACAATGGAACCAAGGATGACATTCTGTGAAAAAAATGAAGCAGAATGGGAAAGAAACTTGGGCAGTAAAGTGGAGACAATATCAAATGTAGATAAGGTTCTTTTTCTGGTGTATTGTTAGTAACTATATTTTCTATAATATGCTAAAATCAGAGGCAATATGGAAAAAAAAATCACTGACATTTCTAATTTAAAAGTTTATTTTTCAAGACGTGAGAGCACCTAAGATTTTAAGTTGTCTTATGTTCAAAAAGACATGGCACAACCCAATTCAGATTTCAGTTTGTCAAGTAAATTTCTTACAGTAATTCTAGGAATTAAAATGGGATAAATCTTACTCTGTAGCAAAAACTCATCTACATATCCTAGATGAAGGGTTTCAAACTGGGGAAACTCCAACTCTGCCATCTTTAGGGCAGAAAAGACACCATCTTTGGTTAGGGAAGGCTGGATCCGAACTTCATGTAACCTGTGAATAAAGACAGAGAACATATCAGAGTAAAACAAAAACCATCAGAATCAAAGATTCCTCCTAATATAAGTGTATTAGTCCGTTTCTATGCTGCTGACAAAGACGTACCTGAGACTGGGAAGAAAAAGAGGTTTTAATGGACTCACAGTTCCACATGGCTGGGGAGGCCTCACGAACATGGCTGAAGGCAAAAAGGAGCAAGTCACATCTTGACTGATGGCAGCAAGTCACATTTTTGCCTGATGGCAGCAGGCAAAAAAAGAGAGGCTGTGCAGGGACACTCCCATTTTTAAAACCATTGGATCTAGTGAGACTTATTCACTATCATGAGGACAGCATGGGAAAGACCACCCCCATGATTCAGTCATCTCCCACTGGGTCCCTCTCACAACACATGGGAATTATGGGAGCTGCAAGATGAGATCTGAGGAGAAACAGAGCCAAACCATATCAGTAAGACTCTGAAAGAAGTTCATGACTTTAGTGAAGTGTCACAGATGTCAACAACTTCCCTCCCACTTCCTCCATTGAAAAAAAAAATATTTTCTTCAAAGGAGTATCTGCAAAGTGTAAGGAAATCTTAAGCAGTACACTGAAGCTATACATTAAATAACAATTAATTACAGGTAAGAATCTTATATCCTTTCAAGTGCTTTACTAAACCTGAAGAGTCAATGTGAGAATCTGCATCTGGTGCTGGTATTTGACATTTTGCTTAGGCTAGCTATTAATGTTGCATTTTAACAAAGAGTATAATTCTGTAGTAGGTAACAATACCTACCTAAACTTAGAAACACTTTTATTTATAATCCTAATCAAGTCTCTTGATGGAAAAAGCTTTGTTTCTGAATAAATTTTAAAAATGCTTAAAGAAAATATTATAAAATAAAAGTGGAGGTAGACCATTGATATGTAAGAAATAGTAAATGTGGCATAAAGTGATATAACCACTTGGTTAAAAAATATAGAGGTGTTACAAGGTCAGACTTTGGAAAAGCTGATTTAAAACACTGATTTCTGAATAGCAAATATTATCACCAAGTAACTAGAACAATTCAGAAAATCATCCAGAGATGGAGACAATGGTCCTGAGAGGGCTACAGACACCAGAGCTTCAATGCTAACTTCTATTGGACTCTCAGCCATTTCCAGAAATTCCACTGCTTTTCTCTGATATGAGACCATGCCACTCTGGAGCTTGCTAGTATGCAGCTCAACTGGTTACCAGTTATAACATTAAGACTACCATGATGTTATACTTATCTGTTATTTGGACTTCTTCGTATTTTAAATTTGAACAAGGCTTGATCAAATGTACACACATATATACACACACATTCCACAATTTTTTGTAAAATAGGGAAAAACATAATTACTTCTAAAGTGAGAGACACAATACAAAGAGGAAACATACCTACGGGCAGCAGTAATGATGAGGTAACCAAGATCTACTTCAAGAGCATTTTTGCAAGCTCCCAGAACAATAGTGTGCAAATTTCTAAAACCACCTAAAGACGAGGAACAAAAACAAGTGTTTGACCATAGCATTTTTAGTGAAGTATTTATATACTATACATTATAAAGTATTATCTGAGATGATAATTACTGATTTAAAAGTAAATCTAAGCTTTGTTTTTGCATTGAAATTAATATCTTAAGATGAATTATAACTACTGGTGACCTAAAAGGAAATGAAAGCAGACCCTCATTTTGCAAAGACACTGATGGCATCTGAAAACTACTCTAAAAGATTTACATTGTTAAGTAAGGATTTTTAGAAAGTCAGAAGCTGATGAGAGAATTGTAAAAAAAGAAACCCTGCCATTTCTGGCCAAATTTCGAACCTCCAAATATCATATGGAACAAGACCAGAACCACTTTAACTGATTTTTTTAATGTTTCTGAAACTTGTATTTACCTACAAAAAAGAACATAAATTACTAATATATAGCTTAAAGAAATGACTGATTTATCTGTTTTAAATTTGTATAAATAAAATCACAAAGTTTGTATACTTTTGTGTCTGGCTTCTTTTACTAAACACTCTGTTTATGAGATTCATCCATATCGCTGTGTAGCTGTAGTCTGTTCACTTATTACTGTACAGTATTTTGCTATATGAATATGCCACAATTTAATTATCCATTCTATTGCCAATAGGCATCTTTCCATTTTGGGATGATTAGAAACAGTGCTTCTATGAACAATCTTAAAAATGTCTTTTGGTGAACATATGTAAACATTTCTGTTGGGTTTAAAGCCAGGAATGCAACTGTTGCTATGTGTATGACCAACTTTAGTAGATACTACCAAACAGTATTTCAAAGTGGTTGTATGAATTTATATTCTGACCATCAGTGTATGAAAGGTCCTGTTGCTTCACATCCTAGCCAACATTACTGTTTTTATCTTTTTCATATTAGTCACGAGTAGGCATAGTCATTTTAGTGCTTGAATATCACACTGTAGTTTCAATTTGCATTTCCCTAACGATTAGTAAACTTTTATCGTTTTTTCATGTTTATTGGCTTCTTGTGTGCAAACTTTTCTATTCAAGTCTTCTCCCATTTTTTCTATTGAGTTGCCTGCCTTTTTCTTATTCATTCCAGGAGTCCTTTATATCTTCCCAATACCCAGTATCTGTATTGCAAACAGCTTCTCCCATTCTGTAGCTTGGTTTTTCACTCTCTCTCTCTCTTTTTTTTTTGAGACAGAGTCTCACTCTCTCACCCAGGCTGGAGTGCAGTGGTGCGATCTAGGCTCACTGCATGCTCTGCCTCCCAGGTTCACGCCATTCTCCTGCCTCAGCCTCCCGAGTAGCTGGGACTACAGGTGCCCGCCACCACGACGGGCTAATTTTTTGTATTTTTAAGTAGAGACGGGGTTTCACCACGTTAGCCAGGATGGTCTCGATCTGCTGACCTCATGATCCGCCCGCCTCGGCCTCCCAAAGTGCTGGGATTACAGGCGTGGGCCACTGCGCCCGGCCGGTTTTTCACTCTCTCAATCATGCCTTTTGATGGACAAAAAAAAAAAAATTTTAATTTTAATTTGGTACAATTTATCAATATTTTCTTTATGGTAAATGCTTTTTGGTGTCCTGTTTAAGATGTCTTTGTGTACTCAAGGTCAACAAGACATTCTTCTAAGTTATTTTTTTAAATTTCATTTCAAAATTGTTCTCATCTGAATCTATGACCCATCTAGAATAAATTTTTGTGTGAGGTATGTTGACTTCTTGAGTAAAATACAAGGCAGGGTCACCCTTAAAAACTGATTAGAGAAGAAAAGTCTCTGTTTTTCTTTTAGGACCTTTATACAAACTCAGCTTTTAGCACCTCTCTACAGGTCTTCTCTCTAGTGAATACACCAGTAGCCTTCTTTTCGTTTTTGACTTTTATCTTGTTAACTATCGCCATCAATCAAAATACTGTTGGTTTTAAGGGGTTGTTTCATCCCACTGGCTAAATGTAATAAAGTACACTTATACCACACTTGACTGACAAAATGTCTAGAAATGTAGTGTTTACTCTTCATTATATTTCAACAGTATTAACTATAATGTCTGTTTGTTAACAATGGTACTTGATGACTTTCCATTTTATTTTAGAGAGCCAAAGTTAAGTTTTTGGTTTCCAACTATTAATCATCCATTTTGCTAAACCACTATTTTTTTTCTGCAATGAGATGTTTAACACAAAGCACATTCTGTTACGTATTATTTATCTATAGTTAAGTATACACAGAACAACTTTTTTCTTTTAAATATCATCATCTGATGGGTAAATCAATATCCAAGTAATATGTATAAAAGTATTTTTTATATTATAAAGTATTATGTGATAGAGATTAACATTATTAATGCCTAAATTTTTTTTGGAAGCCTCGGCTGTACAAGTTGTAAAACATCACCAAAGAACGCTAGAAATCCCTGTTAACATTTCTAAGAAAGATTCCATACATAAGAGGAGGTATTATTAGCTACATAAAAGTCAAAACAAGCCAGAAAACATGTCTTATCACTCTACTGTCTATTTTAAGAAAGTTTAATGTGCACCAAAAGAAAATGAATACTAGCTATGCTCATGGTTACTTACTGTCCATCAAATACAACAAAGAAAGCAGTTACTGACGAGCATTTTCTTTTTAAAGACTTGCCAGGGAAGTTAAATAAAAGCTTAATGATTATTTTAAGTTGATTTTTAAAAAATATTTAGTAATTAAAGAAAATGAATACCTGATCTCCAACTGTCTTCAACAACATGTTGGATAAGACCTCCAAGGAAAGGAACTCGAACCATTTCTAAGTGTTCCAAGTTTCGGGCAGAGGCTAAGCCTGTTACTAAAGGGACATATTTCAAGGAATTTGTGGGTCCTGGAAAAAAAAAAAAATCTTTGATAGAACAATGTAAAGTGCCTTAAAATGAATTTCAAATCAGTGAAAGACATGTATAACTTATAAACTCTAAGTCTTAAAATGACAGCCAAATTGGCTCTCTGAAATCAGGTTCTTGTTACAAATGAAAGTGTTAGCCTATTAACCATACACTTACTCAGCATAAAGGTTTTTCAGTAACACTGTAGAGATATGTAGTATTCCGTAAATTCTCTAAAGGCTCAATAGTTTTGAACTCAAACTAACTAATGGGAAAAAGTCAAGATAAAAATTTGATCCTTCACTCAAGTAAACAGCTCAATCATTTAATCATCTCTATGACCAGTGTTGCATTAGCTACTATAGAAGATCACAAAAGATATGGTCCTGTCCATCAAAAAACCTGCAGTTGACATGGAGCTAGAACTAACATAAGTAATTATAGAAGGATAAGAAGGCAGACTGCATCAAGTGTAAAAATAAGATCTGCCATACTCCATGAAAAAGAAAAAGAAAGAGGAGAAAAGTAAGTTGGAAAAGGCAGAACCTGAAGAACGCATACAAAAACAGAGGAAGAAAGTGCACATCTCAGGATAACGAAACAATAATACAGCATAAGAGAAGACATTGAGATGGAAAGCTGTATGGCTGACCAGGGAACAATGAATAGTCAAATGTGATGATAAAAGAAGATATATCTTGGAAAGGTGTCAGAATAAGGTTATCAAGAGGGGTCCTGGTTATCATGACCTTAAGCAGAGTAGTTCCCACTTAATGCTCTAGTGCAGCGGTGTCCAATATTTTGACATCACTGGGCCACACTGGAAGAGGAAAAATTGCCTTGGGCCACATTGGAAGAGGAAAAATTGTCTTGATATTAAAGATAGCTGATGAGCAGGAAAGAAAAAGAAGAAGAAGAAGAAAAAGCCTATGCATAAATCTCATAATGTTTTAAGAAAGTTTAAGAATTTGTATTGGGCATCATGTGGGCTGTGGCCAGTGGACCGTGGGTTGAACAAGCTTGCTCTAGGGCAACAGGGACACTAAAGATTTCTGTTTAGAAGGATAATACCATAAAAGCTATGTTTAAGGGAGATTAAGGAAGCCAACTATTTACATGCAGAATGATTCGGAGACCAGAAACAAAGTAAGAAGACTGAAATTTAATAAAACAATCCTAGGAAAAGTAAAAAGTACCCGTAAAAAATAGAGATATTCTGAGTTTTGTTTTTTTTTTTTTGCTGAGGTCAAACACAAATCATCTTTCTAATGTCTTTAAAACAAAAAGTACATTTATCTTCACAAGATGAATATGTTATAAGACATAAATAGTAATAGCATAATATAATTGTATTTACAAATGTAGCTAGAGTTTGCTTCAGGATATTTTTAGAATAACTTATGTTTAATTCCACCATAATTGTGTACCATTACCTGCACAGTTCCTCATGACGAAAGTTCTTAAGCTGATACAAAGGAAGTCTTTAAATGGCTGTGGTTTAGTGAGTCTTACCCACTTCATATAAAGGTGCCTTAGCATTGGGATACAAGGAATTTCAGGAACATTCACCCCTAAAACACAAATATAAAAAAGAACAAACAAGAAAAAAATCACAAAAATATACTATATTTTGCTTATAAGTTCAAGAGTCTATTTTTCATATTAACAGCTTAACCTTCAAGGATTTTTATCCGAACAAATTATACAAAATCTATCAAGTTTGCCTTATTTAAAACAGGCTTACAAAGAACAGTTTACGTAAACCATAAACTGACTTAACTTTTTTAGGAAAGGCCAATGGGAAGATAGAGTTTAAAAAGTATTTCTATGTCTTAGACATGTAAGTCTTTCTCATAATCTTACAACTCTTCTAGGATACGTTTTCCCAGAAGAGGTAAAGTGAAAATGGATTACTGAAAGCAAAACTATAACGATGGAGATGGAACACACAAATTTACTATTTGACTACCAACATCCACTGCCCCCTAGTAGGAGAACTATATTTCTCAGAGCAAAGTCAGCTAGATGGGTTTAAATATGCAAATAGATATCTGGAAGATAGCCAAACACAGAACTTTAAAAGCTGTTTTCTATAAATATATGAATCTTAAGAATTTGTAAATGTGTGGGAGAAGCCAGCCAGCATGGCTCTGAGAAAAGCAGAAACCTGCCAGTCATTTATTTTAGAATTTCAAATTGGTAAAGGTAATTTGATGCATGGGATCCAGGAGTGGCTTAATACTAGGAATCATATCCACAGAGGACCATGACCAGAAGAAGGGAGGTGTAGCGTGAGGTGAAAAAATACAGGAAATATGGATGAAAGAAGATAAAAGCCAAGGAAGGGACACAAATTTATTAAAGAAATCCAAGGATCCAGGATGATGGCATTTAACAAACAGTAGTTGGCAAAACTGTTTAATGCAATTTTTAAATTTGAGACAATAGGAGCTCTGCTAGCAAGAATAACTAGAGAATGTAAAATTGCAGTACTTGAATGGTCAGTTGTTTATAAAGGCTAAATTCTACCAAATGTTCTTATTGTAACCTACAAGGATTACCCCTTAACTTGTTCCTCTCAAAATAGCAGAGTTAAATTTAGTTTGAACTATGCACACACATTGTATAGCAACAAATGGGAAGTAAAATTAAGGATGAGACAAAAGGACAAAAAGCAGAAGTGAGGTACAGATTGAGATGTAAGATGCAGAAGTCACAAAGGTTAAATTTAGCATATATTGTAATACTATGAAGATGGTAGTACTGATTGTACTGATTAGGAAACCCAAGGAAGAAGGGTGAGACAGATGCAGAGAAGACAGTATACCCCAGGCCCAAACCACTTTCTGTCTCAAACAAACTCTATAAACAAAGGACATAACTGCCCATTCTCCTGGTAATGTTTATTTTTATTAATTTACCACACCTCTGCATCACCATAATACAGTGTTAAACTGTTAAATGATTCCCATAAATTAATGCATTTTAATAAAACTTACCCTGTACTTATATTTGCAATGAACTGTGACAGGCATTGTAGAAAATATAAAGATATGGAAATAAGTCTTTGACCTTAAGGAGCTTATATTATAAATTCCAGATATTACAGAATCCTTTTACATCTAAAAATCCAATTTCAAACTAGATATCACTCCCTGATCTTATAAATGAAGGGTTGCTAGAAATCTTTACTCTTCTCCCATAATTGTGTATCTAAGTCTTATTTAAGACCTACTCCTTATCATTCCTGATGCTCTCCCTGTACCACCTGAGTTTCAGAAATTTCCACTTCTTTAGACCATCCCCAATACCTAGAATAATGCTTAAAACACATATACTCTCTCTCTCTCTGTGTATGTGTGTGTATATATACAGAATAAAGTAGTAAACAAATATTAAAGGCCAGCTATATTAACAGGGACCCCCGAATTCCTTTCAGTGGCCTAAGCCAAAGGTGACAAATTTGAGAAAATATTTACACTTTTTACTTAAGTTGAAGTTACTGGTATATAATTTCAAAGAATATTCAGATGGAGAATGTACACTTGTGAAGCAGTATTTCCCTCACACCAGTGGATCTTTAATGGGAAATCGGAATTTTTATACAGATCTTGCAAACATTTATTTTGCAATCATCAATCAACAAAGCCATCTCTAAAATTCTCATTATTCTTTTTCAGTGAATATTCACATTTTATGGCATTTCAAGGAGTTACAAGTGACCCAAGAAACATGTACTCACCAACTAAATGTAAAGTTTGAATTTTGGCTCCTATAGGAATTTTCAGTTTATTTTCAGGAGGAATTGGAAAAGCTCCATTACGATTACGAAATTTCCCCAAAATATGAACATGGGGCATATATGTCCAAATGGATTCTACCAACTCCAAATGAGAAGTTTCCACACCCTAGAAAATAATGCCAAAGCAAGCATAAGAAAAGACTTTAGTTTAGCATCCAAAGCTTTATGTACCACAAGATGCTAAGTACACAATGGAACTTAAAAGTTTGTGACAGATGAGATTTGCATGTGAGTGAACACGTCTATCATTCTTTGGTCTATTATTTCATAAACAGTTGATGCCAAAATGTTCAACCAGGTGCACTCACCACTAAGTTTGGGCATGCCTGCAAAGCTTCTAGGACTCCTGGAATGCTAAAAGCCTCATGGCCCCTTACTCTTCGCCTCTCAAGGTATCGAGGGTGAAGGCCATATAGCTGTTCAACATCTGGCATCTTCTTTAATAGTGTTAGAAAACTGGCATCTGTAAAGCCTGAGAAGTTCAGAAGTATTTAGAGCCAGGTTCATCTTTCTGTTCATTAACATTTACTAGGCACTCGTGATTTTTACCAAAAGTTAAAAAAGACTTCCTCTTCAAATTTCCGTAAAGCTAACACTAAAGCTGAATAAACATAACAGAAAATATACTCCTTTAGTAACAGAGGAAATGAGTCAGAAACTCCACTTAATCTAAGTTAATACTTTATGGAGGAGGCTTTTATTATTGACTTTTTGGTTTTTGTTGCTTTTAAGGCATAGAAATCTTCAACAAAGAACACACTTTTAACCCAGATAACTTGGACCTATTTGGTGGATGGAGTGGGACCACCCACCTGATCACCACCACCCTCCTCCTCCCCCATGGGTACTCTCGTCTGTAAAACCTTCAGGACTCTATAGAACACATAACTAAAAATATAAATAAGATATGATCCTCATCGTTAGGAAGCTCACAGTTCTGACCTAATTCCTATCTCAAATTATTCTATCCATTTTCTAATAATTACTCTGATACTCTGTCATATGTTTAACTATTACTCCCCCGCCATTTTAGACAATTAATTCTTTTGAAAAAGACAGATGCAAGTTAGCTAAGAGAACCAGAGTGATCCAATCTCAGGGTATGCTGTTGATAGGAAGCTATCTATCCAGGAGACCATAGTAGGAATCAACAAGATGGGAACAGAGAGAGGCAGGTTACTTCCACAGCAGGAGCTGTTGGTTAAGTAAGTGGGGAGACAAGTCTCATATAGATCCTATTTTAATCTGTTACAAGGGCTTTTTTATTTTTAATGAAAGTGGTCAGAAAGCCAACTGTCTGCTTATTAATGACAAAGAAAAACATTAACTGTCAAGAACAAAAAGTAGGCCCCAAATATTTAAGTCTTACATACTTTTTTGAAAGTTGTTTTATTTTTAAGTTATCTCATTTAACATGTAAAGTCCAGACATGCTAACTTTAGTGAAGAGTAAGGAGAGACCAGAGATTACTTGGTCTCTAATTATAATAACAGTTCTTATTACTTTCTTGTATAGTAACTTTTAATGACTGAACGATTCAATGTGTTAATCATTTTTTTTCATTTATTCTCACAACCAAATCAGAAAGGTTATCACCCCATATACAAGCATAAAAAATGAAGTTGAGAGAGTTTAAGAGCTTCCAAATGGCAGTGCTGGAATCTAAAACCAAGTGTAACCCCTGCAATGTTTATCCTCTTTTGTCATACATGTTGCCTCCCACGAGAGAAATGGGGAAAGTTCTATCTTCTTTACAGAGATGGAGTGAGAATCCAAAGAGATCATATACGTAAACCATAAAGTACTATTATATAAAGGATCTGAGTTAAATGCCAGATAATAGGCCAAGGTGGCATTAGTGAGCAAGGTTAGTGTGATCTTATCCTAGGCTAGAGACTGTTTGCTTCAACTCTCTTTTACATTCATTGCAAAGATGGGAAGCCTTGGGCTCACAGGTTATTTATCATAGCCTAAAAGTCAGCAACATGCAGTCAAATTCTTCTCTAATTGGTAAGTGGTAGTGATGTTAATGGTAAGACTATATCACATGGGAGTTCTGCCATCCTGTCTTTATATACTGTGTTAATCCCGTCTTCAGAATTCCAGCTGGCCTAACCTTTGCAAAAGTAAATCTAATATAAGGAATAAGACAATCATTTTCACACTGCCCTAATTTTTTTTCTTTCCTGACATACAGGATCATTCTGAAACAAGATGAGATGAGGCTTTTGCCCTTAGAATGGCTTTTATTAAATATCTGAAAGTAACCGTGGTTTGCCTCCCACAAACCTATTAATAAGCTCCAGCCTCAGGTGTTTGCAATGTTCTTTATAAGAAAGTATATATTGATAACTACTATGGCCAGCTGATAAGAGTTACCAACTGATTTGATGACTCTCTTGAAAGGATGCAGCATCCACCTGCACAATTCCAGTATTCCAGAGCTAATCTGTTCTGTTCTATAGAACAGAACAAGACAATTATCTCCTCCAGCCCTTCACTTCTATTAAGGCTTTTTTTTTTATTTTTATTTTTTGGTTCCCCTCTCAGCCTTATCCCATTTTCGAAGTCTCATAATCTGGACATCATAGAAAAAGGATGACTTTAAAAGACAGATTCATAATTGCAAAACAATAGTAACTAAATTTTACCAATTAATGGATTGGCGTTAAGTGAAAAGAAGCCTTAATTGCCTTTTATTTTAACTCTTTCAAGTATGCTTTGCTTAGCTAAAGCCATTAACTTTCTTTTCAGGTGGTCTCTTCAACTGGGAACAATTTGCTGTGGTTAGGAAGCTACTGAGTTCTTCACCTGTAAGGTCAGTCAGTGGCTTATTCGAGAATCTCCAAGACCTACTATAGGTCTTCTAAAGAAATTGGAGTTCTGTGGCCTATTCTACAAAAATGGCAAGTATTTATTTAACTAAAGGGTGCAGTTTAGTTGCAGAGGAAATCTATGATGAAAACTGTTACCATTCACCGGAAAACATGCATCAGACAGTAAAGGACACACAGTGTCTAATGTGATACACATATACTCAATTAACCAAAGGCTCATGTTCTCCAATCACAGATGTGTGGAACAGGCTGATATAGTTACTTAAGGACAGGAAATGAAAAGAGCAGACTATTAAAACAATAAAGCCTCAGGTAAAACGCATTTTACAACCTAAAACCCAACATAAATAATTTAGACAAAATCTTGCCAGCCTACAAGGTGACTTAGATTGCCTTTCTCAAGACAACAAGTAACTTTTTATGAAACCATTGTTACTACTTTCCAGTAGGACACTACTGTACTTCACAGACTAAATCCACTTACCACTTGGCATGTATTCCCACCACCGCCCTGCACAGAGATCTACAACTCTCACAACTCGCAGATATAGGGTCACTGCTTCCTTTAGCTTCCGGGAAAGACATTCCATACACATGATATCCTGCAGAGGGAGGTACCTTTGTGAGAGAAAGAAACTCGTATTTATCAAGTGGATAAGTATTACTTCTCACCAGTAAGTTATTTTTTTTTCCTTCTTCCAATCTCCTACCACTCAAATGAAATAAGATCTTAAGACAGAGATTTAAAGCTACCACACATACGGTCATACAGCTTTTTACTACAAAGGTAAGTCAGCAAATAGTTGAGTATCCAAATAAGGTATTGAGCTCCCTCCACAGGTCATTTGATAAAACCTGCCTTTCTTCTTTTGAGTTTTCATGGACAAAGAAAATCTAAAAACAAACCAGAAAAACAAAGAAAAGAAGAAAAAAAAAAAAACAGTGCTTTTCAAGATGTGATGAGAAAGGAACCTGAGAAAGATCAGAGAGAATTACTCAATTTGAACATGCACAATATTATTTCGTATCTTTTACAGAATCTACTCCTGCAGGGACATTCTGCTCCCTCTCAACTCCACCATCCTGCTCCTGCAAACTCTACTATCTTCTCCATCAACAAATATGTATACTAGTCATATAGTACACAATTTCTTTTCCCATTTTTTTTTTTTTTTTAACCTTTAAGGTCACATACACTGATAAAAGTATTGCGTAAAGTATTAAGACACCTCATGTGAATTACAACTTCCTCTTTTCCATTCTTCTTTATTATCTTTTCCTGAAACTTTCAATTAATCCTGACTTTTGTTCTGTTATATATTCTGAAAGGTCTATTTTTCTCTTAAGACCCCTCCACACATGCCTAGATTAATTAAATGTTTTGAAAAGTTAAAGCTACCTTTACCTACTGAACCTGTATTGCGTCACATTCTACTCATTGTTTCACAACAACCTTAAGAGGTAACTAGCTGGTTCCTGTTTGGCATACAACTCTCTCCCAGTCCTTTATCTCCCCCTCTCTGACCTGCTGTGTTCCCTACCCCTCTCTGGCTGTTAACTTTAGCCAATGAGATGCACCAGCTGGAGGGCTCCAGGTGGCAATGCTGCCTTTCTACTGCTGCTAATCCCCTAGACAAATTCTTCATCATCCCTTACTTGTTCCCTAAACTCCATCTACATCTCTGTAAATAGTCCCTTCATTAAATTATCTTCAAATTCCAGGTAAGTGTATTTTCTGTTATCTGCTGGCACTTCACTGACATAGTATACACTATTATTACTCCATTTTATAAGTGCTGAAATTAGCTCAGAAGAATTAAACCTGCAAAATGTCACATGGCTAGGTAAGAGGGAGAAAGGGTCAGGAATGGCAAACACAGTTTTGTCTGACACTAACTCTTAACAACACTGCTAATTCTAAAAGAAAAGTCCACATATACCTGTTGAATATTTAGCAGATCCATTTATTTTTTCTACTTCTCGTCCCTCTTCTTACCCCTTTAAAATGATTTAAATCAAATATTATACAAAATAAATCATCACTGCTAGCCATAACTTAATTTACTCTATAACTTAGATTATAAGCAGAATTTTTCAGAAACATGACAACACATTTTATAAACAATGAAAAACATTAAATTTGCTTTCTAAATAAATTTTGCCACTGTAATATTTTTCTCCTAAATATTGTTATCCAATGTATTTGCCTAGGTTAAAATTCTACTCCCTTTAAATACAAACAGACCAATAATCACAAAATCAAGATTATTTTACATCATATTTTCCCTAAGAAGTAGCATATTTTTTCTTCATAGTTATATAGTCAAAGGACTAGAGTTCAGAAGACAGATCAAATATAACACTTTAGAAAAGAGAGCATAGCAGGGACAGCAAAGATTAGGTTTCTTTTAAGGAAGGCCATAGTTTTTCTTGTTTTATGAAGACATGCTATGTAGTTACTACACCACCACAATGAATCCTCAAATCAAAATTTTAGAAGACTAAAAAATGAAACAAAATTGTTTGTTTTTAGAATAAACACATGAAGTTCAAGAACTAAGTTCATGGTTCTTTCTACGTGCTGTCAAATGCTGTTTTCTCCACTGTAACTACCATTATATATTGACTTGATTCTACCCTTTCCATTTGAATATTCTGTTTGAACTGCACAATGTTATATGATCTATTTTCAATTTAGATTATGGTCCAATGGCCAGGTGTGGTGGTGTATGCATGTAATTCCAGCACTTTGGGAGGCCAAAATGGGAGGATTGCTTGAGGCCAGAAGTTAAGACCAATCTAGCCAACAAATCAAGATCCTGCCTCTACCAAAAAATGAAAAAATTAGCCAAGCGCAGTGGTGTGCGCCCCTAAGGCAAAAGGATTGCTTAAGCCCAGGAGTTCAAGGTTGCAGTGAGCCATGGTCATACCCTGCACTCCAGCCAGAGTGAGACTCTGTCTCAAAAATATATACATATTATATATTGTCCAATTTTTTCACAATATATCCTAGCATTATCCAACTTTATCCCTAGATGCAATTTTACCTATGTGTTCTTAAAGAATTTTGAAGGATTTGTTTAATTCACTGACCCATTTTGAATTTAGCTGTAAGACATGAGATAAAAATGTGCTTTTATTTTTTTCTCCAAATGGTTTGTAGGTTGAGACATCATTGCTGAATAGTCCACCCAACTTTTCCTCACTGATGTGAATACAACCTTGTCATAAACTAGATCTCCACATGTATTTGAATGGAGCCTATGTTTGTCTCCTTTACCCAACTGTCCAGCTTTCTTTTCCAAAACATTTTAGAATGTAATTGAACATCTGGTAGTTGCAAGACTCTTTTTCTGAAAATTTTTGGCTATTCTGACAGACTTTTTTTCTGCCAGATGAACGTTAATATCATTTTGTTCTGTAAAAAAAAAATCTATCATTTTAATTTGGTCTTCTAATCCCAGACAGAACTGAACTAGCAAAAACTACAATGTGTCACAGAATAACGAACTGCAGGAAATAATGACATACACATTTATATTAGAAAAAAAAATACAGTGCTTAGGATCTCCTAAAATAACTGTTATTGCTATTTTAAAACTTCATAATCTGCAAATATTCATTTGTAGAAATTCAAAACATTCCTAAGAACTTCATATATGGAAATTTTTCATAGGTAAACTACCTAAAATAATGGAAAATCCAGATGCTTAGAGAAGTTTATTGCAACCATAATTGCAGAAAACAGAAAAACTGAAAACTATCTAGATGTCAGACAAGGGAAATGATAAGTACCATGTTATTTATACATTCCATAGAATAGTAAGCAGTAAAAAAAAAATTATGAAGACCATGTAGCAATATGAAAAAAAGCAGAATAACCATTAACATTTACCAAGCATTTATGCTTCAGTTTGCTAAGTGTTTAATGCATTATCTCACTGAATCCTAATAATATTGCTATTATGTCTATCATTAGTCTAGAGCTAGCAAATAATAGACCCAGGATTCAAACTCAGGTCTCTAATTTCAGAGACAAAGTATGTTAGAATTTGCTTATTTGAATTATATAAATAAGGACAATAATTGAAAGAAGAGAGCAGTGGAAACTAGAATGACAGCTTTCCCTTTAAAAAAAAAAAAACAGTTGTTATAATGCGGTTTGGGTAAAAATATAATTTTTTTAGAAGTCTTTTTGTGTTGTGTTCATCATAAAACAACTTTAATGTATGCACTGCATTTAGTTATGATGGGTATTATCTCAGAAAACTTAGTTACAATCACTTACATGTTATGTTTCTCACTGTGGGTTGTAGTCAGAAAAAGTCAGAAACACTGCCTTATATTGTGCAGTGTAAACACACAGTACTGTTATAATGCAGTAACAAAAGTCAACAAATCTATTAGCCAATAAAAATCCCAAGAAGCCTAGAAATGTTAACAGTCTAGAGAAAGGCTGTCCAACAGAACTATATGTGACAAAAGAAATATTTTGTCTATACTCTGTTGTCCTATACACCGTGTCCACTAGCCACATATGGCTACTAAGCACTTGAAATGTAGCCAGTGCAACTGACGAACTAAATTTTACATTTTTACTTAATTGAAATGTAAATGCTGCATGTAGCTGGTAGCTACCACATTAGACAGCACTGCCTCAGGGTTTGCTCTTATCCATTCCAGGCAGGTAAGCCAACCAAACACAATCTTACCTAAAAATATGGCAAAGTACTTCATGTGAAAGTTGATTCATATAGTCCTTTGTTTCATCTGCTGTCATTTCTTCTGGAATTTCATTATTCATGATACATGTTTTCACACTTTTCTTTCGTGGCCCCATTGTTGTGCAGTCTCCAGTATCAACGAGAAAATCTTCCCTTTTGTTTACTTGAGTTCAAAGTACCTGAAAAGCAAACAGAACGAAGTAGACTAAAAAAACACACCCCCTACTAAAACCCAGGTTAAACAATGTTTATTTTCAAACACACACAAGCAGAGGTATCATAATGGTACACATCACATTCAAATTAATAAAAATATTAATTTGTTCTGTGCAAAAAGCACAGAACATCTTTTTCTCAAGATGAGTGGATAATCAACTTCTGAAGATAATATAAATATGCATTACTTAGAAAGAGCAAAAATCCAGGAATCATGAGTATTGTGCTTTAATTTGTACTGTTGCTTCTTAGCTTATTCACTCAATTTCTCCAAGTATCAATTTCTTCATATGTAACGTGTGATCATTAAATGAGGAATCAAAACCTCTTCCAGCTCCAGGAGCTTGTGGTTCTTTCTAGGACTGACCCTAACATAGTGGAAAGGAGAAGAGATTCTTGGGTTCTAATCTTGATTCTGCCCCAAATTATTTCTATAAACTTGCATCAATCTTTAAAATTCTTCATTCTCTCACCTATAAAGTCAGAGATTAGATTAGTCATGGACCCCTTTGTGAATCTGATAAAAACTAGAGAACTCCTAAAAAATAAACACAAGCTTATATACAACTTCAGAGAAAGAATGAAACATCCCTTCTCCCTCTCTTGTGAATATTGACATGGTATTTCACTTTTGCATCACATGCATATTTTGTTTTTAAAATAAGCTTTAGAGAAGGATGAAAAGAGAAAGAAAAGAGGGGAGAGAGGAGGAATGGAGAGGGAAAGCAGGGAGAAAATGGGTTGCATGAGCACCCAGATGGTTTTCTGTTCTATTGATCAGCATGTGGAGTTAACACCTTGATTGTCAAATTGTCTAGGAATATTTTAATAATGTTGGTACAGATATAGGGAAGTTTATAGGAAATATTGGTCTCTTTTATATTAATGGCTTTGTAGATGGAGGAGGCACAGGATGACAGCTGAAAAGAGGTGCATTCAGATTCATTTAAATATGCCTTGGCACATTTATTTTGAATACCACTTATGTACTCTGGGCCCATTGTAAACAAACGGCCCAGAGTTAAGTGGAGATACACAATTAAATAACCACGCAAATGAGCTCAGAATTGCACACGGAGATAACTGCTGCAAAGACAGTAAACACAGTTGTGAAGCCTCATATAACAAAGGGGCCTGAGTCACTAATGGTTCTCCTGAGGGAAAGACAATTGAGCCCATAACTGAAGGGAGAGCAGGAATTAACACTGCAAAAAGTAGGAAAGAACTCACTAGGAGAAAGGCACCTGGTGGGCAGAGGGTACTTTAAGTATATGCAGTTCCTGAGGTTTTTTTTGCCTCAGCAGTAAATGGACACTCTACTAGGCTAAGTAAATCTTCATCATTTCTTCTGCCTGTGTGTGTGTGTTCTGGTCTCTTCTTCCCTCACTGAAAGGTTATGTGCTATTTACTTCTTGAGGCTGTCAGCATGCTTGCCTCTCATCACACACACACACACACACACACACACACACACACACACACACACACCCCTCTTCTGTTGTTTCTAACCAGTACGGCCTGAGAAACCAGAGAAATCAATGTGTGTGGACTGGTATATGGGCTATGCTACCCTGAATTTGTGACATGTGTCTTAACTTCTCAGAAGCTTACTCCTATGTTGTCTATCACATTTTGGCTAAGAGGCCTCCGGAAAAATAAAGTTCATACTCAGAACTGCCCAAGCTAAAAGAAAAGCTATAAATAAACTCACCTGCTTCTGATTAACCACTGCCCACCTTTTCTTGTTTACTGCCCTGCCTCCTCCAAATGAATCTTTCCATCTTATGATAGCTCCTGAAACCTCTAAGGTTACATTGAACATGTAGTCAACAAATCCAATAGCCTCTTTCCAGTGCTTCCCCATCTGACCCATTTGTATTATGGGACACCGCTGACCACTCCTTTGAAACCCTCTCATCCTTTGGCTCCGAAAGTGATATTCTCGATTCTTGTCGTTCCTCTATGACCACTGCTCAGTCTCCTTTGCTAATTTATCCTCGAGCCCTCTTCTCCCTGGGCAATTGTACTCATTCCCAAGGATTTAGCTATTACAAATACACACACACACACACACACACACACACACACACACACAAAGAAAAGCAAAAAAAGAAAAAATTTCCAACTCTACTTCTTACCTCTCCTGAGCTCTGAACTTTATTTCCTCTGCCTATCAGAAATTTTCACCTCAATAACTTGAACATCCTTCAAAAACACTATGTTCAAAATGAACTCCTTCATATCACGAACCCTCCCCCTCCCCAAAACAAAGATACACAGATATATACAAATAAACACACCTATTTCCCTAATGTGTTTTACTGAATTCCTGAATTGTAAACCTTGAAATCATCCTAAATATATTCTGATTTCTCATTTCCCACAGACAATTGATGGGCTATTTTTATCAATTTTATCTCAATACAGTTCTTACATCCATTCCCATTACCTTTTGGGACTCCATTAACATTCACGTGCACTACGGAAATGGCTTCCTAAATGATACCCATCACTGTATCCTCAGGGTCGAGGAAAAGCTTAGCAGACACTATGCCTGCCATAAGTAATTTATTGAATAAATGCTTACCATGCTATACTCTATACTGAAGCCAGTTATCTTTTTAAAACAGTCTCCTGATTTATAGTGTTAAGTGAAAAAAGCAAAACACAGACTACATCTAAAGTATGATTCTAACAACAACATAATTTTAAAAATTAAAAAGATTACCCCCTAAAACTTTTTTTAAAAAGTATGATAAAAAAGACAAATATACTGTGTCTGCATACAACATTTTATGAAAGAAGACAACAAAATATTAACCGGTAACCTTTGAGGAGTGATAACAGAGGTTTAGGAAAGCAGAAAAAAACTTTTACTTTTCACTTCATATTATTCTCCATCATTTGAAATTTTCAGATTGTTTTTAAGAAGTACAATATACATGGCCAAGCAAAACAAAACAATCGGCCTACAAGGAATCCTGGTTCAGAGGATAAAATATTTCCAATCTAATCTCAAAACACCAGATGTTCCAATCTTATCTTCTTCCAATCCTTACCACTTGCTCTCAGTATACTCACTCTAGCAGACCAGTATCTTCTTAGTTCCCCCAAACAACCATTGGTGTTTCATTCCTAATATGCTTTTAACTCTGACTGGAAATGTCCTTCTTTTCCCTACTTTGCCTAGAAAACTGCCTGTAAAAATCTAGCTTAAATGTAAGTCCTCTGTAAAAGCTTCCCCTACTGACTCCTTCATTTGAGCTCCCTGTGGGACTTAACATATGCTTCCACAGCAGTTTGTGTAGTGATTTATTAGTCATGTTTCTGCTAAAAAATCTTGCCTCTAGGTGACAACAAGTCCTTGCTCACAATATATCCTCAAATATCTAATGTATGAATATCCACCAGTCTTTCCATTATTCTATATACATCCAGTAGCTTCGAGGCTGCTGCTAAAAACCATTTCATGCTCTTATGAGACGTTTGCTACCACAGCATTCAATGATCTCAGCAACAAACTTATAACCTAGACAATAATGCAATCAGATTTTACTGCAGTGACACACCTAACAGCTACTCTGTAGCATGTAAAAGCCTCAACAGGACGATTAACCAGCAAAGACTAATCCACCCACAAATTACCTAGATGCTCAGACCAATCCACCAGTTGTTATACTTTAGCACATGTTCAGCTTTAAGAATCTTGACAATCCTTCATCGAGATGATGCTCGATTCTTTATTCCTTTAATAAAAAGCTTTTTTTTAATCCCTTCTTCCTCCTTTTTCTTCCTCAAATTCACACCACCTAATAACACCTTCCTCTACTGATTCCACCTTTGATTGTTCCTTAGGATTCTGCAATGTGGTGCTTTTGTGTGAATTAGATTTAGTAGCCCTAGTGCACAAACTATACGTAAATTTTTAGACTAAATACCCTGCACCTTAAATATCATTGAGTTTATAAAACTCCACTTATTGAGAGTTAACAAATATTTACTCACAGAAATGATGTTATACAATATTATACTGAGGTTAGATCTCCAGGAAGCTGACAAAAACCTTCTTAACCTACAATATCCTTTAACACTAACTAGCAAAAAGCCTAAATTTTAAATTAGCAGGACTGACAAAATTTTAGGTAAAACTATTCCTGTTTCTTACATCACGGCTAGAATTGAAGACTTGGGTCTTTTAGTTCTTACCAGGCAGGTGAATAGTGAGGCCCCTACCCTAAGCCTATCGTGGGGAAGGAACTTGTGGAGATAAACACTAGGGTAAAAGAAAACATCTCTATCTTATATATAGGAGATTGACAGGACTTATAGCCTGGAGAAATCTAGCAGCCTTCTCAAGTCCAAGTAGATGTCTCTGAAAATGTTCAGGAGATAAAAAGCTTCCTCGGTCAAAAAATATTTTATTTTCCCCCACCCTTACTCAGTCTTGATAAAGGACAACAAAGTTGCTTCAGCTAAAGTTGGCTTCATCTTCATTTAAGTGAAATACCCAGCTGGGCTATGCTGAGTATTTCATCTCAGGTACTGATGAATAGGGACCTGGTTTCCCTATATGAGAAAGAACACTTGAAATTCACACACCACAAGTCCCAAGTAAGTGGTGATGGTACCTTTTTTTTTTTTTTTCTTTAAGACAGAGTCTCGCTGTGTTGCCCAGGCTGGAGTGCAATGGCGCGATCTTGGCTCACTGCAACTTCTGCCTCCTGGGTTGAAGAAATTCTCCCACCTCAGCCTCCCGAGTAACTGGGACTACAGGCGTATGCCACCACACCCGGCTAATTTTTGTATTTTTAGTAGAGACGGCATTTCACCATGTTGGCCAGACTGCTATCGAACTCCTGACCTCAAGTGACCCACCCGTCTCAGCCTCCCAAAGTGCTGGGATTACAGGCGTGAGCCACCACGCCCGGCCGGTATCCCTTTTTAATGTGCACCCTTTCTCTTATTTGCTTTTCTTTTTAGTTGGAAGAGGAACCAAAGAAAGTGAGGAGAAAACTGCCATCACTAGCCTTGTGTTTTTTTCTCACTCCTACCTCCAAAATACCACTTGCCACTAAACACCCTGCCTTCAACTCACTTGAGAAACTCAGTAATGCAGAGAACGTACAAAGCAGTAGTAGGTTAAAAAAGAAAGAGTAAAGGAGGGGAAAGTCCAGTTATCGGCATTAGAGAAAGATGACTTGGAGGAAGTCTTGCTGAGAAGTCATGGAGCATGAGGGACAGGTGAATACAGGTATACCTTAATTGTGATTCACTTTACTGTGCTTCAAAGATAATGTGTCTTTCACAAATTGAAGGTCTGTGGCAACACTGCGTCAGGCAAGTTTATTGGTGCCCTTTTTCCAGCAGCACATGCTCACTTCATGTCTGTGTGTCACATTTTGGTAATTCTCACAATATTTCATATCCTTTCATTATTATTATATGTGTTACGGTGATCTATGATCAGTGATTTTTGATGTTACTACTTTAATTGTTTTGGAGGTACCACAAACCATGCTGTATAAGATGGCAAACTTGATTGATAAATATGGTGTCGTTCTAACTGCTCCACTGGCTAGCTGTTCTTCCTATCTCTGTCCCTCTCCTTAGGCCTCCCTATTTCCTGAGACACAATGATATTTAAATTAGACCAATTAAGAACTCTACAACGGCCTCTAAGTGTTCAAGTGAAAGGAAGAGTTGAGCATCTCTCACTTTAAATCAAAACCAAGAAATGACTAACCTTAGTGAGGAAGTCATGTTGAAAGCCAAGACAGACCAGAAGCTAGGCTTCTTGTGCCAAACATTAGCTAAGTTGTGAACACAAATAAAAAGTTCTTGAGAAAATTGTTACTCCAGTGAATAAACAAATGATAAGAAAGCAAGACAGCCTATTGCTGATATACACAAAGTCTGAGTTTTATGGACAGAAGTTCAAACCAGCCACATTCCCTAAGCCAAAGACTAATCCAGAGCAAGGCCCTAAGTCTCTGCAATTCTATGAAGGCCGAGAGAGGTGAGGAAGTTTTAGAAGAAAAGTTGAAAGCTAGCAGAGGGTGGTTCATGAGTTTATGGAAAGACGTTGTCTCCATAGCGGAAAAGCACAAGGTGAAGCAGCAAATGTTGATGGAGAAGCTGCAACAAGTTATCCAAAAGATCTAACTTAGATAACGGCTGAAAGTAGCTACACTACACAACAGATTTTCAGTACGTACAGCCTTCCATTGGAATAATATTCCATATCAGATTTTCACTGCTAGGGAGAAGTAAATGCCTAGCTTCAAAGGGCAGGCTGATTATCTTGTTAGAGAATGCAGCTGGTGACATGAAGTTGCAGCCAATGCTCACTAACCATTCTGAAAATCCTAGGGCCCTTCAGAATGATGCTAAATCTACTCTGCCTGTGCTCTATAAAAGGAACAACAAAGCCTGAAAGACAGCACATCTGTTTACAGTATAGTATACTAAATAAGACTTCTACTAAGATCTACTGCTCAGAAAAGTTTCCTTTTAAAATATTACTGTTCATTGACAATGGACCTAGTCATTCAAGAGGTCCATTAGATACACAAGGAGATTAATATTGTTTCCATGCCTGCTAACACAATATCCATTCTGCAGCTAATAGATCAACTAGATCAAGAACTTTCAACTTTCAAGTCATATTATTTAAGAAACAAATTTCCTGGCTGGACCCGGTGGCTCACACCTGTAATCCCAGCACTTTGGGAGGCCGAGGCAGGCAGATCACAAGGTCAGGAGCTCGAGACCAGTCTGGCCAACATAGTGAAACCCCATCTCTACTGAAAATACAAAAATTAGCTGGGTGTGGTGGCATGTGCCTGTAATCCCAGCCACCTGGGAGGCTGAGGCAGGAGAATTGCTTGAACCAGGGTGTCAGAGGTTGCAGTGAGCCAAGATCGTACGACTGCACTCGAGCCTGGTAACAGAGCTAGACTCCATCTCAAAAAAAAAAAAAAAAAAAAGAAATAAATTCCCTAAGGCTATAGCTGCCATAGACTGTGATTCCTCTGATGGATATGGGCAAACTAAATTCAAAACCTTCTGGAAAGGATACACATTCTAGAAGCTGTTAAGAACGTCTGTGATTCATGGGAGGAGGTCAAAATATCAACATTAACAAGAGTTTGGAATCCAGTCCTCATGGATGACTCTGAGGGATTCAAGACTTCTGTGGTTATAGGAGGAGCAGGATTGAAATAATAAACAACAAAAGACATCAGTGGAGGAAGTCGCTGCAGATGTGGAGGAAATAGCAAGAGAACTACAATCGGATGTAGAGCCTGAAGATGTGACTGAATTGCTGCAATCTCATGATAAAACTTGAACAGATGAGAAGTTGCTTCTTATAGATGAACAAAGAAAGTGGTTTGTTGAGATGAAATCTACTTCTGGTGAAGATGCTGTGAACATTATTGAAATGACAACAAAGGATTTAGAATACTACATAAACTCAGTTGATACGGCAGCACCAGGGTTTGAGAGAACTGAATGTAATTTTGAAAGAAGTTCTACTGTGAGTAAAATGCTATCATACATCGCATGTTACAACAAAATATTTCCTAGAAGGAAGAGCCAATCAATGAGGCAAACTTCACTGTTGTCCTAAGAAACTGCCAAGCCACCCCAATGTTCTGCAACCACCACCCTGATCAGTCAGCAGCCACCAAGACAGAGACAAGATCTTCCATTAACAAAAATATTATGACTCGCTGAAGGCTCAGATTAATTGTTAGCATTTTTTTTAAATTAAGTACTTTAAAATTATGGCGTATACATTACTTTAGATATAATGCTGTTGCACACTTGATAGATTATACTACATTGTAAAATATAACTTCTATATACACAGGGAAACCAAAAACTTTGTGACTTGCTTTATTGCAGTAGTCTGGAACCAAACCTGCAGTATCTCTGAGCTATGCCTGAATAAATAAGGAGGAGAGTATTATATATAAAGACTATACTTTGCGGTACCAGGTGTTACCTATAGGCTTAGCAACTTCTAGACCCTAAGACTCTGAACCTTAAGGAAATGTCAGAAATGACAGAATTACAGAATCCCAGAATGTTAAAAGTTGAAGAGGACCAGAGACACTACCTAATCACACAGTTCTCAATTTTTTGTGGGTCACAAACCCATCTGAGAATACGATGAAAGTGGCACATCCGTTTTCCAGACTCATGCAAGCAGAAATACATACACGATTTCAGGGGGTTCATATTCACAGACATCGAAGCTCATCTAGTGATCCCAAATTTTTAAGATGAACAAACAGAACCAGAGAGGATAAGGTGACAAATCACTTGCCCAAGATTAAATAGTGTCAAGGTTCAGGCTGGGATACAGACTTCCCAGGTTACAGTAAACATTCTATCATCAAGTCAGTCCTCTGTCACTGTGGTTGTCTTCCTGCATTCCAGAGCAATGCCCTAGTGCTTGGAGAAAGGCTTCTAGATGCTCTGATAGAACTGCATCTGACCACACCCTACCTTCACCAATTAGGATTTATGGTCCATTTAATTTAGGCTCCCATGCAGTGGTCTATGGCCACCTTTGGTATATTACAGTCACTCTGTGGCTGCCTGCTTAGCTGACCTTAGCCACAGGAAGCATTACTTTTGTCTTGGTGTTGCAAGCACATTCTTAAACCAGAGTTGTTTCCAAAAAGTGTTCTCCTATCTCGTCAATTCAAATCTCCTTCCCATCCCAAACTCAAATTACTTTTCTTTACCCTCGTGAAAAATACCCCCTCTCACTTGAAACTTCCCTATATTCTCAATGATCCTATCTGGTCAAGGGCTTCCCTGCCCTTCAAGTTTCTCATGCCTTTCTTTAGTTTCTATTGGTTTCAGCTTGCTCATATCAAAGTAATCTTGCATATCACTTAATTTGACCTCACAGACCTTAATTGACATCATAGACTATCTTGTGTATCTACTGACCAGGACAGCCTCTCTTGTCTAAAGAAATACCACACCACATAAACCAAACTGCTCAGATAAAAACCACACACAAACAAAACAAAACAAAAACCCCCCAACAGGATGATGGTGCTGAAAAAGGCCTAGGAATCATCCAGCTCAACCCTTCGTTTTACAGATAAGGAAAGTGAGGCCTAGAGATGTTAGATGGCTTGTCCAAAGTCACAGAGGCAGGATGTACCAGTGTGAAGCAGGGATACAGGTCTTCAACTCCTTTTTAATTTTATTTCACTATACCACCTTATTTCATTTTAGTATACCACCAATTTTACTTCACTATATCACCCTATCTTACTGGAATCTAGTTGTCCCTTTTTCTCCTCTGCTATGCATTAGTATCTGTTTGACTAAATATAAAGTGTGTACCTCTGGGCACACAGCCATTTAAACAAAGAGGCACACAAAACTCTACATTCTTTACCCAAGGAGGACATCAGAATTACAGCATCACATATTTTAAAGAGGGGAAAGAAGGCTTACAGATAATCTAAAATGTTAATTCTCAAAATGAAAGTTAAAAATTACAAGCGGATTTTTTTCAGTCTATGCCTATGTAATACATACCCTCCAGACTGGACCTCCTCCTTCCCTGGGAAAATCATGGCTTTATAGAACTATTATTTTATCCTTCACTTGTGCTGGGGGAATGGGAAAGGGGATTAAAAACCAGTGACCTAATCCAACGTCTTCCTTTAGCAGATAAAAAAATCTCAAGTTCAGAGAGAGGAAGGGATTTGGCCAAAGTAAACCATCAAGTTAATAGCAACTTTGGAACAAAAATCAAGGTCTCCTGTTTTTCACTTTGTAGTGATTTACACTGCTGGTTTAGGTGTATAAAACAAAGTTTTCTGGACAGAGCTTCTCATTGCACAGGAACCTTCCTAAGTGACCAGTTGCCCTTGGCCAGCTTGGTGTCTGCAAAGAAACACGGTAGACATCTCTTAGTCAAATTCTGGGTGTGCAGAGTGCAGGGAGAATATGCTTTTCAGGTCTGTAAAGACTCCATGAAAAGGGAGTTAAGAATCTGATTTCCACAGCTAGGGCACGGACATCAAAGGCATCCAACACAGATAAGCAAACTGCAGCACAGAAAAGCTAATGGACCTAGACAAGGTCACACGGTGTGTAGGTGGAAGGGGTGAAACTAGAATTCAGGGCTCCTGATACTCAGGCGTGGCAGCCAAAGATGTGTTCACTGCTTCCTGCTCAGGGACATCTCCTCACTACGCTGAACACAGACCTCCTTCACTTTACTGGCCGAAACACCGACTTAACATTAAAATCATGAAATTCGTGACGCCCGGGGTGGGAGACAGTCACAGAAGCTGTCCAGTCCAACACCCTCACCCATTTCATTGAGGAAACTGGGGCCCAGAGAGAGTTCTTTATGCTGGATTTTGGGGCCAGGTTCAGACAAGCAGGCAACCCCCGCAAGCACGGCCTAGAAGGCCAGGAACTACAAATTCAACCCCTGATCTCTCAAGGAGCTCTAGGCCCCAAGGGGGCCAGAGGCCGAGCTTAAGCGGTCGGAAGTTCCAGAATCCCCACCCAGCTACCTCAGCCCTGCCGCACGCACTCCGGGCTTTGCCACCCCGCTCCCGGTCCCCAGGCCCACTCAGCCGCCGCCTCACCTACGCCGACCCTCCGCCTGTTATTGTGGTTGAGAGGGAGGGACGCTACAGACACTTCCCCGGCCCCTACCGCTGAGGCACTTCCGCTTCCGCCGCCGCTCGCATATTTCCGGAGTGTTGTCATCCGGGGCTGGAGCCTCAAACCCGTGTCCATATTGTGTGTGTGAAGAAGCATCGAAGCGCGGCAGCCATGTTCAGCGTGGCATTTCGGAAGGCTTGTCAGGGGTGGAGAAGCGGGGCGGGTTGCTGTTCTTTCACCTGACACTAAAGCGCCATGCCGGAAGCACTGAGTCTGATACGTCGGAACCAGTCTCCACCGTGTGGTTTGGTCTTGATTTCCACTGGTACTCTGGGGTCTTGGATAAGTCTCTGGACCTCGCCTTTGTCATTTGCGAAGTCGATAGGTTCCAATAGAGATTTTCCCAGAATCATTCAACTAAAAATAGAGAACTTTTTTTTTTTGAGAGGAAGGACGGGGGCGCAGTTAAAGATGTTAATGTTAAGTCATCCCTTCTGTGATTTCGGGACATTATCTTTGCACGTAAGTAATAGTATTTTACAGTCCAAAGGAATTTCACATGAGTGTCATTAAAAACTCTACACGACTCTGACATGTAGGCAAGGATCAACTTAATCACCTTTTCTGTTGTTTAATGGATAAGGAATTGTCTTCAGAGAGTGTAATTGATTTTCACAATGTCTCGCAGATGGACTGAAATTCAGATTTTTACCTTTTACATCCTGTGTTCTTGCCCTAATATACATGTAATTAATATGGGCTAAAATCCCTAGATTTAAATAGATACAAATACTTCTTAGGAAAGTTAGTGTGCATTAAAGCCATGTGAGACACAATTTGACAAGACGTAGCATTGACTAGGCTATTCTGCTGGAGAAGAAAAAGCTGAAGAAGGCTTGGGAATCCCATTTCTTCTTATTCTTTTCTTGATTGATAGCAGACCTACTGGTTTTTCCCCTCTTTCCCCAATATGGTTCGGCACCTTAGGTTTCAGCTTGTCTTAGGCAGTCACAGTTTTAGCTATCCCATTCCGTATGTCAAACCATATATCTGTGTTTTTATTTGGAGCTCTGGTAGGACAAACAAAACAAAACCTCATCATATTCATGTACTATTCATTGTAATCTCAGCTTTCATGTTACATTCTTCCTGTAATTGAAGACAAAAATGAATTTTTATGCTATTTGCTTCTGTCGGTTTCTTCATATTCAAACTTTAATAAAGGAAACAGACTTTAGCTTTTTCTGTTTCCCAGGTTATTCTGAAGAATAAATAGGAATTACGAAAGTTTCTAGTGCAGGGCATGGCATATTTAGAAGGCATTCAGTAAGATTTATTTCAGCACAATTGGCCTGAATTTTTAATTCAATGGAATATGATTTTCATTTTATTAGCATTCCTCCTTTTGTAAAAAGCACTGTAGTGGGACCTGAAATGAATACTCATGAGTAAGAAAGGTTTCCTACCTCAAGTTTAGAAAATTTCCTACCACAAATCATTGTAATAAATGTTAAAGATATTTTCTCACTGCTATGAGTGTTATATATAATAAGATATCAAAACTAGTTTTAACATTTTCAGGTAGAGCATGTTATATGTATCCCTTCATCTCTAGGATTTATTTGTACCTTGATGTTACAGGTTTTCATTAAAAAGGTCCTGAGTTAGTATTTCTCCTGTACAGTGGCACCATCATGGGGTCCCTGAGCGCTGCAGGAAAGTTTGCCCTACAGTAAATGACCTTAAACCGCTGTGTTGTTTTAATTTTCAATCCCCACTTTTTAATTAAATTCTAAAGTATCTCTTTTCATTCTTCCATGAGTTCTAGTATCAGCCCGTGTTCTTCCTTGAAATTCCTTAGGTACCTAAACAACAGATAATCCCTTTGTTAAAATGATGACTAATACTCAAGAGAAGTTTTGGTCAGGGATAGTGGTTGGAGTTTGCTCAGGACAGGTTCATATGGCTATGGAGCCTGTTCAGTGCACAACTGCAGAAGGTGCTATGCATATCAAGGCTATTCTTAACTACCCTTAGACTTGGCGTATATGGCAGAACTCCACTATGAATTCAAATACAGGATTTTTTTTGAAGGTAAAAAGGAAAAAAAAAAACTATTGTAGCTGTTTTGACTGAGAAGTTGTGTATTTAGTAGTCAGCAATGCAGGCTTTAGAACCAGAAAGACTTGGTTAACTGTGAGTTCCTCTGCTTACTGGCAGAGAGACAATGGGCAATCACTTCAGCTCTAAGGTTCAGGTTTCTTTAAAATAGACATTATGGTACCTACGTAACAAGTCACTCCAGAATTTAGTGGCTAAAAATTTTATCTGCCCTGATTCTGTAGGGTAACTGGGTTAGGCTGGGCAGTCCTAGCTTGCAGTCTCTGGCATTTACAGTCAGATATCAAACTGGGGCTGTAGTTAATGTCAGCCTCTAATAGATGTTATATTGATGGCAGTTGAGGCTGGCTGATCTCTAGATGCTCAGTTGGAGCTATTTATCAGAGTGCCTACACTTGGGCTTTCCCTCTGATTTGGGTTTCTTATACCGTGGTGTTTGGGTTTTGACAGGGAGCACTTGGAGGTAGAATGGGAAAAAAGGGAGCTGTTCCAAGCAAAACAGGAGGAAGCTACAAAACTTCATATAATGTAGCCTCTGCAGTCCCAGGAGTGACTTCCATCACGTCGTGTTAGGTCAAAAAAGCCACTAAGCCAGCCCAGATTCAAGAGAAGAATAAGAGTCCACCTCTTAATTGAAGATGTAGCAAAGACTTTGTGGCCATCTGTAATTTACCACACTACCTCATTGTTTTTAATTTTTAGATTTTTGGATGTATGAATATTAGCACAAGCATCAAAAAGTAAGGCTTGTAGTCCCTCCAGCCCAGTCTTGCATTTGTGCATGAATAATGTCATACATTATTTTTTAAGAAAAATTGTGGCAAAATATATATATTTGTCATTTTAACCTCTTTAAGTATACAGTTCAGTGGAATTATGCACATTCACATTATTGTGCAAACACCACCGCCGCCAATCATCATAACTTTTCTATCTTCCCAAACTGAAACTCTTTAAACAACAATTCCCTATGCTCTCCTTCCCCCAGTCCCTGGCAGCCACCATTCTACTTTTTGACTCTATGATTTTGACCACTCTAGGTACTCATATAAGTGGAATCATAACAATATTTGTCATTTTATGTCTGAATTTTTTCACTTAGCATAATATCTTCAGGGTTCATCCATGTTGTAGCATGTATTTAGAATTTAATTCCTTTTTAAATCTGAATAATGTTCCACTGCATATATATTTCACATTTTGTTTATCAATTCATTCTTTATGTTATTTATTTGTTGTTTATTTTTCATTGTGATTAAAAACACATAACATAAAATTTACCATTTTAGTTATGTATTTCCATTCATTTTTAGTTTTTAGTTAATGCATAATAATTGTACATATTCATGGGATACAGAGTGATATTTCAATACATGTATACAATCTATAATGATCAAAGCAGGCTAATTAGCATATCCATTCACCGCAAACATTTATCATCTTTGTGTTGCAAACATTCAAAATCCTCTCTTTTAGCTTCTTGAAAATATACAATAAACTATCATTAACTGTATTCACCCTACCATTAACAGATGAATGAATAAAGAAAATGTGGAACATATACACAAAATATGTATACAAAAGGATGAAATCCTGTCATTGGAGGCAATATGGATGAACCTGGAGGACATTATGTTAAGTGAAATAACTCAGGCACAGAAAGATAAACACTGTATGTTTTCACTCATATGTGGGAGCTAAAAAAATTTTTGAGCCCATTTTTAAGTGTACAGTTCAGTAGTATCAACCATATTCACGTTGTTCAGCAGATCTCTAGAACTTTTTCATTGCGAGACTGATACTCTATGTCCATTGAACAAGAGCTCTCCATTTTCTCCTACCCTAGCTCTGGAAACCACAGTTTTACATCCTGTTTCTGAGTTTGACTACATTAAATACCTCATAGAAGTAGCTTCACACACTTTGTCTTTTTGTGACTGACTTATTTCACTTAGTATGAAGTCCTCAAGGTTTTAAGGCTGAATAATATTCCATTGCCTGTATATATCACATTTTCTATTCATCCATCAATGGGCATTTGGGTTACTTCCACATTTTGGTTATTATGAATAATGCTGGAATAAACATGAGAGTGTAAATATCTTATTGAGATCTTGTTTTCATCTTTTGGCATATAGATGCAGAAGTGGGATTGTTGAATCATAGGATAATTCTATTTTTAATTTTTTGAGGAGCCACCATACTCTTCCATAGCAGTTACACTGTTTTACATTCTCATCAACAGTGTACAAAGGTTCCAATTTCTCCACATCCTCACCCTCATTTGTTTCTTGTGAGGTAATGTTTGTAATCCAGATAGAACAGTGCTTGGCAGGCAGCAAACACTCTATAAATGTTAGCTGTTATTATTTGATTGTTCAGAGACCTCTTTTCCTTCCTGCTTCTCAGCTATTTCTAGATAGTTGAAGTGATAAGGGCTGAATTCTTAGCATATGATATTTCTGAAGTTTACTTTCAAAGTGCCCTAATTTTTCCCAAGTTACATAAGAAAATTCTGTGAAAGGCTGTTGTATGTAGGTGTATACATAGAGAATTGCAATTTCAAAACCAACACATGGTGGTAGATTAAGAGAAAACAAAAACAAAAGCCTGCATTGAAGACTTTTACACTTCCATAAGCATGAACTCTGAGTGACCATTAAACAATATTAAAAATTAAGGACACTGCAGTTCATTTTTAATTTGTGCTATACTGCACAAGATCATGTTTATGTGACAAGGAAGTGAAAAGGTTAAGAGTGAAAAAGCAAATTCAGTAAACTTCTTTTTAAAAAATTACCCTTCAGTGTTATGGTTTGAATGTGTTCCCCAAAGTTCATGTGTTGCAAACTCATATGGTTGGGGTCTGTGTCCCCACCAAAATCTCATGTTGAATTGTAATTCTCAGTGTTGGAGGAGGGGCATGGTGGGAGGTGATTGGATCATGGGGGCAGACTTCCTGCTTTCTGTTCTTACGAAAGTGAGTGGGTTCTTATGCGATTTGATTCTTTTAAAGCATGTATCACTTCCTCCTTTGCTTGCTCTCTCCTGCAGGCCATGTGAAGATGTGCTTGCTTCCTTGTCACCTTCCGCCATGATTGTAAGTTTCCTGAGGCCTCCCAGGAAGCAGAAGCCTGTACAGCCCACAGAACCATGACCTGATGAAATCTCTTTTCTTTATAAATTACCCAGTCTCAGGTATGTCTTTATGGCTGTGTGAGAATGGACTAATACAGAAACTTAATGTCTAATGCAATCGTGTTGAGAGGTGGAACTTTTAAAAGATGATTAGGTCGTGAGAGCCCTCCCTCATGTATAGATCAATGCTGTTACCAGAGGAGTAGGTTCCTGATAAAAGAAGGAGTTTGGAGTTTGGCCCTTTCTCTCTCACTTGCTCTCGTTCTCATGCTCTCTCTCACGTGCACACTCTCTCTCTCTTTCTTGCTCTCTTGCCCATCTACCTTCTGCTGTGGGATGACACAACAAGAAGGCAGTCTCTAGATGCAGGTCCCTTGAACTTTTACTTCCTGGACTCAAGAACTGTAAGAAGTAAATCTCTGTTCTTTATAAATTACCCAGTCTCAGGTATTCTGTTTTAGCAGCAGAAAACAGACTAAGACTAATCTAATCATATTTTCTCTGTCACTACTTCTAGTTCAGATGTTTTAGTTTGATTACCAGAGGAAAGACAGCAAAGATGTTAGGAAAGAAAGTACACTGAAATGCCAAAAATTCTGAATTCCATCATTTCTTCAGGCAGCCAACATTTATTAAACGTCTGTTTGAGACCTGGGAATATGTTAGGCACCAGGGCTGCAGAGATGACTAGGAAACAGTCTCTACTCTCAAGTTAGTGGGGAGACACGATCTATAAGGAACATTTCAGCAAAATTTAGGAAATTCTGTCACAGTGGAATACCAGGATGCCTAAGTAGCACAGAGGAGAGGCATAATATAATGAAATTCGTAGAGTAAGGTAGTGCAATGGTATTTGCCAGAGACTGGAGGGAAGGGGAAATGGGGAGGTATTAGTCACAAGGTACAAACTTGGTTATACAAGATTAGAGATCAAACAACACTGTAGAGTGTATTTACAAAATTTGTTAAGAGGATACATCTTATGTATTCTACTCACACATAACATAATGAAAAGACAGGAAGAAACTTTTGGAGGTGATGAATAGGTTCATGGCATAGATTGTGGTAATAGTTTCACAGGTATATATCTTCAGACGCATCAAGTTTTATATATTAAATATATGTAATTTTTGTATGTCAATCATACTTCAATAAAGTAGTTTTTTTTTTAGAAAAAACTTTCAATGTCTCTTTTTTGCTTAAACTGAGGCTTAAATAATATATATATAACTTGCTTATCAGAGTTCCCATGTACAATATGCATTGGTTTCAGCCTGCCTTTTCAGTCTTATTTCCCTTCACACATAGCATATTTCAGCTGAGCGTAGGACTCACTGCTTCCCCTCATATACCTGATGACTCTGTAGCCCTAGGCGAGTGAACAGTTTGCTCCCCTGTAGGCAGAAGGTGGATCAACCTTATTCAGCTCTTGCAAGGAAAGAGAAGGAAGATGCTGGTGAGCTGGGCCCATCTAGGTGAGTATAATACTGGGACAGAAACTGATGGTCCTTGTGTTCCACAAGTAACTGGGATAAAACAGTTGTGCTTCTTATGTAAGTTGGTTATATTTTGAGCCTCACATGGTTCATTCATTCATTCAGCAAGTATTTTCTGAGTGCTTGCTCTAGGGCCAGACACTGTTAGGTACAATAAAACAATTATGATGAGAAGTAGATATGTTTCTACCTGCAGTTCAGTTTGGTTGAGGAGTTTGGGAACAGAAATCAAATAACCATACTGATAGACCAATTTTTCAAAAATAAACAGATAGGGATAGATACATAGTTAAGTTTTGTCCAGTAAAGGAATTAATGAATAAATGGATAAATATAATACACTCGATTTTTCCTTTTAAGCATTTCAATGGTTTAATAAACCAAACCTTCCTAAATATTTAAATAAAACTCATAACTCTATTAAACATACACATATGGCAAATGACGACTTCTCAAACAGCCAATAATCTTTAGTCTTAATAAAATTCTCATCTCTTCAACTTAATATTCTAAGTTTAAGCCAATACTTGATTAAAAGTTTAAAATTTCAATGATAAGGCTCATCTATCTAATTCCTTAACATGCTATAGTTTTTGAAAATAGGACATTTTATGTATTAATTATTCATTTACTGTTTCTTAGTGCCAGATAATAATAATAGATATGATTTAATCCTCATTTCTTTGCTTAAATTTGACCTTTTGGCATAGACATTGTAAGAAAACCTTCTATTTCTCTTATCTGGGGACCGCAGTTGCATACTGATTGCGGGGAATGTTTGACTGGGCTCCAGGATTCTCTTCTTCCCATTCCCAACCCCACCCCCGCCTTTTTTTTTCTAATCATGAGCTGTAAGGACATGAGACTGGAGTGGCTGCAGCCATTTTTCTTATCTGGTAGATAGAGTTTGTATGGGAGATGATGAAACCAGCATTTAATAAAATCCAGAGACAAGCAGAGGGCAGAGATGGAGACTGAGACTTCTGACAATACCTGAGTCCATGGATAAAGCTGTGCCTGAATTACGACCCACCCTGAATCCTCCTAATTGCATGAGCCTACACATTTCTTGCTTGACCTAAGCTGTTTCATTTAGATTTTCATCTCTCTTAACTGAAAGTATCCTGACATATTTCATAGGCCGTGTTAGCCATTGTCCTCCTCCAGTACTCCAAACCTTCAGAAAACATTTGTTACCCTAAATAGCCTTTAAAGTGCTTGAGGAATGAAGGAAGATAGCGGGTGTGCAGTGGCTGTGGAGTCATCTGCACCAAAGTGGTGGGGAGTGAGGCAGCAGCATCCAAAGATGAAATGAGGTGCCGATGGAGAACTTTGCAAAATTAGAGATACAGAGCAAGTAGTTACCATAAGGACATAGAGGTCCTGGGATCCTCTGCAATCGGGAGGACACCAGACTTCCTGTGATTTGTGGAATGGAAGGTCAAGTCATGTCATTTGGATATGAAAGTGTGGGCATCAGAAGGCTAAGATCTCTAGGTGACATTTTCATGCTTTCTACCAAGATAAAAAGTTTCTGATCCTGGCAGTATCAAGTCTTATTATAGCAAAAACAGGCAAAACAGTTTACTGCAATAAGGACAGCAGTATAGCAAGGGATTGAGCTTGGGCCAGGCCTGAGAACAATCTTAGACTCAAAGATAGCATATAGAAAGTATAGTGTTGAAGCATCTGTTGTTTGCTTGACCTGCGTTTATTTCTCCTCTGGCAGTAGTTCTTCAATATTCCTTTGGGGAACAATTCTTTATCATCTTCTAGTTCATACAGTAAGGCCAACTTACCTCTGGCTCCTGTAGGACCTTATAATTTGGTCCATTTCAATGAGAATTAAGCATGCTTGTAGCTATGACTGGTTCAAGAATAAGCCTTTTATTCCAACTAGTGTAATAAGACTCAAACCTTTTGTTAGAAGACTTCTTGGAAAAGGAAAGCTCTCTTCCACTGACGACATCGTAACTCTAAGCTGCCAGGGTCTACCACTGCAGATAGAGGTGGTGTGGGGTGGGGAAAGCCTGCCTATGAATAAAAACCACACTGGAGAAAGAATGGATGGATCCAAGAGCTGGAGAAAGAAATTTCCAGCAGAAGTTTTGGAGACCCTGAATCCAGCTGTTACTAAATTCAGATTCACCTGGAGTTGTCAGGCAGAAGAGCCATAAAATCTCCCGTTCCCCTCTTCCCCCTATCCCCTGCTTTTTTTTTCTTGTGAAATCTGGGGAGCCTGATCATTACTGGAGGTGGTTGGTAGTAGACAGAGGATGTTACTCTTCCAAAGTTCAATGTACTGCATGTGGTTTGCCCACTAGAGGGTGTAGCTCACTGTGCATTAGGAGCAAGGAATGTTCAGAGAGGTAATGCTGGGAGGCATTTACTGTCAGAGATCTGTTGAAATGTTGCAAGGTCTCAGCCACAGGGCTCACATCCCTGAAAGGGGCCCTGTCTCAGAAGGACTTGAAGAGTGGTCACATGACCAAGGCCTGACTACAGGCATAGCAAATAGAGCAGGATGAAGGACTTCATCTTAACCATGAAGCTATTTTTGTCTTAAAAAGAAAAAGTCATAAGAAAGAATGAGATCTTGACATTTGTAACAACATGGATGGAACTCAAGGTCATTATGTTAGGTGGAATACACGAGGCACGGAAAGACAAATTATGCACGTTCTCACTCATTTGTGGTAGCTAACATTTAAAACAATTGAACTCATGGAGATAGAGAGTAGAATAATGTTTACCAGAGGTTGGGAAGAGTATTGGGGGCAGGGAAGAGGGGATGGTTAATGGGTACAAAAATATAATTAGATAGCATGAGTAAGCTCTAGTATTGATAGCACAGCAGAGTGACTACAGTCAACAATAATTTATTGTACATCTAAAAATAACTACATAATTGGGTTGTTTGTAACACAAAGAAAGGATAAATGCTTGAGGTGATGGATATCCCATTTACCCTGATGTTATTATTATGCATTGTATGCCTGTATCAAAATGTCTAATGTACCTCATAAATATATATACTCACTCACTACGTACCCACAAAAAATAGCACATTTTTTAAAAGGTTATGTGCAGGAATCGCAAATATATATACTCACTCACTATGTACCCACAAAAAATAGCACATTTTTTAAAAGGTTATGTGCAGGAATCGCAAATAGGTTTTATGTTCCATATCAAATCTGATGACAAGGCATGCCTGGATTACTATGTTGATAAACATTTTGAGGCCACATACAGCTCAGTGGCATGTACTATTTGATTACTGATATCTAATGTGGGCGTGGGGAGAAGCAGGATGGTTGGATGTGATAGACATGTGACATCTATGGTGAGATGTTTCTCAATAGGAGCACTATCAGGATCCTGGATGGGTTAATTTTTCCCTATGCAGGACAGTCATTGTGACAAGTAAAAATTAAGTCCCCACATACTTTAAATACCCTTTATGGGAATAGTACTGCTCTATTAGAAAATTATTAGGTTAAGCCAAGAGTGACTTGATTGATTTAGATTTGCCTGAGGATTGAACTAGAGCTTCTTAAATGCTTCAAGACTAAAAAATGAGGATTTTTTTTTCTAGATCCCGAGACCAGACTGAGCTTGCTATCTGTAGGGAATAGGGACTGAGAATGGGGAGGGGAATGAAGAATTTCTGTTGAAGGGGAGAAGATACTTATGGTGACAGGAGCCAAGTAGAACCTGACAGTAGGTGATTAATGTATCATCCCTGGTTAAGAAAAGCATAGGAGGAACCTCAGCTGTGGGAAAAAGGGGTATCCTGTTAAACATCAGAGTCATTTGGAGTGCCCTTATCCTACCATTTTCATTATTGTTGGGTGTTTCTTTTGCCAGGATGTTGTCTTTATATAACAGTTCTCAGGGAGCTGCCCTCTACTCTGTACCTTTGAATCCACTGAATAAGATCAGCCACTGTAAGTTATTTTTGGAAGAAAACATATGACTCAATGAATAAATACATACATGAGTAAAATATTTCCTACCCCTTAATTTAAGAGTTCATGACCATCTATTTTCATTTTCTTCATGCCCCTGTGAATTCCTGTGGAGAAGAGAGGAAAGGAGCAACAAGAATGGTATTATTGCTGCCTTCAAGTTTTGCCTTTGTCATACTCTTCCAGCCAAAGACTACTAGGAACACACCTATAGTTGTACAAACAGGGCTTATGATTAACTGCAGCCTGTGAGAACACACACCCCTGGGAGCCATAAGGCATGTCAATAGAAGGGTATTAGAAAGGTCTTATTGTAGGATTTGAGATTGTTAGGTTAATTTGGTGGAAGGCTTAAGGAAAAGAGGCTTTGCTTTGGTTTGAATGCCCTCAGAAAGTGGGAGTAATTATTTAGGAGGAGGGAAGAGTAGCTTAAGGCTAAAGTTGTAATTGGTGAAGAAGCAGCAGTCACATTAGTCTAGATAAGTCGATATTTGGTATTTTGTGACTTTGATAATGTTCATGTTTTGCCTGTGTTTAGTCATGATTATTAAGTGGTATTATCTTAGTCTTGATTTCTTCATAGTCACAGAGTAGTTTGTCAGATGTAAACATTCTATGAAATTGTTTATCTCAAATGGAGAACATGAAGGCCCAGATGTAAGTAGAAGACCAACGTGTTACAATGCTAAGGCAAGCTTCTGCATGCCATGGGTTGTTTTACTCCTTCTCACATTTTATCATATTGTTTAATAATCTTTTGTTTTATTGCTCCCTCACTGGACTGTAAAGTGCATGAGTGCACAAACCTGTTTTGATGACCACTGAAGACTGAGTCTAGACAAGTCTCCCAATCTCATAAGTACTTAAAGAGTATTTAGTGAGTAAGTGACTGAATTGTCCAGTTAGCTGATTAGACTGTGAATTGCCCAATGTCAGGGGTTACTTCCTATTCAGCTCTGTATTTCTAGAACCAAACAGTTCTGATGTATGTAATTAAATATATCTCGAGTCAAAGAGGAACTCTCCATAAGATAAGATTTATTGCTTTTCTTTAAAAAATAAGGTAATATAATGAATTCTACTTTATGAATGAGAGATGATGCTTATTTCAAATGGTTTCATTCATGAAAAACAAAGAAAAATCACTTCATATTCAAGATGCAGGGGACTTTCTGCATTTTCCATGGTATTGAATGTTGAGAGTGAGATTCAAAGCTCTAAGAGAAATTGATATAAATATTTACAAACCATTAAAATGAAATATAATCTTTCTTGACCGGCCTAGTTGCATATTATAATCTCTATATTATATAATAATTTTTTGAAAGGAGAGAGAATGAGCCCAACAGGTTGAGGTTGCAGTGAGCCAAGATCATGCCACTGAACTCCAGCCTGGGTAACAGAGTGAGACCCGATAGATAGATAGATAGATAGATAGATAGATAGATAGATAGATAGATAGATAAATGGAGAGAGAACTTGATTTGTAAACTCCTGGCTTACAAATAGCCCATAGCTACAAAGATTTTCCTCTCCCCTCATTATGCACTTTCACCCTGGAGATGCTTCTGATTTGTAATCATGGCAAAACATTATTAGAGCTTTTAACGAATGTGTAAACCTGTATGTTAAAAAGTAGAGCATGAGGAAATCAATAAATTGATAAGGTACCTTGGGAAAATCTTTTCACTTCTCTGAATCAGAATTACCTTGTTGATAAAATGACCATAATGATGGATACCGACTGAGATAGGCTCTTTTGAGGATCACTTTGGAAATAGGCTGTTTTGAGGATCACTTTGGATATGCTCTATGAACTTCAAGAATACTTATTATTGAGACAAAGACCATAATACAAGAAGCATACGCATTACTGGGGCAAAGACCATAATGGTTAAGAACAGGATAAACTCAGGAGTGTAGAAAACATAAATGAAAAATATCTGTCTTCTTCAGCAGAAATGTAATAACAATACCAAGCAAAATACTAAATTTTATACTAAGTTATAGTCAATGAAATTTTGTGTGCGTGTTTCATGCAAAAGTGGCCTATTTTTTTTTTTAAACAAGGTCTCACTCTGTCACCCAGGCTGGAGTGCAATGCCGCAATCTCAGCCCACTGCAACCTCCACGTCCCAGGTTCAAGCAATTCTTCTGCCTCAGCCTCCCGAGCAGCTGGGATTACAGGCACCTGCCACCATGCCTGGCTTTTTTTTTTTATATACATTTTTAGTAGAGACGGGGTTCCACCATGTTGACCAGGCTGGTCTCAAACCCCTGGCCTCAAGTGATCCTCTCAAAAAGTGGCCCATTTTTAAAAAATTTAACAATAGCCACATAGGAGCTACTGTGAAGTTATAAGGAATATTATTCATCTTCCGTACATACTTCCTATTTGACATTGGGCAAGGCAATCAACTTTGGAGTACTTCATTTTTATATGTAAAAGGAAATATCTCTCCCCTGCCTTCCATGTACTTACAGGGGTCCTGTTTGGGAAAGTACTTTCTAACTGTCGTAAGCTTATAACCATATATTATTTGTAGTAGTAGCTTGAGAATAATAGTATCTTATTTTTTATTTTGTTTTCTCAGCACCTAGCAGAGTGTCTGGAACTTTCTAGGTGTTTATTAAACATTCTTGGGATAAATATAAGAACCTGTTTTGAAAACTCCTAAAATTCTGTCCAAATAAAAGTTTCTAGTCATAAGATAAGATAATAGGAATTTAAACTTGTAGGCTCTGGGAGTCAAATTCCTAGATTTGTTTCTTGGTTTTTCTCCCTATAAGCAATTATATCTTGGGTCCCTAAATCTCTCTAAGTGTCAGTTTCATCATCTATAAAATGAAAGGTAATGCCAATTTCAGCTTTGTAGGATTGTTTCGAATACTGAATGAGATAATTTCTATGTGGTACCAAGGACAGAGCTTGGTATGTAATAAGCACTAAATTGAAATCAGGCCTATTTGTAGGTTTTCAAAAGTTTCCTCATTATTTATTCTCTTAAATATTTTATGTTTCTGAGTATATACAATAAATACATTTTTTAAAGTTTAATCATACAATATGCATCATTTGATACATTTTGTAAACTTAATGTTAGGTCATGATTATTTTTTGAAAAGTTAATAGGTGATGTCTAGTGAAGTTTTTTTTTTTTTAAATCATATAGCGCTAAAAAAGGATGAGCCTATAAGCAAAAAGCCAGAGAGATTTGGTGCACTAAAGTGGATCAACCTTTGACTTCCCCAAGATGCAGAAACACAGTACCAGTTAGAACCCGAGCTGGGGTTTGAAGGATGGAGGGAGGCACATGTACAGTTAGTGTAAAGATACGCTTGTCCCCCTCACTTTGTTATGAACATGACCTGGCCACACATTTGGAATGCCTTGATAATCTTAGAAGAAAGCAACTTCAGGCTAACAGAGATAAGTAGAAAAGTTGAGGAACCAGATCAGTCTTATGCATAAACTCCCTCTGAAATAGTGGGCATGGGAAGCAAAATGGATTTCACAACTGACCTGGAATAAGAAGAAGCTGAGCAGTAGGGTGGAGGTGTAGTAAACATCAGAGAATCATGGACAAGGATATTTAAGTGGCAGCACAACAATGGGAAAAGAAGATCTTACGTAAGAAAACTGTACTTCCCTCGAGTTCCACTATTGTGTCTGGAGATGCTAAGAACTATTTGGAAAATGGAAAGTTTGGAAAATATTGGCTTTCATGCAAATAAAGTTAGTGGGCATTAGAGCATTGATATTTGTAGCATTACCATAGACAGTGACACAATTCCATTTACTAACTCTTTTCCAGAAAGTATTAATTATAGATGTGCTATAATTATGTATTATATTATTAGAAACTAATTATATGTTATTAGATCTTTTTTTGTATTTTACCCTTAGAACTACTGTGCAGAACATATCTATGCATTATTCTTTGACAATACGTTTAATACTTCCTGAGGATAGTACCCAGAATAGCCAAACAGTCTGAAAATGAGCAAATTTTAAGAACCCATACTTCTTGACTTCAAAGCTTACTATGAAAATCTACAATAATCAAGAGAGTGTGGTATTGGCACAAAGATAGACATATAGACCAATAGAATAAAATTGAAAGTTCAGAAATAAATCCTTAAATTTGTGGTCAATTGATTTTCAATGAAGGTTATAAAACAATTAAATGAGGAAAGATAAGTATTTTCAACGAACAGTGCTGGGATAGCTGTGTATTTACATACAAAACAATACAGTTGAATTCCCTGCCTCACACCATATACAAATCTAACTCAACATGAGTCAAAGATCTGAATGTAACGGTTAAAACTTAAAACGTTTGGAAGAAAACAGAGGAGATATTTGTGACCTTGGATTAAGCAATGTTTTCTTAGATATGATGCCAAAAACACAAGCAGCAATAGATAAATTGTACTTTATAAAATTAAAATCTCCTGCACTTCAAAGGACACTGTTAATAAAGTGAAAAGAAACCCACATAATGAGAGAAAATATCCGTAAGTCAACATCCATTAAGGAACTAGTATCCAGAATATATAAAAAACTCTTACAACTTAACAATAAAAAGGTAAATAATCTGAGTAAAATGTGAGCAAAGGATTTGAATAGACATTTCTTCAATGAAGCCTATGAAAAGATATATAACATCATTAAATCTTTTGGGAAATGAAAATCATAACCATGGTTTTCATGATTATGATACCACTTCACACCTATTAGGATGGTTATCATTAAAAAGATGAGCAATAACAAGTGTTGGTAAAGATATGGAAAAATTAGAACTCTCATATACTTTTACTGGGATTGTAAAATGCTGCAGCTGATTTGAAAAACAGTTTGGTAGTTCCTCAGTTAAAGTTTTCATATACCCCAGCAATTTAACTCCTAGGTTTATACCCAAGGTAAATGAATGTTCATAGCAACATTATTCATGCTAGCCAAAAGTGGAAACAACCCAATGTCCATTAATGGATGAATGGATAAATGAAAAGTGATATATCTAAACAGTGAAGTATTATTCAGCCATAAAAAGGCACAAATAACTGATGCATCCTACAACATGGATGAATTTTGAAAATCTATACCAAGTGAAAGAAGACAAAAAAGGCCACATGTTATATGATTCCATTTATATGAATTGTCCATAATAGACAAATCTATAAAGACAAAAAGTAGACTAGTGGTTTCCAGGTACTGGGGTGGGGGAGATGACAGAGGGGTAGAGGTTTCTTTTTAATGAAAATTTTTCTGAAGTTAAACAGCAGTGATGGTTGTACAACTCTCTGTATATATTAAGGACCACTGAATTGTATAGTTTAAGAGAGTACATTTATTATTTATCCTATTAAAATTTAAATCCTAAGAATACATTTTTAGCACTGAGAGTTATTTTTTATTTCCCTGAATCCTTGGGATTGCAGAGAAGGGTAAGACAGTAGATTTGGAGAAAGGATGAAATGTGGTTAGCTAATAAAACATTTGGGAGAAGAAGTAGCAATCATCCATGCAGTTTCTCTCCCTTCTATGGAATCCCTTTGTATGCCGTCGAATTATGACCACAACATGAAGGCCTATCAGATGAGGTTTTGAGATCATTTGGAAGATACTGCTGTACTGGCTAAGGCTGACTATGGTATAGGTTATCTGGTCTGAGTGAGTTGGGAAATATGGAAGGAGCACTAGGGGCTGAGTACAAAGGCGTGTTTATGATAGAGTGACCAACCATTCTGGTTTGTCTGTGACTTTCTTATTTTAATATGCAAAGTCTCATGTCTAGGAAAACCCTTAGTCCATGGAAAACTGAAATGGTTGGTCCCCTAGTTAGTAGCAACAAAGGTCAGTCATCTGTTATTTACTAAGGGCTTGCTATGTGACAGGGATTATGCTAAGCCCTCTTGATCCATTATCTTTTTCAATCCTCATAGCCAACCTCTAAGATAATGACTGAGATTATGTTTTCTGCCCTAAGTCACATAAGTTTAAGCAGAAGAGCTGAGGTCCCAATCTAGTTCTATAGGATCAGAGTCTTCATTCTTAAACCCACATTCCATTCAGAGAGTTTGAGCCAAAATAAGTAGTGAATTTTTTTAAAAAAATTACCTATAAAGGGTGATTTAGGTTTACAAATATGTTTTATATCCACTATCACATTCATTCTGCCCAAGAACCCTTTGAATTATTCATTCATTCAAAATGTACTTGTTGAGGTCTTACTTGGTGCAGATACTGTGTTAAGTGCTAGGAATTAATCAGAAACCTGCCTTCTGACTTCATGGAGCTTACATTGGGTGATAGACCAAAAATAAACAGAAAATTAAAATATATGGTCATTATGACAAGTATTACAAAGGAAATAGAAATAAATTAACATAAAAAATATCAGAGGTGAATATATTTTAGATAGAATGGTCAGGGAATCCATCCGTGGGAAGTTATATTTAGACTGAAATCCAAATGATGAAGAAGAATTAGCCCTGTGAAGTGGATGGGAAAACATTCTTGTAGGAGAAGACAGATTGCCCAAAGTTTCTGAAGCAGGAAAGAGCTTTCCAGGTTTGAAAATATCGGAAAAGAAGAGTCAATAATGTGGATGGAGCATATGTAGCAAGTGAAGCAGTAAATATCATTCCAAATATTCCAGATTTATAGATGACAACTTGAGGTTTGGAAGCATTATGAGACTTCCCAATATCACTCAAACACAGGAGCAGGATTCAACCCAAGGGCTTTTGACCTCAAGTGCTGAAACCTATTATTTTAGTCTTATCTTGAAAAAAGTAATGTTTCCTACAGCTGTGATTTACATTTTAGGAAAAGAACCTTTTTTTTTTTTTTCATGGAATCCCATGTTGAAATTAATGTTTAAAACAGATAAAGGGAGGCTTCTCTTCTAAAGTTGGAGATGGAATTCGAAGTCCCGTTTATTTACTGCCTGTCCCCCTATTCCCTCAGGTTCAGTGAGTGGAACTGAGATTTCAGTGACTTTTTTTTTCTTTTTAGTTTACAGAATCACATTTTGAGGAATTCACATACATTTTCCAAAACAGTAAATAGTTGATTGCAGTCAGTTACATGTTAAATTCTCAAAAGAGGGTTCTATTTTTGGTTTCATGTTTTCATTTACATATTAGGAAGCAGTACACTCAGGAATTAGGATTAATAATGTTATTAGATGCACATAATGGGCTGACTTTCATGGAGCATATATGTTTCTGTTGTGTAAACTTCTTTTGATAATGACTGCACTGACGGACCTAAAACGAAACTCACAGGTCAAACTTTGTATCCTGCAATGATCTGTTAATGGCTTCTAATATAAGTGTTCTGGTGTTTTACTTTATGTAGAGAGGAGATAATGATAAAATATCTTTTAAACCTCAAGCATCAAAACTATATTATCTTAAGTTCAGCAACCAGAGCCTTTGGGGTTGCTGGGGTTTCTATCTTGTGGGGTAACTGAGGCTGTACAGCCCAGGTCCTTGGTTGTGTAACGCATATCTACAATTTGTTAGAATAAAAAGAAACCATTCTGAGAAATGAGAAAAATGACTATAACTACTGTCTGGGAATTACTATAAGCACTGTCCATGTTCCTCTGGAATCATTTTGGTTCATCAAATTCCCCCTTTTAACTGTGGTGCCTGGAAAAGGATGTGTTTTGTGGTCCCACTCTAGCTTTGAGTGTACTTTAGTCCTCTGGGGATTAGGATTCTGGAATAATAAGCTACCAGGTTTATGTTTTCCTAAATCTTCCCATTTTATTTTGCTTTTCTCAGTATCACCAGAGTTAGAGGACCTTGAATATTAGAATTATTTTTCTGTGGATGGGAGGAGGCTTGGAAAGTTTGTAATTATTATATAACGAGATTAGGAATGAGCTGCCACAGTCTCCTACTCTAGTGATTCAGATTACAGTGTGTCCATTTATCCAGTATATCAGGCTGTAAGACTTCACTGCCTCTCATCACAGCAGTGTTTCCCAAACTTCAGTAACTTGGTTTATGATTCCTTCAAAATTCGTGTGTCATTTTTCTTTACAAATATTTTGCTTTAAATTGGCTCACTTATTAAATTTGCCTACCAATCTTAGATTTGTCCTAAATGTGAATGTCCATGATATCTTGGGTTTGAAGTTGTAAACATATTTTTTCTAACAGATGAAAGAACAGCTGCAATTATTGAAATGAAAGAGATTCATTGGCCTATTAACTAAAATTATTATTAATACTATCAGAAGGTACTCAAATCATTCTTTGGAGAAACAGTGTATGTCTCTTATCTCCTGTTTTAGTGATTTAGCCTACATGATATAGACTTGGAAAGACTTTACCAAAGACTAGATGCTTTACTGGGCTTTTAAGAGATGCACATGACTTTGAAAATTGAATATGTATATAGAAAGAAGGATATTTAATTAGAGGGAATTATATGCACCAAGACACAAAACTGGAATAGCATGAACTCCAAAATAGTTTAACTATTAAGGAAGTTATCCTTTTAGGTAGAAAGAGGCTGGGTTAAGTTGGGGGGTATTGTAAAACATACAAAAAATGTATCCTGAGAATACTGAGAGTCATTGTTTTAAATAAGGAGAAGTCTCAATGAGATTTGGATTTTAGAAAGTCCATTCTCAAGGTTATAGAGATTAGAGCAGGAGTTAGCAAACTTTTCCTGTTAAGAGCCAGGTAGTAAATGTTTTATAATTTTTAGGTCATTTGGCCTCTGTTGCAACAACCCAGCTCTGTACCAGCTTGAAAATGGCCATAGATAACATATAAACAAAGTGTGCCTGTGTTCCAAGAAACTGTATTTTCAAAAACAGGTGGCAATAGTTTGCCAACTCCTGAATCAGACTAAATGCAAGGAAACCACTAGATGGTATCTAGATGCACTAGATGCATATCACAACACTATGGGCAAGTAACAAGGAGGATTTAACCTAGGCAAAAGTATTGAAGTTACAAAGAGGAAAGAAAATACATTAAAAAACAAAAATTAGGAGCTTGAATTGCCAGTGGTATCTAAGGGAATGCAGAAGCAGTAAGAGTCAGAGATGTGTCCTGATTTTCTCAGGACCTATTTTGACAGAGGTATTTAAATTGAGCCATATGAAATTGCCATTATGTAGACTGAAAACGGTCAGATATTCGCAGTTTTGTATGTTCAACCTAATAGAAATTCTATAAGGCTAAGATTAAAAAAATTATTCTTAGGCAGAAAGTGGAAAACTTATCTTAAAAGGATTGTTACCAAAAATATCTGAAATAAAAATGTTTAGAATAAAATATTAAACAATGCAGTGTTGAAATGTGTATAGCTAACTAGCCCTATTAAGTAATCACAGATAAATTAATAACCATGAAAGTCATGAAAAAATAAGTGGCTTCTTCACACACAAAAATATCTGGCCATGTCTTCTGTTACCCAAACACTGTTTCCTCCTTCTTCTTAATGTCCTACTGAGACATCTAATGTCTTACCTGGGAATTCAACCTTATCCTGTTCCTAGGTTTAATGTTGACCTTAGGCAGGGGGTATTTAAACCCAAGCATTATCCTCTGGGGCTCAGCAGTATCATCCATTGCTGAGCTGTTCAAACATCATGCAGTCTCATTTTAGAGAAAGGTTTCATTCTTCATAGTCATCTTGGTTATTTACTGACAGAAATCTTAGATACCTGCTTTTGTTTTCAGATTATTGCATCTTGAATGTACCCCTTCTCTAAATTCAACTGGCATACAAGGAAGCCTCTTTTGCTGGGGACCTCTGTGTCAAAATCTGTTTACCCAAACTATTAACACTGTATTTAACCTTCATATTTGATGTTTTACTTGAGAGCCCTGACTTCTTTCAGCTACTGCAGATGAGCTTTCTCCTTGCTTCCTCATTCAACCTGCACCATTCAGCTAGCAGATCGAGTCTTACATGGGCTTACCTTATTGGTGCCATTTTGTTGGAGTTAATTAGAAAAAGTCGAGTGCTGTCTTGGAATTTGATAACATCTGGTGGTGTCCTAATAGTAAGCCATGTAAAAAACTGACACTGGTTTGCATAGAATGCATTTCTGTGTACAGGCTAACAACAAAATACCAGTGTGTGTGAGAGTATGATGGCAAATAATTAGGAAAAAGAGGGAGCAGAACCAAAATTGATTATGAATTTAGAAGGCCAAATTATTAGTCAGATATTGAGTACAACTTTCATAGATCATTCCTTAAGATATCTCAATTCTGAAGCTATCTTTGGCAGAATTCTTGGAATATTAAAAATGGATTAAACCGCTGATAGTTACTCTATTTAAGATAGAGAATTTTTCATCTCTGAGAAAAGTCTCAAAGTTTCGAAAATTACAACATCTAGAAAGCAGTTATTGTTAGCTTGTTACTTCCCCTGGAATATCAAATGTTTATTCTTTCCCCAAGTTTCTTTAACAAATCCTTACATGAAAAATAGCCAGTAGCCAAGATAACCATGACGAATGTTTCCATCTTTTCCATAAGGAACAAAGTGATTCATCCACCTGAGTTTTTTTAGTCCAGAGTTTTCTAGCAAATTCCTAAAGGCTGAGTTCTCTTGCTGAATCTAAGACTACGGTTCTATTGTGAGAACCTCAGACCCCATTATGAAGTCACTTGGCAAATGATCTATTTACATGTGGCACTTAGGACAAAGTCACCAGTTGTCTTAGTCTGCTCTGTGTTGCTATAACTGAATACCTGAGGTTGGGTTTATAAATTTTTAAAGAAAGAGATTTATTTAGCTGACAGTTCTACAGGTTGGCAAGTTCAAGAGGCATGTGCTGGCATTTACTTGACTTCTGGGGAGAGCCTCAGTCTGTGTTCACTCATGGTGGAAAATGGAAGGAGAGTGAACTTGTGCAAAGAGATTACATGTTGAGGGAGACAGCAAGTGAGAGAAGTTGCGGAAGTCAGATTTTTTAATAACTAGCTTGAGGGAACTAATCCATTCCCAGGAGATCTAGAATTCATCCATTCCTGAGAGAGGGCATTCATCTATTAATAAGGTATCCACTCTAATGATCCAAACATCTCCCATTAGGCCATACCTCCCGATACCACCACAAAGGGGGTCAAATTTGAATGTGAATTTTGGTGGGGACAAGTCACATCAATACCATAGCATCAGGCCATCAAAGACCAAGAAGGCTTCCAGGGGAAAATATTTCATCCTTAACAGGCTGTAGCGCTGTGGTATGACAGCGTGATTTAACATTGTTTTGTTTGATGGTTTGATTATTATTCAGTTCTATGGAAGTACATTCTGCTTTTTCTTGCAAGAAACAAATGTGAAAAAGATTAACTTAGTATGAGTAATTCTGGGAAAGGTTTTCAAAATTTACATGTTTGCCTTCTAATTCTGCTCCAGCAATCTCAAGATTCTTATTTGGTAGATTCTGAGTATGACTCAGACTGCATATATATAATATATATAGTCCTCCCTCAGTATCTGTAGGGAATTGGTTCTAGTACCCTGTAAATAACCAAAATCTGTGAATGCTCAAGTCCTTTATATAAAGTGGCATAGTATTTGCGTATAACCTTCACATATCCTCCTGTATATTTTAAATCATCTCTACAAGCTAGGTTTGAACTTCATGGGTCCACTTATATGCAGGGTTTTTTTCCCAACAATACAATCAGCTCTCCATTTCTACAGATTCCACATCTGCAATCAAACTTCAACTGAAAGTGGAGTATACAAGTCCTACTTGATATATGCAGGTTCCACAGGACCGACTGCAAAACTTGAGTTTGAGTGGATTTTGGTATATACAGGGGTCCTTGAATCCCGAAGAGTAATGAGGGATGACTGTACTTATACATAATACAATGTAAATGTTGTGTAAATATTTGTCATGTTGTATTTTCTATTTGTACCATTTTTTTTTGTTGTATTGTTGTTTTTATGGTCTTTTAAAAGAATATTTGGGATGCCTTCTCTCACCACTCCTATTCAACATAATGTTGGAAGTTCTGGCCCGGGCAATTAGGCAGGAGAAGGAAATAAATGGCATTCAATTAGGAAAAGAGGAAGTTAAATTGTCCCTGTTTGCAGATGACATGATTGTATATCTAGAAAACCCCATCATCTCAGCCCAAAATCTCCTTAAGCTGATAAGCAACTTCAGCAAAGTCTCAGGATACAAAATAAATGTACAAAAATCACAAACATTCTTATACACCAATAACAGACAAACAGAGAGCCAAATCATGAGTGAACTCCCATTCACAATTGCTTCAAAGAGAATAAAATACCTAGGAATCCAACTTACAAGGGATGTGAAGGACCTCTTCAAGGAGAACTACAAACCACTGCTCAATGAAATAAAAGAGGATACAAAGCAATGGAAGAACATTCCATGCTCATGGGTAGGAAGAATCAATATCATGAAAATGGCCATACTGCCCAAGGTAATTTATAGATTCAACGCCATCCCCATCAAGTTACCAATGACTTTCTTCACAGAATTGGAAAAAACTACTTTAAAGTTCATATGGAACCAAAAAAGAGCTCACATCGCCAAGTCAATCCTAAGCCAAAAGAACAAAGCTGGAGGCATCATGCTACCTGACTTCAAACTACACCACAAGGCTACAGTAACCAAAACAGCATGGTACTGGTACCAAAACAGAGATATAGATCAATGGAACAGAACAGAGCCCTCAGAAATAATGCCGCATATCTACAACCAACTGATCTTTGACAAACCTGACAAAAACAAGCAATGGGGAAAGGATTCCCTATTTAATCAATGGGGCTGGGAAAACTTGCTGGCCATATGTAGAAAGCTGAAACTGGATCCCTTCCTTACACCTTATATAAAAATTAATTCAAGATGGATTAAAGACTTACATGTTAGACCTAAAACCGTAAAAACCCTAGAAGAAAACCTAGGCAATACCATTCAGGACATAGGCATGGGCAAGGACTTCATATCTAAAACACCAAAGACAATGGCAACAAAAGCCAAAATTGACAAATGGGAACTAATTAAACTAAAGAGCTTCTGCACAGCAAAAGAAGCTACCATCAGAGTGAACAGGCAACCTACAAAATGGGAGAAAATTTTCGCAACCTACTCATCTGACAAAGGGCTAATGTCCAGAATCTACAATGAACTCAAACAAATTTACAAGAAAAAAACAAACAACCCCATCAAAAAGTGGGCAAAGGATATGAACAGACACTTCTCAAAAGAAGACATTTATGCAGCCAAAAAACACATGAAAAGATGCTCATCATCACTGGCCATCAGAGAAATGCAAATCAAAACCACAATGAGATACCATCTCACACCAGTTAGAATGGCAATCATTAAAAAGTCAGGAAACAACAGGTGCTGGAGAGGATGTGGAGTGATAGGAACACTTTTACACTGTTGGTGGGACTGTAAACTAGTTCAACCACTGTGGAAGTCAGTGTGGCGATTCCTCAGGGATCTAGAACTAGAAATACCATTTGACCCAGCCATCCCATTACTGGGTATATACCCAAAGGATTATAAATCATGCTGCTATAAAGACACAAGCACATGTATGTTTATTGCGGCACTATTCACAATAGCAAAGACTTGGAACCAACCCAAATGTCCAACAATGATAGACTGGATTAAGAAAATGTGGCACATATACACCATGGAATACTATGCAGCCATAAAAAATGATGAGTTCTTGTCCTTTGTAGGGACATGGATGAAACTGGAAACAATCATTCTCAGCAAACTATCGCAAGAACAAAAAACCAAGCACCGCATGTTCTCACTCATAGGTGGGAATTGAACAATGAGAACACATGGACACAGGAAGGGGAACATCACACTCCGGGGACTGTTGTGGGGTGGGGGGAGGGGGGAGGGATAGCATTAGGAGATATTCCTAATGCTAAATGACGAGTTAATGGGTGCAGCACACCAACATGGCACATGTATACATATGTAACAAACCTGCACATTGTGCACATGTACCCTAAAACTTAAAGTATAATAATAATAATAATAATAATAATAATAATAAAGAACAACTACTAAACCAAAAAAAAAAATTCTAAGGCATAATGTCTAGACCAGTTAGGAAAATACTCTCCAATCAGACCAAATTTGGAGTAGTTCCAATGCTACACCTGGAGTGAAGCTCTAGGGAGATCAAGATGTTGATGGATCTGGGCACTAAGTCTCATGAATGGATAAAAGAACTGGGATAATTTACTATGGAGATGAAAATATTTAGGAAGACATGAGGTGTCTTTCAGCTCCTTAGGGCCTTCAAGTAGAATAAAAAGCTCATTTTTGGTCTCCAGGCACAGATTAGGACAAATAGCTAACATTTACATTATTTCTCATAAAAACTCTGTTAGTAGTTACTATTAATATAAGTATCTCCAATACACAGATGAGAAGATTGAGGCAAAAATGGTTAAATTGTTCTCTCAAGGCCACAGTGATAACAAATGTTATCAGTGGAATTCAAACCTAGGAAATCTGACTCCAGAGCTTGCCAACTTTACTATATTATTTAGCATTTTGGTTCAACAGAAAGAGTTCATTGAAGATACAGACTATTCTATTTATCATTGCATCTTAGGCTCTTAGCCCAATGCCTGACACATTATATGGGTTAAAAGATTAAGTGAATAAGCAATTTTCTCAAACTCCTGGCCTCAAGCAGTCCTCCCACCTACTCTTTCAGGTAGCTGAGATTATAGGCGCAAGCCACGGTGTCTTGAAGGAATGATTTTCTGAACACTCAAGATGCCTAACAATTAAAACAAGCTGCCTTATGGAGGCCTTAATACCTCGTCTTCAGGGCTATTGCGACAGAAGCAAAAGGTGAATGATGATCTCTCAAAGATGTGGAATAAGATTTCTTTATGAGTGAAAAGTTGAAGCAGAAGGTCTTTACATAGTCTTTTTTCAGACGCTGTGATTCTATGATTCAAGATTTCTCAATAGTCATAGAAATGAATTTCCAAAATTCCCTCCAGCTGAAAAGTATACTCACCCATCTGTGAGACGACAGTATCTCTAAACTCTGTGGACAGAAGGTATTCAAGGGACTGCTGTTGCCTTGGGAAGGGTAATGACAATGGTGGAAGGGAGATATACACTGAAGACAGAGGCAGAGGCAAAGGCAAAGAGAAAGGGACAGGAGGCAAATGCCACTCTCTTGCGTTGAGGTGACCATGGTGGTAAGGTGGATTCAAAAGAGGTGACCTGGTAATATCAGCCAAATCCCCATACTCCCATTATATTCAAGCAAGAGATTCCATGTCGATTATTAAATTACCTTTTAGTAATTCAAGGTAGTAAAACACACGCTAGAAATACTGTTGTCTCTCAGTGTCCATGGGGAATTGGTTCCAGGATTCCCCACAGATACCCAAATCACAGATGCCCAAGTCCCTTCTATAAAATGGTGTAATATTTGCATATAATCTACACACATCTTCCCATATACTTTAAAACATCTCTAGATTACTTATAATACCTAATACATTGTAAATGCAATGTAAATATTATACTATATTGTTTAAGGAATAAAAACAAAATAATCTATACATGTTTAGTACAGATATAATCATCTTTTATTTTTCCAAATATTTTTGATATGCAATTGGTTGAGTCCATGGATGTGGAACCCATGGATATAAAGGGCCAACTATATTTGCGGACCTATGAGAAGGCTTCATTTAGAAAAAGAATGCTTAGAACCAGAAAACAGATATGGGTATACATGACCTCAAATCCCTCAGGAATACCCCCTATGCTGCTGATCTGGAGAGCTTCTTCAAATCAACAGCCATCACAAATGTAGATTCACCTTCATATAATAACTAATGAAAATGTCTTTCAATGTGTTATAGGGTCCATAGTAATTAGTTTTATTGAAATACTACCTGTGTTCCTGTATCACCTAATGGTTTTGCAAGCATATTCTAATAACAATGCCAACAATAACAACAACATAAACAACATCATTTACATAAGTTGAAATTGTTATATTTTCTAGGTACTTTCCTTCCATATCTGTTAATCTTCATAATAGTTTTGAAAAGTAGGTATCACCAATACCACTTTTACATCTATGCAAGAGGGTCTCCTTTGCCCTAGAGCCCTGTTTTAAAGAGCCTCCCTCCAGGTCTTCTCCATCCATGCCTCTCTCCAAAGTGCTTGGAGCTTGTAGGTCAAGGACATCTGCCCAGCACAAGACTTTAATCCCCTTCTTGTTTATAACTTGGAATCCTAAACTTTTGAATTCGCTTCCTAAGCAAACTTTAACCTGCTTACAGGGCCTATATAAACTTCTTCTTCAGGTCATCTCCCTCAAGGAAGACTATGTTTCTGATATGCACCTTCTTTACTCCAAAGTATGACCTAAGGGTGAATATTTACAGTAGTTTGGATGAAGATTGGACATGCAGGCTTTGGTATGCAGGCCCATGTTCACACTGCTCTTATGAGGCATAACAGAACTGAGTTGGATAGAGACCAGTGGCAGACCAGGAGAGAGACTGATGCTCTGTAGCTAATTTCTCTCATGCTGCTAGATTCCCACAAGAAACACTTAAGGAGTTTGAGAATCTTAAATTTGAGTCTGAGCTTTCATGTTGCAATGAAGACATATTTGCCAAGATATAAGAATAGAGTTGTATTTAAATGTGTTATCTATAAATTTTAAATAGTTTCTAAATACATTGTAGATATAGAATGCAAGAGCTTCCATTTTAATTCTTGCCTGGAGCCCAACACATGTTAGGAATGGGCCTGGATATTACTCTAACTCTAAAAGTGTGTTAAAAATTCTGAGATCGATACCAAGTAACTTTCTTATGATCATAAAGTGAGACTAAAATTTTTAAAACTGCTTTATTGAAATATGATTGACATAAATATCTGTATATATTTAAAATATAGAACAGTGTATTTGAAGATAAATAAGTATATACTTCTGAAATCATCATAACAATTAATGCAATACATTTATCCAGTATCTCCAAAAGTTTCCTTCTGCCTCCTTTTACTGTGTGCTTTGTTTTCTTTTGTTTTTCCTTTTCTGATAAAAGCACTTAAAATAAAAATCTATCCTCTTAGCAAAATTTTAAATATAAAAATACAGTATTGTTAACCACAGGCCCTATGTTGTAAGGTAGATCTTTAAAACTTACTTATTTTGCATAACTGAAACTTTGTACCCTTTGATCAACATCTCCTCATTTCCTTCTCCTTCCATTCCCTGACAACAACCATTATACTCTCTGCTTCTATGAGTTTGGCTATTTTAGTTTATACATGTGAGTGAGATCATGTGATATTTTGTCTTTCTGGGTCTGGCTTATTTTAACTAGCATAATGTCTGCCAGGTCATCCATGTTATTGCAAATGGCAGCATTTCCTTCTTTTTTAAAAGGCTGAATGATATTTCATTATATATGTGGTATGTAGCACATTTTAAAAATTCATTCATTTATTGATGTCTGATAGAACAGAGTAGAGAGCCCAGAAATAAACCCACACATATATAGTCAATTGATCTTTGACAAGGATGACAAGGATACACAATGGGGAAAAGATAATGCCCTTCATAAATGATGTAGGGAAAATTAGATATCAACTTGCAAAGAATAAAATTGGACGCTTATCTCACACCATGTACACAAGTCAACTTGAAATACATTAAAAAGTTAAATGTTAGACAAAACAATAAAACTCTTAGAAGAAAACATAGGGAAATAGCTTATAGCCATTGGACTAGGCAATAATTGATTGGAAATGGTACTAAAAGCACAGATAACAAAAAGGAAAATAGACAAGTGGAATTAAATAAAATTAAATGGCTGCTACATGGCAAAGGAAACAACAAATTTAAAGGTGACCTACACGATAGGAAAAAAATATTTGCATACCATATATCTAATAAGGAATAAATTCCAAAATACATAAGAAACTCCTGTAACTCAATAGCAAAAAACCTAATAACCTGTTTAAAGATGGGAAAAATAACCTGAATAGGCATTTTTTTCCAAAGAGGAACAACTGGACCACAGGTACGTGAAAAGGTACTCAACATAACTAATTATCAGAGCAATGCAAATCAAAACCACAATGAGATACCATCTCACACCTGTTAGGATGGCTATTATCAGTGAAAAAACAAAAAGAAAAGAGAAGTGTTAGAAAGGATGTGGAAAAGTTGGAACCTTTGTATATTGTTAGTGGGAATGGAAATTGGTGCATCTGCTGTAGGAGAGTTCTCAAAAAATTAAAAATAGGACTACTATTTGATCTAGCTATCCCACTTCTGGATATGTATCTAAAGAAACTGAAATCTGGATCTCAGAGGTATATCTACACTCCCATGTTCATTACAGTATCATTTGCAATAGCCAAGATATGAAAACTACCTAGCTTTTATTTTTTATTAGTCCTACCTTACTTCTGGAGACCTCATCTCATTAAGGACCCTAATATTTTTTTTGCCTGTGGAGTAATCAAGTAACAGTTACACTCTCAGTGTTTGTTTTTTTTTTTTTTTGGCAACTCACTAACATTTATTTCTTTAACCCCATCATCAAGTGTTTAGGAACCCATTATGGAAGGAAGATGAACTATTTTATCAGGCTATTGAATACATGGCTGGGTCCAGTGATATCCTGTGGTGATTTCAGAGTGTGTCTTCTAGAATAATCTTTAACATTTGTTCAACACGTGTTTATTAAATGTGACCTCTAAGTTTGTTTACATTCTATGTTAGGCCACGGGAGCAGGAGATAATTTAGATGCAATTCCACTTTTCAAGAGGTCCATACTCCAGTAGTGGAGTTTTGCTTATCAGCAGACAATTACATTTCAATGTGGCAAATAACAGAAAAATATATAACATTTAGTATAGTAGTGGTATCAAAAATTGAGACAGCAAATATTGTTGGAGGAGAGTGAGCAAATAAGTCATCAAAGAAGAGGTTCTAGCTGAAGGATGGGGAAGCAGTCTTCAGTCACATTTACAGGGTAAGGCCTATGTCTTCCGAAAGCATTCTCCCAGTGTTCCTGGCTAGTGATTGTTTCATCCTCTGATCTCCTGTGATATGTAGAATCTGTTATTTTGTATTTATCCTCTGGATTTTGGTATTATTTCTTTCTTTTTGCAAATGACCTGTCTCCCAAATGCAAGTTCCATAAAGTCAGGAACACTTTATGTTTCTTTGAATTCCTAAAGAGTAGCCATTGGAAATTTTCAAGTAAGAAGTAACACAATGAAAATGCTGCTCAAACTCAGTTATTGTTCATTCAAAAGTATTTATCGATTGGCAATTAAATGTAAGGAATTGTATTTAGGTTATATCTTCCAAGTACATCATATCTTCTCAACTACAAAGAAAACTCAGTAAGGGCAGAAATAATGTCGATGCTGTTCATTGTTTTATCCCCAGATGTCAGCACCATACCATGTATTTAGGAATTGAATGATTTTTTGTTTGATGATTAATATATGAAAGAGTTTTAAGGATGATCAAGGCACCTTCATTGATCTCCAAAAATTATGTATCCAACTAGGGGTGTAAGACAAATTTCAGACCTGGTCTTAGGGATCAAAAATTTTAAAAAGTAGTGGAAAGATAAAAAAAAAATGACCCAATGGAACATGCATGACTTTATGTTGATTCTCTTTCTCTACACTTCAGACCAATCCACTTGGGAGGTTAGGAAGAGTCAGAATCCTAATCTAGGGCAGTTCTCTATGCCATACTTCAGGGGATGTCAGCTGCTGCTGGTAAAAGTACATTTTCTGGTTATCAGAAGTTGAGGCTGCAATCTTCTTATTTATGAAACATTTTCCTTTATTTTTTTCAGGTTTCAGTAAAGAATCTACACAAAGCAAGCAAACCATAGGGTTTATTTCCATGGCCTGGGTTAGAAAAAAGCATGTTTTGGGCTCTTGAGCTACTGATTCCCATGATTCGCCAAGAGGGAAATTTCTGGCAGAAAGAGGCTATTAGCCATTATTTATGACTAAAGTAAATCCAAAAGATATAATTCCATACCAAAATTTTTAGAAAGAATTTCCTTAAGTTCCATTTTATTTAAAAATAAAATTAAGCAGTGCTTAAAATTAAGCATTTTACTTCAAAAGAATTTCCTTTAAGTGCAATTACTTAAAAAGCATCTTACTTAAAAAATAATTTTTAAGCCTTTTACTTAAAAAAGCATCCTTTTCCTGGAAAATAATTGCCTCTTGTGCTCAGAATGCACTGTAAGACATTTTAGAACCTCTTTACCTTCCCATTTGTAAACACTTACATGCATTAATATGTGCTTCATGAAAAGAAAGACAAATGCTGAATACTAAGCCTGTAAGCATTTTCTTAGCATTACACTTGACCATTATGACTCAGAAGACTCCTTGCAACTTGTCAATTTTAATGGAAAGGACTGCAGCCCAATAATATCTTAGCGACTGATGTAATGTATTAAATAGAAATATCTTTTAATTAATAACTTTTGTCATTTTTATTAATTTTTATTTTCAAGGTGATCAAAATAGCTTAGAAGCTTCCTTTTATTCTAGATTATTAGTGTTTTCTCAGGGGGTAGGTAGAGGGTGAGAGGATCTGAATAAACTGCCAGATAAATTTTATGCTTGTTTTTCTTCACAAATATTATGTCTTGCAAATAATTAAAATGAAGGATATGTACTTCTTCAGATTTGACTGTAATTTTATTAACTTTTTGATATAGTATTAATGTGTCTTTTGAGATGATCACTTTGAAAGTATTAGACAATTTCAGTCTATATCATAAATCCTTCATATCCACCTTTGAGGCTTCTAGCACAAGGAAAGTGTCTTAGGTTTAGCAAAACATTTAAACCATTTGCTAATTTTTAACGTATAAGAACAAAAAATCTGAGCTCTTTCTAGCTGTCAGAGCTGTTCAGGAATGTGTTGTGCAAACAGACAAAGTGAGTTTCCTGTCACTAGAAGTATGTAATGTGGCCTGGTAGACAACTTGGTGGGCTTCCTGGGGAAAGAATTGAAGCAATAGATTTGATGAGAGGATATTTTATGATCCTCTGGCCCATCTTAGTAACCAGCGTGTGCTATGAGAAAAACAACATAATTTTTCTAAACCTGCTGTACATCAGCAGAATACTATTCCTTAGAGGGACCATATGACACATTAAATTCTAAAAGAAATCTCTGAAATGAAGTTTACTTTAAAACTTAAGTATAGGAAATAAGCCCTTTATATATTTAACTTTGGAGCAAAAATGTTAATTTTTGGAATAGATTTTGCCTATAGGTTTGTCATCTTTTGTAAATTACCACTGTTAGTGACAGCTTCTTCTAAGAAGATATTTTTATATTTTTAAATGATGGATATTAACTGTTCTGAGCTATTATTAATTTCAGGGATTTGGATTTTTCAATTAAATCTGTCAGACTGTAAGTACAAAAAATCCTGTCTTATCTACCTCCTATGAGATAAATGAAAGAGGCAAATCTCTGTGAATTGCTAACCTTCTCAAAGCTCTTGTTCTTTATAAAATGTGGATCTAATCACATCTATCTCATGTATTTGTAGTGAGGAATAATAAAAGAAATCAAACATGTTTAGGATTGGTATAGTGTGTTACAAACAGTAAGGGCTAAATTTTAGTCATTATATTTAGTTTTGTCTTAAGTTATCCACCCAGATGATTACAAAATTTCCATCAGTATTTTTTACTATCCCAGAGTACCTACTCTGAATTTCTAATCAATTGCCAAACATCTCTACTTGAGTATCTTGCAGTATCTGCAGACTTAAGGTGTCCAAAATTTAATTCGTCTTCCTCCTCTCAACCTGCTCCTACCACTTACTTATTCTTCTACATGTTGTGACCCTATTGTTTTTAAGGCACTGGGAAGGGTTCTGAGATTATATAAGACACAATGCTGGCCAAATACCACCACAGACTCTAGTGGAGACAAGAATGACAAAATCTCTTGCACAATGTAAGGCAGCATTGCACATTAAGTAGGAAGGGTTGGAACACATTAAGGACAACAAATTCTGCACCTAGTTTTATAGAAAACTGACTGAGAAGTAATAACGTTATCGTGTAAGCAATGGTCCAAACCAAAAACATCAACACCATCCTAAATATTTAAGTTCTCCTAATCATGCATATAAATAGTTTGCCAACTCTTTTTAAGTTCTGTTTCTGAAATTTATCTCCAATCTTCCATGCCCTGCTTTTTTCTCCTGTTGACTAATTTTATTTAGATCCACATTATAATTTCCAAATATATCCTAACTTTTCTCCTTTGCTCTCTCTCCTCATTCTACCCATCCTCCATCCTCCATAACTCAGCAGAGAGCTGCCCTCTCCTCTCCTTTCTTTTTTTATTTCTCAGCATCTCTTCACCTCACTACTATGCAGAAGCAGTATGGTGTAGTGTTTAAAAGTAGAGACTGTGCTGCTAAATTTTTGGTTTCAAATCTCACCTAAACTTGGGCAAATTGCTTAACCTTTATGTGACCTTTTCCTTAGGTAAAATGGGGGAATAGTACCTACCTCATATAGTTGTTTTGAACATTAAATGCATTTATATGAATTAAGCACTTAGAATAGTAGTTGTCATGTAAAAAAGGACTATATGTATTTTCTATCATTATTTTTACTACTTCTGTCTGGAAAGAAATTTTTCTCAAGCACAGGCCTGCTAGAAACTCCCTATTAACAATATGTATGCTGCTGTGGCTGCAAGATGGAGGCTGACTTTTCCAACACTGTGGAGTGGTCTTCACTACCCCAAGCTACCTCAGGGCTCTTCATAGCGCTAGGAGAGCTCTTGAGTCCCACTACCAAACCTGTACCCACAACCCTCAGACAAATACTTCATTTTAGTTCCAGTCAAATTCTCACTGCTCCCAATTCAAGGTAAAGTACTTTAATCCCTACGATTTGCAGCCTCTCATTGCTTGCTTAGAAAAAAAACTCCTACTTATTGTTCAAAACCAACTTACTCATCATTTCACAAACACTCCTCTGCCACTTCTTTTACAGAACGCATGCATCTTGGGAAAACAAAATGGCAATAGCTGACATTTATCCAACACTGGCCAGCTACCAGGAGCCCTCTGAAAACCCTACATGTGGTTACTGCTTAACTCTTGTAATCCTTTGAGGTAAATACTATACATTTTCCTAAAGAAAAGGAAACCAAAACAGAAAAGTTAAGTAAAATTTTCAGGATCATATAGCTGTTAATTGATGAACCTATTACTTGAGCCCAACCCTATGACTTTAAAGTCAATAATCTTGATTTGTATGCTTATTTTATACTGTTTTACTTACAAGTCTCAGCCTCAAAGACAACTAAGTGTGATGCTTAGGTTGCTTGCCCACTAATTGAAAGTTTTTATTGCCTTATATGAGAATTGTCTAAAATATATTAACAATTTTCACAATGAATCAAAATAGAAAGGCTAAATCATGTTCTTCATCCCTTGATGGGTAAGTAAAGACATATATGACCATTTTGTAATAATACAAGGTAGTTGCTATAATTTGGGTATTTGTCCCCACCCAAATCTCATGTTGAAATGTAATCCCCAGTCTTGGAGGTGAAGCCTGCTGGGATGTGTTTGGATCATGGGGGCAGATCTCCCATGAATGGTTTGGGCCATCTTAGTGATAAGTGAGCTCTTAGTGATAAGTGAGCTCTTGCTCTGAGTTGACACAAGTTCTGGTCCTTTAAAAGTGTGTGGCACCGCCAGTCCTTTACTTCTACTTTCACCATGTGATGTTTCTGCTCCCGCTTTGCCTTCCACCATGACTGAAATCTCCCTGAGGCTTCACCAGAAGCCAGGCAGATGCCAGCACCATGCTTCCTATATAGGCTGTAGAATCATGAGCCAATTAAACTTCTTTTGTTTACAAATTACCCAGTCTCAAGTATTTCTTTATAGCAATGCAAGAATGGCCTAATATGGGAGCCCTCCTAGAATTTTTACAATGTGCAAAGGGCTATGTTGAGCTCTTTGTAAGACTTATGGCATTTAAGCTCCTAGCAATCCATTGAGGCAGGTATTATAATTATTTTCATTTTGTAAATGAGGAGACTGAAGTCCAGAAAAAGTCATTTATTCTAGCCACATTGTGACAAAGCTGGGAATCAACAGAATTTTGCCTGACTCTAAAGCCAGTACATGTATGGCTACTATGTTCTATTAACTTCATTTAATAATGATTTGAATCTAAAATACTTTCAGTGAAACCAGCTTTGATATTCAAATGGGTAAATATTAGCTACATAACAAAATTATATGGCATATCAAATATATTTCTGATAGGTGACTCTAAATCATGTATTTTACATGTTGAAAAATATATGAAAGGGCTTTTGATTTTTGAGATGGAAAAATTTACCCCAACTTTTAGATTACATAAAAATAATATATACTACATGTTGTGGAATGACCATTTTCTCTGGGACACACGTTTTACATCTAGAATAAAATAAAAACCATTTTTTGAAAAAAATATGGTTATTTGCTTCAGTTATTAGTCTGTGCCACTGAAATAGGGTTCTCTTCAAGGCTTTGAATTAAAATAATTATCAGGGTTGATTCGCTCAGCAAGTGTGGGAATGCTATGGTTGCTCTTTGAGAGAGGTTGAGGGGAGAATAGAACACAGGAAAAAGGGCCTTGGCCTGGGAAAGTGACCATCATCATCATGAGAGATGAGTTTAGTAAATAATGCCAGACCATATTTAGTACTCAATAAATATGGAATGGATAAAAGCATGATATATTTTTAAACCTTTAAAATCTTGTGTCAGTCACAGATGATGAGTTGAATCAACGTTGATTTCTACTCAATAAAGTAAGAATATTCTGTAAACAAACGGGTCAATAATGGGCTGGGTTTTTTTTTTTTTGTTGTTGTTGTTGTTTTGACAAGAGAGTTGTTGCATCAAAGCAGAGATTGGATTGTGATCACCTTCAGGGATCCCACAGGAAACTTTCTTATACAGTAAGAAGTTGGGTTAGATGAGCTTTATGCTCCACTCCACTCCTGAGACAGTGTGATTCAGTGATTTCTTGATGGAGAGAGAAAAATGCATAACAAAAACAAAAACAAAATAGACTTGCTTATTTTTGAGATGAAAGAATCTTAGAATTTCTTGGACTCAGGTTCTCAGTTCAGAAGATAAATCAAAGTGGTAGGATCAAGAGAGATTATTGCTTCTATGATGCTGAAAGTGGCTAAAGGTGGAGGCAAAAGAAGTAACCTGCTGTTATTAACCTAGCCCATTAAAGGCTTGAATTATGTCCTAGTTAGATGTGTCATCTCTATTAAGAAATGACTGTTTCCCCGATCATGGCACTAGAACAGGTTTAAAATAATGAATCATTGGAAATAATTCCTGTGGAATATTATTACATAATATGACCCAAATTAGTGCTATGTTACATTTGAATGGTACATGAATAATTCTTACTGTGTTCACATATATTATGTTATGTTATTAGACTCACATATAAGTCTGGGGTGGATATTACCATCATCTCCATTTTATAGAGGAGGAAATTGGCCCTTAGAGAAGCTAAATAACTTGCTCAAAATCTCATAACTAGTAAATTTCTAAAATAAGTCTTAAAAATAGATTCTTGGGTTCAGAACTCATTTTCTACAATGGCACCATTTTCATGTGAGTCTGCTGCAATGATCAGTAAGGCTCTCATCACCAGCTGTCTTGGTTCTCTACCCAGATCCCTCTTCTGGAACCCTGTCAGGTCAAGTTCTACACTGGTCATGAAGCAGAGGAATCCATTCACTGATCTTGGTTGACAAGGCTCAACTAGTAACCCATCTTCTTAACAGAGAATGACTTTGTTAAGAGTGTAGAATTTGGTGGTGCAATAATGGAGATAGGGAGAGAGCTAACTGAACACCTGCTATGAATCTACCTGTTCTCTGTTGGAAGTTTCTTATATAAGTTTCCTTAGAGGGAAGATCAGTAGCATTCTCAGGCACTAGAATAAGGATCCATGTGTATATCTTAAGAATCAGATGGTACAGAAGCTGGACTGTCCCTGATGCTTTGACCATGATTGCCATATCTCCAAACATGGCTAACTCTAAGAGGCCACATATATTTTGATGCATCAAGAACCAGAGACCTCCATTGTGTTCAGTCTCAAGGGGCATACTTAGCTAGTGATCATCAACTGCATTGCCATTTCTAAAGGAAGGGCAACATTTGCGCTTCTCACTATGCCAAACATTAGGAAATAACTTAGTTACCAGGAATGAAGATTTCAAGAAAATATTCTTTATTTATGCCCTTTGGCTTTGACTGTGCAAAATGGCATTTTCAAAGAGCCATTCTATGGCTTTACAATAAGACCACTGGCAGTTCCTCTGGCCCTTTGTGTTCATGGGCAGGAAGGCACTCTGTGACACTAATGAACGTAGCACCTACAGCCTGAAAAGGTTGGATTACAGAGAGCTTACTTACATTTATTTCCCTGTAAATCAATAAAACAGCCAGAATCTGTTCAGATGAGCTGCTGTGGGGATAGGAATTATGATGTTGCCTAGGGAACAGAGTACAGCAGTGTTTAAAAGCTTGGGTTCTGGACCCAGTAAATGCCCTTGCCAATCACAATTCCATAATTTCCTATTTGTGTTGAACAACATAGTCTGTCTTCACTGAATCTCATTTTTCACAAGTGAGAAAAAAGAGGACTCATTCATTAACTTATTACTTTTGGTTTTTGGTTTTTTGAACTCCTACTACGTTCATTACTATATTAGGTGTTAGATATACCCTAGTAAATGTTATAAACACTGTCTTCAAGGAAGTTTCCAAGCTGGTGACATTAAAAGGTCTGTATTCATAAGGTTGTTTTGGGATTTAAATAAGATTATGATGTAAAGCATTTAGTAAGAACCTGGTATCAGATATTCTTCAATGAATGTTAGTAAACTCAGGAGGCATGCGAGAACTATCTTAAAAATACCAAAAGTGTTCTCAACTAGACTTTTTCTCTGTGGCCCCAAGAGCTACATTTAGGACACATGAGGGGGTAAATAATACATGGTCAATTTAACTTGATGACCTTTTGGTAGTAAAATTCCTCATTAATTACTGCCTCCAGAAATGATGAGCTCCTGCTCACTCCAGGGATCCATGAAGGTACATGAATATCTGTTAAGAATCCCATGGAGACAATTCCTGCATTGAGTGTGAGGATTGTAGCCATCAGTATTTTGTACTTTTTAACAGTAATACTAATACTTGTTGAATGCTAATTATGTACCATAAATATTCTAAGCACTTTCATTCATGAAGTTGTTTAATGCTTACACAAATTCTATGAAGTGGGCACAAACAGGATCCCTATGTAACTGAAGAGGAAACTGAATCCCGGAAATTAAACACTTGCACAAGTTCATACAGCTAGCCAGTAGTGAAGCTGGGAATCTAACCATAACCCAGTATAAAAAATATATAAAAGAGATGCATCTCTGAATTGAAGTTGGAGTAGAGAAGTCTAGTTTGTTGGTCCTGCTTTTTCTTTACTGAGCTGCTGCAGCATACTTGGGAATTCCTAAATTTCCTTAGAATGCCATTTGAGGACCACTGGTCTTCCTCGGTGGTTGTTAAATGCCACTATTACTCTTCCAGTAGTTACTTTATATAAATATTATGTTTACTGCTTGTTTCAGTTATTTTAGGAGGTTACTGTTTGGGAGGAAAGAAAAACAGACCCAAAAATGCAAGTATTCTTGCATTTTAACATTAAGCCAAAGGGAATACAACATTTATTTATTATATTATTGCCAATATGTGAATTTTGTGCCTTTATATAGATAAGGGCTAAAATGATGACATAGTTTCCTAAAAATTGTGGGTGATTTTTGTCTTGCAACAAATAGAATTTCTATTTTGGTTTTTGCTTTATTTTACAATAAATAATTATAAAAAATGTAATTGGTCTGTGATATCCAGAAATCTTTAGATTTCGGAATCACTGGTTCAATATTTAAGGTGTCTTCTTTGACCAAAAGTTTCTGTCAGAAAATGCTCTTGATGCTTTGCTTTGCTCTTCGTGGAAGCTGTCACAGAGAAAGTGGAAATATTCACCACAGTTAAGCAACGTAATGCCCTACTCCAGTCTGCATTATATTCTTTGTAAAGTGGGCCCCTATGTGGATGGATTTCCTGGTCAACTTAATACTATTTTAGTAGAAAAGTAATTCCCTTGAGGGAAAAAAGTCCTTGTGATCAAAGAGGACTGAAGATATTAGAGAAGGTGTCTTTAAGAAAATACCTTAAATGCAAATATATTGATGCTTTTCACAAAGCAAATGTTTTCAAATTCATGGCCAATTTATTCCTGAGAACACCTACTTATTTTCTCCTTGTCCTTCTAATCTTTTCTCTGTTTCGTCATATATTGTATATACACAATGTATATAATAAATATACAGTTTAAATAATAATGATAATGACAATACACATGCTCATACGTCTTATCAGTCAGTTTATGAAATAGCACGTGGGCTCTATCTTTTAAACTGTTTGTATGCCTCCCCTCCAGCTGCCATTCTTTACTGCTGCTCAGGCTACCAGCTCTCCTCTAATTCTGTTTCCATCTTCCTCTCTTTTAGGAAGGACACTCACGCAACCACAGATTCTAGAAACATTTCTTCATCTGTGGAGGTATTCAGTTGGTGGTGTTCTCTGGCCTTGGCTAAATAATACTGGTCTCTTTTGTAATTTTCAGGCAATGTAGAATTCACTATGGGGCTCTTTGTGCCCTTAGGATATTACATATGTGTTTTTAAATATATTTATCCTAGAGTTGGTTTTGATGTTGTTTTCCCTCACAGTAGAGTTTGTTTTGATGTCGTTTACCCTGACAGTTTAAAAATTACATATATATGTCAGGCGTTGCCTACTATGCGTCAGGCAGAAGAGATGAATATTTATTTGAGACACAAGGATGAACAAGACCCAATTCCCTACTCTTAAAGGGCTCAAAACCAGAAGATATATATATAATTTTATTTTGTTTCTAAAAAACACTTAGGATAATTTTTTAAATGTCCTTCCAGAAGCCCTAATGGAGGTTTGTGTCTTCATTTCATTGCAGTCAAGCCTCTCTGCTGACCTCTGTGGCTGTCCCTGTGAGTATCTACTCTAACAGGAGGCTCTCAGTGCTGTATCTCAGGATAGGGTCAAGTGGGAGTGGTGGTTGCGATAGGGTGGGGTTGCAGAAAATACTAGGAAGTGCCAGAACCTAAATTAGAACCACCCATAGGCTTACGAGGCAAACTTATTACAACTACAGATTTTTGTTATTATATTTTAAATCTACCATTTCCTGTTAGCTAATTACATGCCAGGCACAATATTATGTGCTGTATACATATTAGTTCATGCTAATCTGGAAGGAACTGTTATTGTCTCCATTCGAAATGCAGGAACCGAAACTCAAGAGATTAAGCCACTAACTCAAGGCTACTTGGAAGTGGCAAACCTAAATTTGACCCCAGGACTTTCTCTGCCCAAAACCCCTTAGTTCTTAACCATTATATTCTACAGGCTTCACAAATAATTTTAGTTTCACAGGGAGGACAAGTTAATATCTAAAGGGTGTGGCAGCAAACAGATGGTAGTTCAAGCAATTGGTGGGCCTCAGAGATGTATAAGAAACAACTGGAGCCCAGACAGGCAGCCAAAACAGAAGTAGGGTGGCCAGTGTTTTAAGAGTGTTTGCCACTGGGCTGCCATTCTAGAAGTAGTAAAGTGGAGAAGAGAGAAGCAAGGAGCACAACCTAGAGGTGCAAAGTACCAGAGGACTAGGCTCCTGGGCACATTACAGAGTCAGGGGCTCAGGCTGGGGATGCAGCAGTCACCAGGGGTTTCACGGGCAGGCAGAATAAGATTCAGAAACTGGGCACAAGGATAGAAAGAAACCCAAAGCCAGGCTTACTCTTTGATTAGTCATGCAGGGCTTGGCTGGGTGGGGCCTCAGTTGTTTTAACTTCCACACCTATTTGTGAGCATGAAATGCCTCATGTCCTAGAAAGGAGCACTTCGAGTCTGGCAACTGGGAGTGATGCACCAGTTTCCTGAACTCTCCAGAAGCATCTCACAGAACTCCAGTAACCTTTTTCCTATTTTTAAGCAGGTGCTCTTAAAAAGCTTAATTTTTTATTGACTGCTGTGTTTGGATTTAGAGTTATTTTTAAAGGAAGTTCTGAAATATTTCCAGAATGTGTCCATGTGGATGTGTTTTGTTAAGGAACATATTTATAACTCTGGATTCCATCTCCTTGATCTGCACCCTTATTGTTAATCAACATTCCAAAGTCAATACTTTAGCTTAAAATTGTTCTCTGACAGACATGAGTTACCTGTTTTACAAGGACTGGTTTATTGGATATAGTAATGTGTGGTTTGCTTAAATGTGAGGAAGAGCTAATTAAAAATGAAACAAAATGAGATTTCTTAGAATTTGTGTAGGCTTCAGTTCTAGCAACAGGTTTTGGTAATTATTTAATTGTTTTCATCTTATTTTATTTGTATATCTTTAAAAATTTATGGTAATTTTTTTCATGTTACAAATGACAAGGATTTTACGAGGTGGTTTTGCAAGAGATGAAAGCAATGTAATAAGGAATCTTGGGCTGTGGGCTGTGCAAGGTAATGGCCATTTTGATGACTCTTCCACAATCTCCAGAAAAGCATTTATTGCTCTCTATTGTTTGTATGTTTGTGGATTCTTTATAGGGAGCTTGAAGAAGCAGAGTTTGGGTTGATGCAGAATGCAAATAGATATATATTCTAATGTTGGAGCTGGATCGGGAGTGAAGACACTTGACTTCAGAGTTATCTGGGAAAAGACATCATGGTTTCCTTGCTTACTTGTTGACAGAAGCCAAATTCAATTCATTTTAATTTAACTTAGTTAATTTATAAGGTATTAATTGAACACCTATGGCATGCCAACTGCAAGCCTGCAGTATGCCAGTGGAAACAGATGGTTACAGAGCTAAAGTGAAAATAATATAAAGTATGCTAATTTAGGAGGACCAAATACATAAGAGATACTTTTTAAAGATAATGACATTAAGGCTGAAAGATGATGTGGAAATTGGTAAGATGGAAAAGTGGGAAAGAGAATTGTAGAAAGAGGGATGAGCATGTGCAAAATTTCAGAGTGCATGGGAGGTTCTGAGAGTGGTGACCAGTCTGGGGCAAAGTGTGGAATGGAGAGAGATGAGTTTGCAGAGTGAGGTGGCCGATATTGATGGGGCTGTAAGCAGTGAGACTCACTGAAGCAACCTTACCAGGGGAATGGATGATGAGGTCTATGTTTAGAAATACCACTCTGAAGGCTGTTAGAAAATGGATTGTGGGAAGTGGGTGGTAGAGAGGATAACAAGGAAGAGTGGTTGGAAAACATGAATTGGCCAACAACTCTTTATGCTGGTTTTCTACATTGCAGTCTCATGTGTTCACTCTGCTTGGAATGATGCTTCTCTCTTTTTTTTTCTTTTCTTTTTCCTTTTATTATTATTATTATTTTTGAGACAGAGTCTGACTTCGTCACCCAGACCAGAGTGCAGGGATGCAATCTCAGCTCAGTGCAGCCTTGACATCCAGCCTCAACCTCCCGGGCTCAAGTGGACTTCCCAGGCTTAATTGATTCTTCTGCCTTGGCCACCCAAGTAGCTGAAACTACAGACATATACTACCACACCAGCTAATTTTTTCTATTTTTTGTAAAGATGGCATTTCACTGTGTTGCCCAGGCTGGTCTTTATCTTCTAGGCTCCAGCAATCCTCCTGCCTTGGCCTCCCAAAGTGCTGGGATTACAGGCATGAGCCACTGTGCCTGGCTGCTTCTCATTTCTCAACCCCATGGCCAACCTCCCCCAACTCCAACTCACTGCTCTTGCCCACCATTTTCTTTTGCTGACTTCTATCCATCCTTCAGGTTTCTGCTTATAAGTTACCTTCTCAGGGAAGTCTTTCCTGATTACCCAGTCTAAGTCTAGTTTTTTCAAATATGTATATTTAAGATTGATGTATTGTTAACATAGTTCTTCCCCTCTATACTTAAAGCTCCATGAAGAAAAGACTAATGTTTATATTTATTTGCTCTCTGATTCATTTCTAGCAGCATCTGGCAGAGTGAATATTTAATAAATATTTGGTGAAAAGATGGATGAATAAATTCTAGGTTAATATTTTTAATTCCTTTAAAGAGTTTCTTTGAAGAGCACTTTTTTTCCCTCCCTAAATTCCAATCAACAAATTTTAAAGAGAGTGTTTTTAAGTAATGTTAGTGATGGTCTTGCATCATTCCGAAAGTTTAAAAAAAATGTAAAATAGAAAGAAAAGAAAAGAAACAACAAACACCATTGTACCTGAATTCTGTGGAGGTTAACATGGGTCATTCTGATAGACAGTCTTGTTCCCTAAATCTCTGATGAATTTGCAAGACCAGATCATAGCTCAAAAATGGATTGACTACATTTTCTTTTTCTCCCTCTTTATAGATAATATATAGGTAGGTTTTCATATGTTAAATTCATGGGTGACTCTGTTATAATCTAATGAAAATGTTGCTTAATTTCAATTAAATTTATTGAGCATGTTTCTATATCAGTTTTATGCAAGATGCTGTACCAAGCATAGGAAATTTCTTCACAGAATATAAACTCCAAGGTGGCGAGACCATATCTACTCTGCTCAACATTGTATTCTCCAAGGCAGAACACTGACACTGACAAAGTAGGCCTTAATAGATACTTGTGATTGAATATATGCACAAATGGATTACAAAGATTTACAAGGCATATTCTCTGGTCTTTAAGAAACTTATGATATAATAGTAGGATAAGCTAAATTTCAGGTCTCAGACCTGAGATCAAACATTCAAGAAAGAAAAGTATCAGAGACGTCAACTAATATGTGAGAAATTGCACAACTTTACCAACCATTTTTTTTTACCAGCCGCATTTTACAAACATATTCTCTGGTAGGAAACAGTTGGAGAGCAGTCCCAATCCAGAGCAATTCTCAGTGTCTTAAACCCAAGAGACATCTAGCAAAGCAGTGTTTTCTGATTCTTGTGCCTGAAGGGTCTCTCTTTATCTGTTCACATTTCATGGATGTTCAATAACTGAGTAATGTACATGGAGTGTTTTCCTAGCCTGGGTAAGAACAGTGCATCAGCTTCAGGGCCTTTAATTTTCTAGTTCCTATTACTAGTCTTAATTGGCCCTTTTTTTCTCCCTAAAATTATCTATTAGACAGCACCCAAAAGTAAAAAACAAATCTAGAAAATTCAACTCAGTTCCCCCCCAAAAAAAGAGTCAGGTGCACATTTATTTCCCTTATATCTGCTTTATTCTACAAAGAAATCTACATATGGTGATGAGTAGGCAATGTGGCATAGATAATATGGGAACAGAAATGTGACTCTTGTGAATAGATGCATTAAAAGATATTTTGGACTCACAAGATAGATTTAACATTTTCCAAAATGTACAAATTTAAGTGTGCCGTCAGTTTTCCTGTGGAGAGAATATAGCAACAAATGAGAAATGCTGAGCCCATAGGCATTTCATTAGCATCCAAACTTCACTAATGAATCCCAAAAATGTATTCAAGTTTCCCCGCTTATTGATGTTTTTAAAAGGAGTGACTGCAATTTAGAAATATTTTTGAAACTGGTGCTGATTATATAAGGATGATGCTCAAATACATCACAATTTATATCCCTGAAAACAGAAATGTTTTAATTTTTTTTTAATTTAAGGGAAACACACATTTAGAAGTCTCTTTTCATAAAAATTGTTATTTTTCTTTTATTAAAAAAAGAACCAGAACAATATGCCACATATGTTAGATGCTCGTTTGTATTTCATCTAATTCATCTATATTTTTTAAAATATTTAAAATGACCCATATGTTTTTATACATTCCAGTATATCATTCATTATTTTATAATTTTTGAACTAATGTTAATATATCTTGGAGATGATTAGTTTATAATCTTTAAACTACTTTTGGCTACCTGATTTTTTAAGTGTAATTTTTACTATAGCACCAACATATATTCTGTTGAGATATAATACTCTGAAACAGAAAAAGTTCTTCAGATTTTGCAGATATTATCCCCTTTGTACCAGGCATTAGGGGGCTCTAACATATCCAAGCCTAGTTGCTAAAGCTGAACAAAAACATGGCTCATTCTACCAGATGTGGATGGGATGCTTAGGAGGGAGGATACTCCTTGACCCTGGAAATAATCCAGGTGGACTGTGAGACTACTTGGTAACTTTTCTGTAGAGGAAGTTTAAGCAATAGATTATCAAGTGGAAGTTGAACTAGATGACCATATATTTCCTTTCAACTTGGAGATTTTAGAATTCTCTGATTCACTCTTACTTCCAGAATATGTGGGGATATTGTGATATCAGGGACTCCCAAATTCTACCAACTGGAAGGTTCTGTTTGTTAGAGACAGTATGATATGATTCACATATTCCTTAGGCCCTACATCACACCTTCTAATTTGTCTTAATATATACTTTTACCTTAAATATGAAAAAGAAAACATTTTAATACTTACTTAACTTTAGAACAGAAGAAGCAATCATTTTTATAAGTTTTGCCATCAGATCCACAAATTGGATCATACATATGATGACAAAATCTCTGTTGTCCTGGTGGTAACTTTTTATAATGACTGCAGTCAACCTGAAAAAACATATTAAAAACCTTCAACTCTTTCAACCAAATCTTTATTATCAGGATTTAGGATTTTTCAAGCAAGCTCAGAGGGCTCTCAATGCATGTTTCTTATTACAATTGTTGGTTCTCATCTACCCCCTTCAAGACATTTCAAATGTAAAGATGTTTTATGTCAGATATAAAATCATGACTGATAAACATCTTTACCATAGTTGGTTCCCAAATCATACCTTAATGTAAAAATAGATTTTTTTCTCACAATACTGGTTGATGTATCAGTTCTTAAAATACATGGCATATTCTCAAATGCAACCATTCTCATGGGAGTACTCAGAAGTGTGATATATTTTCTGTAGGAATTATCCTACTATTTCTGTCTTTCACTGAAAAAGCTCAATATGAATGCAAGTGTGAAATGTAGGGATAACTACTATCATTTTAATGACTAGTACATTACTGACAGATTTTTACTACTAATTATTGGTAACAATTTACTTGTTATATACTTCACCAGCACATAGATGAATATATCTTAATATTGTAGTTGGGAACCAGTGTTCTAAATTCCTAGAGCAAAGCCTGTGGAAGTAGGTAGGCAATTCCCAAGAAAAGTTTTTCATATTTTTTAAAAAATCTATGAGCATATAGAAGAGCATATAGAGTAAAGTCAAACACATCTGAATGCAAATTCTATGTGACCCTGTAAAAATTTTTTTACCTCTCTAAACTTTAGTTTTTTTATCTGTAAAATAAAGATAATAACCACATTGTAGGGTGGAAGTAAAAAATATGTAAATGAAAAGATATGTGTACAATGCTTAGCACTACATTGCATGGAAAATATTGAATGAATAATAGGCACAATTTTTTATCTTTTGATTTCTCTTTCAGGTCTACACAAACTCCAGCTGTATACAAAAGACTGCATCTCCAGCTTGTTTTGTCTGAGAGGTCTAGGCATGATATTTTATTAATTGTGGACTATCTCTACTTGAATAGCTTGGAATATACTCAAACTTAAAGTTGAATTCTTCCTTCCCTCCAGATGTGCTTCATTAATTAATTCATTCATTCATTCATCAGCTTCCATACACCTCCTGTTATCGGGCTAAGGTTAGTGGAGCTGATGCAAAGATAGGTATGCATGGCATAATGGCAGGAGGACCTTAGAGGCTAGTGCAGCAGAATAGAAACAGCAGTGCCTGATGATAAGTATATGCCAGCGTGATTTCACTTCCTCTTCTTGCCTGCTCAAATCCCAGGGAGACAGAGTTTATGTGATACTCAACAATGTGATGGGAAACTACCAAGCTCGTAACTTTCAGTAATCCTTTACATCCTCTCACAGCTACTAAATCATGAAGGATGGCTTGAACTCAGGCCCATCTGACTCCAAAATTTATATCCTTAACCCTATTATTTTCTTTAATAGGTAAAACAGAAGCCTCAAAGACATAAAATAAATTTCCCAGGCCCCAGTGTCACACAGTTAATAAGCAACAGAGTTTAGAGTGGAACTCAAATTGAGTACCAAATAAGATTTTTGCTACCACACCTAGATTTTTTCAACAATACTCATTACTGTAACCTGAGTCATGAATGGAAGGCTAAATTAAAGTCCTTATTTTCTAAGACAGAGAACAAAGATATGTGTGACCCATTTAAAAATTATAAGAATCATGACTTGCCCTTATTGAGTTTCACTCTATGCCAGGCACTGTGCTAAGCTCTTTTCAAATACTATGGCTTCAAGTCTTGGAATAATGTTATAAGTATGTTGCCCATGGCCACGTGATCAAAAACGTGGAATTAAAGACCAGGCCTTTCTAAATTTGTTGCTAGTGTCTCACCACCTTGTTCTACTCTCTCCATTTTAGAAAGATCTGCCTACAATTTTTGAAATAAAACCAGTTTTCATACACATAAAGTAAATATTCAAACATATAGAAATTTAATTACTGTGTAGTATCAAATATTTCCTTACTGATATTGACTTTAAAATTACATAAAAGTAGGATGGGTGTACTGACCATCTGTTTCGTCTGTTTGGCACATTCTATACCTGGAAGAAAAACAAAGACAAGGCAATATTAAACTCTGGAAGAACCTAATCTTACTAGAAAAAGAATCTTTGATTTATGCTTTAGCTTTCAGCCTGTCATAAAAATGTAAGTCTCTCTTCACAACTGTGTATCAGCATTGTATCAAAGGTTGAAGCTCTTCACACGTATCTTTAAATTTTTTTTCTTTTTTGGAGTGGGAGTGGAATCTAGTCAAAGAAATGGAAAAGATGCCACGATGAATGAGAATTTTGTCTTAATCTTTTTTACTTCATAACCAGAGCTCAGTAGAGACAGAAGAAATAAGTGAGTCATATTTAGGGAGATGTGCTATTGTGGACAGGTGTAGATGACAGATGTTGGAACAGTGGTTGAAAATTCTAGGGAGGCCAATTTTAACTCAATAATAGAAGAATAGCCCATGGTGCCAAACAATTGATTGTAATGTTTTATGAATAAATGAGTTCCCTGTAAATGGTGACATCAAGTCAAAGCAGAGTCTGGATGATCCTCTCCCTAAAAAATTATACAAAGTATTCTCATGAATAAGCATTTGACTTTAGATGACTGTTAACATCCACTCTACCCCTGAGGTGATGTGATTTAGCAATTCGTTGGTTGAGGCAAAAGATTCATTTTAAAAAGTTTCCCTTATTATTTATGTGATGAATTACATATATCCCAGAATTACATAGGCAGAAGACTGCATGAGCTATTAGTACAAGGGCAGGGGCAGTATTATCAGAGATACTCACTGAACATGGTTGCAAGTGTCAGAGCCAAGAGTAGGACTATGGCTGTTGCTCTCATAGTACTGAAGTGGCCAAGGCAGTCAGATGTAGGGAAAAGAAGTGACCTGGTGTCCGTCCAGCTCACTTTGATCCTGCCTTATATATTTTCAAGAATTCCTGCCTCAATTGTGAAATAGCAATTTCTAAGTAGTACAACTCCAGAAAGAGGTCAGAAATGTCTGCGAGCCATGGGGATTCTTTTCTTGTGAAAGACAGGTAATTGCACATGCCATTTTAATAGCTAGTCCCCAAACCCAGGCTGATGGATGAAGAATGAGATGGTAGCTTTGCTTTGAACTACAATTACGTACATAATCAGTGGCATTTTTCATTTCATACAATAACTTGCAATAGACAAGCCAGCAATCTTTTGGCCATGGTTTAATAAGTTTTAATTGTTCCTTAATTAAACCATGAGTCATTTGAATTCTTTAATAAAGGCTACAAAAGTGCTGATTTTGGAATGGGCTAGGTTTCAGATAGAGTGACTATGAGAAAACTCTGGAAGAAGCTCTTGCAGGTGTTGTAGGTAGAATTGGAGGACACTTTATACTACTAATGGAAGTATTAGTATCTAAGGCTGAATTTCACATTTATTTCCCTTCTAAAGTAAAGAGATAGCTGAAACTTATTCTGGTATGATCTGGGGACAAGATCATCATACTATCTCTGAGAGCTGAAACTTTGGGAATCTTGCACACCTGAACTAATTGCCAGCTACACCACTCTCCATGTGACCTTGTACAAGCTATTTATCCGCTATAAGCCTTGGCTTTTTTTAATCTTCATTTGATCATCTCATAAATATTAATGAGCATTTACTCTGTCTTAGAGACTGTATTTTATCTTGAATATGCCACAGTCCATGAAAAACTGACTGCTCTCATGTAGTTTGAGAAAGACCGTCTTCTTTTTTTTTTTGGAGACAGAGTCTTGCTTTATCACCTAGGCTGGAGTGCAGTGGCGTGATCTCAGCTCACTGCAACCTCTGCCTTCTGTGTTCAAGGGATTTTCCTGACTCAGCCTCCCAAGTAGCTGGGATTACAGGAGCATGCCACCACACCTGGCTAATTTTTGCATTTTTAGTACAGACCGGATTTCACCATATTGGCCAGGCTGGTCTTGAACTCCTGACCTCAAGTGATCTGCCTGCCTTGGCCTCCCAAAGTGCTGCAATTACAGGCATGAACCTCTGTGCCCAACCGAAAGACTCTTATCTTCTTGATCAAACTTATTTAAGGTCCTCTGGACCCTTTTCTTGACTAGGCCTTGGCATTGGCCCTCATTTTGTCTTTGGCCTCCCCAGCTCCCAATTTAGTAAAGAACTTACTAAATTTAGTTTTAGTAAAGAATCCTACTAAATCATAATCATCCCCCCCAATTCTTAATATCTGATCACCCTTGATATCTGATAAAGTTCCTTATCCTCCACCTCTGACATATAATTGCTTAGCCTGCCTTTAGTAAGAATCCTATTAGGTCTTTTTATCAAGAATCCCCCCTACCCTTAATGTCTTCTATTAAGTTTTCTATGCACTGACCCCCTCATTATTCTTCTTGGCTATAAATCCCCACTTGTCCCTGTTGTGTCCAGAGTTGAGCCCAATCTCTCTTTCCTATTATAATAATTCTATTATATTAGAATTAAAGGAATCACCCTGCAAAGGTGATGATAATAGCAATAACAGTAAGCATACTTACTGAGCACATACTATGCCTCGGGTACTAGTGTAACTGCTATAAGTATACTAACTCATTTAAATTTCAAAACAAGTTAATGAGACAAGTATTATTACAATCAAGAATTTAAAAATGAATGAAGTGAGGTACAGAGAAATAAGTTTTTCAAGGTCATAAGAGTAAGTAGTAGTCAGGGAAGAGGTGGGACTAGACTCCTGAGGCAGAGCTTGGACACTGGAACAAATTGGGAACTAGCCAAAACAGGTCCAGAGCATAAGGACTTCTCCATAAGACATGCCTCACAGTATGCCATGTCAGTTTACCATTGCCATGGCAACACCCAGACATTACTGCCCCTTTCCATGGCAATGACCTGACAACCCCATAGTTACCACCTTCATCCTAGAAATTTCTGCATAAGCTGTCCCTGAATTTGCATATAATTAAAAGTGGGTAAAATATGAGTGCAGAACTGCCTCTGAGCTGCTACTCTGGGCACACTGCCTATGGGCTAGCCCCGTTTAACTCAGCAAGGAGCAGTAGCTGTGCTGCTGCTGTATACTGCCACTTCAGTAAAAGATGCTGTGTAACACCATCAGCTCGCCCTTGAATTCTTTCCTGCACGAAACCAAGAACCCTCCTTGGCTAAGCCGCAATTTTGGGGCTTGCCTGTCCTGCATCAGTAGAGTTGGAAAATGCTATGTAAAAACATGACATATTAAACCGATAAAAGAAGTGTGCTGTTAGATGAAGTGGGAATGTGGGTATGTGGCAGCCTGGTTTCCTTGTACTCCTCTTTCCACAATGACCCCTGGATCATGCTCATGGAGTCCTCTTGGCTACTTGGAGTAATGGGAAGATCACTAGTCCAGATGAGAAGTTCCCAAATTTCAAAATCCGGACTGTGATAAAGTTTTTGTCATTATGAGGCAAAATATGAAAAATTTTTAAATGCTACCAACTTATTATTTGGGAACCTTATTTAAGACTCATCTTTAAATTAAAAAAAAATTACTGTATAAGTTTCTCAGGTGAGGTAAAGATGATCTCTAGAGTCCCATTTCTGACTTGAAGTGGGTATAATTCCTTGACAGTGAGTGAAGATGACCTTTATTCACTGACTTGTCAGGGAGCATCTCAGAGAGCAAGTAGAAAAATCCAAGTTAATGTGAGTTATTTAGCAGCCTCATTGTCAGTCCCACTTTTCCCTCTATGATGAGTCCAGCTCTTCACTTTAGTGGAACTTTAGAATAGTCCATGGTATTTTCTGAGGAGAGTCCAATAAAATTACAGCTACTGAAAAAGAGGGAGAAAGCCTGTTTAACATTGATATTTTGTTCTTGAGAAATATTTCAAAAAGCCTGGTGAACTTGAGTTCCCATTATGTACTACTGCTTTTGCACCACTTTTCCAATTATAATCTTCCAGATGTCCCCCACTTTATCTGTCGTGAATGCTCATCTAGCACAGATCCTAGAAAAACCTATTGGTATCGCTATTTACTTCCATTTTACAGAAGGTAAATGAGTCTCAGGTTAAATCACATTTCCAAGGTTTCAGATTAAACAACTTAATTTGTAATATGTGTGTGTTGGGAATGGGGTAAGTGAGCACAGCCTTATGGTTTACTTGAGAATTTACTGAACAACTCAGCCTGTGTGGCAAATCCCCTCAGATTCTCTATGGCATTTAACATTCTGAAGTAACTGCTGTGCTTTGAGGTTGCTCTTTTGGAGGCTGACCTCCTTCATAGGAACAGATTTATCACGTTACTAGTACCCACTTTACACAACAGTCAGGAAGAACACCTTTTTAAGTTTATAACTTTTTCTTTTGAATTTTCTATTGCAAGAATAGACCAAAGAACTTCATATGTACTCTTTGCCTTAAGGCCACATTCAAATTTTGCCATCTGTGCCATTTGCCATCAATGCCTTTATAGAAAACTGACCCCAAAGAGCAAGATACACTATTGTTATAATGGTCATATTCCTCAAATTGATCTACAGATTCAACATATTCCCTATCAAAGTCTCAGTTGGCTATCTGAGAAAGAAACTCACATTTTCCAATATTAAAATTTACTACAAAGCTATAGTAATCAAAACAGTATAATAGAGACATAAGGATAGTCCAAAAATAAATTCTTTTATGGTGAATTGATTTTTTGAAATATAGTTTTATTTTATTTTTAATTGACAAATAATAATTGTATACATTTATGGAGTACAATGTGATGTTTTGATGGATGTATACATTGTGGAATGATCAAATCTGGTTAACATATCAATCACTTCAAATACTTATCATTTTTTTGGAGAACATTTAAAATCCACTTTTTTAGCTATGTTGAAATATAGAATACGTTATTATTAACAGTACTCATGCTGTGCAATAGATCACCAAAACAGATTCTTCTTTTCTAACTGAAACTTTGCACCCTTTGGCCAGTGTCTTCCCTTTCCCTCTCCACTTCCCGACCCATAGCTTCTGGAAACAACCATTCTACTCTCTCCTACTATGAGTTTGATTCTTTTAGATTCCACATATAAGTGAGATCACGTAGTATTTATTTGTCTTTCTGTGCTTGGTTTATTGCACCTAGCATAATATCTTCTAGTTTCATCTATGTTGTCACAAATGACAGAATATCCTTCTTTTAAGGCTGAATAATATTCCATTGTGTATATCACATTTTAAAAATTCATTCCTCTAGAGGGGTGGAGCCAAGATGGCCGAATAGGAACAGCTCCAGTCTACATCTACCAGCATGAGTGACACAGAAGATGGGTGATTTCTGCATTTCCAACTGAGGTACTGGGTTCGTCTCACTGGGGAGTGCTGGACAGTGGGTGCAGGACAGTGGGTGCAGCGCACCGTGCGTGAGCCGAAGCAGGGCGAGGCATCACCTCACCCAGGAAGTGCAAGGGGTCAGGGAATTCCCTTTCCTAGTCAAAGAAAGGGGTGACAGATGGCACCTGGAAAATCGGGTCACTCCCACCCTAATACTACGCTTTTCCATCGGGCTTAGCAAACAGCACAACAGGAGATTATATCCTGCACATGGCTCGGAGGGTCCTACGCCCATGGAGAAACTCTATAAGCCAGAAGAGAGTGGGGGCCAATATTCAACATTCTTAAAGAAAAGAATTTTCAACCCAGAATTTCATATCCAGCCAAACTAAGCTTCATAAGTGAAGGAGAAATAAAATCCTTTACAGACAAGCAAATGCTGAGAGATTTTGTCACCACCAGGCCTGCCCTAAAAGAACTCCTGAAGGAAGCACTAAACATGGAAAGGAACAACCAGTACCAGCCACTGCAAAAACATGCCAAATTGTAAAGACCATCAAGGCTAGGAAGAAACTGCATCAACTAATGAGCAAAATAACCAGCTAACATCATAGTGACAGGATCAAATTCACACATAACAATACTAACCCTAAATGTAAATGGACTAAATACTCCAATTAAAAGACACAGACTGGCAAATTGGATAAAGAGTCAAGACCCATCAGTGTGCTGTATTCAGGAAACCCATCTCACGTGCAGACAAACACATAGGCTCAAAATAAAGGGATGGAGGAAGATCTACCAAGCAAATGGAAAACAAAAAAAGGCAGGGGTTGCAACCCTAGTCTCGGATAAAACAGACTTTAAATCAACAAAGATCAAAAGAGACAAAGAAGGCCATTACATAATGGTAAAGGGATCAATTCAACAAGAAGAACTAACTATCCTAAATAAATGTGCACCCAATACAGGAGCACCCAGATTCATAAAGCAAGTCCTTAGTGACCTACAAAGAGACTTAGACTCCCACATAATAATAATGGGAGACTTTAACACCCCACTGTCAACATTAGACAGATCAACGAGACAGAAAGTTAAAAAAGATATCCAGGAATTGAACTCAGCTCTGCACCAAGCAGACCTAATAGACATCTACAGAACTCTCCACCCGAAATCAACAGAATATACATTCTTCTCAGCACCACACCACACCTATTCCAAAATTGACCACATAGTTGGAAGTAAAGCACTCCTCAGCAAATGTAAAAGAACAGAAATTATAACAAACTGTCTCTCAGACCACAGTGCAATCAAACTAGAACTCATGATTAGGAAACTCACTCAAAAGCACACAACTACATGGAAACTGAACAACCTGCTCCTGAATGACTACTGGGTACATAACAAAATGAAGGCAGAAATAAAGATGTTCTTTGAAACCAACGAGAACAAAGACACAACATACCAGAATCTCTGGGACACATTCAAAGCAGTGTGTAGAGGGAAATTTATAGCACTAAATACTCACAAGAGAAGCAGGAAAGATCTAAAATTGAAACCCTAACATCACAATTAAAAGAACTAGAGAAGCAAGAGCAAACACATTCAAAAGCTAGCAGAAGGCAAGAAATAACTAAGATCAGAGCGGAACTGAAGGAGATAAAGACACAAAAACCCCTTCAAAAAATCAGTGAATCCGGGAGCTGGTTTTTTGAAAAGATCAACAAAATTGATAGACGGCTAGCAAGACTAATAAAGAAGAAAAGAGAGAAGAATCAAATAGATGCAATAAAAAATGACAAAGGGGATATCACCACCAATCCCACAGAAATACAAACTACCATCAGAGAATACTATAAACACCTCTAAGCAAATAAACTAGAAAATCTAGAAGACAGGGATAAATTCTTCAACACATACACTCTCCCAAGACTAAACCAGGAAGAAGTTGAATCTCTGAATAGACCAATAACAGGCTCTGAAATTGAGGCAATAATTAATAGCTTACCAAACAAAAAAAAGTCCAGGACCAGATGGATTCACAGCCAGATTCTACCAGAGGTACAAGGAGGAGCTGGTACCATTCCTTCTGAAACTATTCCAATCAATAGAAAATGAGGGAATCCTCCCTAACTAATTTTTATGAGGCCAGCATCATCCTGACACCAAAGCCTGGAAGAGACACAACGAAAAAAGAGAATTTTAGACCAATATCCTTGATGAACATTGATGCAAAAATCCTCAATAAAATACTGGCAAACCGAATCCAGCAACACATCAAAAAGCTTATCCACCATGATCAAGTGGGCTTCATCCCTGGGATGCAAGGCTGGTTCAACATACACAAGTCAATAAATGTAATCCAGCATATAAACAGAACCAAAGACAAAAACCACATGATTATCTCAATAGATGCAGAAAAGGCCTTTGACAAAATTCAACAACACTTCATGCTAAAAACTCTCAATAAATTAGGTATTGATGGGACGTATTTCAAAATAATAAGGGCTATCTATGACAAACCCACAGCCAATATCATACTGAATGGGCAAAAACTGGAAGCATTCCCTTTGAAAACTGGCACAAGACAAGGATGCCCTCTCTCACCACTCCTATTCAACATAGTGTTGGAAGTTCTGGCCAGGGCAATCAGGCAGGATAAGGAAATAAAGGGCATTCCATTAGGAAAAGAGGAAGTCAAATTGTCCCTGTCTGCAGATGACATGCTTGTATATCTAGAAAATCCCATCATCTCAGCCCAAAATCTCCTTAAGCTGATACGCAACTTCAGCAAAGTCTCAGGATGCAAAATCAATATACAAAAATCACAAGCATTCTTATACACCAGTAACAAACAGAGAGCCAAATCATGAGTGAACTCCCATTCACAATTGCTTCAAAGAGAATAAAATACCTAGGAATCCAACTTACAAGGGATGTGAAGGACCTCTTCAAGGAGAACTACAAACCACTGCTCAATGAAATAAAAGAGGATACAAACAAATGGAAGAACATTCCTTGCTCATGGATAGGAAGAATCAATATTGTGAAAATGGCCATACTGCCCAAGGTAATTTATAGATTCAATGCCATCCCCATCAAGCTACCAATGACTTTCTTCACAGAATTGGAAAAAACTACTTTAAAGTTCATATGGAACCAAAAAAGAGCCCGCATTGCCAAGTCAATCCTAAGCCAAAAGAACAAAGCTGGAGGCATCATGCTACCTGACTTCAAACTATACTACAAGGCTACAGTAACCAAAACAGCATGGTACTGGTACAAAAACAAAGATATAGACCAATGGGACAGAACAGAGCCCTCAGAAATAATGCCACATATCTACAACTATCTGATCTTTGACAAACCTGACAAAAACAAGCAATGGGGAAAGGATTCCCTATTTAATAAATGGTGCTGGGAAAACTGGCTAGCCATATGTAGAAAGCTGAAACTGGATCCCTTCCTTACACCTTATACAAAAATTAATTCAAGATGGATTAAAGACTTACATGTTAGACCTAAAACCATAAAAACCCTAGAAGAAAACCTAGGCAATACCATTCAGGACATAGGCATGGGCAAGGACTTCATGTCTAAAACACCAAAAGCAATGGCAACAAAAGCCAAAATTGACAAATGGCAACTAATTAAACTAAAGAGCTTCTGCACAGCAAAAGAAACCACCATCAGAGTGAACAGGCAACCTACAGAATGAGAGAAAATTTTTGCAACCTACTCATCTGACAAAGGGCTAATATCCAGAATCTGCAATGAACTCAAACAAATTTACAAGAAAAAAACAACCCCATCAAAAAGTGGGCAAGGGATATGAACATAGGCTTCTCAAAAGAAGACATTTATGCGGCCAAAAAACACATGAAAAAATGATCATCACTGGCCATCAGAGAAATGCAAATCAAAACCACAATGAGATACCATCTCACACCAGTTAGAATGGCGATCATTGAAAAGTCAGGAAACAACAGGTGCTGGAGAGGATGTGGAGAAATAGGTAAACTTACACTGTTGGTGGGACTGTTAACTAGTTCAACCATTGTGGGAGACAGTGTGGCGATTCCTCGGGGATCTAGAACTAGAAATACCATTTGACCCAGCCATCCCATTACTGGGTATATACCCAAAGGATTATAAATCATGCTGCTATAAAGACACATGCACACATATGTTTATTGCGGCATTATTCACAATAGCAAAGACTTGGAACCAACCCAAATGTCCAACAATGATAGACTGGATTAAGAAAATGTGGCACATATACACCATGGAATACTATGCAGCCATAAAAAATGATGAGTTCATGTCCTTTGTAGGGACATGGATGAAGCTGGAAACCATCATTCTCAGCAAACTGTCGCAAGGACAAAAAACCAAACACCGCATGTTCTCACTCATAGGTGGGAATTGAACAATGAGAACACTTGGACACAGGAAGGGGAACATCACACACCGGGGACTGTTGTGGGGTGGGGGCAGGGGGAGGGATAGCATTAGGAGATATACCTAATGCTAAATGACGAGTTAATGGGTGCAGCACACCAACATGGCACATGTATACATAGGTAACAAACCTGCAGGTTGTGCACGTGTACCCTAAAATTTAAAGTATAATAATAATAAAAATTCATTCCTCTGTTGATGGGCACTTTGGTTATTTCTATATCTTGGCTATTGTGAATAATGCTGCAATGAACATGGAAATGCAGACATCTCGTTGACTACCAGTTTCAGTTTCTTTGGATGTATACCCAGAAGTGGGATTGCTGGATAGCATGGTAATTCAATTTTTAGTTTTTGAGAAACTTTTATGTCATTTTCCAAAATGACTGTACTAATTCACAATCCCACCAACAGTGTACATATTCCTTTTTCTCACATTCTCACCAACACTTGTTATCTTTCATCTTTTTGATCCTAGCCAATCTAACAGGTGCAAAGTGATATACTATTGTGGTTTTAATTCACATTTCTCTAGTAATTAGAGATGTTGAGCATTTTTTCATATATCTGTTGACCATTTGTATGTCTTCATTCAAGAAATGTTTATTCAGGTCCTTGTCCCAATTTTAATAGTTTTTTTGTCACTGAATTGTTTGAGTTCCTTGTATATTTTGGATATATGGCGAATTGATTTTTGACAAGGGTGCCAAGACAATTCTTCGGAGAATAATCTTTTCGAAAATTCAGGCTGGGACAACTGGATATCCACATGCAAAATAACATAAGATACCACATATAAAAAGTAACTGAAAATGGATCAGAGAGTTACATGTAAAATCTAAAAATGAAATAACTTTTAGAAAAAACCCAAAGTGTAAATCTTAGTAACCTTTGAATAGGCAATGATTTCTTAGATATGACATTAAAAGTACAAGACAAAAGATATAATAGGTAAATTGGACATTATGAAAATTGAAAGATTTTGTGCCTCAAAGGACAGCTCACAGAATGAGAGAAAATATTTGCAAATCATGTATCTTATGAGACACTGGTATCTAGAATATATATAAAAAATTACAGTTCAATAATAAATCTGATTAAAAATGAGCAAAGGATTTGAATGGACATTTCTCCAAAGAAATGCAAAAGGTCAATAAGCACATGAAAAGACCGCTAACACCATTAGTTATTAGGGACATGAAAATCAACATCAGTTATCACTCCCCATCCATTAGGATGGTTAAGATAAAAAAGACAGGTGACGTGTTGGTGAATAGGTAGAGAAATTGGAACCATTATACATCGCTGGTATAAATGTAAATGAAAATGTAAAATGGTGAAGCTGCTTTGAAAAATAGTTTGGTAGCTCCTCAAAAAGTTAAACATAGAATTACTAGCAATTCCACTCTTAGGTATTTATTCAAGATTATTGAAAACATGTCCACACAAAACTTGTACATGAATGTACATAGCAGCCTTATTTATAAAACCCCAAATTGGAAACAACCCAACTATCCATCAATTTATGAATGATTGAATGTCATATATCCATGCAATGGAATATATTTCAGCTGTATAAAGGAATGAAATACTGATACATGCCACAACATGGATTAACCTTGAAAACTTAATGCTAAGTAAAAGAAGCCAGACACAAAAAGCACATATTGCATGATTTTATTTATATATAATGTCAAGAATAGCAAGTCCACAGACAGAAATTAGATTAGTGATTCCCAGGGGTTGGGAGGATAGTAGGGGGGTAGATAGGAGTGACTGCTAAGGGAATAGTTTCTTTTTGGTATAATGAAATGTCCTGGCATTAGATAGCGGTGATGATTGCACAATTTTGTTAACAGACCAGAAACTACTGAAATTTATATTTTAAAAACATGAATTTTGACTCTCTCTCTCTCTCTGAGGGTACAAAAAGCCATGAATTTTATGCTTTGTAAATTATTTCCCATTAATAATAATAATAATAATAAGACCCATTCAGGATCATGCATTATCATGTTCTTCAGTCTTCTTCAAGGCATAACATTGAAACAGTGCTTTCTTGGTTTTGGAAGTTATAGACCAGTGATTTTGTAGAATGTTTCTGAATTTGAGTTTGTCTGATATCTCATAATGATTATATTCAGGTTGTGCATTTTTGTTAGAGAAATCGAAACGTTATTCTGTGTTCTGCATATTGTATCTTTTCAGCCAGTATATATGATGTTGATTTGCCTATCATTAATGATGTCAACTTTGATCACTTGAGTAAGGGCAGTGTCTGAATGATTTTTCTACTATAAAGTTACTCTTCTTTCATAATTAATAAACTTTATGACGAGATTCTTTGAGATTATGTAAATATCTCATTTTATGTTGCAAACCCATACTATTGAGCTCAATAGGCCATGTTTTAATGGGATAAACTATGTAAACGAATGTGTATAATCTTTGTATGTTCCAAGTTATACATTCTCCTTTTCACTTTCTAATATCAATTTCTAACGAATAGAAATGTTTTCATTTTTCAAGCAAGGGGAAAAAAACTTGAAAAATTACTGGTTGTATTTCTTTAATATGCCATGCATGTTGCAAAGAAAGTGATTTATGTTTTTAGGCCTTAGTAAATATTGGAGAAGGATGGGCATTCAGATCATAATTGTTTCTTTAGATTTTTGTAGGACATTATAGTTTATAAAGCATGTTTGCATGCATTATCTCATCTGACTCCCACAATATACATGTCTAATTAGGGGTGATTATTCTCTTTATTTTATAAGTAAGGAAAGAAATACTTTAGATACACATTAAATTACTTTCGCGGGCTACATACCTTGTAAATGTTCAGGTTGCGTTAAGCCCATGAGTCTCCTGGGTTCATTGTGTTCTCCTGAGCTGCTTGGTGGAGTTTTATAATGAAAACAATGATGAGAAGGATTCATAAAGACCATAAAGATGCAAATGCTGATTGATCACACAGAGAGACAAATCTCAATGAAATCACTTCTTCTCCAATACCTAACCTTCAAAAGGTAAAATTTTAAAAACAAATTTACTTCACATTCATATGACGGCAAGTTAGCAGCTTCCCATGTGGGAATGATTTACTCTTCCTAAGAATAAAGAAGGAAAGAAAGTTAATAAAGTTAATATATATGTCATTGTAAGAAATACTTATAAATTCCATTGACATTAAACAGTTTATAATGAAAAACCAGTCTTTTATCATCAGCATCACACTTCAGTGGGAACTCATTTGAACCATTTCTGTTTTTAGATTATTGCCATCATAATTCTTAATAATATACATCTATTGCCTTACAAGCTAAAATTATTTGTTGACTCCCACCTATGGAGGAAAAAAGTATTAATTTACATTTCCTTTTCATTCATCCCAGTTTTTGATAGGCATATCATGACTTTTTAAAATTCTGCTTGTTAACTTTGTAACCTAAAGTAATGTACTTTAGTCACTATTTCTATGTCATCATCTTTAGACAGTATCTCATAACCCAATAAGTAGTTCATCTGTCTCCATACACTTCCCTCAATCAGCATTTTTGTCTAGCGATTTTTCACCTCTATTTTTACTTTTATATTTCATACATTAAAAATATGCATGTTCTGTTCTGTATTCCATAATTGTATCTTCTATATTTTGCTTATAGGCGGGTTTTAAAATTTGAACAGCAATAACTATTTTTAAATTCATTTATAAATATTAAAAGGATTCTGGGAATGTATCCATTGTAGACCAAATCTAGACTTCAATTTCAGAAAGATTGGGGATACTTTTAAGGTCGTGAGTTTTGATAAATGCTGGAAGAAAAAGGTCAGCATTATCAACAGTCTGGTGTCTACTTTGGATGTCATATAGATTGCAGAACTAAGCCTGCCCTGGTCTCCTATGAAGCTAGATGTTTCCTTAGCTTTCTTATGTAAGTCTGCAGAACAAACGTTATTTAGACCCTGAGCCAGTAGACCCGTCTGCCACTTACAGCCCTACAACTGGGCTATGAAAGTGTTTTGTAAACTATAAAGTTCTTTATAGATATACGTACTAGGTCATATCATAGTAGAAGGAATTTGATTTCCAGGTATCATAAGATATAGTGGATAAAACTCTGGAAATAGTATTTGGTCCCTGAATTGATTGGGACTAAGCAGACCTGGGTTCTTCTCTTGGACTTCCACATAAGCAATGAAGCATTTTCAGCTTTTGGAGCTCAGTGTTTCCATCCATAAAATGAGGCTGTTGACTGGCTCTCTTCCATTCCTGACAGTGAGGAATTATTAAAGTAAAGACGTATATTTTGTGCACATTCTATATCATTGTTCCATTGATATCTTTACCTGATCTTCATGTACAGTTGGCAGGGATTGACATAAGTTTTTCTATGTGTACCACACACAGGGGTAAAGATGAGCTCCCAGTGTCAGAGTATACTTGTGTTATGATCAATGTATCTATTACAGAGTATACCTGTGTCATATCAATATATCTATTACAATTTACCTGCAAGCTTTCATGTACACAGGCTGTAGACTATAGTGATTAAACATATGGGGTATAAAGTCAAATCATCAAGGCAAAAATGCTAACTAACTTTGTGGTTTTCTATAAATACCTTCTTGCCAAATCTCAGTGGATAACAGGAAATTTCTCATAGTATAATTGAGAGAAATAAATGAAATAACAAACATAAAACATATTTCACAAGTTCTAGTCTAAAACAACTGTTAGCCATCATTATCTTAGATTATTTGAAAGTTAGACAAAAAAAATTGCTAGGGCTTTTGAGTAGTATACAGTCATTGTGAGGAAATACTCAATATAAAATATCTTTATTTTTACTCATACAAATTGATTACTGCAAACTATTTCCTGCAATTATTTATTCATTGGGAAACAATGCTTTTCTTTGTGGGTAAGTAATGACTTGGGGAGATCTCAGCTTCATTGATGCTTTCTCAAAACTGATTTTTGCTCATACAGGTCATATGTTAGACATAATGTAAAGATATTTTAGTTATAACTTATTTTCCCTAGATTTTAAGTCAATGATACCATACTGATGTTGAAAATCAGGGTGGCATAATGAAAAGAGGATTGGACTTGGACTTGGAATTAGAATATATGGCATTTAATCCTAGGTCCCCACCTATGCTTTCTAGCTTAATTTCCCTCGTTTGTTAAAAAAAAAAAAAAAAATTGCACCAGTCCATCCTATCACAGAGAATAAAATTAAGAAATTCTCATTAAAATGTTTTAAAATTCATTTCATCTTCCATCACTGATACCCTTTCTTCCAGTTGATCGCATCGGCTCCTGAGGCTTTTGCATTCTTCATGTAGTTCTTGAGCCTTGGCTTTCAGCTCCATCAGCTCCTTTAAGCACTTCTCTGTATTGGTTATTCTAGTTATACATTCGTCTAAATTTTTTTCAAAGTTTTCAACTTCTTTGCCTTTGGTTTGAATTTCCTCCTGTAGCTCGGAGTAGTTTGATTGTCTGAAGCCTTCTTCTCTCAACTCGTCAAAGTCATTCTCCATCCAGCTTTATTCCATTGCTGGTGAAGAGCTGCGTTCCTTTGGAGGAGGAGAAGCGCTCAGCTTTTTAAAGTTTCCAGTTTTTCTGCTCTGTTTTTTCCCCATCTTTGTGGTTTTATCTACTTTTGGTCTTTGATGATGGTGATGTACAGATGGGTTTTTGGTGTGGATGTCCTTTCTGTTTGTTAGTTTTCCTTCTAACAGACAGGACCTTCAGCTGCAGGTCTGTTGGAGTTTGCTAGAGGTCCACTCCAGACCCTGTTGGCTTGGGTACCAGCAGCGGTGGCTGCAGAACAGCAGATTTTCGTGAACCGCGAATGATCACGTGAACCGCGAATGATCACGTGAACCGCGAATGCTGCTGTCTGATCATTCCTCTGGAAGTTTTGTCTCAGAGGAGTACCCGGCCATGTGAGGTGTCAGTCTGTCCCTACTGGGGGGTACCTCCCAGTTAGGCTGCTCTGGGGTCAGGGGTCAGGGACCCACTTGAGGAGGCAGTCTGCCCGTTCTCAGATCTCCAGCTGCGTGCTGGGGGAACCACTGCTCTCTTCAAAGCTGTCAGACAGGGACGTTTAAGTCTGCAGAGGTTACTGCTGTCTTTTTGTTTGTCTGTGCCCTGCCCCCAGAGGTGGAGCCTACAGAGGCAGGCAGGCCTCCTTGAGCTGTGGTGGGCTCCACCCAGTTAGAGCTTCCCAGCTGCTTTGTTTACCTAAGCAAGCCTGGGCAATGGCGGGCGCCCCTCCCCCAGCCTCGCTGCCGCCTTGCAGTTTGATCTCAGACTGCTGTGCTAGCAATCAGCGAGACTCCGTGGCCGTAGGACCCTCCGAGCCAGCTGCGAGATATTATCTCGTGGTGCGCCGTTTTTTAAGCCCATCGGAAAAGCGCAGTATTCAGGTGGGAGTGACCCGATTTTCCAGGTGCCATCTGTCACCCCTTTCTTTGACTAGGAAAGGGAACTCCCTGACCCCTTGCGCTTCCTGAGCGAGGCAATGCCTCTCCGTGCTTCGGCTCGCGCACGGTGCCCTGCACCTACTGTCCTGCGCCCACTGTCTGGCACTCCCTAGTGAGATGAACCCGGTACCTCAGATGGAAATGCAGAAATCACCCATCTTCTGCGTCGCTCACGCTGGGAGCTGTAGACCGGAGCTGTTCCTATTCAGCCATCTTGGCTCCAGCCCCCACAACCCTTCATGCTAAAAACTCTCAATAAATTAGGTACTGATGGGATGTATCTCAAAATAATAAGAGCTATCTATGATAAACCCACAGCCAATATCATACTGAATGGGCAAAAACTGGAAGTATTCCCTTTGAAAACTGGCAAGACAGGGATGCCTTCTCTCACCACTCCTATTCAACGTAGTGTTGGAAGTTCTGGCCAGGGCAATTAGGCAGGAGAAGGAAATAAAGGGCATTCCATTAGGAAAAGAGGAAGTCAAATTGTCCCTGTTTGCAGATGACATGATTGTATATCTAAGAAACCCCATTGTCTCAGCCCAAAATCTCCTTAAGCTGATACGCAACTTCAGCAAAGTCTCAGGATACAAAATCAATGTACAAAAATCACAAGCATTCTTACACACCAATAATAGACAAACAGAGAGCCAAATCATGAGTGAACTCCCATTCACAATTGCTTCAAAGAGAATAAAATACCTAGGAATCCAACTTACAAGGGATGTGAAGGACCTCTTCAAGGAGAACTACAAACCACTGCTCAATGAAATAAAAGAGGATACAAAGAAATGGAAGAACATTCCATGCTCATGGGTAGGAAGAATCAATATCGTGAAAATGGCCATACTGCCCAAGGTAATTTACAGATTCAATGCCATCCCCATCAAGCTACCAATGACTTTCTTCACAGAATTGGAAAAAACTACTTTAAAGTTCATATGGAACCACAAAAGAGCCCGCATCACCAAGTCAATCCTAAGCCAAAAGAACAAAGCTGGAGGCATCATGCTACCTGACTTCAAACTATACTACAAGGCTACAGTAACCAAAAAAGCATGGTACTGGTACCAAATCAGAGATATAGATCAATGGAACAGAACACAGCCCTCAGAAATAACGCCACATATCTACAACTATCTGATCTTTGAAAAACCCGACAAAAACAAGCAATGGGGAAAGGATTTCCTATTTAATAAATGGTGCTGGGAAAACTGGCTAGCCATATGTAGAAAGCTGAAACTGGATCCCTTCCTTACACCTTATACAAAAATTAATTCAAGATGGATTAAAGACTTACATGTTAGACCTAAAACCATAAAAACCCTAGAAGAAAACCTAGGCATTACCATTCAGGACATAGGCATGGGCAAGAACTTCATGTCTAAAACACCAAAAGCAATGGCAACAAAAGCCAAAATTGACAAATGGGAGCTAATTAAACTAAAGAGCCTCTGCACAGCAAAAGAAACTACCATCAGAGTGAACAGGAAACCTACAAAATGGGAGAAAATTTTTGCAACCTACTCATCTGACAAAGGGCTAATATCCAGAATCTACAATGAACTCAAACAAATTTACAAGAAAAAAACAACCCCATCAAAAAGTGGGCGAAGGACATGAACAGACACTTCTCAAAAGAAGACATTTATGCAGCCAAAAACACATGAAAAAATGCTCACCATCACTGGCCATCAGAGAAATGCAAATCAAAACCACAATGAGATGCCATCTCACACCAGTTAGAATGGCAATCATTAAAAAGTCAGGAAACAACAGGTGCTGGAGAGGATGTGGAGAAATAGGAACACTTTTACACTGTTGGTGGGACTGTAAACTAGTTCAACCATTGTGGAAGTCAGTGTGGTGATTCCTCAGGGATCTAGAACTAGAAATCCCATTTGACCCAGCCATCCCATTACTGGGTATATACCCAAAGGACTATAAATCATGTTGCTATAAAGACACATGCACACGTATGTTTATTGCGGCATTATTCACAATAGCAAAGACTTGGAACCAACCCAAATGTCCAACAACGATAGACTGGATTAAGAAAATGTGGCACATATACACCATGGAATACTATGCAGCCATAAAAAATGATGAGTTCATGTCCTTTGTAGGGACGTGGATGAAATTGGAAATCATCATTCTCAGTAAACTATTGCAAGAACAAAAAACCAAACACCGCATATTGTCACTCATAGGTGGGAATTGAACAATGAGGACACATGGACACAGGAAGGGGAACATCACACTCTGGGGACTGTTGTGGGGTGGGGGGAGCGGGGAGGGATAGCGTTAGGAGATATACCTAATGCTAAATGACGAGTTAATGGGTGCAGCACACCAGCATGCCACATGTATACATATGTAGCTAACCTGCACATTGTGCACATGTACCCTAAAACTTAAAGTATAATAATAATAAAATTTAAAAAAATACAAATAAATGTTTTAAAATGATAAAATTCTGTTTGAAAACAAGATTTAAAAATTTAAATGAATGCAATAGCTTTAAAACAACTTTTACAAAACTTGATAAATCATATACAGACTCAAACTAATGTTTGGTCTCACTAAGAATATCTAAAAAAGAAGAAAACAGTGAAAAGGATCAAAATTTGCTCTTTAAAATTATTTGCAGACAAGAAGTTTTTAAAATTCGTAGTCAATTTAAGAACTATTTTCCATTTTCCATCAGACAATTTTGTGATGTGATTTAGCACTTACCATTTTTTACCCTAAGTATGGTCGTAGACTTTATGGATGACAGAGAGGGAGTGCTCATTAATAACCAGATGCTTACCAGAGGAAAACCAAAATACCAGAATGAGGACAAGCAGGATGTGACCAACAACTTGGAGAAGACTGTTTCTTTGCTGTGGATACTGTGTTGAGTGAATGTTCCGGCTAAATTCTTGTCCAAATAGACCTATTTGCATGGATCTGCACAGAGGCTGCTGGGAGAGGGTGAGTTGTTATGAGCCAGTTAGTAAGAGAAGTAGAGGTTGGGTTCCATTCTCACTTGCCAGGAAGGACTCTGGTGAATAACCACAGTTCTGCCATGCTGGGCTCAAATGAAATTTCACCTTCTCTAAGAGAGATTTCCTGTTAATCTCATGCAGTAGTGATATTGCTTTCAACCGGGACCCTCTTGTATTGAGCTGGGTCAGACATCTATCTCTGAATTTTCTAATTCTGAATATATACCAATTAAAAAAAATTAGATTGTTTAGGGCTTTCTTCAGTTCTATTGAATGATAATTTGTAGGGTGGAGTCCTGGCATCTTTATTTTAGTTCATTCCTCATTATTCTTATGCAGCAAGCCTGGTATTTGCAAACACGTCAGATTTTATTCTAATGATGTTTCTATATTGTAAACATGATCCTTGGCGTATTCAGCTGCATTAATAGAAGGGAAGGTTTAGTAGAGAGGTGGTAGTTTTAATTTCTCTGTATCTGTCGGAAAAAAAAAATTTTGGTGATTAGTCTATTTTTGGACAACATACTAACATATTTTAAGATGGACAATGCCTAATTGTAACAGATCCAAGGAGTATGGTCCAGGATAGAAATATTATAAGGGAAATAACACTTGAGAAAAAAGGGTTGAATTAACCAGAGATTTTTATCCTGGAGAAAATAAATTTCAATGGAGACAGAATATTCATTTTTAAATAATGAAAATTCTGTTAATTGGCAAAAAGGGTGAACTTCTTTGTTATATAGTCTCACTGGCGCTGATGGTTGATAGCCTCATGAATGTAGTCTTCAATTCTAGACAAGTAGAACATCTCAACAATCAGATCTCTACAACAATGGACATGCTTCCTGTTGAAGCAGTGGCTTTCCCATCAGCACTCTAGAAGAGCTGGCCTATGAGAAATTGTGGTATGTTTCTGGAAAGGAATAGGAAGAAAAACTTCCCTTCCAGAAATGACTTCTTGGAACAAGAGAGGTTCTCTTTTAAGGGTCTTTTAAAAAAAGAGACCAATGTAAAGCAACAGTATAGTACATAGACTTGTCGCTAGTGGATAAAGACTCCAGGAGAAGGTGTGGTGTTCACTGGCATTTGTGTGTGTGTGTATGTCTATGTATCGTGTGTGTGTGTTTGTGTGTGTGGTGTGCATGTGTTTCTTGGAAGCTGATTGGGATTCTTTGTATAAAAGTATTTCCTAAACATCAAGACTTGTGTGTTTTTCAATTTTCTTTTATAATTGTGTTATTTTATACCCCGATCTAAGAAACAAACACAAACAGAAGCAAAGATAAACTTTCTGGGAGATTATTTTTTTATTGACGTGTTAAAAAAAAAATGCTGGTCTGTCAGTGAGGCATGGGTTTGTAGGGGTAGCACAGAAACTTTCTCCATTCAGTCAAGATTACTCTGAATCTGGCTCTGTCCCCCACCCAGAACATCAGTAAAACTGAAAGAAACTCAGTCAGAGCCTGGGATGATGAAGATGATGATGAGAATATCATTCCTTTCTCTCTATGTCCATGGAGAATTTAGCAACTTCCATCGTGAAGAAACTGAACTCTTCCATTACTTTTCCTAAGGGAAGACACAGTTCACAAGATTCATTAGCACAAGAGGAAATTTTATGTAATGTTAGAGCTGAAAGGAACTATAGAGATTATGAGGCAGCACCTCATTTTACAGATAAGGAAACTGAGTCTCAGAAAATGAATGACCTTGCCAAAGCACATTCTGACAGAGGAAGAAGCAGAATTTCCCTAGTCCAGTGATAATTCCACCCCTCTGCTGCCTCCTCTGATTCCAGAGCCCCACTGACCACCCAGTGTCTTAACACAACAAAGAAAGAGTACTCTGACAAAATTGAGAGGGCCTGTCTCTCAGCTTTTCCTGGTCAGCAAGTCCTTTGACGAAGCTGGATCCTGCATTAGTGAGGAGGACTTTCATCATGTTTCTCTCCAGTGTCCCTTGAAAACAGCTAGTTTCCTGGCCAAGGGCTAGTTTCCCAGTCTGCCTATGTTACAGAATTTTCCCTTTTGTGAAATAAAACCTCCCAAATAGGAATAAATACATAGACATGTCCTTTTGGGCTAAGGGCTTGTTGTTCTCACTTGTTAAGATAATCACAAAGATGAAAACGCAAGATCTAAGTGTCCAAAATCCAGTGGCCTAAAAGAGTTAACGATGATCACAGCAGACTTGCTATGAGACAGTTAAGTGTAATTTGCATGTCTTGTACCAAAGAAGTGACATCTGCCTAGCTACATTTCTGCAAAAACATTTTGTGGGCCAAAGAAAATACCTAAACAAAACATGTCCGTGGTATTCTGGTCCAAATACTGACAGCTTGCATCCCTTATTTTAGATAAAGGAAAAGTAATCATTTTTGTAGCCTTATTCCCCCCTTAAAGCTACAGATACTTAGAGCCTCTAGAAATTCGAAGATAAAGAACCTCTAGGGACACTTTGTCTAAGAATCAAGCTGCAGTGAGGATGTTAATTATCTTAGAATCTAAGTCAGGTAGTGTAGTAGTTTTCAATTATTTTATGGGGGGTGGGGATTCAGGGCCCTTTCTTCAAGCATGATATTGTATGGCACTCCACTACTTAAAATAGTCAAAGCTGAACTTTATGTTGTCAACTACCCCAAATAGTCCCTTTAACCCTAATGGTGACTCCTGACTTGCCTCTATAGAACCTCTGTGCTCTGGGGACAGCAGTTTGAGAATCCACAGCCTTACTGGATTCTCACAATTGACAGACAGGAACTGGAGGTTCTGTGATGGGATGGGACTAGTCCAAGCTGGCAGAGCAGGTGACTCTACCCTGTCTGATTGTGCAACAGTCAGTTTTCTATCCCCACCTGCTGTTCTGGGTGGGAATAATTATAAATTACAGCTTATAGAGATTTAAGCTGGATCCTGGAAAGTAGAAGCGTTTGTAGTAGAGAGCACTGACTCCAGATCTCATTTTCTTCTTATGAGGTACTCACAAGCTCTCGGTACACAAGTGACATTCATTCCCATAGGTGATGTAGTCAGAACCACAAACTGGTAGGTATGTGATGGGGCAGGGGATGGCCACCACTGGATACTTCTTGTAAATGCTGCAGTCCACCTGTGTCATATACAAGCAAATGTCCTGTTTTTCTCCCAGACCCCAAGCTAGGCCACTATTAGATATACTACAAGGGCTGGAAGTCCCAGCTCAGATATTCAGATGTTGCTTGGCCACTTCTTTAAGTACTAGTGTTATCACTATGACAAATACTAGCACTACTGGTATTCTATTTTTTTCTGCTACACTCAGTTAACAATTGCTGGGCATTTCTGGGCTAGGCGTTAAACTTAAATCTTGCATGAATTTTCTTGTTTAATCTTCAGAACAACTAGAGTAAATTCTACTATTACCTCTCTTTACAAATGTGAAAATTAAAGCTTAGAAATAGAGATAACTTGTTGAAGATAAATGCTGGTAAGTAGTAGAGTTAGGATTTGAATCTAGAGCCTGTGCAATTTATCAGGGTACTTTTGCTCTGCCTTTTACACGTTATGCCTTTTATGAAAACATCACCAACTTCTCAGCTGGAAGGCGGTTCTCCCTTCTTTAACTCTGGCATTTTTAAAAAACATTTTTAAAATATGGTTGTTTATATGTATGTCATATTTGTTTAGTTGCCTTCTGGAGAACAGGTACCATTTCTCCATGTGTGTTTGCCTCCCTCTCGAATCCCCCTAAACATAATTTATCCTACATATATGTTGACTAAATGACAGTCAATAGTTATTGACATTAAAATGTTATTCAACATACTTACTTTTTTTGGAGACAGACTAGCAGCTTCTGAAAAAGAGATACAGATGAAGATGTTAAAAGTAAAGCAAACTTTAAATCTCATTAATTAATATAAGTTTCATCCTATATAATTACTCTACATTTCCTTTAGCAATGAGATTCAGCACACTCTCCATCCTTATGCAAAATCCTAGTTGTTTGCTGAGGAAGTTGAATGGCCAATGGGTTAGGTTAACCCTTGGTTTAGGTAAGAGAATTATAAAAATTTCCTCTATTTATTGATCATGGAATGTTTTCTGAACCTCATAGTGTTTTTGATAATGGCCAAAGTCAAGTAGCAATAAGAAGTATTAAAATCATCACTCCTAAGAGCCTGAAGGATCATCTCTGATATCCTTTCCTTCCCAATTGACATAAAGAAATGCAATTGAATGTCTTTATGTGGTTGGAAACACTTTAATTAATTTTTCACAGTATAAAAGTCTAATTGTTGACCCTTGGCTTTTTGAGACTTGTGTTTTATTTTAATCCCCCCAAACTGATTTGGGAAGACATCCAAGTTTTTCTGTATCTTTGCACTAAGAAATGGTATATCTAATAACACTGACAACTTCCAGTGTCCATATGAACATAGAAATGGAAGACTTACAGAGAAATTAGATCATTTTTTGTTCTATGGATGCAAATAAGAATCCTTGAAAGTGAAGACATTGGACTCAAGTCTCTCAAACTCCAGATGGAACATAAGATCCTATTACAAACCAGTACACTTTAAATTCTTACAACCAGATGTTTCTGAGATGCTCACATCGCAGGAGGGATTATTTATGAAAACAATCTTAATGGCTATATAGGGCACTGTCTGACCTTAACTTACCTGAGCTGCTACAGAAATAGACCACTGTACAGAGCAGAAGGAGACCCCCAGTGATCTTCATGCTGGAAATGGCTGTGGTGTAGAAGCTGCTCTGAGATTGTCACTACAGCTGCATCGACCATATCCCAGGTAAGGGGTCATGTTTATATATATGCAAGGCTTGGTTTCTCCGCCTTTCCTGTGAGGTCATCCAGAGGATCTCAAAGCACGGTGCCACACCCTGGGCTGTGTTACAGTCCTTGTTACTGAACTGCCACTTCTTATCTGACCAATGATTTGATTATTTGAGGTAAGAAGTATTTTCTATCTTCCCCAAAGGTGGGACTGTTAAGAATTCTAAACTTCATGAACTAGAAGAGACTAAGTATGAGCTTCTTGACTTAGTTATGAAATAAGTGAAAATCTCAAACCTCCTTTATTTTACGAAACTGGAATCTATTAAACCCCGATTAGACTGATTACACCTACGTTTATATCTTGGCACCTGGGGAAATATTGTTTATTTTTGAGGCAATGAACCAATGAAGCAAACTGGGACCTAATGGAAGGAACACTGACATTAGCATTTATGAGGTATGGAGAAAAGCACTAACATAATACTTCTGATATTTTCTACCTGTATAATCTTGGATAAGTCGTTATATGCTGTGAGCCTTTATCAATCCAAAAGGCTTGGTTATGTCGTGATAACATGTAACCACAAGATTTCTGTGAATTAAAACAAAACTTTGTTTCTTACTCAAGCTACACTTGTATGGTAGTCAGCTGTTCATGCTACATTGCCTTCACTGTGGATGCCAAGTGGGCAGAGTCATCACTATTTGGAACACTGTAGTCAAGGTGAAGTGAAGTTGAGTTCGTTCTCAAGGAGTTCTCATTTTAGCAATTAAAACTTCCAGCCCAGAGCAATACTGCTGTCACTTCCCCTCATGGTCTCGTGGCCATCACATGCTTTGTTATGTATGGAGTGAGTGCAATCAATCTGATGTGGTTTAGCTGTGTCTCCACCCAAATCCCATCTTGAATTGTAGCTCCCATAATTCCCATATGTTGTGGGAGGGACCTGGTGGGAGATAATTGAATCATGGAGGCAGTTTCCCCCATACTGTTCTCATGGAAGTGAATAAGTCTCACAAGATCTGATGGTTTTATAAGGGGTTTCCCCTTGCACTTGGCTCTCATTCTCTCTTGCCTGCTGCCATGTAAGACATGCCATTCACTTTCTGCCATGATTGTGAGGCCTCTTCAGCCATGTGGAACTGTGAGCCCATTAAACTTCTTTTTCTTTATAAATTACCCAATCTTGGGTATGTCTTTATCAGCAGCTTGAAAACAGATTAATACACAGTCTTACCTTGTCCTGACCTGTTCCCTGACCTGAAGGTTGGATGAAGAACTAGAATAGTTGGCAAACAACAGAGACCATCCCAGAGACTGAGTTTCATCCCAGTCCAATAGGGCCTGTTGTTAGCCACAATAGAGTTCACATAATTGGAATCATATACATAAAAGTCTGCTCTAAAGCACAGTGCATTTAATAATATTATTGTGATTGTTATTATTATTTACAAACCAAGAGTTAATGCTATGAGTTGCTGACATTAGATTGTAAACTGTATTGTCCATGCACAACTGTCCAAATAGCTGCAGTTTGCTTATTGAGTTTAAGGACATATGTATGAAGACCTGGGGGAAGGCAGTAGACTGTCCCACTAGTTTACTGCTTGGCAGGTTTATTTTAGTACATTCTAAAACTAGCATCTACAAGACATATTAAGTGACTAATAAATGATATTGCATAATCTCTAATATTTTACTCCTATATCTGTTTGGGAGGCAATGTAATCTAGTAGTTAAGAGCATGGGCATTGAGTAGATCCCATTTAGAATCTTTCTTCTAAAAAATGTTGACTGTGTGTCTTTTAGTATTTAGGTTAACATCTGATACTTTAGTGTCTTCATCCTTATGACAGAAATAATATTTACCTCATAGGTTGTTTTGAGTGTTAAATTAGATTTTACAGACACACACTCTCTCACACACACACATTATACATTCAACTCTTGAACAACATGGCGTCCGGGGTGCTGACACCACCACAGTTGAAAAATTAACATACAATTTTTTTATTTTTCAATAATTTAACTATTAATATCCTTAATATCCTACTGTTGACCTTATTAATAACATAAACAGTTAATCTACACGTTTTGTATGTTACATGTATTATACACTGTATTCCTACAACAAAGTAAGCTAGAAAAAAGAAAATGTTATTAAGAAAATTGTAAGGAAGATAAAATATATTTACATTAATTAAGTGGAAATGGATCATCATAAAAGTTTTCATCTTTGTTGTCCTCATCTTGAGTAGACTAAGGAGAAGAAGAAAGAGGAAAAGTTGATTTTACTGTCTCAGGAGTGGCAGAGGTAGAAGAAAATCTATGTATAAGTCAACATGTGCAGTTCAGACCAATTTTATTCAAGGGTCAACTGTGCATATAATCTCTTATGGATGCATGTCTGTGAGGTGTCTGTGTGGTATGCTTGTGTGGTTTGTATGTATTTGTGTATTAGGGCACCAAGCTCATAATTAGATCTTGATATATGGTAGCTAATAATATGGAATGTGCTCTTTATAACAACTCATTAAGGAAGGAGTTTTTGTTACCCTAGTTTTGCCAGTGAGTAAGTTAAGACTCAGAGGATTTAAGTAATCTCCCAAGGATCATGATACAATTAATGGAGGAAACTGCTGAGTTCAGTCAAGGAAAAGAAGCAAAGTGAAGGTTCCAATAAGGAGAGGTAATTGTAGGTTTCATTGTTTGCCATGAATGTTTGAAAAGAATGAATCCTAAGAAAAAGCCATTGTGTTTCAAGATGAGGTATCTTTATTGCAGTTTGAAAATGTGCTTTTATCAAAGAGGAGTGGGAATAGGGTCAAAGGGTGGTCAAAATGGTGGTAAAAGATAGGATCACAGATTTTTTTTTAAATTTTTGATAGTCAAAGGAGGAATGGAAGAAGCTGAGGCTACAGAAAGATCTAGGATAGACTGAGCATGTCTTAAAACCAAAGAGAAGAAGAAATTTTACATACATGGTAGAGAGTGGCTAATTAGATGCATGTAGAAAGATAGAAAATAAGGTTAAGAGCACAGATGAAAAACCATTTTCTCTGACACATGAGAGAGAGAAGAGTGGATAAATGTAGAGACAGGCATATTTTGAAGGGTAAGGAAGGAGAGATGGGGGAAGCCCACTGTAAGGTAGGCTCTAGTTGTTCAGTGCTGGTTTGCTTTTTTGCACTGGGAGAACTGGGTTCGTTTGGGAGCTTGAGACAGATGATAGAAGACTTGGCAGCATGTCAGATAGTCAGCAATGGATCTAAAGATTAATGGCCACTGGACAAGTTAGAACTAGATTTTAGAAGGCCCAATTAGTACTATTCCTCGTATTTCTCCCAAAGTTTGTGCGACACAGAGTGAGAAATGGGGAACAGTGATTTTATAGATAGGGAATGGATACATCAGAGGCTTGAAGATACCATAAAGACTGCATTAGGAGGTGGCAAAGCTTGAAAGAGAGTTAAATGTTCCAGAAGTTTCTGATGGGCTACACAAGGTACAGGCATTTAAGTGTTTAGAGATCAAGGTTTAGGCAAAATGTGGTAGGTATAGGAAATAAGAACAATTGTTTATTGAGACAGGGCTAGGAATCAAGTTGTCGGATACTATTTCTCAGGGGTGGGGCTGAGATAATGATCCTCAGGGTGTATCCAGTGGGTGGAGATAAACGTCTCTCGATTGAAAAGGATGAGGAAAGGTGAGGTCAAGGGATCAGGAGAGGGGTTGGTTTGGGTTTTGGAAGCCATTTACATAGAGAGGAAATTTTCCAGCCAGATACTGAGGCACAAATTATGGAGGAGGCTTTTAAAATGAGAGTCAAAGCCTGTGAAGATAAAAGCAGTCCATTTCAGGATAGTTTTTTCATTTATCCTTATAGTTCTCCAAGGAGAAAATCTTGAGGCCTTGTAAGAGAGAATAACTATGGTCCTGGTTTCATCATGAAGAAGGCAGAATAAAATTAGCTCTTTTCCCATTTAGAAAAAAAAAGTGCAGCTTGCTGCCGGCATTCATTTATTTTTACATAAACATGCTCTTTGAGGCTGAAGTAAATCTAATTTTCAATGTGAAAATAAAATACAAAAACTGTTCTTGGAGTTATTTCTAAACAGAACTTATCTCTAATCCTAATGTAACAGAAATGTAAATGATGATCAGTATTTAGTAGTTTTTTTTTAATTTGGTAAATTTCAAAGCACAGAACAACACAAAGCAGAACATCATATTATACACAAAAATATTCCGTTTCTCTCCAGATCTTGCTATGCTTGTCATTGTGTAAGCAGCAAACTTGCAGTGACCAGTTGGATTCCACCCCCCTGATGTTGGTGGTGTGCTCTTGGGGAGATGTCTTCCAGACAGGCAAAGAAGAGTGACATCATCAGAGCATGGACGACCTCAAAGATATTCCAGCTATGGTCTGTGATATTTTTCCAGCATTCTTTCAATCGATGTCAGTCTGAAGTTTACATGGCTAATTGTGTGCTCAGGATTGTCCTTCTTGAACAGGATGTAGGAGTCCAGCACTGTAATTTTTAGAAGGTAGTGAAATAATTTCTTATACCAAACATTTGATCTCAGTTGGTTAAGAAGTGAGCATCTGATCAGCCAAATCCACCGCTCCCATATTCTTGTTATAATCCACAATGGCACATGGCTCCTTAGTTTTCTTTCCATTTCTGCTGTCTACTTCAATCACAGTATCATGGTTGATATGGTTTGGCTCTGTGTCCCCACCCAAATTTCATCTCGAATTGTAATTTCCATGTGTTGGAGGAGGGGCCTGGTAGGAGGTGATTGGATCATGGGGGCAGATTTCCCCTTGCTGTTCTCATGATAGTGAGTGAGTTCCCATGAGATCTGATGGTTTAAAAGTGTATGGCACTTCCCCCCTCCCCCTCTCTCTGGCCACCATTAGAAGAAGGTACTTGCTTCCCCTTTGCCTTCCGCCATGATTGTAAGTTTTCTGAAGCCTCCCAGTCATGCTTCCTGTTAAGCCTGCATAACTGTGGTCAATTAAACCTCTTTTCTTCATAAATTACCCAGTATCAGGTAGTTCTTTATAGCATTGTGAGAATGGACTAAGACAATTGTGGAATGTTGACAGCATTGTCACCTCCTTCTTCTTGGGGTAAATGCTGCAGCCACAAGTGCTACCAGCGAGTATTCTCAGGGCAAATGGGAAAAGGTTTGGAAGAAAAGCATAAAAAATTAATATAAAAAATTGAGAGTATTGGGGATTTATTCCCTTATAGATTTGGGGTGTCACAAGGAAGAGTGGGATAACTCATTAGAGGGTTAGAGAAGGGTGAGGGAATTAAATTGGAGCAAGGTCTGTATGAAGAGTTTTTGGGTTAGTTAGCTGGAGGGAAATAGGGAAGCCAGCACTGTAGCTGTGCAGGAATCCAGGTATAGAATAGTGGCGTTAAGGATGGACTGTTATAATAAGAAAATTAACCATATATTCAGCACTTATGAAGTGCTAGAACTGCACTACACCTGCTGTGTGCATTATCTCATTTCATACTTAAAACAATCTTAGGAAATAGGAATGGCTATTCTCCCTGCTATTTAGCTGCAATAATGGGAACTTAAGAGATATGACTAGTTTAAGGTAAAGAGCTTAAAGATTCTTTTTAATCACTCCTGTGTATTACCTTTAAATCTAAACCTAAAAGGTAGATTTGTAAACTCATTGGACACTGAAATAATAGGAGTGTAACTGGCAGAATCAGAGTAGTCAGGAAGGACAGCTAAGTTTTGAGTGAGCAGCAGAGGGAGCTGAACACTGGGCCAGAGTGTGTGACATTTTCATCTGTGAGGATCATCTGGAAAGAGGGTTCACTCCAGTGGAGAGAGGGGAGGACTGAGAGCCAGGATCCAAGGGTTCCTATCCTGTCCCCCATCCCCATCTATCTAGGGAGCAACGCTGTGACAATCCCTTCTCCAATGTGAGCTCTCTACTTCCTCTAAATCTAGTAAGATTAGCCTAGATTGGTAGTTCACATTTTCGAGTTAAAAAGCCATCCATGGTACACTAATTTATACAGTAAATAAGGCTGAGGAGTGAGGCTAGGTGGGAAGGGGAGGGTGGAACTTTATTAATTGATTCTGGTTTTCCCTCCTCATTGCTTCACCAGCACCTCTCACCCACCCCCACCAGGGTGCCTTTCTTCTTGACATCCAGCAAACAAACCACTGAACACTCTCAAGCGGTCTTTTGACAGTTTAAAAATCACTGGCTTAGATTTGTCTCTTCTTCTTTCCCTTTATGGCCCCTTCACATCCCAACTCTTTTCTTTTTTATTTTTCAAGATAGCCCTGATTATGATCATGTCCTTGTGACCACTGAGGGCACAGTGACCTAGGAATCTGGATATTTGCATTTTGACTTTGTGTCTGGCAAGACTTTGCTCCCTGCATCTCATGAGAGCAGGGAGTTAGCACATCCAGGGATCTTATGCTTTGAATACCTTCACTTCTTTTTGGGCCATTGAGACTAAATAGCTCCAATCATGGAACAAGGTGATTTGGATGAACAGTAACAACTATTTTTTTTTCTTAATTTATGTTGTTCCTAGGGGACCTCACAGTATCTGGATGAAGACTCTTTACGCACACGTGCACATGAGCACATGCACACAGACACACACACACACACACACAGCTCCCAGCTCCAATTGGTAAAAATCATGTTTACTAGGAAGGAGCAGAGCATGATGGCAGAGTAGGATTCTCCAGTGATTGTCCCTGAACAGAAAAATTGATTTGTAACAATTACCCATACAGGAAAAATCTTGACAAGAGCTAAATAAACCAGGTAAGAGTACCTAGTTTAAAAATAATAAGAAGAAAATATACATTGAAGAGGGTAGAAAAGACAGTTTTATATTACCCACAACCCCCTCCTCTAACCCCAGGCAGCACAGCTTGGAGAGAGATAGATACTTGCTTGGGAGAAGGCCAGGGAAGCAAGTGTAGGACATTGCCTATACCAGAGGCTAGAGTTATTAGGAAGAAGGTGGAGATGGGGTGACATTGGTCAAAGGAGACATAATTACAGTTAGGAGAAATACATTTCAGCAGAACTATTATACAGCAGGGTGACTAGAGTTAATGATGATATATTCATTTTTATTCTGAAAAAATGTCAAGAAAGTGGATGTTATGTGCTCTTGCCACAAAAATGATAACTATTAGTGGTAATGCATTTGTTAGTTAGCTAGGTTTAACCATTCTTCAGTGTAAATGTACTTCAAAACATCAGATTGTACAAGATAAAAATATGTAATGTTATCTGTCAATTTAAAAAAACATTTAAAAATAAATAAATAATCATGTTTCCTGTGCTCAGTGCTGAAAAGATACCTGTAACCTCAGAGTTAGCCAACAGCAGGAAATGTATTAGTCTGTAGGGATGCCGTAACAAAATGTCACAAACTGAGGAGCTTAAACAGCAGAAATTTTTTCACTTCTAGAATCCAAAATCAAAATGCCAGCAGGTCTGGTTTCTCCCGAGGCCTCTCCCTGTAGCTTGCAGACAGTCTGTCTTCTCACTGTGTGTTCATCTGGTATTTTCTCTGTGTACATGCCCCTGATGTCTCTTCCTTTTCTTATAAGGACTCCAGTTCTATTGGATTAGAGTCCCTCTCTTATGACCTCATTCAACCTTAATTACTATCCTAAAGCCATATTTCAAAATATAGTCACATTGGAGATGTTAAATCAAGTTTAGTCTAAAGCTGCCTCCCTACATATTTTAAGTTCAGTCTAAAGGTTTCTCTGTACATCGTGAACTATTACAAGTGGAGGTGTAAACAGACCATAGCCTACACTTGTGGCAATCACTGAGTTTTGGCCAATCAAATGTAGCCAACTGTTCGAATTGTGTTCAAATAAGGCAAAGGCTGAGCCATCACCAATCCAGCTGTTTATGCACCTCACTGTCATTTTCTGTACATCACTTTACTTTTTCTGTCTATAAATTTTCTTCCACCACATGACTGCGCCGGAGTCTCAGAGCCTACTCTTGCTAGGGAGGCTGCCAATTTGCAAATCATTCATTTCTCAGTTAAACTCAACTTCTTTAAATGTAATTCAGATGAAGTTTTTCTTTTTTTCTTTTTTTTTTAAATCAGAGATCAACATATACATTTTGAGGACACAAAATTCAGTCCATGACGTTCTACCCCCAGACCCTCAATATGCATATTCTTTTCACATGTGGAGAACTATAGACTTTTGATCTTCAAGACCCTGGTATTTCATAAAATGTTAATAAGTGTTTCTTGAAAATAAGATTCCCTGATCAACCAGACATGGGAAACTCTGGGTACTCCATTTCTTTTTGAGGAATTCACAATACATTTTATTTTATTAAAGGTTCAATTACATTTTTTTGCAATATGGAAAGTTTTCACTTTATTTAACTCAATTTTTCCAAAACTTAACTGGCTACAGTTTATTTATCATGTTATAGAACACTTACTAACATCTAAAAGGTGCCAGTGTTTTCTTGAACAATAAAAAAAAAATAAGGATTTACTCCAATTTTCCAGACTCATCACCAAAGAAGGTCACTGAATTTTTGGTCTTTTTCGACTGCTCAGGAGTTCTTTATCACATTGAACAGAGCTCCACTGGGATGTGGCCTCCAACATTCTAGTTCTCAACAATGGAGCCCAACATAACAAGTCTGCACCCTCTTTTCAAGTATAGCCCTTCAGACCTGCAAAGGCAGTTCTAGAGTGCCCTGTCAAGGTCTTTTTTTCTCCAGATGATTAGATCTCTTAATATTTCCCCTTATAGTACATAGTCATAATTATAAGTCCTCCCTATGCTGACATATTAATACAAGTTTGCTTAATAAAAATGAAATACCAAGTAATAACCAATTTTACTATTTCCCTTCTCTGTTCCAGGCAGTGTTCCCCACACTAGAGATACAGAGTTGAAAAAGACACACAGGATCCCTACTTCATGAAGCTTACTTTATTGTAGAGTAAGAAAAAAAAAAAATCAAGAAAATATAATAAGATGATTTCAGATCCTGACAAGTATCTTAAAAATATGTATCATGATATTGAGATAGGAGGTAACATGGAAATGGGGGATGAATTGGATCGGGTGACTAGGGAATACTTCTCAGAGAAGGTGATATTTGAAGGACACCTTAATTATGAGGAGCCAGTCTGGGAGTGCAAAAAGCTCAGGTAGTGAAGAGGGAATAGCTGGTGTGGTAACACATTAAAGGATTCTGTTTTCTTCAGTTCCAGCATTATATAAAATGGCTGTTTTTTCCTTAAAACATTCAATTTGGAAATCAAGCAAGTTGTAGCCTGTATCTTCTGTAACTAGGCAAAATGTCTTATACTGAATTCTACATGGCATTGAGTTGAAAACTTCTTCCATCTAGTTTCTTTTTTAAATCACCTTTTCTTTTTCGTTGGTTCTCTCTTCTTATTTTTTATTGCAAGTGTTCCTTCCAGTGATTTCAGCTGGAGTCTCTGTCCAGGAGTTTATAGTCTCAAACTTCCATTCAACATCTATCTATTCAATTCCTATTATATGCCTCACTTTTTATCATATGACTTTTAATTCATTTTTACGACAGCATTCATTACTGACATACTGACTATACGACATCACCTATTTATTTATTTGTATACTATTTGTATTTCACCGCTTGAATTCAGCTTCCACAAGACCAGGCTCTTGCCTGTTTTTAATTTGCCTGTCTAGCACCTCACACAATGCAATGCCCAGAGTAGGAACTAGGCAATAAATAATTGCTAGATTAATAAATAGCCCTAAGATTCCACAACATTAGCCAAATTGTAGAGTAACTCACAATTCATCCAGCATTCGGGAGAAATCATATCTTTTCCTTTAGTGGATTAAAACAAAATAAGTAAACTTACCTCACTGGAACTAAAAATAATTTAACCATTTTTTATTGAATTTAATTTCAATAATAAGAGGAAACTAAGATGTTTAACATATTTTCTTTCACTTCCCCCCCAATGACTCATAATAATGTTTAAGTCGAAATAATTATTATCTGAGCATGCAGAGACCCCTTTGCAGAGCTGCTGTTAGGAGAGAAGGCCAAAGGATAAATGTATGCCTTAGGGCTGAAGGAGAACCATTGCCTACTCCCCCTTAGCTGCTACCATCACTGCATCAATACAAGGAATACACCAGTCCTAGGAGTGCCCAGACATAATCTATAAAAAGATTTATCAGCTAATCAAAAGGCTTTATTAATTAAGGTTGTATCTACTTACTTAAAACATGGATACTGCCTAAATGTAGCATGTCCAGATCAAATGGCCCAGGGTAGAAAGAAAAAAAAAAAAAGGTCATGAGAAATGACTCTAGTAACTTGAGGGTTTTTGTTTTTAATGGAGAAGAAAAATTTGAGAATGCATTAAGTAGAAGTAGGAATATGCATTTTATATGACTAACTGGGAGAGAGAGTAAAAACCTGTTCTGTCATGAAAGGCTCTGAAGGTTGAAAGCATCACAAATGTAGCTGTGGATTTAAGGTAAGCAGAGCTGCCTATCAATCAGATCTCTATAGCAACGTTCATGCTTCATCATGAGGTGCATTTCCTTTTTGTGGAAAATCCTGTAGATGCTGGTCCACTAGGAATACTGCGAAAGAAATCAGAGATGATTTAGATGGTCTCTGAGTCCTCATTCAACTCTGAAAACCTGTGGTTATACCCAAGTTAAACTCAGTCAATGTATTGTGGATTCAAAAGACTTTCCTTTACTCATGTCTGATATACAGGCATACTTTGCAGATGTTGCAGGATCATTACCAGAGCACAAAAATAAAGTGATTATTGCAATAAAGCAAGTCACACGGATTTTTTTTGGTCTCCCAGTAGATATAAAAATTATGTTTACACTGTACTCTAGTCTATTAAATATACAATAGTATTATGTCTAAAAACAATAGACATAATTTAATTAAAAAATCTTTATTGCTAAAAAATGCTAACAGTTATTTGAACCTTTAACAAGTTGTTGTTTTTTTGCTGGTGGAGGATCTGATATTGATGGCTGCTTACTGATCAGAGTGGTGATTGATGATGGTTGGGGTAGCTGTGGAAAGTTTTAAAAATAAGACAACAGTAAAGTTTGCTGCATCAATTGACTCTTTCTTTCAAGAAAGATTTCTCTATAGCATGCAGTGATTTTTGATAGAACTTTACCCAAAGACCTTTCAAAATTGTCAATCCTCTGAAACTGCCACTGTTTTATCAACTAAGTTTAGGTGATATTCTCAATTTTTTATTGTGTTTTCAACAGTGTTTACAATATCTTCATCAGCAGTAGATTTTATCTCAAGAAACCACTTCCTTTACTTATTAATAAGAAAAAACTCATCATCCATTGAAGTTTAATCATGAGGTTACAACAATTCAGGCACATCTTCAGACTCCAATCTAATTCTAGTTTTCTTGCTATTTCCACCACACTGCAGCAACTTCCTCTACTGGTCTTGAACCCCTCAGAGTTGTCCATGACAGTTGTATTCACCTTCTAAACCCTTGCTAATGTTCTTTTGAGCTCCTCCCATGAATCACAAATGTTCTTAATGGCAAATAGAATGGCAAATAGAATTACTAAAATTTAGTAGTACTTTTTAACTTGCCTTAACATAATGCATGATATTTTAAATTATTAAACAGGACAAGGTAATGCTTCCATTTTGAATACAAATAAATATTATAAATCAAAATGCTTTGCTGGAAAAATCCATGATGCATTGATGCAATAAAAATGAAATGTCTTGTTAACTTTCAGAGATGGGTGTTATTATACCACCCATCTCAGCTGGTTCTTTGTTACTAATGACATTGTTGTTTAATGGGTTTGTTATAATTTGACCCAAATTTTAAACTATGAAAAACATCCTTAAGCTTTTTTTCCACATTGGAAAACATTTTTTTTAAACAATGATAATGGGAAATGAGACAGACCCTGAGATAAAAGCCTTGATGCAGGAGATGGATTGAGGGGAGAAAAAGAAAGCATGAAAGAAAGGAATCAGGCTCTATGAACCCTGGGACAGTACTGAAGGAAAAGCACTGCAACAGAAAATGCATTCCTGATGATGGCAAGAGGATTAGAAACATATAGGTAAAGGTAGTGGTAGTTTTCTTTCTTTCTTTTTTTTTTTTTTTTTTTCTGAGATGGAGTTTTGCTCTGTTGCCCAGGCTGGAGTGCAGTGGCACAATCTTGGCTCACTGCAAGCTCCGCCTCCCGGGTTCAAGCGATTCTTCTGCCTCAGCCTCCTGAGTAGCTGGGACTACAGGCGCACACCACCACTCCCAGCTAATTTTTGTGTTTTTAGTAGAGACGGGGTTGCACCATATTGGCCAGGCAGGTCTCAAAACTCCTGACCTCGTGATCCACCTACCTCGGCCTCCCAAAGTGCTGGGATTACAGGTGTGAGCCACCGTGACCAGCCAGGTAGTGGTAGCTTTTCAATTTAAAAAATGGGACCTCCTTACAAACTCCAATTCCAGTTTTATGTAGGAGATGAAAAAAACTAAAATATATGATGAAATGGGAACCATGAAAAAGAAGTGAGATTATTTGGGCAATGTCTGAGAAATAGGAAAAGTGAAAAAAGCTAAAGAGTAATAATAGCACAAATACAGAGAAGAAAGAGCTGAAGAAATGAGTACTAAATTAACCCCAAAACTGTATAGGACATGGTAGCATCAGAGAATATGGAATTGTGTAGTAAAGAGAATACGGAATTGTGTCATGAAGAAATTGGTCTTTTCCAAAAAAGGATTTGGCCTTTATTCTTGACTTCTGAGATGTAATTTAAGTTAGAGTGTCCTTGTTTAGAGCAGCATCTGGCCACAACAGATCTTAGGATGTGGCTGGCCACACCTGACAATTTAGGGTAGGGCTGTTCATACCAGAAAGACCAACAATGTAATTTAGGGTGAGGGCTCCAATTGACCTGGAGACTGAGTTCGACCATGTGGGCAATCAAGCAATCAACCAATCATGCTTTTGCTATAAAGCCCTAATAAAAACTCTGGACACCAAGGCTTATGGAAACTCCCTGGTTGGTATTACTCCACATGTATTGTCACGCATTGATGCTGCACAGAAAGTAATGTGTGCTGACTCCACAGAAAGAGGACAAAGCAAGCTTTGCCTTCCCCTGCCCTGTGTCTCTTCCTTTGACTAATTTTAATCTGTATCTTCTTGCTATAATAAAATATAAGCATGAGTATAATAGCTTTCAGGGAGTTCTGTGAGTCCTTCAAGCAAATTGTTGAACCCGTGAGTGGTTATAGGAACTTCTGAACTTGCAATTTGTGTCAGAAGTGAGAGCAGTCTTGTTGTGAAGGACTATGCCCTTGATCTCCATAGTTTGGCTAACTCCAGATAGGGATAATTACTGAATTCGGGAGTAATGTGGGATATGGGAACAATTTAGGAAATGAACATGTGCATAATTTAAATATCAATTAGAAGCAAAACAAATACAATAAAAGGCAAACAATAGGAAAGTGCACTTTTTAGGGCATAGAGCAAGATAGTAAATATGCTTTGTGACTGAGGTTAGCAGGAACAGCTGGGAACAGTTTTAGGAGTCTGAGAAAGGCTGAAGTTTAGCATCAACTAGAAATTTGAAAGAATTAAAGGAACAAGGAGACAATTAGTATAATGAGCAATGAAGAAATAAATTTCTTAAAAGCCCTTGAGGACAGTTTCTGACAATTGATCAGGAACATCAGGACAACTCAAGTGGCTTGGCAAGGGCAAGAGATTATAGCTGCAGGAACATTTTAGTAGGATATATGAAAAGTTGAAGAAATGAGCAGAGTGGAAATGGTGGACAGCACAATGGTGGATTATATAGTGGAGAAGATGAGAAAAGTTCAGGAAATGGATGTGATTCCATACTATCAGAGCATCTGGGATAGGTGAGCAACTGAGGAGTAAAAAGTAGCTAAGGGCAAAATAAGTGTGTGTTGAGGAAGGGATGGAGATCTGGTCAGTGAGATTAGCTGACAAGCTGTGTAGCTGAGAAGAGCTAAATCACCAAAGCAAGAAATGGCACTGGGGGAGCGTAGCACTTTTCAAATCAGCTCACGGAAGATGAATAGCATTTAGAAAGAGGGAAAGTTGACATAAGGACAGTAGAGAGAACAGACATTCACTGATATGAAAACAGAGTAGAAAAACAAAGTGAATGGAGGAGCTTGGAGACAGATATGGTCTATAAAATTCCTAGGAATTCTAATGTGCTTATGAATCTCTACTCTAGTTCTCCATGAGGTGACAACTCGGGCAGTGAGGAAATGAAAGCAGTTGAAGTGAGGGAGTAGCTAAATGAATAAGAGCTGTGCAAGAGACAGAATGATGGAAGTGACACATAAAGCCAGAGCAATGACGAAAGAACAAATGGTGAGGCCACAGAAGATAGAGGGAGCCGAGGAGCTGGGAACATTTAGTATTACAGAAGGGAAAACCAGATGATCAAAGGAGCCCAAGAGGCAGGACTGGCCCAATTAGAAGACGCTTGAGTCATTGAAAAATGGGGTAAAGCCTAAGGCAAGAGACTTACAGGAAATGGTATAGCTGTGAGAATTAGGCAGTTTGGCCCCTGAAGGCCAAGAAGGAAAATAAACCAAATGATCTTAGGAGATACAAGTCAGTAAAAGAAGAATATCTGCCTTCCAGAAATAAAAACTTAGAAATGACAGCAAGAGGGGCAAGTGAAAGAGACAGTGGCAGTCAAGGCTACTGGAACCAGAGAGCATGAAGGGCTGCATCTGAGAGCGCAACAGAGCTCAGAAGGTATGAAGAGAAGGTGTTGGCACAAGGCTTCATGCACTGTCTGCAGACCCGTGAGCCAATTAAACCTCTTTTCTCTATAAATTACCCCGTCCTCAGGCACTTCTTTATAGCAATGCAAGAACCAACCTAGCTCAACTGTTTATATAGTCAATTGGCTTGTGAAACCCTGCCTACTCTAAGAAGCCTTCCTGGATTAAGAGGAAAGGGCTGGAATCTGTCTTGTCTTCATTCTCTTAACCATGACTGTGCTTGTTAGAAACGTTGTTCAGTCCTTTTCTGTATTCTTTTTGGTTTGTGACATTCATGCTTCCATAACACACTTTATCAACCTACTTAATAATTCTGTGTGTCATGTGTCATGGTAAGTCACAGAGATAGAATCTGTATCCATGGGATATGTATAGACTTATTGGTAGCAAAGTATGTAATAAAGGGTTGGTTCAATTATTTGAGTCTTTTTCTTACCCATGTCTCTTCTCTGAGACAGGAAAGAAATAGTCAATACAACTAAGTGTTCCCTCACTCTCCTGTGAGTGTGACTGATATATCCATGTGTCTTTTGTACGTTCAATGAATTCCCTGCAGGTTGTCTGGGATATCTTTGTTTAATTCTGGAGCACATGAAGGGAACATCAAAGTGCCATGGAAGTAAATCTAGGCCCAATCTGGGTGGATGATTTCCTGTGAGTTCCTCTACCAGTGGAGGCTGATCCAGGATATTGTGACAACACAGTACCCTTTCTAGAAGAAATTTCTACCTTATCATTGATAATGAAGCCTGTATCACTCTCATTTTCAAATATAACCATAAAAAAAGTTCACAACTTGCCAATGCTGTCAGTGCTGTTAGTCTTTACAACAACACTAAGAAGTGATACCTGCATTTTACACATGTGGAAGGTAGATCTCAGAGAGGATCAGGGATCTGTCCTAAGCAACATAGTAGTAGGTGGCAGATTTTGTTGTTGTTGTTGTTGTTGGCAACTGTAGTAATACAGCAAGGGAAGAAACATGGGAAGATAAATTATGTATGTATGAACTCCATCCTCCAGTGATGCTTATTTCTGCTATTCTTAGCCCCTTGATCCTTAGTCAATAACAGACAAAGTAGAATTTAGGCCAAAAGTCATCAAATTAAGACAAATATGAACACTTTACAATGCTAAAGCCTCCAATTACAATAAATACAGCCAATTTTATGATGCAGAACTATCAAGGAGAAGTGTTCAGAAACAAAATAATAATAGAAAACTTTAACACATCACTCTTAGTATTAGACATTCGCTTGTCAAAGGGGATAAAATGTCGCTAAGTATATAAAAGTTTAAATAACATAACCTATCACCAACAATGTTGATGGCTGTTGTGAGACCCTGGTTCTTGTCTTCATAGTTTAAATGAATTGAAACAAGAGACACACAGCAAATGAGGTGCAGCATAGGGCAATTTATTACAAAGGAAAAATAATATTTGGAAGTTAGGTGCAGAATAGACAGTACACCCTGAGAGAGACTTTGGTCCATTTTTTATTGGGTTGTTTGTTCTTTACTGTTGAGTTTATATATCCTAAACACTAGTTATTAGTGGATATGTGGTTTACAAATGTTTTCTTGCAGTCTAGAGTTTGTCTTTCCATCTTTTTAATAGGCTATTTAACAAAGCGAAAGAATTAAATAGCTTTAAATTTCGATAAGATACAATATGTAGTATTTTAAGCTTAGTTTTTTTACTTAAGGTAGTGTGCTGGAGTCACCTTACATCAGCCCTTGAGAATTGGTTTTCAAGTAAGTATTCAGGGATTTTGCAAACTGATTGCTAAGGGCAGCTTGAATTTGACCACTTGAGAGTATTTACCCTGCGAAAATGAACAAATGGTACAAATTAGGGCTTTTGCTCATCCTTCTTCCAGCACTACTTGTCCTCAAAATGTATAACAGTCCAAAAAAATAGAATAATTTATATTATATCTTTTTAATTTTTAGAATTATCTTAATTTTAGATAAACCTGTTTTAAAAATTTATTTATTTAACCTTATTAGATAAATTAGGAAACTCAAATTTGTATTCATTTTACCCATAATTTATATATAGAAAAATAAGCCTAACTGGATTTTTTTTAACAAGAAATAGACACACCTACTCTGAGTACAGTACAAGTAGTAAAACAAATGATGATAAAATTGACTCAGAAGAAATAAAGATGAAATGAGTTTGTATTGGTTTTACTCCAATGTATGTTACCTTATAAAATTGAATTTAATTTCATAGCCATTATGAACAGCTAAACCATAGTGTTTCATCACTTATGGAAATGTTTTGGCAAATTAAGCAATGAAAACACTAGCGTTTGGCCGGGCGCGGTGGCTCACTCCTGTAATGCCAGCACTTTGGGAGGCCGAGGCGAGCAGATCACGAGGTCAGGAGATCGAGACCATCCTGGCTAACACGGTGAAACCCCGTCTCTACTAAAAATACAAAAAAAAAAAAAAAAAAAAAATTAGCCGGGCGTGGTGGCGGGCACCTGTAGTCCCAGCTACTCGGGAGGCTGAGGCAGGAGAATGGCGTGAACCCAGGAGGCGGAGCTTGCAGTGAGCCGAGGTCGCGCCACTGCACTCCAGCCTGAGAGACAGCGAGACTCCCTCTCAAAAAAAAAAAAAAAAAAAAGTTTAAAGTTTCACATAAGTGTATTAGTGCTTTGTGGGCTTCTTATTAAATGTCACTACAGGTTGCTCAGATCAGTATAAGCATATACATTTGCTGAGACATCAGTGAGAGACTGGATCAAAGATGTTTACTTGGAAATATTGGGTGAATTTTTGGCAAAGATGGTTGCTCAACTATCAGTTTCTAGTAACACCATAGCGTGCTGACATGTGGTATAAAATATTAATTCATAGAATAAGTGAAGCTGCTGAAACATCTTCCACTGTAACTTGACTAGCACTTGTGTAATTTACACATGGTGATGTAAATATGAAGGAAGATTTATTTTTTTCCTCTTTGGCAACAAATGTGATTAACTCTGAGCTACCTAAAATTCTGAAAGATTACATTGTAAGCAAATATGGTCTTAAACTGAAGTTTTGCATAGTTATATACTTTGATACTGAACCTATGATGACAAGAAAACATGCTAAAGTGGTTGCCTAGATGAAAGAACTCGTACTAGAATATAAATCACTATTACCTTCATGGAGAAAGTCTCACTATGGAAAAGAAAAGCAGTTGAACTAAAGTGTTCTTAATGACATTAAAAACTGAATTACATAAGGTTACAGCATTACTTCTTGAATACTATTATCTTTATTATGTAATATTATGGATGCTGATCTGAACAATAGTTACTGTCTTTTATAGCTTTTAAGTAGAAATGCTCTGTTAAATATTTCAACTACCACACAAATGTCCTGTTATGGCAAGTTTTGAAACCAGTTTGATCTCAGACTTTTAAGGATATGAATGAGCCATGCTTATTTACTTGTCTGATATCTTCAGTATTTTTAATGATTTTAATACTTCCATTCAAGGAAAGAATGTAGAACGTTTTTCATGAACTAACAACAAAAATAAAAGTTAGATGCTTGGATGAACAGTTTCTACAAGTTCTTATGACATATGTAAATGATTCAACAATTAGCAATAAGTGGTAGTGGTAATTTTGATATTAAACATCTGTGAAAAGTTAGCAGCAAAACCTTACACATTTGTTTCCAATTCAAATTTTATTTTCTCTCAAAAGAATACTTATAAATAAAAACTTTACAGAACCAGAATCTATTTCTTTCATCAGTTGTAATTTATTAACTGTAATTTTATACCACTTTTTTTAGAACTGAATACTAATGAGATTGAAGATTAATTTTGCAAATACAGTATCACTTTCTTAATATCATCTAACAGTTAAAATAGAATATCCTGAGCTTGCTGAAATTGCTTTAACATGTATTTTCTAAATTTAACATACATATTTCCTGTGAGATTTGCTTTTCAAACATGAGCATTATTTAAGCAAAACAACACAGAAAGAGTTTAAATATATAGACTCTTCTGGAGGCAGCATTGATACCAATAAATTAGATGAGTTAATAATTAAGAAGTACACTAAATCTTTTAACAGTTACAAGAGCATGTTCTTTCAAAGTACTCATATAGGTGTTTCATATGTAAAATTGCTATTTTACTCTATTTATAATTGCAGAAAAGCAAAAATTATGAATGTAATAACTAGATATATTGATCACCTGTATGCATACTTTCTATAAATGAGTTCAGTTTTCTCATTTTTTTCTTTCCCTGTATTTGTACTTACTGAATTTATTGAAATTGATTTTAATATCTGAATGTGATAAAAAATTTTGGTCTTATATTTTCTTTGACTTTTTATTATTTCATTTTCTAGTGATCCATTTTATTGTCTTTTATACAAATATTGGCCTTTGATGGCTTGAAAGTTTTTGAAAAAATGATCCTCAAACACAAATGGTTTAAGAACTTCAATAGAGAGTTTGACGATTATATGGTCATAGGTGGAGCCATGGAGGGACAAAGAAAGAGCAAAATTGTTCAGCCTCATGACTGGGAAAATGAAGCTCCATGGCCTGAAATAGGGAAGAGGAGCTGGCCTGTGGTGAGAGATGCTTGTTTGAGTTTTAGATCTCTATATTGTAAGATGATGGTAGAAAATTCAGATACAGGGTCTAGCAGGAGACTGGAGCTCTAGAACTGGAGCTGAGGTCATAGAAAAGATAAGATCAGGATCATTTGCCTGAAGTCATAGTTGAATCATAGTAATTGTAAGATTCAAAGAAGAGAATGATGTCTTATGAGATCTGAGCAGCTATATTTTTTCATTCAGTGGCTTCAAATAAAATTGATTTACACCTCCTATCAAGGTTGTTTTTCTCCCAGGTAATGTAAATTTTCCTATCTGTAGCAAGAGAAAGTAACAGAGCAATGATAATTATGATGATGGTGATGATAACAATAAGGATAATAAAATAATAATGATATCATTGTAAAGCAATAGTAATAATAAAAACAAGTCCTTATGTAGTCCCTATGTACCAAGGGCAGTTTATTTCACACGAGAAAGTTAAGGCACAGAGGAGTTAAGTTTAATGACTTGCTGGAGGTCACTTAAATAATATGTGGTGGAGTTGAGGTTTGAATTCAGACTGTTTGGATTTAGAGCTTGTTTTTTTAACCATTGACTGCTAACCATTAAAGATGCTGAAGTAAATCTTTCTCAGAGTCATTAACAACAAGCTACACAATATCTTGGAAGTATCTGCGTCTTTCAGGGAAAAAACAAAGCCATTTTTTAATAATCCACTCATTTTTCTGAAAAATTGCTCTAAGGGGTCTAAACCGATTCTTCTCAAACTGCAATGCGCCCTGCAGATCAAGTGCCCTGCAGATCTTGCTACAATGCAGAATCCGACCCAGTAGGTCTGAGGTGAGATCTGTAATTCTGCATTGGTAACAGCTCCCAATGCTGGCCCTTACCCACACTCTGAAGAGCAAGGGTCTGCAAAATCAGGGGGCAGATGAGGATATGAGGAAGCTGTCCTAGTGGTTAGAGATAAACTATGTTCTGCACTTTTATCTAGAGGAGTCAGGCTCTTGCTCAATGTCCTTAAATTGTTGAAACTACTATTAATTCATTATTACATCTAGGCAGAATACTTTCTTAAAGAAGAGACTAATATTTTTAAGAAGATATGCATCTGTACTTTTTTGAAAATCTCTTATAATCACCGCTCCCTGTCCTCTTTTTTTCTGGTTCCATTTGGGTTTGACAACACAAGGTTGTGGTTAGAAGCAGGATAATTTGGGTTTGAATCTCAGTCCTTCTTCATGAACTACAAGATTACATAGTTTACTTACCTTGTGTGAGTTTAGTTCCCTCATTTGTAGTATGGGGGTGATAATGGTATTAGGCTTATAAGACTGTGGAGAGGATCAATTGAAACAAGGCACATAAAACATGCTATGGCACTTGGCATGGTACATGTGTTCCCTGAACCTGGGCTAATTATTGTTACAGCTCTATCTCTGCCCATGTGCTGTGCCTTAGTGTCACACTGCCCGTTCCTGTAATGGAACACTTGTGTTCTCATCTGGAACCTCGCATGATTATTTCCATTATCAGCTCACACCCAGAGCCCCCTCTAAATGTCCTTGCTTTTACGTTTGTGTTCATGTTTGTCTTTCAACCAGCACAGGATTTTCACACAATAGTGAAGACATTTATAAATCAGGGATTTCTAGACTTTGCATGTTTGTTTTCCTACTACAATAGAATAATTGTGAGCTCTATATTTTGAAGAGAGAAAAAGAAAGGATACAATTTTCTTTGATATTTTTCTTTGTGTTCTGTGGTAATACAGGATTGTTCCTCTCCATCTCTCTTTGGAGAAGATTTCATTTTTGTTTTTGTTATTTTGTGTAAAGCAGAGACATAGACTAAATAATGAAATAGTGTTAGGCTATAATAGACAGCCAATATTAACACAAATGTCTGTATTTTAGAAGCTGCTTTACTTTTTGAAACTGGAAAAACCTGAAACTCTTTCTTTCCAGCTCCAGAGAGAGCCATCCTGATGGAACCTACTGACCAGGGGGACACAAAAGAAAAGAGGGAGGAGATGAAAGAAGGTGAGGGTCTCTATTGCCAGCAGAACTGGACTGTGTGTTTAACTGGAAAGCTGATGGAGAATGTAGTTAGGCACAGCTCTCTGGACCCTTCTAGTGAAATAAAGAACTAGTTAAATAAGGCAAGACAGAAGAATGAGGCTGCCATCTAGATGTAGTAACAGGTAATGTTCCAGGGCACAAGGGAGCCAAAGGAAGAGAGTTTCTTCACTTTTTATTCTCTGCAGTCTTCATACATAATAATGATCTCATTCCTCTATATTAGTCAAGATCTTCCCATTATAAGTGACGAATTATAACCAGATTAAACCAAAAAGTAAAATAATTTATTGACTGATTGATATGGTTTGGATTTGTGTCCCCGCCCAAATCTCATGTAGAATTGTAATCCCCAGTGCCAGTTGGAGGTGGGTCCTGGTGGGAGGTGATGGGATCATGTGGGTGGTTTCTCATGGTGTAACGCAATCCACCTTGGTGCTGTCGTCACGATGGTGAGTCCTCATGAGATCTGGTTGTTTCAAGGTGTGTGGCACCTCACCTCTCTCTCTCTCTTCTCCTGCTCCCACCACGTGAGGCACCTCTCTCCCCCTTTGCCTTTTGCCATGATTGGAAACTTCCTGAGGCCTCCCCAGAAGCAGAAGCCCCTATGCTTCCTGCACAGCCTGCAGAACCGTGAGCCAATTAAACTTCTTTTCTTTATAAATTATGCAGTCTCAGGTATTTTTTTTATAGCAGTGAAAGAACGGAGTAATACAATGATATAATTGGAATAGGATGAGATGGAGTGAGCATTAGGTATGCTGGAACTAGGGGATCAAATGATATCAACTCACTCTCTTCTGCTCAAAAACATACGTAATCCCCAAAAATGCTTGGCTCTTCTTCTTCCTTTTATTAACATGTGGCCACTATTCTATCCTAATGAATATGGGCTTTACCCAGGAAATGAGTTAAAAGGCCACAGCTATGTGTATATGTGTATGTGTGTTGGGGGAGGGGGGAGGGGTTGGAGGTCTTAGTTTACCTTTTCTGCTCCAATACCTATCCACTGATGACTTCTAAACTTTTTGTCAGCACCATCCTAATTCTGATTCCCAGATCTAGATATTTAGAGGGCAATTTGGCCTAGATGTCTAATAAGTCATTCAACTACAAAGCAGTCAAAATAGAAGTTGCTATTCTTCTTATGTTTTATCCTTAGTTATTTGTGTTTCTCTTCCATGTTGATGATGATACTATCTTTAAATTCCCCTTGGATCTTCATCAGAGATCAGAATTTATAAGTTGATTGATACATATTCATTAAATATATGTTGAACATGCAAAGTGGAGATGCATCATGTGTAACATAATTTTGTTGTGAGGATTAAATGAAATAACATGAAAAACATTCAGTAAAATGCTTGACATGCATAATTTCACAACCAATGAATGAAGAGGATACAAAAGATATTTTTAAACTTGTGTCTTTTATCCTATAGTTTCTTAAGTGAATTCATAACAAGGAAGAATATGATATTTTTAACACCCAGGGAAAGTCACCTTACCACCAAAACATCCTTTAGTACACTTCAGGTTGTGCCTTGAAGTGTTTGTTTGCATTTGTTAATATAAATGAGAGAAGAGAAGAAAACTTCTCCCACCTCAGGTAAGCCCGTAAATGCAGCTGTCTCTACTGCATCTCAGGGCATTGTTAGATACATATTTTACTTTAGCCTGGAATCCATTTGAAATGAGTTGAGTGTATGAAAAGAATGGCCATGTACATATATATATATATTTATATATAGTTATATATATGGTTATATGTATGGCAATAAACCAATTATTAATAATGTAAAATGTAGTGAGTGATATTACACACCCATCTCTATAAAAGGCATTTTCCCAAACATTCTCTTTAGTGTTTGCAGGAATCCCATACATTAGGTGTAAAAAGTGGCATTAAAGTTAGAGAAGGGGCTACTCAAGGAATGGAAGTCACATATGTGGCAGGAGGAAGTGAACCTAAGCCTCAGTGCTCCATGTCCATCCCTCAGCTCACTGCACCTCAGTGCCACACTTAGCCCTGAGAAAACCTCCTCTGCCCACGGACACTCACTGGGGTAGCATCCTTTACAGTTTTCAAGAACAGACATTATTTTCTGTTAGGGGGAGAGCATTTCCTTCATAAGTAAAATTTATCCACCAGTACTGATCCTAGAGGTGTTGAGTGCCTTGAAAGCTCTCTGTGTCATGAACTCTTAGACTAGAAATGAATCTTAAATTAGAATGGCACAAATGTGTATCACAAACATATAAACATACTCAAGCATACCATGGCTGACATTTAAAATGTCTGGACTAAGAAAATGTGAGGCCAGAGGTTTGGATGAATAAACTACGTGGACATAGAAGCTTCCTAGGACAATGACATGAATGTTGTCAAGAAAGGCTGTGTCTGTTAGAGGCCAAAAGGCCTGAATTACTTATGGGGGTATGACCAGTGTCTAGACAGCAGAGATGAGGCATCGTTAGCGATTCACCTGGCATGTGCCTTAACATTGCTTTTCCAGCAGGGCAGATAAATGATGGCCTGAAAGCTGCCTCAGAAAATCAAGATGATTCCAGTCTTCTCCACAACCCTGGAGGAGAATGGGCATCCCCTATTCTCACTATTCCAAAGTCAAGAGTGTCCTTGGGGGAAACACCCGAGTCAGCAGGGGCAAGGAGGTGCAAGTAGCATTTGGTAAACAACACAAAATATCTGTAGAACGCAGTGGAAATATTCATGAGGGAAGACAGCCATGGAAAGAAGGACTGGGGAGAAGAAGCACAAAATTGTAAGAGAATGTGATATGATTAAGACAAGGCTGCTTGCCAAAACTCCACACAGGCAGCGGTCGAGCTGGTCTTCTATTCTCCTTGGACAAAAAAGGCTCTGTTGTCCTGATTATGAGCTCTCTAATAGAGTATACAGATTTTGAACCTTTCTTTTTGCAGAAGATGACTTTCTGTAACCATGCAATATATATTCAACTTGTAAGTAGTTAACTTTTTAAAAAATTTGGATGTTCTTTATTTCTTTATCTTGTCTGATTGCTCTAGCTAGGACTTTCAGCACTATGTCCAATAACAGTGGTGAAAGTGGGCATCCTTGTCTTGTTCCAGACTTAGAGGAAAGGCTTTTAGTTTTTCCCTGTTCAGTATGATACTAGTGGTGGGTCTCTCATATATGACTTTTATTATGTTGAAGTTAGATGTTAACATTTTATGTATATTAAAAAATGTCTGGGCTTGGATGCCTATACTGCCTTTGTAACCAGGGAAAAGGCTCTGGTTTCCAATACAAATAGGCTTTAGGAAAGGATCTTTGCAAAAGTGAAAAATCTAGGGAGTCTGTTTTCCTTTGATACATTGTTCTTTAATTTATCATTTGGCTTATCTCAGAGAACAGAAAACATGATGCCAACCGTGTAAGAGAAGAGGAAATGTATTATTACCTATAAAAGAAAAGTCAAAGAGTAGATCTAATTTAGGCATGGCATGGCTGGAGACAGAAAATCGATGCCATCAGAATATATTTTCCCTGTATCTCTTGTTTCTGTTTGCTCTGCTCTTTAACTTCATTCTTAAACGGGCTCCCATTTGTTCTTACAAGATTGCTGCCTGTGGCTCTGAGGAAACACATTACAGGAAAAAAGACTGATAATCTTTCTCTTAGGATTTCTAAGTAAGGACCAGAATATCAATGGATCTGTTTTACGTCATGTGCTGTTGCCTGCACTAATGTCTGTGACCAAGGGACTTCCATTGGTAGATGTGCATAGGCCCAGATTATGTGTTCCACCCCAGATCATGATGAAGTTAACACAAATGAAGACACAACCTTGAGGGTTGGGGTAATCACAAAAAGATAATTGAATTTTAGTTTCTAGAATATAGATGACTGGATATAGAGACATCAGCAAAACATGCCTACTCTATTTGACTTTTTTAATCATTAGTTCCCATACTAGCTACTAACAACACTCATTGTTATTGCCAGAATATTTCTACTATCTGATGTAAACCTATAGTGGATTTTCAAATCCCAATCTTGCTAACAAATGGAGGAGCCATAGTGTATTTCATCAGGATATTCAATATATATAAGGCTAGATACCAGTAAAGTGGATGACTTACTATTTTGTATAAACAAAACAGTAAGTGGAACCAAGAAAAATTTAAAGCCACTATGGCCAGAGACACTGATAGTGAATGTGACCCAAAATTATAGTTAATCAGTGGCAAAATTGAGGGCAAAATTCATGTCTCCTTATTTCCATACCAGTGTCCTTTCTTTCTTTGAGTAGGAATCATCCAGTAGCCTAATACTCTTCCTCTCTCCATGGTATTTTACTTCTCCAACCACAGAAAGTATAACATCCATTTGTGAACGGTGAAAAGTAGCACTAGACCTGAGTAACTCAGTGATTCCTTCCTTTGGACTCTGTCTTTTGTAGGAAGGATATTTTCTCTTTTGCTCCATGTCTTTTAATTATATTAGTGGGGTAGGGTTTAATTCTGCAGATAGGCCTGCAATTGGTGGTAAGTATAATTTTAGGTAGTGTTAAGCCCAACTGGTGAAGAGAATTTAAACTACCCAAAATGGGAGTAAGATGACTTAAAACAATCAATACACAGAAATGAATATCAGCTCTTTTGTTGTTTATTTGTAACAAATGTGATATTTGGTTCTTGTCAGTTTGATTCCTTCATTTTTGTCTCTCATTTTGTTCGACATTTAAGTACAGCATAGGGATGTTATTTAATTTACATTCTCACACTCTAAAAGAAATACTATTCTGAATTAAGTAGAAAAAGAATAAGCAAGTGTAGTTACTCTGGTACCCATTAATCACATTTTCCATATTTTTCAAATTTTATACGATAATGAAATTCCCTAAAGAGAAGAGAAAAAAAGAAGATTAGTATCATAAGGAAAGTGAACATTGGTATTGAATGTACTTTTCCTTATCTTCTAAAAGAGGTCCTGAAAAGGGAGCTGCTTTTAAATTCCCTTTACATCCTTCTTTTTTTTTTTCATTTTTGTTTGTTACCACTATAATTTGTACATTCTTTCTCCATGTCTTGATTATTCAAAAGGTGTCCTATGACATTTTTTATGTAGAGTTTTTCATCCCCTAACCCATTCCCATCTCAATACCTTTCCATTCAACATAGAAATACCAGATTTTTTTTTACCAAGAGGTAAAAGATAACCACAGCAATAATGCTATGCATAATTCACGCAATTTGCTCTGTGCTCAAATTTTTCACTGTTTTCACACTGTCCATTGATTGTAGTCTATTCCCCTTACTTGGGTATTTATGTTTCACAAAAGACTAGCCTCTGCATTATTTTCCATCTTTACATATTACTATTCTCTAAATACATAATGTTCCTTTCAGCATCATATTTGTATTACATCTCTAAAGACACTGCACACTTATTTGATTCCAAGTGTTTTCCCAAACAGTTGGCACTGTGTAGATTGAACAATCCATTTTCTTTTTTGTGTTCCATTTCTTTAAAACTCCTTTAGCCCTCTCGTTCTTCAAGAGACTTCCCACACCAACCCCTATAATCAGGTTCACCTTTGATATATATCTAATGCACTTATTTGGTTCAGGAATTGCAAACATAAATGCTTGGAGCCTAGTGGGTAATATAAGTAAGTGATGTGAGCCACTTCCATCACAAAAGAGAGAGGAAGAACTATGGTTGTTTGGAACACATGATCTCCATTTGAACAGGGAGCTACTAGGAGGCAGCTGTTGCTTATTTATTGCCTGAGAAATCCTTGCTTAGTATCACTAAGCAAGTTTGAAATCTGCATTTGTGGGTAAATTCTATCAATGATTTCAAAACGTATTAAAACATCATTTTTGTCCAACAAAACCAAGGTTGCTTTCTATTCTCATCAACTTTGCATGCATATGTTCTTTTTGTCAAATAAGACCACAAGCTTTTTAAGAGTATGGACTGTTTCATGTAATGTTCTCTTTTCCTAGCATATATTACCAGAGTGCTAGGCTGAGTAGGCTTGAGGGATTCATTAAGGACAGAGAATATGACTCTATAAATTCTAGCCAAGTCTTGGATTCATCATTGTTTTTCAAAGATTTTACGTTGTTCACAAGTGGCAGATATCTCTGAGAGCAGTGAGTCCAATTTGCCAGGGCTTTTTCCTCAAAACACTGCCAAGAGCAGAGACCAAGGAATTACCCTTCTCCTCCTATTGTTCAAAAGAGCATTAGGACTATTCTTCTTGCCCCGAGATATAGAAATGGCATGAAAATTAAGTTTATACATTCAGGTCATATGGAGAATTAAGCAAATATGCATGTCACTGCACCATTCCTGCCATTGGAATTAATTTTCTGTGTTCCAGAATAAGATATGTTTGATATGAACTGTGCTCCTATTGGCTACAATGTTACTGAACGGTTTTTAACTATTTTAACCAGCAGGGCTCTTCATTTATTCTTAGACTGAGAAATAAAAACTAGAGTGGTCACAGTACATCTCTCAGAGTTACAAGGTAGAAAGGAAGGAAAGAAGGAAAGAGGGAGAGAGGGAGGAAGGAAGGAAGGAAGGAAGGAATTACTACACCAGGAATTATTACCAGCTTCTGGAGGATGACCTAGAAGCCCAAGGAAGGAAGAAAGAAGGTAGGAAGGAAAAATGGAAGGAAGGAAGGAAAGGAAGGGAAGGAGGGAGGGAGGAAAGAAGGAAGGAAGGAAAGAAGGAAGGAATTGATGAAGGAAGAGAGGAAGGAAAGGGAGGGAGGGAGGAAGGAAGGAAAGAAGGGATTGTTTCTTTAACCTCATCCCCATTTTTGCCAAGGAGATCTGAGGCCTGATCTTTGAGCTGCTAACACCATTCCGTGAGGTTACAGCCTCCTCACATTTCCTAGATGAGCCTGAAAGGAATCTTAGAATGATCTTTGTGGGAAGTTGTGAAGTAATAGTCCGGCAGATCACGGCCCACATTGTGTGTCTGTTTGAATCTATGTGATTTTCCAGAGGCCAGGGCATTATCAGCAAGACCCTCTTACACTGCTCTTTTTAGTAGTGTGTGTACAAACACCACAGAGTATAACAGAAATATTACATGGAAGAGCTACAAAGACATTTCCAAGTCTCTTTTCTGACTATCTCATTTCTAAGAAATCAACAGTAACCGCATTAGGAAGGAAGGATAATGTAACTTAATTATTCTATATAGTCTGGTATCTCGTTCATCTTTTAATGAGAACAGTAGAGCCAACAGTAGAGACCTGGTTAACTTACATTTTTACATTTACATTCTTTTTCTTTAAAGGACATTTCAATTATCCTCTGAAATGGAATAATCCTCATTGAAAGCATGATACTAGAAGCTCATGAGGATTATTTTCAAAGAAAGCTGTGCAGAAGAGTTGGCTCAGCAGGCTTGGCATGCTCAAACCAGCTCCTGGGAGATAACCTACGAGCCCTTGGAATAGTCTGTGCAATAGGGTATGTTTGTATATCCAGGACCTGGGTCTGCCAAAGAGTTTATGCTAGCCATGAAATTTATAATGAACACCTGTTGTTGTTTACCTAGGGTCCTGGAGCACTCCATATCAGTTTGATCTCTGGCTGGGGAGGAGCTGGAGATTAAGTATTTAAGATCAGCCATGTAGGTATTCTGTGCCTACCTGACTGACCCCCATTAAAGAGTCTGAACACCAAGTCTTGGGTGAGCTTCCCTGGTAAGCAATACTTCATGTGTGTTGTCATGGTAGCAGGGAGAATTAAGTATCGCTTCTGTGAGTCCACTGGGAGAAGACAGCTGGAAACTTGTGCCTGCTCTCTCGGGGACTCCACCTCATGCATCTTTGGTCTTTGCTGATTTTAATTTGTATCCTTTCATTATAATAAACTGTTACCATGAATATAACAGCTTTTCTGAGTTTTATGAGTCCTCCTGAATCCTCAAGCCTGAAGATAGTCTTGGGGAACCTCAACAGAGAAGATCTCACAGGTCATGAAGAAGTTAACTGACAAGACACAGGGCTGATTTGTGAAAACAATTTTGAATGGAGCTAAATATACATTGTAAGGAATATTATTAATTCTTTAGTCTAAATTTCCTACTGAATTTATTTGAAAGGCAAAAACAATATGAAAAGTTGACTGTCAATTTTTATGCATGTAAGACCACCCTTTGCTACTCGTGTGTGTATCTATACCTGCATCTATGTTTATACGTTTGTCTATGGCTATAGCTGCATCTGCATCTTTTTCTACATCTCTTAATAGCTACCAAACACTGATAGGTGCTATTCATAGGTTTGTCAATGTGACATATAAAAAAAGTTCAGTGTTTTTTTTAAATAACTAGATTTCCATTTATTGCTTGAATATAATCTACAGATTACCTACAAATATAATCTCTGTACAGTTCTCCCAGAACATTATGTAAGCCTTTTTTCTTTTTTAAATGATTCAACTTTGAATACTAACTAAATTCTAGGAGACTTTCTTCACTCTCTCTGTAGTCTGTCCCCAGTTTTTGTAAATAATGAGGCTATTTTTTTAAAAAAAGTATGCATCAGTAAAACCCAATTCCTTGACTATGTTTCTTTGAAATTTCTGTGAAGAAGTAGAGGGAAAAAATAATGGCATTTTATTCTGAACTTACCTCTGTTCAACACAAAAGAAACACTCATTCTGGAAAGTGTGGCCATTTGAGGCACAAACAGGTGCTGTCACATTGGGGCAGTCTGCATTGTAATCAGGGTCCAGTGGGATATACATTTTACATCGGGGCTGCAAATACATGACACCATAAAGTGACAAATAATACACTCTCTCCCATCTATTTCTTCCTGTCACTTCTGCCCCACTTAAAAAATAATATTAAATCATACCAGTCAATTGATCTTATCAAGGATTCACTGTTCTGTGGCCTTCTGTCAGGCCAGTTTCTTTTTCTGATTGTAGTGTCCCCACCCATCCTATCATCTCTTCAAGTCATAACCATTTTAATATCCCTGTTTAACCTTCATGTTTCAGTTCCAGTAGGATGTTTATGAGTGGAGATACTTATGTGTTTGTGAACTTCTAGAGGACAGACCTCAAGTGTCATTGGTCAGAATAAGGATTTTGTATTAAAACTTATTAAAACTGCAGGCAAGATAGCTGAATAGGAACAGCTCTGGTCTGCAGCTCCCAGTGAGACCAATGCAGAAGGTGGGTGATTTCTGCATTTCCAACTGAGGTACCTGACTTATCTCACTGGAACTGGTTAGACAGTGGGTACAGCCCACGGAGGGTAAACAGAAGCAGAGTGGGGCGCCACCTCACCCGGGAAGTGCAATGGGTCAGGGAACTCCCTCCCCAGCCAAGGGAAGCCATGAGAGACTGTGCTGTGAAGGACAGAGCTATCCAGCCCAGATACTATGCTTTTCCCACAGTCTTCGCAACCTGCAGACCAGGAGATTCCCTCAGGTCCCTACACCACCAGGGCCCTGGGTTTCAAGCACAAAACTGGGTGCCCATTTGGGCAGACACTGAGCTAATTGCAGGAGTTTTTTTTTTCATACCCCAGGGGTGCTTGGAATGCCAGGGAGACAGAACTGTTCACTCACCTGGAAAGGGGGCTGAAGCCAGGGAGCCAAGTGGTCTTGCTCAGCAGGTCCCATCCCCACAGAGCCCAGCAAGCTAAGATCCACTGGCTTGAAATTCTTGCTGCCAGCACAGCAGTCGGAGGTCGACCTGGGACACTCAAGCTTGGTGGGGGGAGGGGCGTCCGCCATTACTGAGGCTTGAGTAGGTGGTTTTCCCCTCACAGTGTAAACAAAGCCACTGGGAAGTTCCGACTGGGTGGAGCCCACTGCAGCTCAGCAAAGCTGCTGTAGCCAGACTGCCTCTCTAGATTTCTCCTCTCTGGGCAGGGCATCACTGACAAAAAGGCAGCAGCCCCAGTCAGGGGCTTATAGATAAAACTTCCATCTCCCTAGGACAGAGCACCTGGGGGAAGGGGCAGCTGTGGGTGCGTCTTCAGCAGACTTAAACGTTCCTGCCTGCTGGCTCTAAAAAGAGCAGTGGATCTTCCAGCACAGTGCTTGAGCTCAGCTAAGGGATAGACTGCCTCCTCAAGTGGGTCCCTGACCCCCGTGCCTCCTGAGGGGGAGATGCCTCCCAGCAGGGGTCTACGGACACCTCAAAGAGGAGAGCTCTGGCTGGCATCTGGCAGGTGCCGCTCTGGGACAAAGTTTCCAGAGGAAGGAGCAGGCAGCAATCTTTGCTGTTCTGCAGCCTCTACTGGTGATAACCAGACAGGGGCTGGAGTGGACCTCCAGCAAACTCCAGCCAACCTGCAGAAGAGGGGCCTGACTGTTAGAAGGCAAACTAACAAACGAAAGCAATAGTATCAACATCAACAGAAAGGATGACCACGCAAAAACTCGATCTGAAGGTCTCCAACATCAAAGACCAAAGGTAGATAAATCCACAAAGATGAGGAAAAATCAGCCCAAAAAGGCTTAAAATTTCAAAGCTCAGAAAGCCTCTTCTCCTCCAAAGGATCACAACTCCTTGGCAGCAAGGAAACAAAACTAGATGGAGAATGAGTTTGACAAATTGACAGAAGTAGGCTTCAGAAGGTGGGTAATAACAAGCTTCTCTGAGCCAAAGGAGCATGTTCTAACCCAAAGCAAGAAAGCTAAGAACCTTGATAAAAGGTTACAGGAACTGCTAACTAGAATAACCAGTTGAGAGAAGAACATAAATGACTTGATGAAGATGAAAAACACAGCATGAGAACTTCATGAAGCATACACGAGTATCAATAGCCAAATCAATCAAGCAAAAGAAAGGATATCAGAGATTGAAGATCAACTTAATGAAATAAAGTGTGAAGACAAGATTAGAGAAAAAAGGATGAAAAGGAATGAACAAAGCCTCCAAGAAATATGGGACTATGTGAAAAGACCAAACCTACATTTTACTGGTATACTTGAAAGTGATGGGGAGAATGGAACCAAGTTGGAAAACACCCTTCAGGATATATTATCCAGGAGAACTTCCCCAACCTAGCAAGACAGGCCAACATTCAAATTTGGGATAAACAGAGAACACCACAAAGATACTCCTGAAGGAGGGCAATCCCAAGAGACATAAATGTCAGCTTCACCAAGGTTGAAATGAAGGAAAAAATGTTAAGGGCAACCAGAGAGAAAGGTCGGTTTACCCATGGAAAGAAGCCCATCAAACTAACAGTGGATCTCTCTGCAGAAACTCTACAAGCCAGAAGAGAGTGGGGGCCAATGTTCAACATTCTTAAAGAAAAGAATTTTCAACCCAGAATTTCATATCCAACCAAACTAAGCTTCATAAGGGAAGGAGAAATAAAATCTTTCACAGACAAGCAAATGCTGAGGGATTTTTGTCACCACCAGGCCTGCCTTACAAGAGCTCCTGAGGGAAGCACTAAACATGGGAAGGAAAAACCGGTATCAGCCACTGCAAAAACATACCAAAATGTAAAGACCATCAACACTATGAAGAAACTGCATCAACTAATGGGCAAAATAGCCAGCTAGCATAATAATGACAGGATCAAATTTACATATAACAATATTAACCTTAAATGTAAATGGGCTAAATGCCCCAATTAAAAGACACAGACTGGCAAATTGGATAGAGTCAAGACCCATCAGTGTGCTGTATCCAGGAGACCCATCTCATGTGCAAAGACACACATAGACTCAAAATAAAGGGATGGAGGAAGATTTACCAAGCAAATGGAAAGCAAAAAAAAAAAAAAAAAAAAAAAAAGCAGGGGTTGCAATTCTAGTCTCTGATAAAACAGACTTTAAACCAACAAAGATCACAAGAGACAAAGAAGGCCATTACATAATGGTAAAGGGATCAATACAACAAGAAGAGCTAACTATCCTAAATATATATGCACCCAATACAGGAGCACCCAGATTCATAAAGCAAGTTCTTAGAGACCTACAAGGAGACTTACACTCCCACACAATAATAGTGGAAGACTTTAACACCCCACTGTCAGATAGATTGATGAGACAGAAAGTTAACAAGGATATTTAGGACTTGAAGTCAGCTCTGGACCAAGTGGACCTAATAGACATCTACAGAACTTTCCACCCCAATCAACAAAATATACATTCTTCTCAGCACCACATCGCACTTATTCTAAAATTGAACACATTATTGGAAGTAAAACACTCCTCAGCAAATGCAAAAGAACGGGAATCATAACAAACAGTCTCTCAGACCACAGTGCAATCAAAGTACAACTCAGGATTAAGAAACTCACTCAAAACTGCACAACTACATGGAAACAGAACAACCTGCTCCTGAATGGCTACTGGGTAAATAACAAAATTAAGGCAAAAATAAAGATATTCTTTGAAACTGATGAGAACAAAGACACAACATAACAGAATCTCTGGGACACAGCTAAAGCAGTGTTCAGAGGGAAATTTATAGCACTAAATGCCCACAGGAGAAAGTGGGAAAGATCTAAAATCGACACCTTAACATCAAAACTAAAAGAACTAGAGAAGCAAGAGCAAACACATTCAAAAGCTGGCAGAAGGCAAGAAATAACTAAGATCAGAGCAGAACTGAAGGCGATAGAGACTCAAAAACCCCTTCAAAAAATCAATGAATCTAGGAGCTGGTTTTTTGAAAAGATTAACAGAACAGATAGACTGCTAGCCAGACTAAGAAGAAAAGAGGGAAGAATCAAATAGACACAATAAAAAATGATAAAGGGGATATCACGAGCAATCCCTCCAGAATACAAACTACCATCAGAGAATACTATAAACATCTCTATGCAAATAAACTAGAAAATCTAGAAGAAATGGATAAATTCCTGGACACATACGTCCTCCCAAGACTAAACCAGGAAGAAGTCGAATCCCTAAATAGACCAATAACAAGTTGTGAAATACAGGCAGTAATTAATAGCCTACCAACCAAAAAAAGCCCAGGACCAGATGGATTCACAGCTGAATTCTACCAGAGGTACAAAGAGGAGCTGGTACCATTCCTTCTGAAACTATTCCAAGCAATAGAAAAAGAGGGACTCCTCCCTAACTCATTTTATGAGGCCAGCATCATCCTGATACCAAAACCTGGCAGAGACACAAGAAAAGAAAATTTCACACCAAGATCCCTGGTGAACATTGATGGGAAAATCCTCAATAAAATACTGGCAAACTGAATCCAGCAGCACATACAAAAGCTTATCCACCATGATCAAGTCGGCTTCATCCTTGCGATGCAACGTTCGTTTAACATATGCAAATCAATAAACACAATCCATCACGTAAACAGAACCATGACAAAAAGCACTTGATTATCTCAATAGGTGCAGAAAAGACCTTCAATAAAATTCAACACCCCTTCATGCTAAAAACACTCAATGAACTAGGTATTGATTGAATGTATCTCAAAATAATAAGAGCTATTTATGACAAACCCACAGCCAATATCATACTGAATGGGCAAAAGCTGGAAGCATTCCCTTTGAAAGCCAGCACAAGGCAAGGATGTCCTCTCTCACCACTCCTATTCAACATAGTATTAGAAGTTCTGACCAGGGTATTCAGGCAAGAGAAAGAAATAAAGTGTATTCAAATAGGAAAAGAGGAAGTCAAATTATCTCTGTTTGCAGATGACGTGATCATATATTTAGAAAACTCCATCATCTCAGCCCAAAAATTCCTTAAGCTGATAAGCAACTTCAGCAAAGTCTCAGGATACAAAATCAATGTGCAAAAATCACAAGCATTCCTATACACCAATAATAGGCAAACAGAGAGCCAAATCATGAGTGAACTCCCATTCACAATTGCTAAAAAGAGAATAAAATACCTAGGAATACAACTTACAAGGGATGTGAAGGACCTCTTCAAGGAGAACTACAAACCACTGTTCAAGGAAATAAGAGAGGATACAAACAAATCGAAAAACATCCCATACTCATGGATAGGAAGAATCAATATTGTGAAAATGGCGATACTGCCCAAAGTAATTTATAGATTCAATGCTATTCCCATCAAGCTATCATTGACTTTCTTCACATAATTAGAAAAAACTACTTTGAATTTCATATGGAACCAAAAAAGAGCCCATACAGCCAAGACAATTTTAAGCAAAAAGAACAAATCTAGAGGCATCACGCTACCTGACTTCAAATTATACTACAAGGCAACAGTAACCAAAACAGCTGTATAGACCAATGGAACAGAACAGAGGCCTCAGAAATAACACCACACATCCACAACCACCTGATCTTTGACAAACCTGACAAAAATAAGCAATGGGGAAAGGATTCCCTATTTAATAAATGGTGTTGGGAAAACTGGCTAGCCACATGCCAAAAACTGAAACTGGACCCCTTCCTTACAATTCACACAAAAATTAACTCAAGATGGATTAAAGATTTAAATGCAAGACCTAAAACCATAAAATCCCTAGAAGAAAACCTAGGCAATACTATTTAGGACACAGGCATGGGCAAATACTTCATGACTAAAAAACACCAAAAGCAATTGGCAACAGAAGCCAAAATTGACAAATGGGATCTGATTAAACTAAAGAGCTTCTGCACAGCAAAATAAACTATCATCAGAGTGAACAGGCAACCTACAGAATGGGAGAGAATTTTTGCAATCTACCCATCTGACAAACGGCTAATATCTAGAATCTACAGGAAGTTTAAACAAATTTATAAGAAAAAAACAACCTCATCAAAAAGTGGGTGAAGGATATGAACAGACATTTTTCAAAAGAAGATATTTATGCAGCCAACAAACATATGAAAAAACGCTCATCATCACTGGTCATCAGAGAAATGCAAATCAAAACCACAATGAGATACCATCTCACACCAGTTAGAATGGCGATCATTAAAAAGGCAGGAAACAGGTCGGGCGCAGTGGCTCACGTCTGTAATCCCAGCACTTTGGGAGGCGGAGGCGGGCAGACCACGAGGTCAGGAGATTGAGACCATCCTGGCTAACATGGTGAAACCCCGTCTCTACTAAAAAATACAAAAAATTAGCCAGGCTTGGTGGCGGGTGCCTGTAGTCCCAGCTACTCGGGAGGCTGAGGCAGGAGAATGGTGTGAACCCAGGAGGTGGAGCTTGCAGTGAGCCAAGATCACGCCATTGCACTCCAGCCTGGGTGACAGAGTGAGACTCCGTCAAAAAAAAAAAAAAGAAAAAAAGTCAGGAAACAACAGATGCTGGAGAGGATGTGGAGAAATAGGAATGCTTTTTCACTGTTGGTGGGAGTGTAAATTAGTTCAACCATTGTGGAGGACAATGTGGTGAGTCCGCAAGGATCTAGAACTAGAAATACCATTTGACACAGCAATCTCTTTACTGGGTATATACCCAAAGGATTATAAATCATTCTATTATAAAAAACACATGCACACATATGTTTATTGTAGCACTATTCACAATAGCAAAGACTTGGAACCAACCCAAATGCCCATCGATGATAGACTGGATAAAAAAATGTGGCACATATATACCATGGAATACTATGCAGCCATGAAAAAGAATGAGTTCATGTCCTTTGCAGGGACATGTATGAAGCTGGAAACCATCATTCTCAGCAAATTAACACAGGAACAGAAAACCAAACACCATATGTTCTCACTCATAAGTGGGAGTTGAACAATGAGAACACATGAACACAGGGAAGGGAACATTACACACTGGAGCCTGTTGGGGGAGCGGGGACAAGGGGAGGAATAGCATTAGGAGAAATACCTAATGTAGATGACAGGTTGATGGGTGCAGCAAACCACCATGGCACATGTATACCTATGTAGCAAGCCTGTATGTTCTGCACATGTATCCCAAAACTTATTAAAACTGAGAATAAACCCTGGATTTACCACGGTTTAGCTTTGTGACTTTGAACACATGGCAGGTATTATTTTACTTAATGATCAGAGATATATTTACTCAATATCTTATTTGACTATAAAGATATTTATTTTACTAAAATATTATATTTTAAAGCTTGTGCTACATGGGAGACAATCTAAGTATGGAGAGGTCTATGTGCAAGGTCACATAGAATCCTTCTATTCTGCTTTACCTCCATGAAGATTTATTTATTTATTTATAGACAGGGTTTCACTCTGTTGCCCAGGCTGGAGTGCAGTAGTGCCATTATGGCTCACTGCAGTTTCCAACTCCTGGCCTCAAGTGACCCTCCCAACTCAACCTCCCATGTAGCTGGCTACAGCCTTGCCCCACCACACCTGGCTAATTTTTGTATTTTTTTAGACACAGGATCTTCCTATGTTGCTCAGGCCGACCTTGAACTCCTGGGCTCAGGTGATCCTCCTGCCTCAGCTTCCCTAAGTTCTGGAATTACAGGCATGAGCCACTGTGCCTGACTTTCCATGAAGTTTTAGATCTCTCATGTCTGGAGAGTGATTAGACTAGAATTACAACCTAGAACTGAGAAATTTAAATTTACCTTAGGCCACCTAGTGAAGTCACGTTTATTGAAAATTCCTGCTAATAAAGAATAAACACAGTAAGTTAAAGGAAATAGTTCTCCATGGGATATAACATCACCTACTGAAGTCACTGATTGAATAATGTAAAATTGAATAATGAAAATATATACAAAAGAATTTTAATAGCAATAGAATTTGCAGTAACATTCCTTTTTAAATTACTTTATCCACTTTTTCTTTTTCACAGTATTGATTTTATTTATAAATTTGCTGTATCAGTGAGGAAAGAGTAAAAACTGAGGTTGTATATATAACTTAAAATAATTGTATTTATTTATTTTCACTTTTATTGGCTTTAGCTTCCTCTTCACTGCAATTGGGGTAATTACATGCATTTTTAAAATTTAAAAAAGTAAATATGATATAGTAAGTAATGTATCAGGCCAGTTCCTACCAAGATGCTGAATTAAAGTGGGCACAGTTATGATAAGAAAACTGAGGGAGTTCCCTGGCTTTCAGGATACTGACTTTATGGGTTGGTTGTATGAGGGGTGCTGGTGTTGCCTGGGACAGAGGGTGACTAGCTGCCTGTGGGAAAATGAAATAAGAAAGTACTTATTGTATTATGCTCTTACTTATCTGTCACTGTTAAGTGATATTTAAAATATCATAGAATATTCTGACTTTCCAAAAGTTAGAATTTTCAGAAGGTAAAAGAAAAATTCTGCACGATATTTAGAAATCTTCCCACAAAGAAAAGACTACTAACCTTTCGAGGAATAGGTCTTGCTGATTACATGTACACTCTTTCAGAGAACAAAAAAGATAGAATGCTTTTATCTACTTCTGAAAGGTCAGAATATTTTTATGACAAAAGTAGCTGGATATAGTTATAAGAAAAGAAAAATAAAGGTCTTCATCTAGTAAAAATGAAACAAAATTACATGTATATACTGCACATCATACATAAGAATTAACTCCAAATGAATCAGGATTTAAACATAAAAAAATAAAACTATACAATAATTAAAATGACATAATTCCTTTTTCATCATAAAGATTCATTAATCTAAATACAATAACAGAAAACACAGATGCATTTTTTTTTACTTAAAAATGAAAACAACTTCCTGGCAAAAAATAAACATATACAATCTAAAAAGATTTTTGATAAAGGGCATAATTTATAAAGAACTCATTAAAATTGAGGGAAGAAAAAAATAAGAAACCTAACTGAAGAGCAGACAATATGCATGCAAATATAATTTATGCAAGCATACATACTCAAAAAGATACAGAAATGACCCTTAAATCTCTAAAGGAAATTCAGCCTTACTCATGCTAAGAAAAATGCTAATTAAAACTATATGGAAATACCATTTATCACGTATCAGATTAGCTGTTGAGAAAGAGGTTCCTGGTGGGAATCCAAATTGGAAGAATGTTTATGAAGTAAAATTTGGCAATATTGAACAAAACTATATTTGCATTTACAGAATTCTTATTCCATGCTTTTGCAAAATGTAAGCCTACAAATTAGAGTTCAATGTATAAATGACTTTTTTGTCTTTAGAATAAGAATATATAGTTCAACTAATAGATTCAAAGATAAGTTGGGTTAGTTCCATTCCTCCCATTTTGGTGTAAACATATTTTTCTTTTAAAATATGGTTTAGTTAATTTGTTAAAGACAGACCTGAAGGTTCTGTACTTGTGATTTCTGGTGTGGATCCTGAGAACAGGAAGTATTGACATCCTAAAGGTCTGACATTTTCATAACAGATTGGCATAAAGATAAACAAATAGATCAGTGAAAAGGATAGAGTCCAGAAATATAGGCATCTAAGAAGTTCAAAAATATACACTTCTATGGACAAGTTCTCTTTGGCAAAGGGGAAAGAACAATTTAGGGGAAAAAGAATCATCCTTTCCACAAACCATACTAAAACAATTGGGCTTCTGGAAGGAAAACAAAAAAAGAATCTCAATTTATATATTGCACCATCATCTGAAACTTTTTTATTATCTAATATTTTTTAAATTTTAATTTTCTAATGAAAAGTTATTAGTTCATGCAGTAACTTTGGAGAACCATCTGGCATTATCTTCTATTATAGAAAATTCACACACATTGTAGCATAGCAACTCTACTCTTGCTATATACTCCAGATATATACCTAAGAGAAACTCTCGTTCACGTGCATCAAAAAACATGTATAAGAATATTTCTACCAGCTCTGCTCTTAACATCATAAATTTGTAAGCAAACCAAATGTCCATCAACAAAAGAGTAATGAAATTAGGGTATGGTCGCACATTGGGATATTATTCATTGATGTGATATTATTCATCAATGAAACTAAATGAACAACTGCACACATGAATATTTATAAATTTAAACAATATGTAGGAAAAAGCAAATTTCAAAAGATGAAAATATTCTCTTCATATAGTATTGAACTACAAAGTCCTAATAATAGGCCAGGCGTGGTGGCTCACGCCTGTAATCCCAGCACTTTGGGAGGCCAGGCGGGCGGATCACGAGGTCAGGAGATGGAGACCATCCTGGCTAACATGGTGAAACCTCGTCTCTACTAAAAATACAAAAAATTAGCCAGGCGTGGTGGCGGGCGCCTGTAGTGCCAGCTACTCGGGAGGCTGAGGCAGGAGAACGGCGTGAATCCGGGAGGCGGAGCTTGCAGTGCACTCCAGCCTGGGCGACAGAGTGAGACTCCGTCTCCAACAGAACAAAACAAAACAAAAAGTCCTTTATGACAAGTTATATAAATGTTACATAAATGTTAAAATAATTATAAAAATATATTTTCCATGATGTGTATAAATAAAAGACTATATTAAAAATAAGAGCATGAGAAGAATGGACACAAGATTTAGAATGACTGAAACTGAAGTAAGAATTTTGGGAAAAAATAAATTTAAAAAAAGATGTAGAATTGTGTTTTTCTTGGATGAAGATAGACAAGAGAATTGGTTGATTGAATACTACATTACTGGATTTGAACTTTTGTCAGTAGTCTAGATTTTTGCAAGAATGATATATTCATGGTGCTTTTTGATTGAACCCAATGAAATTTATTGAACCAAGTATTGTGATTAATCCAATTCTATCCAACTGAGGCATATTTAAAATAATAAAGTATATCACAGAGAACCTACACATAGCAGGCAATCAATTGATAATAGCTACATTTTTAAACATTCATTTACTGAGCATTTACTTTGTACCATGTATTTAAGGATGATCTGGAAATGCAAACATGAGGTTATAGTGTCTGCTTTACTAATCTGTAATTTATTTGCAGGTGTACTATTTTCTTATTGCTGTTGTAATGAATTGTCACAAACTTAGTGACTTAACAAAACACAAATTTATTATCTTACAATTCTGGAGGTGAGAAGTCCTAAAGTCAAGATGTCAGCAGTGATGCATTCCTCCTGGAGTTTCTAAGGAAGAATTAATTTCCTTACCTTTTCCAGCTTCTACAGGCTGTCTGAGTTCCTCGGCCCATGGCCCTTTTACTGCACCATTCTAACTTCTGCTTCCATTGTCACATCTTCTCTGACTTGGGCCCTCCTGCCTCCCTCTGATAAGAATCCTTGTGATTATATTGTTCCACCTGAATAGTCCAGTATAATTTTTCAATCTTAGGATCCTTAACTAAATTACATCTGCAAAGTCCCCTGTGCCATGCAAGTCAACATATTCACAGGTTCCAGTGATTAGGACTTGGATATTTTGGGGAGGCATTATTCCATCTATAATTAGCAGGTAACATAGGTTTTGTTTTTATACATTCATGATTTTTACTACTGAACTCTAAAGACACATATCAACCCAACATCAATCACAGAAATAGCTTTTTTCATTGGCTTATTTTTCATTATCATATTTATCATATCATTTATCATATTTGAAATCCATAAGAAAATGCATCATTTTTTCTAGGAAAAATAATAATTATACTGTATATTGCTTACAATAAAAAAATCACAATTTTCTCTGCTCTAGAGGATTTCTTTTGAATTGACAGAATAGACACGAGGTTGTGACTCCACCATGTAGAAAACAAGTCTGGTTTTTCTATTTAAGAATATACATTTTAATTATACCCAGTTTGGACTGCACTGGCTTACATTTCAGCAAAATATTTCCCATAAAAGTAAAAAATTACTCGTTTTCTTTCCTATAACTTTAAGAAAATCAGAGTTTATCTCCCAAAACCTCTTAGGTTACTCACCTGAGAAAGCCACATGTGTCAAAGTAGAGCATACCAGGAAAAATATAATCTTGTGGGGAAAGGCAGCCATTTGATCTCATATAAGACTCTTCTTTGATAAGGCCTGTGAACATGCCCAAGATTGTTTTTAGTTTCCCCCACAGCTAGCTTTTCCAATGTGAGAGAACACAATACCCTAAGGTGATACCATTCCTGTACACTTGCCCTGGTGATTTATACTGACCTGGTCTCCAGGAACTCAGGCCTGAGAGAGCCCTTTTGCTTTCAAGAGGAAGATGAAAAACATAAAAAAATGACTTTTTTTTTTCTGCCAAAAACTAGCTGACAATCACAGTTCTGGCCTGGAAGAAAAATTAGGCCCAATATTCATCAGGGCTGACTCAAAGTCTATTACCTATACATAGGTTCACCCTACAATTATCTAATTATCTCGCTGTTAATTACCTAAGCTGCTGCCTTCTTGTTAGTGAATACAGACATGTAAAGAATTCATAAGAATTCTGAGGTAACAGGTGTAAACTGAGAGCTGTCCTGTACAATCTTGGACATATAACCCTATAACATGTGATTCCCTGAGATGGACCAGTTTCTCCCACACTTAAGCCCTTTATTTCCCAGCTAAATTTCTCTTTGCCAGGTCAGTCACATGGGCTCAAATATAAAGAATGGGTTAAACATAGAATTGTTGGTCATGCTTAATAAAAATTGTGTATACCTTCCCTGATGCAAGAATCAGAAAAAAAAACAAAAAACATATGACATATGACCTTGAATTGAGTGAGATGCTAGAAATCAGAGTTTGGAGTTAGAGAGATGGCAGTTCAAATTCTTGGTTTAATGTCTCTGAGAAGTGTAGGCCTCAGAAAGTATGAACTTCATAGGATATTGAAAGAATCAACTGATATTAATATAAGTAGAGTTTAAACATATTAAATTGACAATTTGTTTAGCCCAACTTTTCTTTGCTAGGAGTGAAATATTTAGGCCCAGGGAGAAGATACCTTCCCCGTCCATTTCCTTAACTTGCTCACGCCCTACTCTATCCATTCTGTCTCCTTTCAAAATTGTAGCAGGGGCATAAAGAGAAATGAAGGAGAACCATAAATAAGTGTGACATTTTCTCTACTTTAATATGCAGAGGAAACAAAAGGAGGGTGTTAGAGGAAAAAGAGGGAAACCCACTGACAGAGAGGAAGGCTGAAGAGATCCCACCGCTGACTTGGACTAAGGAGAGAGAAGTCAAAGAGTGGTTACCTGGATGAGGTGGCTGAATATGGGCCTGCTCTTGTCACTTTGGATGTCACAACTAGCCTTGAGAAGAGCTGCTGTTCCAGGAGTCTGTCACAACTAGCCTTGAGAAGAGCTGCTGTTCCAGGAGTCTGTAGCCAAGGACGTACAGCAGTGGAGGCTGACTCATCGCATAGCTGAGTGACCAATTGCTTGGCATGAGTTTACTTTAATGGCTGTTTCTGAGTTTGATCCCTCTCCGGAACCAACCCCTCTGATGTGTCCTGTTCCAGCAGGAAGAGACAGACCTGGAGGTTCTGTACTTGTGATTTCTGGTTGTGGATCCTGAGAACAAGAAGTACTGGGATCCTAAAGTTCTGACATTTGCAAAGCAGATTAATGACCTACCACATTCCAGATCATTTGGTGATTTTGTGTGTGCGTGTGGGTGTGTGTGTGTGTGTGCCAAATTCAAGGTGGTCCCAGCCTTTCTAGTCTTCTCTAACCTTTCTTCTCAGAAGTCGCACCTGTTCTGTCTTTCTAGGATATAATTTTTTTTCTATTAGCCTGGGTAACACCCCAACCAATAAAGTTTGCAATATCCAAGCCTCCTAATTTCTCTACTTATTAGCTTATATTAAGCTTCAGCATGAGCAAGCCTAAAAACTCGCCATTATCTGGAAAAGTTCTATTTCACAGGCTTTAATCTCTCCTAGAGTAGTTAGCACTCTTTTGTGGCTTTGTGTTCCTGTACTAGCTTGAATTCCACAGTCTGACGTTAATAATTAGCTCCTTAACACGTCCATCCTCTCTTGATGTCCTGCTCTCTATTTTTCCTTCTTTCTTCCAAGTTGGGATAAATTCAGCTTCTTATTTTCCTGCTCCAGACCTTGGTTGTGGAGAAAGATAGAAAAAGTTCCATACAGGGGACTCTGTGATCCTGCTAACATCATTATTTACCTAAGCTCTTTAGACTCCAGTGAAAGCTTCTGATTTAATGTCATGTCCCTACTTTATGCCACATGTCCCATACCATTTTCTTTGTTTTATGCAATTTATTTCCACTATCTGATCCCATTCCACCCACATGACTTTGAGTGGAAAACTTCATCTCTTCATTGCTGAGTAAACAAACTTCAGGATGAACAAGCCCTGTCCACTATTTTCCCTTTTACTTTAAAATTCTGGAATTTTTATGATCTACGTTTTTTTCCTCTGTTTTTATTCTTCACTCCATATCAACTTACTTGGGGATCTACACCTTCATTCATTCTTTTCATTCTGTCGGCACCTGGCTATGGAGTTTACATTTCTCATCATATTTACTCCTCATAATAATCCTGTGAGGTATATACCACTCTGAGTCTTGTATAAGAGAAAAAGAAACTGAGATAGGGATAACTCAAAGGGATAATTCATTTGCTGGAGCTACCAACTAGCTACTAACCATGCTAGAATGGACAGAGATGACATTCATGCCAAAGACCATGTTGACTTGCTATCTCTACATTTGCTCTAAGTTTAGAAAAAAAAAATCCCTTCAATTTATCCTCCAACAGTCTTCTTAGAACCTTACCATGGATGCCTTGTATAACACATTTCACCTTTCTGGTAAAAAAAAAAAAAAAAAAAAAAAAAAAAAAGTACCCCTCTTCCTTTCATTAAATCTTGCTTTTCCCAAAGCCAGTGATTTTAATCTCTTCAAAATACTGCCTTCTAATTTATTAGAATATAGGCTCTGTTAAGGAAAAGGCCTTGCCTATATCTGTTAATAATTTTTACCTTGTAATCACAGTGAAGAGCATTGAATTTGCCACATGGTAAGTATTCAGTAAATAAATAGATATAAGGTGAAATAAAGTAGTCCACCCATCCCTTTTTTATTCGGTTGTTTACTGTGTTCTTGGATATTTTTAAAAATGTGTCTTCACAGATGTAATTTAGAGACATTGTATCTAGTCCACCAAAAAAAAAACACCTAATTTTGATGAAGGAGTCACATAAATTTTGGAAAAGTAATATTTTTATAATATAGTTCCTTTATACATGAATATGATGGGCCTTCTTTTTGACTTGCAGGGTAGTTTATCCATTTTATTTATGTACAGATATTACCTGAATGGTGGACACAAATCCAAATACAAATCTGATCTTGTTGCCCTACTCAAGTCCTCCATTGGCTCTTCATTGCTTATATTATGGTACTATTATTTATGGTAATAATACTCGGGTATGACAAAAGTAACATTTTACTTTGTGTAACTGAAATCAACTTGTTCATTTTACTTAAGGATAAAGTTACCCTTTATTTTCCCCCTGAATAGAAACACACACAATATTCCTTGCATACTTTTCATGTATGCAATGTTGCTTCCCTTCACCCTCATTATTTCTAGTGTTTTTATGCACATATATTGATTATAATGTTCAATCATTAGTAACCTTTCTTTTACAGAGAAAATGAGAAAGTAGATTGTTGTGATTTATCTGTCATATATAAGAATTTTATAGAAGATTAGCAAATTTTATAAATATGCTGTAATAGTGCAATTTTTCAATGTGGAATTGAAAAATTCCACGTTTAGTAATTAATAATATTAATATTTCTATAAAAATTAGAAGCCAAAATTATATGAGCTCAAATTTAGGTTTAGCAATGAATGTTTCAGTAGTTTCTTAGCTAGAAATGATCTACGTATTTAATAAATATCCACTGCTTAACATAACTTTCAACATTTTTTCATGTATGTATTGGCCATTTGTGTGTCTTCTTTTAAGAAATCTTTATTCAAGTCCTTTGCCCACTGTTTAGTTGGTTTATTGTTTCCTTGCTATTGATGTGTTTGAGTTCCTAGCATATTTCAAGTTTTAGTCCCTTATCAGATATATGATTTGCAAATATTTTCTCTCTTTCCATGTCACTTCACTCTGGTTTTTTTTGTTTGTTTTGTTTTGTTTTGTTTTTCTGTGCAAAGCTTTTTAGTTTGGTATTGTCCCATTTGTCTATTTTTGCTTTGGCTGCTTGTGATTTTGGGGTTATACCCAAGAAATTATTGTCCAGATCAATGTTATGGAGCTCTTTCTTCCCCCTCTGTTTTCTTCTAGTAGTTTTAGTTTTGGGTATTACATTAAAGTATTTAATGAATTTTGAGTTGACTCTTGTATAGGGGATGAGCTAAGGATCCACTTTCATTTCTGTGCATGTGAATATCCAGTTTTCCCAGCACCATTTATTGAAGATACTGTTCTTTCCCCATTGTAGATTCTTGGCACCTTTGTTGAAAATCATATATGTGTGGGTTTATTTCTGGGCTGTCTATCCTATCCATTGTTTAGTGTGTCTACTTTTATGGTCGTTCCATGCTGTTTTGATTACTATAGCTTTGTAGTATATTTTGAAATTTAATAGCATGGGTCCTCTAGCTTTGTTCTCTTTGATCAAGATTGCTTTGGCTCTTTGAGGTTTCTGTTACTCTATATGAATTTCAGAAATTTTTTTCTACTTCTGTGAAGAATGACATTGGAATGTTGATAGGGATTGCTTTGCATCTGTAGATTGATTTGGGTAATAAGGATGTTGCAACAATACTAATTCTTTGAATCTATGAGCATGGGACATATTTCATTTACTTGTGTTTAATTCCGTTCATCAGTGTTTTATAGTTTTCAGTATACTTATCTTACACTTCTTTGTTTAAACTTACTCCTAGGTATTTTATTATTTGTTTTATGCTATTGTAAGTGAGATTATCTTAGTTTATTTTGTGCTGCTATAAATAAATTATAAAGAAAATAATTTATTCTCTAATGGTACTAGAGGCTGGGAAGTCTAAGATCAAGGTACTAGCATCTAATGTGGGCCTTCTTACTCTTTCTACATCCTCACATGGCAGAAGATGTATGTATAAAAGTGAATGAACCTATTCCCTGAAGCCCATTTTATCATGGCATTAATCCATTCATGAGGACAAAACCCTCATAACCTAAATACCTCCCAAAAGGCCACACTTCTCAACATGGTTACATTGGGGATTAAGTTTTCTACACACAGTTTGGAGGACACATTCAGACCATGGCAGTGATTATTTTCTTGATTTACTTTTTAAACAGTTTGTTGTTAGTATACAGAAACACTACTGATTTTATATGTTGACTTTCTATCCTGCACCCAACTTTACTAAATTTGTTTATCAGTTTTAACATTTTTTTTTTGATGAAGTCTTTAGGGATTACTTTTTTCTCTCCTATTTGGGTGACTTTTATTTATTTTTCTTGCTTAATTTTCCAGTTAGGACTTCCAGTACTACATTGAAAATAAATGGTTAAAGTGAGTATCATGTCTTGTTCCTGATCTCAGAAGAAAAGCTTTCAGTTTTCACCATTGAGTAAATGTTAGCTGAAAACATAATCATCACTAAAAAAAGTTGTTAGCATAATTACTCACTTTGATTAAAATCAGATTTATAAGTTTTATAATATTCAACACCTATCAAATATAATATTAGCTTATTTGGATAGTAAACCCAAGTAGAATAAAATGTATGTCTCCATTATACTTCATGCTGACAACTCAGTCACATATCTGATTTTATTTAGCCAATACTATCAAATGTCTTACTTATCAAAGATTTATACAAATTACATACCCTTGAAAAACATTTGGATTAGTTACTAAATTTCTGGGAGTTTTAAGGAAGTGCTTATTTTTTTCTAAGCCTATTAGAATAGAATTCTTTTTAAGAGATTGATATAGTTTGGCTGTGTTCCCACCCAAATCTCATCTCGAATTGTAGCTCCCATAATTTCCTCATGTTGTGGGAGGGACCAGTGGGAGATAATTGAATCGTGGGGTTGGTTTCCCCAAAACTGTTTTCGTGGTAGTGAATAAGTCTCATGATATCTGACGGTTTTATAAGGGGAAATCCCTTTCACTTGGCTCTCACTCTTTCTCTTTGCCTGCTGCCATCCATGTGAGACATGCCTTTCACCTTCCACCATGATTGTGAGGCCTCCCCAGCCACGTGGAACTGTGAGTCCATTAAACCTTTCTTTTGTAAATTGCCCAGTCTTGAGTAAGTCTTTATCAGCAGTATGAAAATGGACTAATACAGATATTTTATAAATTAATATGACAATACCAGGCCGGGCATAGTGGCTCACACCTGTAATCCCAAAAGTTTGGGAGGCCGAGGCAGGTGGATCATGAGGTCAAGAGATCGAGACCATCCTGGCCAACATGGTGAAACCCCATCTCTACTAAAAATACAGAAAATTAGCTGGGCATGGTGGTGTGTGCCTGTAGTCCCGGCTACTCAGGAGGCTGAGGCAGGAGGATAGCTTGAACCCAGGAGGCAGAGGTTGGCAGTGAGCCGAGATCACACCACTGCACTCCAGCCTGGCGACAGAGTAAGACTCTGTCTCAAACAAACAAAAAAGACAATACCATCTGGGGGTAGAAAAATGTCAGATATACATAGCAAACATGTATAAACATATAGACTGACACAAATAGAAACCTTACAGATTTCACTTAAAAATTTTAGTAATGAGTTAGGTACAAATACAAAAGCATAAAACTTACTAATTTGTATAAAAGTTGGTTCTCATCTATTCCCACTTTACATTTTTATTAGAATTCTTTCTCTGGAAGATTGGACATATTAAGGTTATCTGCTTAAATGAGGGTGAAAACTTTCCTCTAATATTATGGAGGACTCTTAATATAATATTTTGTTCTAACATATAATTTGATGGAGAAAATGGCTTTGGCCACACGTGGTTGCTTTTGGGGTTTCTGAATTTCTCAAAAACTGAACCCATTGGAGGCAGAGGGCTTAAAGTTAGTATATTCATATCAATAAGGAAGAAAGTGGACAGAATTGGTGTCATAGTAGTGGAGCATACAGTCAGCAGGGGTTGGAGAAGAGGAAGAGAAAGGATCCAGTCAACTGAGAAATTTCCGAGGTAGGAGCAGGATAGGTCAGAGAAACTGGGAGGCCTCAAAAGAAAACACCAGAAAGAACTTCTAGTCCAAAATACTCCTCAAACAAAGAAGGTCAGAGAGTATACTCATGCTGAATGTGACTGACACCAATAAGCCTTTTTATGGCTTAATCATGGACACACGAACTGTCTCTGTCAAAGGCTTAGAAAATACAGTCATCATAAGCCAAAGTCACTCCCAAGGTTAGCTAAAAAGAAGGAAACTAAGTTGCCACAGATGACAAAATCACTGAAAAAGGAAAGAATTTATATTTAGACAATCTGATGAGATTAAGATTACATTCAGTAGAAATATAATGCACCTTGTGTCTCAGGTCCACAACCTGACAGTTGACTGTCTCATGATGCAGACCTCAATACTACTTGGGCCCTCGATTGGGAGTCAGCAGACCTGGGATCTAGTTCTAATGTACATGAGTAAGGAATCATTATGAGTAAGGAATATGAGTAAGGAATCATTTCCCTCTCTGGAGCTCAGTGTGTCCATCTGTAAAATGGGGTGGTTGACTTGCTCTCTTCCTGCTCTAAAAAGCAAGAATTCTAAGTACACATGCATAATTAGCCTATACTGTACATCATACTCCTATTAATATCCTCACTTGATTTCCATGGACAGTTGGCTAGGATTATCCTGATTTGTTCTATCTGTACCACACACAGAGATGAGGATTAGCTCAGAATGTCAAGATGTTCCTGTGCCTTGAATTATATTTCTCACAATCCAGCTGCAAGGAGAAAAGGAGTTTTCACATACCCATATTGTAGACTGCAGCAAGTAATTACATGGACTCTAAAGTCAGAAGAATGAGGTCAGGAACAGCACCATCATTAACCAATTTTCTGGAATTAAGAAACATTTTTAGCCTCTTCAAACCTCAGTTTTCTCATATAGAAAGAAGAGAAGAGAACTGTATTTTTTCAAACTAGTTTTGAGAAAAGTAAGTGTAATAACAGATTTAAAACACTTTTTGCAAGGCCTGGTGAATAATCAGTGTTCAATAAATTTAGGCTACCATCCTCATGTTCCCTAGATTGAAATTTAGACAATGAAGAAGTCACTAGGACTCCTGAATGGAAGAGTGATTAAGGCAATATTCAGTGTAAAATATCTTCTTTTCTCAAATAAATTGAGTGATGCAAAATACTTATATATTTATTAATTCAGTAGGGAGCACTCTTATTACTTGACTTGTTCAGGGAAAACCCAAACGATGTAAAATATTTTAGAGAGGTTTATTGTGAGCCAACATGAGTGACCACAGCCAGAGGGCAACACAAACCTAAGAAGCCTTGAGTGTGATGTCTTGAGGCAGTTAGGTCACAACTCTGTTTTTTACAGTTTAGGAAAGTAGAAGTTACAGGCAAAGTCATAAATTAATACATGAACTGTATATATTGGTTTGGCCTAAAAGATTGGATATCTTGAAATGGCTTACAGGTCATATGTGGTTTCAGAAATTATTTAATTTGCTATTGGCTAAAGGAATAAAGCTTAGTCTAAATATATGGAGTCAGCAGAAATGAATGTTTAAGTTAAAATCAGGAAGTCTGTTAACCAATACACTGGGTCAGAGTGACCTGTAGGGGTGTATGATTTGACCCTTGTCTGGCATGGCCTTAGGTCATGTTTAGAATTTGGATCTTATTGTCATAAGAATCTGTTATTTTAGCCTTATGATTTCTATTTTAAGACCCCATTTTAAGATTTTGAGGGTGTATAAAGAGTAAAGCTGTGAGAACATTTTTGAAGAAGAATACAATGGGAGACAAGAGAAGATGAAGAAATGAGAATTGAAATGATAGGAAAACACAAGAAATTGTAACAGGTGAGGTATTTGAGAAATTCAAGAATTAGAAGTGGCTCCATATGCAAGAGCAGATGGGACCTGGAAGCAACCTATGATTGAAAAACAGCAGAAAAATGATGGGGTTCAGTTACTCAGGAGGCTGAAGCATGAGAATCGCTTGAACCCAGGAGGTGGAGGTTACAGTGAGCCAAGATAGCGCCATTGCACTCCAGCCTGGGCAACAAGAACGGAACTCCGTCTCAAAAAATTATAAAATAAGATAAAATAAAATAAAATAATGGAGTAGAATAAACTCAGGTTCTGGGAACTGAGAGCAGCAGTTGTAAAAGGAGGAAAAGCAGAAGAGAGTTAGCCTACCAGGACTACAGGAGGCACAGTAGAGCAGGAGTGTCTCAGGAAAGAGCTTTCAGAAAAAAAGCTTTCAGAAATAAAGCTTGTGCCCTTTCTCAGTTTCATGTGATGAACTGAGGACCTGCACATCCAACACAGTAGTCACTAGTCAAAGGACCTGTGACAATTTAAATTTAGATTTAAATTAATACAATTTAAAAAAAAGTGTTAAGTTTCTTAGACATACCATGTTTCAAATGGAAGGAAAAAGGAAAGAGGGGAAATATAAAAGGTTAGAGCTAGTCTGCCAAATCTAAAACAGTAATACAAAAATGACTACAAAAAAATCTGTGAAAGCATTGTGGGTGGAGTAGAGTGTGTGTTAGGTGTGAAAAAAGTATCCAGTTGTAAGATTCCAATCTCATCCAAAGTCAGCCTGACCCTCATCTCTCAGGCATATTAATCTGTTATATATACAGGTGTTTTGAGGATGATTTATTTGAGGAAAGGATTGTTTTGCTGAATAAAAATTTGAGAGCCCTAATCGAGGTTAATTTCATTGGACATGGGGGGAGCAGAAGGCTCAAAGTAGGGAGGGAAATTTCACCTATTACATGTTAAACATATAGGGAGGCAAGACAGGAACCTTTAGCTTCTGACTCTCTCTTCACTATAAGCCCCCTCTTTCCAGATAATCCTCACACATAAAAATGTCATGCACTCTGCCCCAGGGCTCAGCTTTTTCTGCTGCTGATTTAAAATTCAAATTAATAAAGTTAAAACCAAATTAAAAATTTCATCCTTTGGTCAAGTACTTGTAGAGTTTGAGAGAGAAAAAGAAAATATGAAACTATAAACAATTATAAGGAGGTTGGCCAAGATGGCCAACTAGAAGGAGCTAATGTGTGCCACTCTCATGAAGGGAAAAGGAAGGGACAAGTAATAATAAATATAGCACCTTCAGTTGAAAGATCCAGGTACACACATTGGGACTCATCAAAGAAATAACCCATGGGGAAGGGAGAAAAGCAAGGCAGGATGACAATCCTCCCAGGAGTGACCCAGAGCCAAGGGAGCTTCCCCAACCCAAAGAAGTGGTAGTCCAAGGCAATTAGGAACTGGAGTGGTCCCAGGGCATAGCCCAGGAACTCTATGGAGAGGCAGCTAGACTGCTTATTCACATGGAACCCAGATCCCATTTGTCTTCACTGGCCAAAATCGCCACCTGGTGTCTCCAGTCATCCAAACTCCAGCCGACAGTGATTGCATACCTCCCTAGGATGAAGCTCCCAGAGGGAGGGACAGATAACCATCTGTGATGTTTGACAGCCTTAGTTGTTCTTGCCTTTGGGCTTTGGAAAGTCTGAGGTGACTGGAGGCTGGAGTAGGCCTCCAGTGCAGCACAGATGCACTACAAAAAATGCAGCCAGATTCCCAATCCTGTTTATGCAGTTTCCCAATCCTGTTTCTCCTCACTGGGTGGCCTCTCTTGACTGGGGTCTCCAGCCACATCCTGCAGGTGTGTTTGGGCTGACAACATGTCCATACCTCCCTGGGACAGAGCTTTCAGAGGGAGGGGCAGGCCACTATCTTTGCTGTTTGACAGCCTTCACTGTTGATACCTTCAGATACTGGAAAATCTGAGGTGACTAGGGAGTGTGGTGGACTCCCAGCATACTGCAGCAGCCCTACACAAAGGTAGCCAGACTATTTGTTATGTGGGTCCCCTATCCCATATCTTCTCACTGGGTGGATCCTTCCTGGGCTGAGTCTCCAGCCACTCCCCCAACCAGGGGTATCAAACCAGTAGTAGCTTTGCAGTTCCCTGGGTTGGAGCTTCAAGTAGGAGGGGTGGGTTGTGGTCTTTGCTGTTTCACAACACTTGTCCTTGCTGTCTCCAGGCCCCTGGTCCTTGTGAACTCTCCAGAATCTGGAGAAATGACAGAAATATAATTCAGAATCTGGACAGAAAAGGTCATCAAGATTCAGCAGAAGACCAAAATTCAATCCAAGGAAACTAAGAATCACAACAAAAGTGTACAGGAGCTGACAGATGAAACAGCCGATTTAAAAAATAATCTAACTCATGTGATAGAGCAAAAAACACACTACAGGATGAGAATTTCACAAGGCAATCACAAATATTAACAGCAGAATAGACCACACTGAGGAAAGAACATCAGAACTTAAAGAGTGGTTTTCTGAAATAAGACAGTCAGACAAAAATAAAGATAAAAGAATAAAAAATAAGAAACAAAAACTCTGAGAAATATGGGATTATGTAAGGAAGACAAGTCTGTGAATCATTTGCATCCCTGAAAGGGACAGGAAGAAAGCAAACAACTTGGAAAACATATTTCATGATATCATCACGAAAACTTCTCCAGCCCCACTAGAGAAGCTAATAGTCAAATTCAGGAAACAGAGAAAAACCCTGTGAGATTCTACACAAAAAGGTCATCCTCAAGACACATCACCACCAGATTTTCTAATGTTGAAATGAAAAAAGGAATGTTAAAGGCAGCTAGCAAGAAAAAGCCGCCATTTCCCTACAAAGGGAAGCCCATTAGGCTAACAGTGAACTGCTCAGCAGAAACCCTATAAGCCAGAAGAGTTTGGGAGTTTATATTCAACATTCTTAAAGAAAAATTCTTAAGCCAAGAATTTAATATCTACGCAAACTAAGCTTCCTTAGCCAAAGAGCAATGAGATTGTTTTTAGATAAGCAAATGCTGAGGGAGGTTCTTTGTTTTTGTTTTTGTTTTGTTTTAACCATCAAACCTGCCTTACGGGAGATCTTGAAAGGAGCACTGAATATGGAAAGAAAAGACTGTTACCAGTCTATACAAAAACACCCTTTAAGCACACAGACCACTGCCACTACAAACCAACCACACAAACAAGTCAGCATAATAACCAGCTAGCAACACAATGACAGGATAAAATCCACACATATCGATACTAACCTTTAATGTAAATGTGCTAAATACTTCATTTAAAAGGCACAGAGGGCCAGGATGGATAAAAAAGCAAGACCCAATGGTATGCTGTCTTCAAGAGACCAATGTCACATGCAATGACACCCACAGACTCCAAATAAAGGAATGAAAGAAACCAGAAAAAAGCAATGGTTTTAACCCTAATTTCAAAGAAAACAGACTTTAAACCAATAAAGATTAACTAAGACAAAAAAAGGGGATTACATAATGGTAAAGGGTTCAATTCAGCAAGAAGACCTAACTAGCCTAACTATATATGCACCCAACACAGGAACACAAAGATTCATAGAGCAAATTCTTAGAGGCCTACAAAGAGACAGAGAATCTCACACAATAATAGTGGGGACTTCAACACTCTGCTGACAGTTTTTAGGCAGATCATCAAGGCAGAAAATTAACAAAGATATTCAGGACTGGAACTCCACTTTGGACCAAATGGATATGATATACTTCTACAGAACTCTCCACCTGAAAACAACAGAATATACATTCTTCTCATTGCCACATGGCACATTCTCTAAAATCAACCACATAATTGGACATAAAAGAATCTTCAGCAAATACAAAAGAACCAAAATCATAACAAACACACTCTAGGGCCACTGCACAATAAAAATACAAGTCAAGACTAAGAAGATCACTCAAAACAATGCAATTACATGGAAATTAAGCAACATACTCCCAAAATGACTTTTGGGTAAATAATAAAATTAAGGCAGAAATAAAGAAGCTCTTTGAAACTAATGAGAAGAAAGATACAACGTATCAGAAACTCTGGGGTACAGCTAAGGCAGTGATAAGAGGAAAATTCTTAGCACTAAATGCTCACATTGAAAAGTTAGAAAGAGCTCAGACTAGCAACCTAATATCACAGCTGAAAGAATTAGAGAAGCAAGAACAAATCAGTTCTGAAGCTAGCAGATGACAAGAAATAACCAAAATCAGAGCTGTGCTGAAGGAAATTGACATACAAAACAACATTCAAAAGATCAACAAATATGAGAGTTGGGTTTCTTTTTAAACACTAAGATAGATAGGCTGTTAGCTAGACTAATAAAGAAAGAAAGAGAGAACATCAAAATAAACACAATTAAAAATGATGAAGGGCATGTTACCTCTGATCGCACAGAAAGAAAAATGTCAATATAATAGTACTGTGTTCACTCTATAAACACAAACTAAACATCTAGAAGAAATGGACACATACACCCTCCCAAGACTGAACCAGGACCAATAATGAGCTCCAAAATTGAATCAGTAATAAATAGCCTACAAACCAAAAAAATCCCAGGACTAGATGGATTCACAGGTGAATTTTACCTGTTGTACAACAAAGAGCTGGTACCACTCTTGCTGAAACTATTCTAGAAAATTGTGGAGAAGGGACTTCTCCCCAACTCATTCGATGAGGACAGCATCATCCTAATACCAAAACCTGGCAGAAAGGCAACAAAAAAAGAAAACTTCAGGCCAATATCCTTGATGAAAATTGATGTAAAAATCCTCAACAAAATACTTGTAAACAAAACCCAGCAGTATATCAAAAAGCAAGTCCACCATGATCAAGTAGGCTTAATCCTGGGATGCAAGGTTGATTCAACGTACATAAATCAATAAAGATAATTTATCACATAAACAGAACTAAAGACAAAACCCACAAATTATCTCAATAGATGCAAAAAAGCTTTTGATAAAATTCAACATCACTTCATGTTAAAAACTCTCAAAAAGCTAAGTTTGAAGGAGCATACCTTAAAATAATAAGAAGGATGTATGACAAACCCATAGCCAAACTCATACTGAATGAACAAAAGCTGGAAGTATTTCCCTTGAAGACTGGCACAAGACAAGGATGCCCTTTCTCACCACTCATATCCAACACAGTATTGGAAGTCCTGGCCAGAGCAATCAGGCAAGAGAAAAAAATAAAGGGCATCCAAATGGGAAGAGAGAAAAAGTCAAACTCTCCCTGTTTTCAGATGACATGATTCTGTACCTAGAAAATCTCATAGTCTTGGCCTAAAAGTTCCTTCAGCTGATAAACAACTTCAGCCAAGTTTCAGGATACAAAATCAACATAAAAAATCACTAGCATTCCTATAAATGAAAAACAGTCATGCTGAGTGACAAATCAGGAATGCAATTCCATTCACAACTGCCACAAAAAGAATAAAATACCAAGGACTACAGCTAACCATGGAAGTGAAAGATCTCTACAATGAGAATTACAAAACACTTCTCAAAGAAATTAGAGATGATACACACATAAAAAAGGAAAAACATGCCATGATCACTTATAAAAAGAGTGAATATTGTTAAAATGGCTGTCCTATCTAAAGCAATTTATAGATTCAAAGTTATTCCTATCAAACTACCAATGACATTCTTCACAAAACTAGAAAAAACGATTTTAAAATTCACATGGAACCATAAATGAGCCCAAATAGCCAAGGCAACCCATGCAAAAAAAAAAACAAAGCTGAAGGCATTATGTTACCTGACTTCAAACTGTATGACAGGGCTACAGTAACCAAACCAGGATGATTCTGGTACAAAAACAGACACATAGACCAATGGAACAGAATAGAGAGCCCCAAAATAAGGCCACACATGTACAACCATTTGATCTTCAACAAAGCTAATGAAAACGAGCAATGGGGAAAGGACTCTCTATTCAATAAATAGTGCTAGAATAACTAGTTGGCCACATGGAGAAGATTGAAACTGAACCTCTTCTTTATACTATAGACAGAAATCAACTCAAGATGGAGTAAAGATTTAAATGTAAAACCCATTCAGTATGATATTGGCTGTGGGTTTGTCATAGATAGCTCTTATTATTTTGAAATACGTCCCATCAATACCTAATTTATTGAGAGTTTTTAGCATGAAGGGTTGTTGAATTTTGTCAAAGGCTTTTTCTGCATCTATTGAGATAATCATGTGGTTTTTGTCATTGGCTCTGTTTATATGCTGGATTACATTTATTGATTTGTGTATATTGAACCAGCCTTGCATCCCAGGGATGAAGCCCACTTGATCATGGTGGATAAGCTTTTTGATGTGATGCTGGATTCGTTTTGCCAGTATTTTATTGAGGATTTTTGCATCAATGTTCATCAAGGATATTGGTCTAAAATTCTCTTTTTTGGTTGTGTCTCTGCCCGGCTTTGGTATCAGAATGATGCTGGCCTCATAAAATGAGTTAGGGAGGATTCCCTCTTTTTCTATTGATTGGAATAGTTTCAGAAGGAATGGTACCAGTTCCTCCTTGTACCTCTGGTAGAATTCAGCTGTGAATCCATCTGGTCCTGGACTCTTTTTGGTTGGTAAGTTTTGATTATTGCCACAATTTCAGCTCCTGTTATTGGTCTATTCAGAGATTCAACTTCTTCCTGGTTTAGTCTTGGGAGAGTGTATGTGTTGAGGAATTTATCCATTTCTTCTAGATTTTCTAGTTTATTTGCATAGAGCTGTTTGTAGTATTCTCTGATGGTAGTTTGTATTTCTGTGGGATCAGTGGTGATATCCCCTTTATCATTTTTTATTGTGTCTATTTGAATGGGCAAAAACTGGAAGCATTCCCTTTGAAAACTGGTACAAGACAGGGATGCCCTCTCTCACCACTCCTATTCAACATAGTGTTGGAAGTTCTGGCCAGGGCAATTAGACAGGAGAAGGAAATAAAGGGTATTCAATTAGGAAAAGAGGAAGTCAAATTGTCCCTGTTTGCAGACGACATGATTGTATATCTAGAAAACCCCATTGTTTCAGCCCAAAATCTCCTTAAGCTGATCAGCAACTTCAGCAAAGTCTCAGGATACAAAATCAATGTACAAAAATCACAAGCATTCTTATACACCAACAACAGACAAACAGAGAGCCAAATCATGAGTGAACTCCCATTCACAATTGCTTCAAAGAGAATAAAATACCTAGGAATCCAACTTACAAGGGATAGGAAGGACCTCTTCAAGGAGAACTACAAACCACTGCTCAAGGAAATAAAAGAGGATACAAACAAATGGAAGAACATTCCATGCTCATGGGTAGGAAGAATCAATATCGTGAAAATGGCCATACTGCCCAAGGTAATTTACAGATTCAATGCCATCCCCATCAAGCTACCAATGACTTTCCTCACAGAATTGGAAAAAACTACTTTAAAGTTCATCTGGAACCAAAAAAGAGCCCGCATCACCAAGTGAATCCTAAGCCAAAAGAACAAAGCTGGAGGCATCACACTACCTGACTTCAAACTATACTACAAGGCTACAGTAACCAAAACAGCATGGTACTGGTACCAAAACAGAGATATAGATCAATGGAACAGAACAGAGCCCTCAGAAATAACGCCGCATATCTACAACTATCTGATCTTTCACAAACCTGAGAAAAACAAGCAATGGGGAAAGGATTCCCTATTTAATAAATGGTGCTGGGAAAACTGGCTAGCCATATGTAGAAAGCTGAAACTGGATCCCTTCCTTACACCTTATACAAAAATCAATTCAAGATGGATTAAAGATTTAAACGTTAGACCTAAAACCTTAAAAACCCTAGAAGAAAACCTAGGCATTACCATCCAGGACATAGGCATGGGCAAGGACTTCATGTTCAAAACACCAAAAGCAATGGCAACAAAAGCCAAAATTGACAAATGGGATCTAATTAAACTAAAGAGCTTCTGCACAGCAAAAGAAACTACCATCAGAGTGAACAGGCAACCTACAAAATGGGAGAAAATTTTCGCAACCTACTCATCTGACAAAGGGCTAATATCCAGAATCTACAATGAACTCAAACAAATTTACAAGAAAAAAACAAACAACCCCATCAAAAAGTGGGCGAAGGACATGAACAGACACTTCTCAAAAGAATACATTTATGCAGCCAAGAAACACATGAAAAAATGCTCACCATCACTGGCCATCAGAGAAATGCAAATCAAAACCACAATGAGATACCATCTCACACCAGTTAAAATGGCAATCATTAAAAGTCAGGAAACAACAGGTGCTGGAGAGGATGTGGAGAAATAGGAACACTTTTACACTGTTGGTGGGACTGTAAACTAGTTCAACCATTGTGGAAGTCAGTGTGGCGATTCCTCAGGGATCTAGAACTAGAAATACCATTTGACCCAGCCATCCCATTACTGGGTATATACCCAAAGGACTATAAATCATGCTGCTATAAAGACACATGCACACGTATGTTTATTGCGGCATTATTCACAATAGCAAAGACTTGGAACCAACCCAAATGTCCAACAATGATAGACTGGATTAAGAAAATGTGGCACATATACACCATGGAATACTATGCAGCCATAAAAAATGATGAGCTCGTGTCCTTTGTAGGGACATGGATGAAATTGGAAATCATCATTCTCAGTAAACTATCACAAGAACAAAAAACCAAACATGGCATATTCTCACTCATAGGTGGGAATTGAACAATGAGATCACATGGACACAGGAAGGGGAATATCACACTCTGGGGACTGTGGTGGGGTCGGGGGAGGGGGGAGGGATAGCATTGGGAGATATACCTAATGCTAGATGACGAGTTAGTGGGTGCAGCGCACCAGCATGGCACATGTATACATATGTAACTAACCTGCACAATGTGCACATGTACCCTAAAACTTAAAGTATAATAAAAAAAAAAATGTAAAACCCCAAACTATAAAAACCCTAGAGGACTTGGGGTTTAGGCACTACTATTCTGGACGTAGGTACAGGCGAAGATTTCATGGCAAAGACGTCAAAAGCAATCACAAGTCTTTTGCTTTAAGGTATTTAATTTTCTCCAGAGAAATGAATTAACCTGTCCAGTTTAATAATTTTAATTAGTATGCAAATATATCAGGACAAATAAAAAGTACAATTAAATTCAAACAATTCATTATTGAAAATAAAACATCAAATAGAAAAGCAATCACAACAAAAGCAAAAATTGACAAGTGGGATCTAATTAAACTTAAGAGCTTCTGCAGAGCAAAGAAAACTATCAACAGAGTAAACATAACCTACAGAATAGGAGAAAATATTTGCAAACTATGCATCTGACAAAGGACTAATAGCCAGTATCTATACGGAATTTAAACAAATTTACAACAAACAAACCAAAACCCCATTAAAAGTAGGCAAAGGATATGAATAGACATTTTTCAAAAGAAGACCTATACACGCAGCCAACAAGCATAAGAACTCAATCTCACCTATCATTAGAGAAATGCTAATGAAAGCCACAATGAGATACCATCTCACACCAATCAGAATGGCTATTATGTAAAAGTCAAAAAATAACAGACGATGGTGAGGTTGCAGAGAAAAAGGAATACTTATACACCATTGGTGGGAGTGTAAATTAGTTTAATCATTGTGGAAAGCAGTGGGTGATTTCTCAAAGAGCCAAAAACAGAACTATCATTCAACCCAATAATCCTATTACTGGGTATGTACCCAAAGAAATATGAATCATTCTATCATGAAGACACAGCCATGCGTATATTCATTGTAGCACTATTTACAATAACAAAGACATGGAATCAATCTAAATGCCTGTCAATGACAGATTAAAGAAAATGTGGTACATATACACCATGGAATACTATGCAGCCATAAAAAAGAATGAGATTATGTCTTTTGCAAGAACATGGATGGAGCTGGAGGGCATTATCCTTAGACAACTAATGCAGGAACAGAAAAGTAAATACCACATTTTCTCACTTACAGGTTGAAGCTAAATAATAAGAACTCATGGTATCACTAGAAGACAAATATTTTAATGACTATAATCATAAGAACAAATAAAATTTAAAAGTTTAAGGACAGAAATTATTTGGATAATCAAATAAAATTGACATACATTGATTTAATAGAAATATTCTGGTTCATTCTGGTGAAGTTGACAGTTTGATCTCATCTGATGTCCAGTAGGAAACTTTCTTATAGCCTTTATATGAGCTGGGCAAGAGTAAGATATATCTAGGAGTTATGAAACCTTAGTTAGAACAAATAGTAAATTAATTGCTCAAAGAGGGATTATATATTACAATTGAAAATACTAGCATTTAACTGAAAGATTTAAACTTAAAAAAAATCAAAGCATATATTAATAGCTTAATATATGCTAGATATTTCAGTGGTTTATTTTTAAAACATTGGTCATAAAATTATTATACTTAATTTTTACTTAAAAAATGCTGTAAGTAAAGAGTTTTGTAACACTCACATGTATATATACTTATGCATGCATGTATATGAATATATATGTATATATAACTTCATATATATACACATGTATATATATTATATATAATATTGTTTATAGTTCTCATTAGATAAGTTTTTGCCTTTTTAATTGATTAAACTTACATAGCTAGGAGATAGTTCCTAAATTTTTTTGAAACATACTTTTTCTGTTTACTGTTTTATCTTGAATATTGAATTGTTTGAATTTAATAGTACTTTTTATTTGTCCTGATGTATTTACATAAACTAATTTAAATTATTAAACTTGATAGGTTAATTCATTTTTTTTGGAAAAAATTAAATACCTTAAAGCAAAAGGCTTTAAGAGAATTCTTTCCGTGTCTATACAATAAAGATGAAAAGTCTTTTCACTTCCAAGATTTGCATGATAAACACATCTTGATTGCTTGTTTGCTATTAAATTCTGTTGTGATTAATGGAGTAGTGGTTATATGGTCAACTTTCTTTTGATATTGAAAAACAAAAGTATTGGCAGTGTAATATTCCCTATTGTTCTCTAGATATTGTTCTCCATCTCTGACTGCTGAGTTCCCTCTGATATCATTCCATATATCACCTCTTTGCCTTGGTCAAGTGACTGATAAGACTGAAAGAAATCCCAGAAATATTGTGTTTGGAAAGATGGTCTGAATATAGAGTTGTGAGGTGATAACTGCCAACAACCTTACAGGCCTTAAGGAGCAGGTCCCTGGATGGTGGCCAAATAGTTGAATCCCAGAAATGACCAGAGCTTTCCTGGTGACGCCCATCTTGGCATTTTCCTTCTTCTCACGTATGAGTACCTTTATTGAACCCCAGGTGGTGAGGGGTAGATGATCACTGAGCTTGATAATATAAATTGAATACCTGTATGTTTTTTCCGGTATAGAGAAAAAAAGTTGTAAAAGAGACAATAATGAGAAATAAGCCCAAATTGTCCATTAGTTGCCAGTGCCTCTATTTCTAGCTTAAAATGGTGCCAGAATCAATAAAGAGACCACCCATGCTAGGAAAATTTTATAAGGTTGACCCTCAATTGAAAAAAATTCAAACACAAGAAAAGCATTAGAAAAGAAGAGCTGATTCTAGTGAAAAATTTATGCAAAATATCAAAAGATGAGGAATAAAGAAGTAAATCTTTCAAGAAAAGTATTTTTCTTTTAAGACCTTAATCTCATTAAAGAGATTAATAGTTAGGAAAAAAACTCCTATTTCTATTTTCGATGTGATAAAAACAAGTAGCATATCTGGTAAACAAAAATAGAGTACAATGAAATACAGCCCATATAACTCGGTAATAAGAAGACAAATGAAAAAAAATTGGCAAAAGATAGGAACAGGCATTTTACTATGAAGATTTAGAAATGGTTGTGTGCACATGAGACAACAATCAGAAGCATTAGTCATTTGGAAGGAGCAAATAAAAACCACAATGGGTGGAATGGCAATGTGAACAATTCAGAGGACTCTCTTCCCAGTGAAACAAGCATTTAATTGATGAAAATTCTGTTTAAATATTTTTGTTTCTGAAAACAGTCCTGAGGGCATACAGCAAATGGAGAAATATTTATTCCTAAAACTCTACTAAATCTTGATAAGAATACAAGAGTTTGTGGCAAAATTATAGAGACAGACATTAGATTCCTGGTTGGTTAGAACTACAGAGAGGAGTGTGAGAGAGAGTGGGTCCAGGGACGGAATGGGACTACTGACACATGCTACATCATGGATAAACCTCAGAAACATCTTTCTAAGTGAAAGAAGTTGGACACAAGAGGCCACATGTTACAAAACTCACTGGTAATAGTAAATGCACAGGAAAACATAGAATATTATAACATCATAATTGTGGTGTATAGACTACTCTTAAGAAGAGAGACTAAATGATGAACCAATCAAAAATAATAACTACAATGACTTTTCATGATATACACAGGCTGGGCATGGTGACTCAAGACTGTAATCCCAGGACTTTGGGAGGCTAAGCCAGGCAGATCGCTTGAGGTCAGGAGTTCAAGACCAGCCTGACCAACATGGTGAAACCCATCTCTACTAAAACTGCAAGAATTAGCTGGGCGTGGTGGCACACGCCTGTAATCCCAACTACTCGGGAGGCTGAGAGAGGAGAATCACTTGAACCTGGAAGGCAGAGGTTTCAGTGATCTGAGATTTCGCCACTGCACTCCAGCCTGTGCTACACAGCGAGAGTTTGTCCCCTCGCCCCCCCAAAAAAAGAAAGGAGAAAAGAAGAAAAGAAAAGTACACTTCACCTATAAAGATACACATAGACAGAAAATAAAGGGATGAAAAATAATACCCCATGCCATGCCAATGGAAACCACAAAAGAGCAGGAGTAGCTAGACAGAATAAATTTCCAGATAAAAACTATAAAAAGAGAAAAGGTCACTCTATAATGACAAAGGTGTCAATTCAGTAAGGGCATATAACAATTATAAGTATATATTTACTCAACACTGGAAAACCCAGATATATAAAGAAAATATTATTAGAGCTAAAGAGAGAGAGATCCCAATACAATAATAGCTGGAGACTTAACACCACGCTTTCAGCATTAGACAGATCTTCCATACAGAAGACACAAGAAGAAATATTGTATTTAATCTACACTATAGAACCGATAAAACTAATAAATATTTACACATTTCATTCAATGGCTGCAGAATACACACTGTTCTCCTCAGCAGATAAATTATTCTCAAGGATAAACCATATGTTAGCTCACAAAGAAAGTCTTAAAATATTCAAAAAATATTGCAACAATATTAAGCATCTTCTCTGACCACAGTGTAATAAAACTAGAAATCATTAATAAGATGAATTTTGAAAACTATTCAAACACATGGAAATTAAACAAAATATACCTGAGTAACGAGTGAGTCCATGAAAAAATTAAAAATAAAATTAAAAATTTTCTTGAAACAAGTGATAATGGAAACACAACATACCAAAACCTATGGGATACAGTAAAAGCATTACTAAGAGGTAAGTTTGTAGCTATAAGGACCTACATCAAAAAAGAAGAAAGCCTTCAAGTAAATAACCAAATGATGCATCTTGAAGAACTGGAAAAGCAAGTGCAAACCAAATCCAAAATTAGTAGAAGAAAAGAAATAGTAAAGATCAAAGCAGAAATAAATGAATTAGAAATGAAGAAAATAACATAAAAGATGAATAAAACATAAAGTTGTTTTTTGAAAAGTTAAACAAAATAGACCAACTGTTAGCCAGACTAAGAAAAAAAGAGAGAAGCTCAAAAATAAATAAAATCAGAGATGAACAAGGAGACATTACAACAATACTGCAGAAACTCAAAGGATCATTAGCGACTACTATAAGCAACAATATGCAAATAAATTGGAAAATCTAGAAGAAATGGACAAAACTCCTAGACATAAACAACCTAAACTTGAACCATGACAATATCCAAAACCTGAACAGATAAATAACAACTAACGAGATTAAGCCATAGTAGAAAGTCACTCAGTAAAGAAAAGCTCAGGATCTGATGGCTTCACTGCTTATTTCTACCAAACAATTAATGATGATCTAATACCATTTCTACTCAAACTATTCTGAAAAATAGAGAAGGGAATACTTCCAATCCTATTCTATGAGGCCAGTATTATCCTGATACCAAAACCAGACAAAGAGACATCAGAAAAAGAAAACTATAGCCCAATGGCTCTGATAAATGTTGATGCAAAAATTCTCAACAAAATACTAGCAAACCACATTCAACAACACATTAGAAAGATCATTCATCATGACCAACTGGGGTTTATCCTAGGGTGCAAGGATGCTTCAACATACACAAATTAATTAATGTGATATGTCATGTCAACAAAATAAAGAACAAAAACTATATGATCATTTCAACTAATGCTGAAAAAGCATTTGATAAAATTCAACATCCCTTTATGATAAAAAGCCTTAGAAATCTGGATATAGAAAGATTATACCTCAACAAAATAAAGGCAGTGTACAACAGACTCACAGCTAGTATTAAACTAAATGAGGGAAAACCAAAACCCTTTCCTCCAAGATTGGGAACACAACAAGGATGCCCACTTTCACAAGTTTTATTCAACACAGTAATGTAAGTCCTCCTGAAGCAATTAAACAAGAGAGACATAAAGGGCATCCAAGTTGGAAAACAAGAGGCCAAATTATCCTTGTTTGCACATAATCTGATCTTATATTTGGAAAAACCTAAAGACTCCACCAAAAAGCTATTTGAACTGATAAACAAATTCAGTAAAGTTGCAGGAAAGGAAATCAACACAGAAAAATCAGTAGCATTTTGTATACCCATAGTGAACAATCTGAAAAACAAATCAAGAAAGTAATTCAATTTACCTTAGTTACAAATTAAATACCTAGGTATTAACTTAGCCAAAGAAGTGAAAGATCTCTACAATAAAAACTATAAAACATTGGTGCAAGAAATTAAATAGGACACTAAAAAATGGAAAGGCATTTTATGTTCATGGATTGGAAGAATCAATGTGAAAATGTCTATACTACCCAAAACAATCTACAGATTCAATGCAATCCCTATCAAAATGCCAATGACATTCTTCACAGAGATAGAAAAAACAATGCTAAAATTTATATGGAGACAAAAGATACCCAGAATAACCAAAGCTATCATAAGCAAAAGAAAACAAAACAAAAAAGAGAACTTGAGGAATCGCATTACCTGAGTTCAAATTATGCTATAGAGCTATAGTAACCAAAATGGCATGGTACTGGTATAAAAACAGATACATGAATCAGTGGAACAGAATAGAGAACCCAGAAATAAATCCATATGTCCACAGTGAACCCATTTTTGGTGAAGGTGCCAAGAACATACACTGGGAAAAGGACAGTCTTCAATAAATGATGCTGGGAAAACTGGATATCCATATACAGAAAAATGAAACCACAATCCTATCTCTCACCATACATAAAAATCAACTCAAAATGGATTGAAGACTTAAATCTAAGACCTCAAACAATGAAACTACTACAAGAAAACTGTGTTGAAACTCTCTTGAACATTGGACTGGCAAAGATTTCTTGAGTAATACCTAACTAACACAGACAACCATAGCAAAAATGGACCACATCAGGTTGAAATACCTAACTAACACAGAAAATTCATAGCAAAAATGGACCACATCAGGTTGAAAAACTTCTGCGCAGGAAAGGAAGCAATCAATGAAGTGAAAAGATACCCACAGAATCAAGGAAAATATTTGCAAACTACTCACTTACTATATGTCAGACTGCCTCCATTTTAATTTTCTGGAGGCAATTCTTCCTCTACCTGGACAAACAATAGTCAGGGAAAAGTCATACAAGCAAATGCAAAACGCATACAGTCATAATTTGTTGATTCCCTTTTTTTGGTATGCCCATGAAAAAAATTATACAGGAAGTAGGATCATGCAGGATTTATTTAAATAATACCTGATGCATTTTCTTTGGATGTGAGCTAAATGGCAGAAGCCTGTGAATATAAGTACCCTTTGACTAGCAGGTGAGAACAGAGTCATTAATGAGAATGATGAGACATTTTTAATAGAGGATGTGGAATTCTCAGAGCTGAGATGTTGTAGGGAGATAAAAAAAAAATACCTTCATATTTTCCAAATCATACAACCCTTTCATAACGATCAATTTATTTCACACATACTGTGTTAATTGGACATGGTTATTTCTCCTATTCTAGAATAAATATAAAATTGCAAAAATTTAAGTGACATCCTAAAAACTCAGAGACCTGCTGGTGATGGCATTAAGATCTGAATGGTAGGGAGTCTCTCTGAGAGATTACTACTTCATGCCAGCCAACTGATAATGACTAAGAGAACAAATGACTTTCATCTGGAAGGCTTGTGAGGAATGAAAATTTATGAGGTAAAAAAATGGTTTCCATTAAGATGATAAGATAGTGTTCTAGAAAACTGTTTTGAATGTGAGTATCAAACGGAGTATTCAAAGCAATTGTTAAATAAATCAGGAGGCCGATTGTTGGAAGAGAGGCAGGCAAGTGAAAGTAAAAGTGCAGCAGGATTCAAAAGGGAATACAGGAGACATGTGGATCAGATATGTTCACCTATTTGAAATGGTAGCTTCCAAGTAGCAGGCATTAATCTATCCATCTAACATGCAGTTCAGGAGAACTTACTACATGCCACACTTATTCTAGGTTCTGGGGATACATGGTACTTTCTTCAAGAAGTTCATTATCTAGCTGATAATAGACAATTACAAAGTGTTAAGGTGAGTTTAATAATAGAGGAAATCATTAGTATTAGGAATACATGAGTGGAAAATCAAAGGGCTCTGTATGACATGGGTGGTGTGTGAGCAACAGTGACATGAAATGAGGCTAAACAGTATGCAGTATAATCATGAAAATCTGTAAATTCTATGTTTAGGAGTTTAAGTTACATCTTCTAGGTAGTATGAAGCCACTGGGGAATTTCAAGCAGGGGTCTAAAATATCAGAGAGGATTTTTGATTTAGGAATATTACTTCAGTGATTTATAGATTACGGATGGGATAAAAATGGACATGAAAGTTAAACCTGGCAAAGATGTGGGCTCAGTTGATGAGGATCTGAGTTATTCTAGTATAGGTAGGGAGGTTTGAGTGGAAAATAATAGAGGGAAATGAAAGAATAGAAGGGCAGTACATTCATTAATAATCATAAGTGTTATGCATGAAAATAATCAGCTCCAAAGTTCTTCTCATTTTGTTTGATCAGTGTCATTGCAAGTGACTTTTCATTAACACACTGTGGTTTTTAAAGCATTTTAAGTCTTGGAAAAGAGAATTGCTGGGTCAAGTTGACTGAGAAAAAGAAGTTATTAGCACTAACCTCAAAGTCCATTATATTGCCATCAAAAGTGCTGTCAATATTTTTTCTTTGTCGTTGGTTGTAAAATGACCTTAATTTTCTCTGATGGCTAGATGGCTCTGGCTTCCATTCCTGGCCAGATGACCCTATATTTCCTTGCTGGCTAGATGATCCTGGCTTCCCCTGCTGCTTAGAAGATCCTAGATCTCCTTGCTGGTTAGATGCCCCTGGCTTCCCTTGTTGGCTAGATGACACTGGCTTCCCTTGTTGGCTAGATGACACTGGCTTCCCTTGATAGCTAGATGACCCTAGATTCCCTTGTTGGCTAGAAGACTCTGGCTTCTCCTGTTGGCTAGGAGATCCTATATTCCCTTGCTGGCTAGATAATCATAGATTTCCTTGACGGCTGGATGAACCTGGCTTCCTCTGTTTGCTAGAAGGTCCTTGATTCCCTTGCTGGCTAGATAAATGTAGATTTCCTTGTTGGCTAGATGACCCTGGCTTCCCTTGATGGCTAGACAACCCTGGCTTCCCCTGTTGGCTAGAAGATCCTGGCTTCTCCTGTTGGCCAGAAGTTCCTAGATTTCCTTGTTGGCTAGATGACCCTGGCTTCCCCTGTTGGCCAGATGACTCTGGCTTCCCTTGATGGCTAGATAAACCCAGATGCCCTTGTAGGCTAGAAGATCCTAAATTCCCTTTCTGGGTTGATGACCCTAGATTCCCGTGTTGGCTAGATGATCCTGGCTTCCCCTGTTGGCTAGATGACCCCACCATCACTTTCTGGCTAAATGACCCTGGTTTCTCTTGTTGGTCAGATGACCCTGGATTTCCCTGTTGGGTAGAAATCCCTGGTCTCCCTAGTTGGCTAGAAGATCCTGAGTTTTCCTGCTTATTAGAAGATTCTGGATTCCCTTTTTGGTTAGATTTTCCTGAATTCTTTAAAATCCCAGGCTGGTTTAAAACTCCTGCTCTCCCTTGCTTAAAATGTCTTGGTTTCTCTAGCTTGTTAAAATAGCCTGGTTGTCCTTGAAGCCTAAACGTTCCTGGATTTCCTTGTGTATAACTACCTCCTTGCTTATTAGAATCTCTTTGTCCTCCTAGATGGTTAGCTTCATTTTTTTCCTCCAGAATAAGTGCAGGTTTTGGATTCTCTTCTAGTTTGAAAACACTGGTATTTGAAATCTGGGTTGAAGATGCTGGAATAATAACACAACCAGAAAAAAATGAAAATAAAGTTATATACATTAAATAATTTTAAATCAACAACATTTGTCCAAGATATAGTATGTTTTTAATGCTTTCTTGATTTTTTAACCAAGCCCCAAGATAGAATCTTCTCATTCTTCCTCATATCCTGAATATTTGGGTTCCTCCTTTGTTTTCTTTACTGTACTACATGGTTTTCAAAAATTAGAGGATCAATCCAACTTGCCCCATTTCTAAATCATAAAGTCTGAATTATTTGAATTGAGACTTCATTCTACCCCCAATTCCTTTAAATGGTTTTCTGATGAATCAAACTGGCTCTGCTCAATGCTCATTATAAACTTATTTTTTCACACCAAGTACTTTAGTCCTAATTTTCCAGCTTCACTTTACGGATAACGCCATCAACTTTCCAGACAGGAAAAGGCTGGCAGACGTGAGCCCCACTTTATTCTTCTCACTTCCATCTCTATACATATTATCTGTAGCCAACTTTCTTTCCATTTCCATCCCTAAAACAGATGTTTCCTTTCTCCTTCAGAACATGTGTCTTTCAATCAGCTTTATGTTCACCATTTCCAACAAAAGGCCTTAGGATCAATCATGCTCTCTCTGGTGGTTATATTTCTTCTTTCTATTTTGGTCAAATTGCTCAAGAGAATGGTAAATATCACGATTATTTCTTAAACCCTGTGTTTTATAGCTTCTCCAACTTATTTTGGAAGCCCACCTATGCCCTAATGAAATATATGTAATTGTGTGTATGTGTATATGTTTTATGTTTTTTCAGATTATATTCCATAATGAGCAGGATCTAAAAAACAATAAATAAGCAAATGGAATCACTGTAGAGCTAAGTATAAGAGTATTGCATTGGGCTATGCTTCTTTTCCTTTTTTTTTTTTTTTTTTGGTAGAAGTGTATATTTTTCTCATCCTTTCCTTCTTGCTTGATAATTCCTCTTTCTTTATTCACTTTCCTAATGTGGGGTTCTCTTAAAGATTTTAATTAGGCTTACATTTTGTTTTCTGCATAGGTTTTTTTGGTATTTTTTTCAATATACGCAATTTTAAATCATTCCAATGTTGATTATTTCAGATGTATACTTAGGGTCTCACTTGAATTTTCAATTGCTCTGCTTTATATTTCCATAAATATACACATTTATACCTTCAAGTCAATTTAAGCAAAGTCAAATGATAGTCAATTGGTATGCACTGAGCATGCTATGGTATACTCCTGCAGGTGATTAAGGTCCTAGTCAAGACACAGAAGCTTAGCAACCTGCTTAACTAAACTGTGGTATAGTGTGGATATGGATTGTGAGTATAACTTAGCCATTCATTCAATTTAACAAAAAAATATAAATTTAAATAATTTGTTATTATAAAAGAAGCTTAGAAAGAGCTAGGAATGAACAAGACATTCACGGCCCTGTTCACATGAAGCTGAGAAGTCTAGTAGTGGGGCAAATAAGTAGGACTTTATATTATAGTAGAATGATCAATGCTATCACGTGAGGAGTAAACTAGACAATAGTCTCCTAATCAAGGTAGCAGAGAGTGTGGAATCCTTTTTTCTTCCTGGAGGAGGAGGTACATAAGAAACATAAGATTCAACCAGAGAAATTAATGAGAAAAAATATTTTTTTTTAGCTGAGAGATGAGTACATGTATGGATTCTTTCAGTTCTAGGAATAAAACATTGCTCATTAACAGTTGCTAACACCAAGTAGAAATCAATTAAAGTAGATATGTGGAAGAAATAGGAAAAAAGAGTTGGTAACATATTTTTATTAATGACTTTCAGTTTTTTTAACAGGTGACACGAGTAAATGGGGCCAAATCCTAAAGGTGCAAAGAGTAAACAGTTTAAAATTACTTTCCTTTTCTTTCCTGTCTGTACCCCCACTCCAAACCCCCCACAAAAATAATTTCCTAACTACGACATAATTATTTCCTATTACCTATGAAATGGTAAAAGTAAAGTGCCTAAGACACCATCACATTTACAGGTTTTTGTGAATTATTTGATGGATACCCTATGTATTTACAAACATATATGAATATAATTATTCACACAATTGGTGGCACACTCTACACAGAGTTCTACTCTTTGTTTTCTCCAAGGACAATCAATATAATGAAGATTTCACTACCTCAATACATATAGAGCATATTTATTTGTTTCCCCTCGTTGGTTGCATAGTATCCCATTTTATGGGTTTATCATAATTTATTTAGCCAGTGTTCTAGTAATAAACAGGTAGTTTATTTCCCTCTTTTGCTAAAGTAAGTAATGAATCAATGAAAATCCTAATAATACATCATTTCTTACATGGATAAGTAAATTTATTAAATAAAAACTAAGGGTGAATTTTGGAGTAATAAGAGACAATTAAGATATTATAATGTGGTTTCACCATCTATTTTTTAAGCTAAAAACTTGGAAAATAAGTATCTTCAGCTTTGTTTTGTATTTTTTCCCTTCTGATTTTACAAACTCTAGGATGCGCTTAGTATTGCTTTTCTGATTCATCTCTCTTCTTCATCTTCCAATATATATAATCATTGCATATATAATACACTTTCTTCCATCACAAAATACCTTCTAGCACTTAGCAAGGCACTGAAGGTCACAACAGTTACAGTACCTGCCATCATGAAATACGAAATATATGTTCTATAAAGGAATTTTATCTGAATATCTGTTTTCCCCCTTTAAAACACACACACATACACGTATTGTTCTCCTTTCTCTAATTCTATCTCTTAACTCACCCTTTTTTTTTCTTAACTCTGTTACTTCAGCAGCTCCTCAGTGGCATTACTGTACAACTTTTCTTACATCTAATTCATTTTTAGTATTACCACAAGACTGATATTTCTTAACAAGATGAATATTATCACTCTTGTACTCAAAACTCTGAAACAGCTTTGCAGTGTTTCCAATGAAAAGAGAAACACTATTTTGATGTTACAAATATAAGAAGTGGGGGGTCTGAGGCACTTTACTTTTATTATTTCATTTCACTAGGTATAAGAAAGATGGTCAAGTGGGAGCTTATGATTTGGGGATAAATTAGAATCAGTTTCATTATTATAATTTTTATCTTGAGAAATGTATTAACTATCATTTATTATCTTGAGAAATTTACATCTCAAAGCTAGAAATTTACATATCTGAAAATCACCTAACTGTACTGAGGTAAGGAATAGAGAAAAGTAAGTTGAGAGTCAAGTACCTAAAAAAACACAGGTAATGGTAACTAAAGCTATTATCTGTATAGTTCCCGAAATAACTCTATAGGAAAGAATAATAATTTCCGTTTTGCAAATGAGAAAATTGAGATTCAAGTAAGTTAAACAAGTTTCCTCAAATCACATGAATGGGAAAAAAACATCAAGATTTGAACACATTATTATTTGACCATGTAGTCCAGGATCATATCACAAAACCATTTTCTTATAAATTATGAACTTGCATATTCACAAACTCATAAGCCTCTTAGTCTAAATTCATCTTTCCAGTCTAATGTTTTGCCTTTCCTACTCCCTTGTATCTGTTTCTCTTCAGTCACACCAAACTATTCACTCTGATTTCATTCAGTCACTATTTTTATGACTCCAGATCTACATTTATTTTGTCAGAAATTTACCTTCTTCCATTTCTCTGTCTGATGGATTGCCTATTTTTAAATCTTTTGATAAAGTATTGCTAAATCACTTAACATTTCTCATTCTTTCCTTTGAGATTTGGAAGGAAAGCTATTGACTGTGACTTTCTTACCTGAGAACATGGCCAGGAGCATGAAGAGAAAGAAAATGAAAGCCCTCATGGTACCGTCAGTGGTTTCAGACTTGGCTGTTGGGTGGAGTTAAGCCTAACTCTGCAGTAGGTGCTCTTCAAATAAACCATGCTCACTACCACCGTGTTATATATTGGAAAAATTCTTCACCCTAACTGCCAAACACTGTCACTGTCTTTAATAAATTACAGAGTAATTTTCACAAACTGGAAGGTATTGCTTCTTGAATAAACTGTCATTTTCAAAATTAGCTCCATGCCCCAACTCCCATAAATATTCAAACTTTAATATGTGCCTATTAGATATCTTCCTCCCAGAAGAAAATTAAAATGATGAAACCCATCTGGGAAAGTGGTAAATTCAGTTTTCACTTTTTTATTGCTAAGGGATGGCTTATCTTCAGTTAATATTATTATTTGTTCGCCAAGTTTTTATGGCCACAAGAGAAACTTTCAAGTGATTTATGTGTCAATTATTTACTTCAAATTATCTTTTAAAAGCAAGTAAAAATGCATTGAATATTCGTCATTAGTAGTAATGAATGCATACAGTATTCATCAAGATGAATGATGACAAGAAATGCATTTTTATGAGGTAACAGGAGACAGTAGAGCTCATGTTTAAGAAATAACATTACACAATTGGCATTGTTGCTTCAAGTTATTACGTCAAACAGCAGCTCATGGGAAAATTACCTTGGGATTTTTAGTTGGTCATAAGCTCAATGTTATTAGACATTGGAATATTTTCTTCACGACTGGTTTCTCTAAATAAGAGAAACTTGAATCAGTTGGAGCATGTCCAAAAGATAACTTTGATAATGTGAGGTCTGGATACCATAAAGCATGAAGTAGATTTATGGCAGTAGGAAATGTAAGCTCAGAAAAGCACGAACTTGGGAGTGTTACTGTCATTGGCTTCATCTTCTCAAGGACATCACTATGGAGAAGAAAGATATTATTTGAACTGTTTAGTTACAGAGAGCAGAAATAATATAAGGAAGTTCAGGATAAATATCTTAGAGTTCTAAAGAAAATTTCAACTTTGGGAGGAGAGATGAACTAGATAATTTTTCCAATTACTTCCGATTCTAAGACTTTCAGATTTAGTGGTTCTGGATTGTTTGATTTTCTCTTCAACTTACTTAGAAGAAGGAGAAGTTTGAAAATAATAGATGATTTCTTTTAATCAAACAAGCAATTTTATGGCATCAAAAGAGACCAACTTTAAGTTTCCTATAGTAAGAAAGCAACTTTTTCTCCCTGCGTAATTATCTTCTAAACTGACTGGAATTCACATGAGTATCAAAGGAAGCTTATGGAACCAGACAGAGTTGGATTGTTTATATAACACACAAACACACATACATACACACACACACACATATATATACTCACACATATATGGATGGTTTACATATATATATACACATACACACACATATATATATACACACAGCTCAGGTTAATTTTTCAAAAATTTTATTATGAACTGCTGCAATATAGAGACAAAATTAAAGAATTCTGCAGTGAAAACCCACTGATATGGTTTGGCTGTGTCCCTACCCAAATCTCATATTGAACCTCATAATTCCCACATGTTGTGGGAGGGACCCAGTGGGAGACAATTAAATCATGAGGGCAGTTTCTCTCATACTGTTCTTGTTTAGTGAATAATTCTCACAAGATCTGGTGGGTTTATAAGGGGAAATCCCTTTTGCTTGATTCTCTCTTATCTGCCTCCATGTAAGACATTCCTTTTGCCTTCTGCCATGATTGTGAGCCCTCCCCAGTCACATGAAACTGTGAGGCCATTAATCCTCTTTCTTGATAAATTACCCAGTCTCAGGTATATCTTTATAAGCAGCGTGAAAATGAACTAATACACCAATACACACACCAACAAGATTAATCAACTAACATTTTGCTATATTTGTTCTACTATATCTCTATCAAAATAGGTAAATTTTATTTTATTTTTATTTTATAAAAGTTTATTCATGCTTGCTTTATTAATATGTTTTCATTTTCTTATTTATTTATTTATTATTATTATACTTTAAGTTTTAGGGGACATGTGTACAATGTGCAGGTTAGTTACATATGTATACATGTGCCATGCTGGTGCGCTGCACCCACTAACTCGTCATCTAGCATTACGTATATCTCCCAGTGCTCTCCCTCCCCCTTCCCCCCACTCCACAACAGTCCCCAGAGTGTGATGTTCCCCTTCCCGCGTCCATGTGTTCTCATTGTTCAATTCCCACCTATGAGTGAGAATATGCAGTGTTTGGTTTTTTGTCCTTGAGATAGTTTACTGAGAATGATGATTTCCAATTTCATCCATGTCCCTACAAAGGACATGAACGCATCATTTTTTATGACTGCATAGTATTCCATGGTGTATATGTGCCATATTTTCTTAATCCAGTCTATCATTGTTGGACATTTGGGTTGGTTCCAAGTGTTTGCTATTGTGAATAATGCCGCAATAAACATATGTGTGCATGTGTCTTTATAGCAGCATGATTTATAGCCCTTTGGGTATATACACAGTAATGGGATGGCTGCATCAAATGGTATTTCTAGTTCTAGATCCCGGAGGAATCACCACACTGACATCCACAATGGTTGAACTAGTTTACAGTCCTACCAACAGTGTAAAAGTGTTCCTATTTCTCCACATCCTCTCCAGCACCTGTTGTTTCCTGACTTTTTAATGATTGCCATTCTAACTGGTGCGAGATGTTATCTCATTGTGGTTTTGATTTGCATTTCTCTGATGGCCAGTGATGGTGAGCATTTTTTCATGTGTTTTTTGGCTGCATAAATGTCTTCTTTTGAGAAGTGTCTGTTCATGTCCTTTGCCCACTTTTTGATGGGGTTGTTTTTTTCTTGTAAATTTGTTTGAGTTCATTGTAGATTCTGGATATTAGCCCTTTGTCAGATGAGTAGGTTGGGAAAATTTTCCCCCATTTTGTAGGTTGCCTGTTCACTCTGATGGTAGTTTCTTTTGCTGTGCAGAAGCTCTTTAGTTTAATTAGATCCCATTTGTCAATTTTGGCTTTTGTTGCCATTGCTTTTGGTGTTTTAGACATAAAGTCCTTGCCCATGCCTATGTCCTGAATGGTAATGCCTAGGTTTTCTTCTAGGGTTTTTATGGTTTTACGTCTAACATGTAAGTCTTTAATCCATCTTGAATTAATTTTTGTATAAGGTGTAAGGAAGGGATCCAGTTTCAGCTTTCTACATAAGGCTAGCCAGTTTTCCCAGCACCATTTATTAAATAGGGAATCCTTTCCCCATTGCTTGTTTTTCTCAGGTTTGTCAAAGATCAGATAGTTGTAGATATGCAGCATTAATTCTGAGGGCTCTGCATGCTGTTTCGGTTACTGTAGCCTTGTAGTATAGCTTGAAGTCAGGTAGTGTGATGCCTCCAGCTTTGTTCTTTTGGCTTAGGATTGACTTGGTGATGCGGGCTCTTTTTTGGTTCCAGATGAACTTTAAAGTAGTTTTTTCCAATTCTGTGAAGAAAGTCATTGGTAGCTTGATGGGGATGGCATTGAATCTGTAAATTACCTTGGGCAGTATGGCCATTTTCACGATATTGATTTTTTCTACCCATGAACATGGAATGTTCTTCCATTTGTTTGTATCCTCTTTTATTTCCTTGAGCAGTGGTTTGTAGTTCTCCTTGAAGAGGTCCTTCCTATCCCTTGTAAGTTGGATTCCTAGGTATTTTATTCTCTTTGAAGCAATTGTGAATGGGAGTTCACTCATGATTTGGCTCTCTGTTTGTCTGTTATTGGTGTATAAGAATGCTTGTGATTTTTGTACATTGATTTTGTATCCTGAGACTTTGCTGAAGTTGCTGATCAGCTTAAGGAGATTTTGGGCTGAGACAATGGGGTTTTCTAAATATACAATCATGTCGTCTGCAAACAGGGACAATTTGACTTCCTCTTTTCCTAATTGAATACCCTTTATTTCCTTCTCCTGCCTAATTGCCCTGGCCAGAACTTCCAACACTATGTTGAATAGGAGTGGTGAGAGAGGGCATCCCTCTCTTGTGCCAGTTTTCAAAGGGAATGCTTCCAGTTTTTGCCCATTCAGAATGATATTGGCTGTGGGTTTGTCATAGATAGCTCTTATTATTTTGAAATATGTCCCATCAATACCTAATTTATTGAGAGTTTTTAGCATGAAGCATTGTTTAATTTTGTCAAAGGCCTTTTCTGCATCTATTGAGATAATCATGTAGTTTTTGTCTTTGGTTCTGTTTATATGCTGAATTACACGTATTGATTTGCGTATATTGAACCAGCCTTGCATCCCAGGGATGAAGCCCACTTGATCATGGTGGATAAGCTTTGTGATGTGCTGCTGGATTCGGTTTGCCAGTATTTTATTGAGGATTTTTGCATCAATGTTCATCAAGGATATTGGTCTAAAATTCTCTTTTTTGGTTGTGTCTCTGTCAGGTTTTGGTATCAGGATGATGCTGGCCTCATAAAATGAGTTAGGGAGGATTCCCTCTTTTTCTATTGATTGGAATAGTTTCAGAAGGAATGGTACCAGTTCCTCCTTGTACCTCTGGTAGAATTCAGCTGTGAATCCATCTGGTCCTGGACTCTTTTTGGTTGGTAAGTTTTGATTATTGCCACAATTTCAGCTCCTGTTATTGGTCTATTCAGAGATTCAACTTCTTCCTGGTTTAGTCTTGGGAGAGTGTATGTGTCGAGGAATTTATCCATTTCTTCTAGATTTTCTAGTTTATTTGTGTAGAGGTGTTTGTAGTATTCTCTGATGGTAGATTGTATTTCTGTGGGATCAGTGGTGATATCCCCTTTATCATTTTTTATTGCATCTATTTGATTCTTCTCTCTTTTTTTCTTTATTAGTCTTGCTAGTGGTCTATCAATTTTGTTGATCCTTTCAAAAAACCAGCTCCTGGATTCATTAATTTTTTGAAGGGTTTTTTGTGTCTCTATTTCCTTCAGTTCTGCTCTGATTTTAGTTATTTCTTGCCTTCTGCTAGCTTTTGAATGTGTTTGCTCTTGCTTTTCTAGTTCTTTTAATTGTGATGTTAGGGTGTCAGTTTTGGATCTTTCCTGCTTTCTCTTGTGGGCATTTAGTGCTATAAATTTCCCTCTACACACTACTTTGAATGTGTCCCAGAGATTCTGGTATGTTGTGTCTTTGTTCTCGTTGGTTTCAAAGAACATCTTTATTTCTGCCTTCATTTCGTTATGTACCCAGTAGTCATTCAGGAGCAGGTTGTTCAGTTTCCATGTAGTTGAGCAGTTTTGAGTGAGATTCTTAATCCTGAGTTCTAGTTTGATTGCACTGTGGTCTGAGATATAGTTTGTTATAATTTCTGTTCTTTTACATTTGCTGAGGAGAGCTTTACTTCCAACTATGTGGTCAATTTTGGAATAGGTGTGGTGTGGTGCTGAAAAGAATGTATATTCTGTTGATTTGGGGTGGAGAGTTCTGTAGATGTCTATTAGGTCTGCTTGGTGCAGAGCTGAGTTCAATTCCTGGGTATCCTTGTTGACTTTCTGTCTCATTGATCTGTCTAATGTTGACAGTTGGGTGTTAAAGTCTCCCATTATTAATGTGTGGGAGTCTAAGTCTCTTTGTAGGTCACTCAGGACTTGCTTTATGAATCTGGGTGCTCCTGTATTGGGTGCATACATATTTAGATTAGTTAGCTCTTCTTGTTGAATTGATCCCTTTACCATTATGTAATGGGCTTCTTTGTCTCTTTTGATCTTTGTTGGTTTAAAGTCTGTTTTATCAGAGACTAGGATTGCAACCCCTGCCTTTTTTTGTTTTCCATTTGCTTGGTAGATCTTCCTCCATCCTTTTATTTTGAGCCTATGTGTGTCTCTGCACATGAGATGGTTTTCCTGAACACAGCACATTGATGGGTCTTGACTCTTTATCCAATTTGCCAGTCTGTGTCTTTTAATTGGAACATTTAGTCCATTTACATTTAAAGTTAATATTGTTATGTGTGAATTTGATCCTGTCATTATGATGTTAGCTGGTTATTTTGCTCGTTAGTTGATGCAGTTTCTTCCTAGTCTCGATGGTCTTTACATTTTGGCATGATTTTTCAGCGGCTGGTACCGGTTGTTCCTTTCCATGTTTAGCGCTTCCTTCAGGAGCTCTTTTAGGGCAGGCCTGGTGGTGACAAAATCCCTCAGCATTTACTTTTCTGTAAAGTATTTTATTTCTCCTTCACTTATGAAGCTTAGTTTGGCTGGATATGAAATTCTGGGTTGAAAATTCTTTTCTTTAAGAATGTTGAATATTGGCCCCCACTCTCTTCTGGCTTGTAGGGTTTCTTCCGAGAGATCCGCTGTTAGTCTGATGGGTTTCCTTTTGAGGGTAACCCGACCTTTCTCTCTGACTGCCCTTAACATTTTTTCCTTCATTTCAACTTTGGTGAATCTGACAATTATGTGTCTTGGAGTTGCTCTTCTCGAGGAGTATCTTTGTGGCGTTCTCTGTATTTCCTGAATCTGAATGTTGGCCTGCCTTGCTAGATTGGGGAAGTTCTCCTGGACAATATCCTGCAGAGTGTTTTCCAACTTGGTTCCATTCTCCCCGTCACTTTCAGTTACACGAATCAGATGTAGATTTGGTCTTTTCACATAGTCCCATATTTCTTGGAGGCTTTGCTCATTTCTTTTTATTCTTTTTTCTCTAAACTTCCCTTCTCACTTCATTTCATTCATTTCATCTTCCATCGCTGATACCCTTTCCTCCAGTTGATTGCATCAGCTCCTGAGGCTTCTGCATTCTTCACGTAACTAGTTCTCAAGCCTTGGTTTTCAGCTCCATCAGCTCCTTTAAGCACTTCTCTGTATTGGTTATTCTAGTTATACATTGTTCTAAATTTTTTTCAAAGTTTTCAACTTCTTTGCCTTTGGTTTGAATATCCTCCCGTAGCTTGGAGTAATTTGATCGTCTGAAGCCTTCTTCTCTCAGCTCGTCAAAGTCATTCTCCGTCCAGCTTTGTTCCATTGCTGGTGAGGAACTGCGTTCCTTTGGAGGAGGAGAGGCACTCTGCTTTTTAGAGTTTCCAGTTTTTCTGCTCTGTTTTTTCCCCATCTTTGTAGTTTTATCTACTTTTGGTCTTTGATGATGGTGATGTACAAATGGGTTTTTGGTGTGGATGTCCTTTCTGTTTGTTAGTTTTCCTTGTAACAGACAGGACCCTCAGCTGCAGGTCTGTTGGAGTACTGGGCCGTGTGAGGTGTCAGGCTGCCCCTGCTGGGGGGTGCCTCCCAGTTAGGCTGCTCGGGGGTCGGGGTCAGGCACCCACTTGAGGAGGCAGTCTGCCCCTTCTCAGATCTCCAGCTGCATGCTGGGAGAACCACTGCTCTCTTCAAAGCTGTCAAGACAGGGACATTTAAGTCTGCAGAGGTTAGTGCTGTCTTTTTGTTTGTCTGTGCCCTGCCCCCAGAGGTGGAGCCTACAGAGGCAGGCAGGCCTCCTTGAGCTGTGGTGGGCTCCACCCAGTTCGAGCTTCCTGGCTGCTTTGTTTACCTAAGCAAGCCTGGGCAATGGCGGGCGCCCCTCCCCCAGCCTCGCTGCCGCCTTGCAGTTTCATCTCAGACTGCTGTGCTAGCAATCAGTGAGACTCCGTGGGCGTAGGACCCTCCGAGCCACGTGCAGGATATTATCCCCTGGTGCGCCGTTTTTTAAGCCCGTTGGAAAAGCGCAGTATTCAGGTGGGAGTGACCCGATTTTCCAGGTGCCGTCCATCACCCCTTTCTTTGACTAGGAAAGGGAACTCCCTGACCCCTTGTGCTTCCCGAGTGAGGCAATGCCTCTCCCTGCTTCGGCTCGTGCACGGTGCGCGGACCCACTGACCTGCGCCCACTGTCTGGCACTTCCTAGTGAGATGAACCTGGTACCTCAGATGGAAATGCAGAAATCACCCGTCTTCTGCGTCAATCACGCTGGGAGCTGCAGACCGGAGCTGTTCCTATTCGGCCATCTTGGCTCCGCCAAAATAGGTAAATTTTATAGAAGTTATTTTCACATGCAGATACTCATTAATGGAACTCAACGTAGTACATTTCCAAATAACAAACGGGTCACAACAGATGCATTTGTATTTTGCATAGGCAATTGCCTCTTAAACACTCAGTGCTCTCATCTGTCCTGCCCATGCTTTTTTCTAACTCCAGTACTGCTGATATAACACAATAGCAATATCAATAATGAATGTTATTGAGTGTCTTGTAGGTCGGGCAGTAATAAACTCTCATCAAGCATCAAGTTCATACTCTGAGGTCTTAGAGACTGTCTATTTGTTGAAGGTGTTCTTGGTTGCATGGAGTAAGATTGCTCTGTCTCTCTTTACGTACCTATTTTCCAAATCATTTAAGAAGGCTTTTTGACTAATTTGTTTAGATGCTACAGTTATCTTAACTGAAACATTAAATTTTTCTTATAATAATGGAAATTTTCCCACCTGTAGAATTGTCTTCCATTTTTACTCTCCTTCACATTTGAGAGTAAGGTCAAAATTCTGGCTTGGAGCAGGCTCACTACACCCACATATTTAAGAAGGAGGATAATGTCCACATGTCTTAGAGTGAGATGTTAAACCAAGGCTTTTCTTTCAGTAGTCATTATACTTGGTGGAAATAACAATAGCAATGGAGTCAAATGACCCAAGTACTTTGTCCTTTTTTAGCTATGTGTTATGCAAGTTAATCTTACTCTCTCTCTCTCTCTCTGTCTGTCTTTCTCTCTCTCTCTTCTTTCTCTATATACTTACCTATCTAATCATCTCTTCACTTTGCCTACCCAGATGGCAAAAAATAACAACAGCTATTCATAAAATAGGAGGATCTCAGCAAAATTCTAGCAGTTGAAGCTCTTTAGACAATAATTTATTGAAGGTGACTTAAGAATTTCTGATTCAATATACATTTATTTTTTTAAAGATGAAGCTTGACTGTAAACATATGTTGTTAATTGTGGTCTACTAAGGGGAACATAGCTCCTAATCCTGGGACTCCTAGATTAAGAGGCCTGTTTGACCTAGAGCAGGTCTTCTCATTTTGACATGTAACATTGTTTTTCGAATTGGATAAAGCTATCTCTTCCACAGCATTTTAGTGAAAATTAAAGGAGCTAATTTATAAATAAAAATTCCTTCTAAATTAAAAGTGTGATTTGTAGTCACTATGATTAACCATCTTTATCATCATCATAAAAAAAATCGTGTTACAGCTTCTGTCATTGACTGGTCTGGTCTAGAATTCCATAAAACTCACCTGCAAAGAGGAATAAACAGGCCACACTAATAAAAAGCAGAAGGGTACCTGATGGCTTCTTGGTAAATAAGATCTGCATGGTTTATAGGAAATATGTTAATAGAGTTCACTATTGACATTCTACAGGCTGTACTTTAAGTGGATATGTGAATGAATCTAAGTACCTATAAATTTGGTAGTCAGTTACATCCCTCATCTTAATTATGTAATGTATTTCCCCAAAGAGTAGAGACACCAGAAACCAAAGAAACTTCAGGCGTTTTTTAAACAGACAGGAACAATAGTCAGAAAATAATGTTGAAGTAGAACGAAATGTACTACAGGTAACATACCCATAATTTCCGCTGTTTAGCCCATGGTGATAATTACAATCAAGTCATCATCTTCCAATTTGCGTATGTTAGACTTGCCTCCAGTAGAGCATTGTTTCAGAGAGCTTTCACTATGCAGTAACCTATAGGATGATTTGCACAATTTGTGCACAGTATTAATAGTAATATGGCTTGGTGTCACAACTACCAGGGAAATTAAAATGCTGATGTGAGGAATTTTGAAGTCAAGGGATTTACTGGACAAAGTAAGAGGGCACTCTCAATAATCATTGAATTAGAAACTCTCGACATTCAAGGTGAATGTGAATCATGGGGCTCTTTCCTTCAGCCTCTTGCTTTTAGTCAGCCTATGCATGATGGTTTCTTGTTTACTTGGTTTACTTGTTACTTGGTCTTGTTTACTTGTTAATTTTAATGAGTAATTCACAGGTTGACTTTGGTCCTTGTACATATATCCCACACACACTTGTGTTCTTTCTCATTCTCAAATCCATCATTCACTGTTTACCTTAGAACTCTTGTTCTTACTGTTTCCTCTGCCTGGAAAACTACTGTCTCAGAAAAGTAAATGGCCATTTCTTCTTTCCAGAAGTAACAGTTCAAATATTACTTGTTCAGTAAAGATTTTCCTAACTATTTAAAATACTCCAACCTAAATCAGTGTGTTTTATTGTCATCATAATACTTTTCAATATCTGAAATTATCTTTTTTATTTCATTAATTATTTGTATATTTTCTCACCATCAAATCTACACTTACATACTCACAAATATATATACAAACACAGGTGCATACACACTAGGATATAGCTCATGGATCTTTTGTTTTGCACTTGGAAGCACATAGACACCATTTGATTTTACAAATGTGAACCAATGAAAAGTCCTTTCTTCCTTTGAAAATAATAATTGAGGACTATTATTCTAGGTATTATTAGATGCTGAAAATATAGTAACAACAAAAATATATTCATAGAGCTTACATTCTTCATTTTTCTCTCAAACACTTACTAGGTGGAACCTACTGATTATTGATATTTTAAAGATGAGTGAGAGAAGCTCATAGGCAACAGGTGAAAAAAATGTAATTAAAGTTATACACAATTAAGTAGAGAACCACTAAAGAGACCATATTCACTTGGAAGTAGGGTGGAGGAATGGACCGAGCAGAGATGGTCATGACCAGGCTCCACAAAGGACCTGACCCTCAGAGATATTAGAAGGTGTTGAAGCACTTGAAGGGATAACCAGCACTCTAAGAATAAAGAATGCTATGGAAATAAAACAAATAAGAACAAAACTGTATTTTTTTGGAAATGAAAGTAATGGTTAGACTCGAATGCAGAGATGGAACTTTAAAAAAAGGTTTTTATGTGTCTTTCATGTTTCTTGTGCTTGAGATCCACCAAGATCTTTGTATCTATGGGTTTATAGTTTTTATCAAATCAAGATTATTTCCATTATTTCTTCTCATTTTTCATAATTTTACCATTTCTTATAAGCTGCATGAAGTCCCACAACTTACTAATGCTCTCTTCATTTTTTTCTTCAGAATATTTTTTCTGTTTTCTTTTTGTTGATTTCTAATGTTGTATCTTCAAGCTTACAAGCCTTTTTTTCTGCATTGTCTAATCTGTTCTTAATAACAATATAGTACATTTTCCTCTCCAAGCATTGTGTTTTCTCATCTTTAAAAATACACTTTTTAAAAATACATATCTTCCTTGAATCTAGTTAATATGTTCTATTTTTCTTCTACCTTCTTGAACACATGGAATAGCTGATTTAATGCCCTCATCATCAATTATACTATTTGTCCCATTTCTGGGTCTGTTTACCTGATTTATATTTTTTCTTATTATGGGCTATATTTTCCTGCTTCTTTGGAACCAGACATTGTGAATTTCACTTTGTTGGACACTGGATTTTTAAAAATTTTCTTTAAATGTTTTTCATCTTTGTCCCTGGATGCAATTAAATTACTTGGAAAAGGTTTGATATTTTTGTGTGTGTGAGACTCGCTTTAAAGTTTTGTTAGATGAACCAGAGTAGCCTTTATTCTAGGGCCACTTGTACCCCCACACTACAGAGGCAATGCCCTGCCGAACATTCCACATGCTACTCGTGTACTATGAAGTTTTTCATTCTGCTGGTAGGACCACAAAATATTTTCAGTCCTGTGTGAAATCCAAGGATTATTATCTCTGTACTTCATTTAGGGGGTTCTTTTCTTGGCCTCGTGTAGTTTCCTAACACACACATCATGATCAACATTGAGCTGAAGACTAGAAAGGATATCACTGCAGAGCTCCCAACCTCTCTTATTCTGCCCTCTGAACTCCAGTTGCTTGTCTTCACCTCATGGAGATTTAAGATCTGCTTGGGTTTCAGCTTCCTGTGCTTTCACCTGAAAAATCTCCAAGGAGCAAACTGGTGCCATTTTAGTTCTCACTTCATTTATCTCTTCCCTTGAGAATCAATGTCCTGTGCCTGGTGTCCAATGTATGAGAAACATTGTTAAGTATATTTTGTCTAGTTTATTAGTTGTTTTAGGTATGAGGGTAAAACCACTCCCTCTTACTGCATCTTGGTCAAATCTAGAGTTTTATGCTAAAGACTTGGGTTTATCTTATTCTTACTATAAAGGTGATAAGAGTCATATAAAAAGCATCATGATTAAAAATAATTTCAAAGATCATTGCTTCCACTTTGTGAAAAATTACTTGAAGGGCATAAGGGTTGTGGGGCACTGGAGTTTATTTGTGAAATTATTGTCTAAATATGCAATAATAAGTGAGAGTTTGTATCCTCAACTAACATATTAAATATTGAATCTCACAACTTTTCCTCTCTAACTTATTGCATCTCATACCGGTATCATCAATAATTCAGAACCCAGAATAAAAGTCACATCTCTACAACCATAAAGTCAACAAGAAATACACTGGAGAAAGGACACCCTATTCATTAAACGGTGCTGGGAAAACTGGATAGCCATATGTAGAAAAAAGAACTGGACTCCAATCTCTCACCATAAACAAAAAATTAACAAAAAGTTGAATTAAAGTCTTAAATGTAAGACCTGAAACTATAAAAATTTCAGAAGAAAACCTAGGAAAAACTCTTCTGCACATTGTCCTAGGCAAATGTTCATAACTAAGACCTCAAAAGCAAATGCAACAATAACAAAAGTAGATCAATGGGACTAAATTAAACTAAAATGTTTCTTCACAGCAAAAGAAATAATCAAGAGAACGAATAGAAAACCTACAGAATGGGATAAAATATTTGCAAAGTATTCATTCAACAAAGGACTAATATCCAGAATCTACAAGCAACTCAAACAACTCAACAAGAAAAACAAACAAACAACAACAACAAAAAACAAAAAGTGGACAAAAAACATAGATATTTTCCAAAAGAACACATACAATTGGCCAAAAAGGCATATTTTTAAAAAGCACAACATCACTAATAATCAGAGAAATGCAAAATAAAACCACAATGAGATGCCATCTTACACCAGCCAGAATGGCTATTATTAAAAAGTCAAAAATTAGTAGATGTTGATGAGGATGCAGAGTAAAGGGAAATCTTACACCAATCAGAATGGCTATCGTTAAAAAGTCAAAAATTAGCAGACGTTGATGAGGATGCAGAGAAAAGGGAATATTTAGACACTGTTAGTAAGAATGTAAATTAGTACAACTTCTGTTGAAACAGTATAGAGATTTTCAAAGAACTAAAAAGAAAACTACAATTCAATTCAGCAATTCCGGTACTAGGTATCTACAAAAAAGAAATCATTATATCAAAAAGATACCTGCACTTATATGTTTATCACAGCAGTATTCACAATAACAAAGTTATGGAATCAACCATCAACCTAAGTGTCTATAAGTGTATATCCACATAAAGAAAATGGACTACTACTTAGGCATAAAAAATGAAATCATGTATTTTGCAGCAACAGGAGCTGGAGACCATTATCTTAAGTGAAATCATTCAGGAACAGAAAGTCAAATACTGCAAGTTCTCATGTTCTCAATTATAAGTGAGAGCTAAATAATATGTACACACGGATATAGGGAGTGGAATAATAGACATTGAAGTCTCAGAAAAGTGGGAGGGTGAGAGAGAGGTAAAGTATAAGAAGTTAACTAATGGATACAATGTACAGTATTGGGGTGGTGGTTACATTGAAAGCCCAGACTTTATCACTATGCAAAAACTCACATAACAAAAATGCAGGTGTACCCCCTATATCTATTTTTAAAAGTGAATAGTCTCCTTTAACATATTTTTGCTTTACACAATCTACTTACTAAACTACACATTTCTGTTCCTCTCAGTGTATTTCTACTGTGTCATATTTCTCATCTAAGCACAATAGTACAACTGCTTCCTACAAACCATATATGTACATTGCTTATTAGCAAGTTGAAGTGAGTTTCTTTCCAGATTCTAGGATTTTAGAAACAAAAAGCTAGTGTCCTTAGAGGGGTGGGAAGGAATTCATACACAGTGATGTGTTTATGAGATTCTTATGTGTTTATGAATATAAAACAGTAAGAAAGTTTTCAGTAAGTCCCAGAAATCAACCTATAATTAGTTATGACACATATAGGAGGGGCTGGATACATCTTTAAAAACTCAGTAAGCAAGTATTTAATGACGTTGGCTTAAGCCTATAAAACTTTCCAAAGCATTGCTCATCTAACAAGATCAGTGCCACAGAATGAGTTAGATTTTATTGGGTGAGCTAACAGTTTCCCGTGAAATGAGAACTTAAGGACTGTGCTTATTAAGTCAAACTATTCATATAATAAAGTAATTTAGGTAATTGCCATTGTTACTCTGAACTGAGATTTGTGAGATTCTCTCTACTACTACCATTTTCGTTGCTCAGCAAATGACCTCATATACTTTTGTAGCAACAAAGTTGAGAGTTAATTTTCTTTATTTCTCACTACTAGTTTTTTGGCATCCACTCCTGTACCCTTACTCCATTCCTGAATATCAGCACATCTCTGACTGCTATGTATTTCCTATTCACATTTCATCCTTTTAGAGATTTTTAGATTAAAATGTCGTCTTGGTTGTATTCTTTTTTTAACAATTTAATTCACAAATTATATTTCCCCAAGTGTTTAAAATTGTTTATATATCCACATATATATATCCACATATACATATACACATATATATATACATATATACATATATATATACATATATAATTTTTAATATTAGAACATGCCTTCCCCTAGTGGAAAAGCATGAGTTTCTAAAGCAGCAGAGATACATGGACTGAACCTAGTTCACATGTTTTCTGTTCTATCTTTGCTGCTATGGTTTTTGTCTTAATGGGGCACTTAGTTTACAGGTCACCACATTTCTTATAATTTCTAATATCCTATCACCAGGTACTTTACACCAGACTGGACTCCAGACATCTGATTTTTGAAAAAACTTTACTATAGAGGCTAAAGTTGTTAACCATTAAATATAACAAATCTCCAATAACATTCCAATGTAAATTTGGCTATAATTTAAGTTCTTGATCCCACATCCCATTTATTAGCACTAAATATGTGTCACTCATTGCCTTACAGATTGAGGATACAAAAAATAAAAGACTAAGAATACTCCTACTCTAAAGATACCCCTACCCAAAAGAGATAAAGAAAAAATAAAAGGTAAAAGTTATTAGTTCTTTGGGAAAAATAGAACTATTTATAAAATGTTTGTCACTAGCCAAGCATTCATAACAAGATTGGTAGTTATGAAATATCTATGTTGGTACATTAAAAAAAAAAGATGAACTCAAATCAATTACCAAGCTGTATAACTTAAATGACTAGACAAAGAAGGCAATCTAAATCCAAAGCTAACTGAAGAAAGGAAAAAAGTAATGATGAAAGTAAAGATACATGAAATAGAGACTAGAAAAACAATGGAAAAAATCCACAAAACCAAAACATGGCTTTTCAAAATTGATGAAGCTTTAGATATATTGACTAAGAGAAAAAAGAGAGCTCTCAAATTACTAAGATCAGTAATAAAAGTTATATATTAATACGAATCTTACAGAAATTTTTGAAAATTAAGAGAATACTATGAACAATTGTATGCCAACAAATTAGATTAACTAAATAAAACGAATGAGTTTCTGGAAACACACAATCTACCAAAATTTAATTATGAATAAATAGAATATCTGACTAAACCTATAACTACAAGATTTAATCAGTAATCAAAACCACCTATTGAAGAAAAATTCTTGATCAGATGACTTAACTATTGAATTCTGCCAAACATTTAAAGAAGAATTAACACCATTTTTCCCCAAATATTAAAAAGGAACAGTCTAACTCTCTCTGTGAGCCCTGTATTACCCTGATATTAAAGATAGGTAAAGAGAGTACACAAAAAAGAAAACTACAGACCAATAACTTCTATGAATATTGATGCAAAAATTGCTCAACAAAATACTAGCAAACCATATTCAGCAGCATATTAAAAGGATCATATACCATGACCAAGTGGGATTTATTCTTTGCTGCAAGAATGGTTCACCATATAAAGTTCAGCCAATGAAATACACGAAATTAGTAGAAAAAAAGGGAGAAAAAAAGCTCATGATCATCTCAATTGAAGCATATTTGACAAAATTCAACATGACTTTATGATAAAAACACTTAATAAACTAGGGATACAAGGAAGCTTTCTCAACTTAATAAAGGCCATATATAACAAACTCACAGCTAACATCAAACACGGTGGATAAAGAATGAAAGCTTTTTCCTTAAGAGAGGAACAAGATAAGGATGCCTATTTTTACTGCTTCTATTCAATACGGAATTGGAAGTTCTAGCCAGAGAAACTAGGTAAGAAAAAGCAATAAAATACATCCAAATTTGAAAGCAAAAAATTAAATTATTTATGTTTGCAGATGACATGATCTTATATGCAGTACCCTAAAGATTCTATAACAAGAACTTTTAAAGCTAATAAAAATATCGAAGTTGCAAGATACAAAATCAACACACAAAGATCACTTGTGTTTCTCCACATTAACAACAATCCCAAAAAATGAAATAAGAAAAGTTCACTTACAATAGCATCGAAAAGATTAAAATACTTAGAAATAAATTTAATAAAGAGGTGAAAGCCTAGTATATTGAAAACTACCGGTTCCATCCTCTTCCACTGTCCCTGTGGTTCTCAGTTCCTTCGTCTGCAGGAGGAGTGGCAGTGGCCGGGCAGCTCAGCTTCACCAAGGCTTTTGGTGCGCTGGGAGCTGCAGGCACCCAGCACTTGTCCTCCCAAAGGCAAAGATGCCTAAAAGAAGGTCAGCTCAGCCTAATGAAGGGGTGGTGAGGGAAGATCCCAAGATCTGCCTAGTTGTCAGGTGAACCTACTCCTTCAAAAGCAGAAACAAAGCCGAAAAAGGCACCAGGAAAGGATAAATCTTCAGACCAAAAAAAGTGAAAAATGAAAAGGAGAAAGCGGGAGCAAAGAGAAAACAGGCCAAAGATGTAACCAGAATATTTACCTGCTTAAAATGGAGAAACTAAAACCGAGAAGAGTCCAGCTTCTAATGAAGCCAGAGAGAAAGAAGCCAGGTCTGATTAAAACTATATACCATGTTTTATCAGTGGTCCTTGTCTCTCTACATGTACAACCCAAAGGAATATTTTAATCAACTATTTTGTAAATGCAAGTTTTTTAATAGCTCTAGAAACATATTTAAGAAGGAGGGAATCTCACCTTCCCATTACTTAAGTGTAAGTGCTTTTTATTTAAGAGGTGAAATGGTTCACTGGTAGTTATTTTGGGTACAACCAGAAACTAGTGTGGGATATTGAATTATGGGAGGCGTTGACTGTCTTAGATGTCAGCTTAACATTCTATAGATGGTGGGTTAGTTTTTACATCCTCTAATACAACGCATACACTAAATGGCAATATGGAGTCACAGTCCTGCATTTAATGTCTTCAACATTTTAAATTACATCTATTCCCATGCTGTTTTTCGTAGAATTGTTTGTTTCCTGAAGAAAACCACTCTTGATTATGGCTCTTCCTGTCAGAATTGTGTACACTCTGTAACATCTTTTTGGTCATGGTAGTCCTGTTTTCCTAAAACCTTTGTCAATGTGCTGTGAAAGATTAAAGTTTTGAGTACATAGTATGTGTATTAGACTGTGAATTGGTGGGACATACGTAATAACTTATCAACATGTGAACATACTGGGACTTTATAGCCTCTTAAGGAAAATTTGCCTCCAAATTTTAAGTTAGAAAGCCACTGGAATAACTTTTTTAAACAATTACAATGCATGGCTTTTTAGATTTTCAGTTTGTATCTTAAGAATTGTGTACAAATTGAAATGTCTTTGTACTGACCTTCAACACATCCAATAAAATCTCAATTATGAAAGAAAACTACAGATCACTGTGATAGAAACTAGAGAAGACATAAATACATCACAAGACATCTTCCACTCATGGATTGGAAAATTTATTGCTAAGGTGACAATATTATCCAAAGTGATGTAGAATGATTCCAAGCAGACACATAGCTGTGCTTTATTACTTGGATTCTTTTAGTATGCTCATCTAATCTGAAGGGTAGCTGCAGTGAACTAAACTGGGCCATTAAGAGTACCTGTTTTTATTAGGTCTATATCTTCTCTAACTAAATCAGGGGAAATCTGTTCTGCCTATCTCTCCCTTTACTCAAACTGCAGAACTGAAATTAACATTTTAAAAAGTCACAGGTGCTAAAGCTAGAAGAAAAAAGAAAGTCCAAGAAAGAAAAAAGCAGTTCATTAGATGTCCAGTGGAGAGTTAGTCAGCCCATTTGAACACAGGCCTTCTCAGGATTAAACGGTAGTCCCATCACAAAATTAACATAATAGTGCACATGCTGGAAATTATGGCTGATGCATGTCACCCTCTAAACATTCGCTTAAGGCTTTTTTGAATTATGAATATTTCTATTTCTGATGTCACCAAATATATAAGACTAATCTGTCCAATTCAACATCTACATTCATGTCACTCAATTTATCATAATTATGTAGTATATAGTTTAGAAAATGGGATTGATACTAAGTATCTTAAATTTAAATTCAGTAAATTTAAACTCAGTGAATGGGTTAGTTGACATATAGTAACGAGTTATTTCAATGTTTATCTTAGTTATTTTTTCTCTGACCTTTTTTCCCCATGTTGTACCCTTTTTAACTTTTCTGTGTGTGTGTGTGTGTGTGTATGTGTGTGTATTTTGCTTAAAAAAACCTTCACATTGTCATAAACAGACAGGAAGGCTCCAGAGAACCCCTTTCACTCAAGCCTAATCATTGACATACCACATCATTTTTGTCACGAATTTAACTTCAAAAACAAGTAAGAAGAGAAAAGAAATAAGTGTCTTGGCATCAATTGTAGTGGAGGAATAAGGACAGTTAATGGTTAAAGATTTGGAATGATTTAATTTTAACAATGCTGCCATTGTCATCTGAAGGTATAATAATATGGATGTTGAGATCAAACGAACTATCTTTTTATGCTTTGAAGTTTGAATACAAACCATATGTGAAACAGCATGTTTTGTACTGGATATCACAAAAATGAGGAACATAAACAATTGCAAATATCTGACCCTGTTGACACAATCTCTCTGTGTGTGTTTTGCCATTTTTTAAAATTATACTTTAAGTTCTGGGGTACATGTGCATAACATGCAGGTTTGTTACATAGGTATACGCGTGTCGTGGTGGTTTGCTGCACCCATCAACCTGTCATCTACATTAGGTATTTCTCCTAATGCTGTCTCTCCCCTATACCCTTCACCCCCCAACAGGCCCCAGTGCGTGATGTTCCCCTCCCTGTGTCTATGTGTTCTCATTGTTCAACTCCCACTTATGAGTGAGAACATGCAATGTTTGGTTTTCTGTTCTTGTGTTAGTTTGCTGAAAATGATGGTTTCCAGCTTCATCCATGTCCCTGCAAAGGATATGAACTCATCCTTTTTATGGCTGCATAGTACTCCATGGTGTATATGTGCCACATTTCCTTTATCCAGTCTATTGTTGATGGGCATTTGGGTTGGTTCCAAGTCTTTGCTGTTGTGAACAGTGCCTCAGTAAACATACATGTGCATGTGTCTTTATAGTAGAGTGATTTATAATTCTTTGGGTATACCCAGTAATGGGATTGCTGGGTCGAATGGTATTTCTGGTTCTAGATGCTTGAGGAATCACTACACTGTCTTCCACAATGGTTGAACTAATTTACACTTCCACCAACAGTGTAAAAGCATTCCTTTTTCTCCACATCCTCTCCAGGACCTGTTGTTTCCTGACTTTTTAATGATTGCCATTCTAACTGGCGTGAGATGGTATGTCATTGTGGTTTTGATTTGCCTTTCTCTAATGACCAATGATGATGAGCTTTTTCTTTTCACGTTTGTTGGCTGCATACATGTCTTCTTTTGAGAAGTGTTTGTTCCTATTCTTCGCCCACTTTTTGATGGGGTTGTTTGCTTTTTTCTTGTACATTTGTTTAAGTTATTTGTAGATTCTGGATATGAGACCTTTCTCAGATGGATAGATTGCAAAAATTTTCTCCCATTCTGTAGGTCACCTGTTCACTCTGATGATAGTTTCTTTTGCCATGCAGAAGCTCTTTAGTTTAATTAGATCCCATTTGTCTATTTTGGCTTTTGTTGTCATTGCTTTTTGTGTTTTAGTCATGAAATCTTTGCCTATGACTATGTCCTGAATGGCATTGCCTAGGTTTTCTTCTAGGGTTTTTATGGTTTTAGGTCTTACGTTTAAGTCTTTAATCCATCTTGAGTTGATTTTTGTATAACTTGTGAGGAAAGGATCCAGTTTCAGCTTTCTGCATATGGCTAGCCTGTTTTCCCATCATCATTTATTAAATAGGGAATCCTTTCCCCATTGCTTGTTTTTGTCAGGTTTGTCAAAAACAAGCAAACTACAATATGCATAAATCTTAAGTGTGTGTTCACTGAGATTTGAGAGTGTGGATATCTCTGTAGCCCAAATCCGTATATTTTGACTGTTGACTTCTTTTTTTATGTGACTTGCTTCTTCTTTCCAAGAAATGTAAGTCATCTAGTCTTCTGTGGTTTATTTTTATATACTTTCCCTTCATTTCTGAAGAATAGCTCAGAACTAGACAAGAGATAGTTTATGACAATTTTCAGATATAGCCCCTGACATAAGCCTTAAAATAAATGGTGCAATTAGATTCAGATTTGTATGAGAAAAGAAGAGTTAGGCAGTGTGGAAGAAGATATCATAAAAGACATTTCAGATAGGCAAAGGCAAAGTGGTGAAACTGAAACTTTTGTGTGGAAGAAGGCTGGTAGGAATCTGGTCTGGCTGGTGGGGAGGGTTCCAATAGGAGATACAAGTACTTTCACCAAGGCCCAACATGGTGGCTCATGCCTGTAATCCAAGCACTTTGGGAGGCCAAGGTGGGTGGATCACTTGAGGCCAGGAGTTCGAGACCAGCCTGGCCAACAGGATGAAACTCCGTCTCTGTTAAAAATACAAAAATTAGCTGAACATAGTGGTGGGCACCTGTAGTCTCAGCCATTCGGGAGGCTGAGGCACGAGAATTGCTTGAAGCAGGGAAGTGGAGGTTGCAGTGACCTGAGATTGCACCACTGCCCTCCAACTTGGGTGACAGAGTGAGACTTTGTCTCAAAAATAATTAAAAAAGTACTTTCACCAATGCTCGGTGATTCTATTATCAAACTATACATAATTTTCTACACGTTTACATTAAAAGTAGCTAAATTGTTTCAGGGAGTAGAAACTAAAGAAGAGATTTAGGTTTACTTTTTCTAATGAGCATCGAATTTAGTCTACAAAGAAAATGGGAAGGTGGAAAGAAACAGCTGAGATGAGCATTTCCAAAAATTGTAAATGTAAAGATAGACATTTTTAGACTAGGAAATAGAACACAAAAAGATCCTGATCGGTGAAGACAATATAATGCTGAAACTGATGACAGAGCTTAATAATAACAGCCACTAACAACTTGGCTTTTGTTATATATTAATGATTAAGTGCTTTACATGCATCATATCCTTAGTCTTCATCATAAAACAAAAAGGTAGATATTATTATCTCTATTTTTCAGATGAAGAAATAATGATACAAAGAAGTCTAAATGACTTGCTCAAAGGCACATAACTTACATCAGAACCATGATTCACATTCTGGTCTGTGTGACTTGAGTATACCCTCTCTTATCAATGCTGTACCCAAATAATAGACTATGTGTTCATTCTTACCCATCAAGGGGAATAATCTTTAACCATGGAACAGAATGCTCATATAGTTTTTCTAGCATAATCTAATCTATTCCCTGGCTCTTTATCTAGATATTGGATACATCTCTCAGTCTGGCCAGGTCAGTCTTCTTTAATTATGTACAATTAGGGGTAACATCCATGTGCATAAAATATATTTGAGATTTTAAAATCAGAAATATAATCTTAATATGCATGGTTAGAAACACATTTCATGCATCAAGGTAAAAGAAAAAATATTAACAATAACTACAAAGTCTTTCCCGAATCAGGCTCATTCCTCTTTTACGTCTTCTATTATTTGCCCATTTAGTCAGTCCTCTTCAGTCACCAATGCCTTGCTAAACCTTGAACAAAACAGGCATGCTCCACAACCTTAATGGCTATTTTTAGCATCTCCTTTTGCTCTTCTCCAATATATGTATTTGGCCAATTTCTTCATCTCTGGGTCTTCCAATAAAAACTACTGGAACCAACTGATTTAGTACTGCAAATGGTTACCACCTTTCCCTAAGTATTTTTTATCCATATTAACATATTCTTCTTATTTTTTTCTAATAGCCCTTATAACCTTCTATCTTATTATACCATTTATTATTATATTTATTGTTTTAGTATATTTCTTCCTGTTGGAATTTAAACTTCATTAAATATTGAAGGGTCATTGGCCCGTCTCATTACCATCCACGCTGTATCCAAGGCACCTAGAACAGAATCTACCACAGAGTAGGCCCCAGTAAATATTTGTTGCTGGAGTGATGATTATTACATTGCAGCTAGAGATGTATTCTGTCTGAGTTTCCCCAGTAAGGTGTTATTTATAAAAGCATGCTTTACTACATGAAACGACTCAGAGAAAGAATTCTCAATACTTCCATGTGAATGTTCAGAATAAGATATATATGTATCAAACTGTGGATTTTCATAGGGTTGAGGCAGCTACATGGAGATTGAGCTTGTTATCAACAGAGCTGTGCTTTAACCTTCAGTCTTCTTTTAACTACAGCTGTTTTATTTGCCAAGTGACTGATTTTATTGAATATTCACCATTTATTGTATATTTTGTTACATTATATCTGGTATACCTTATGATACTGCTACTACAGAAAACCATACACTGTATGTCTTTAGAAATTATATAGTCCAAATTTTCCATTCCAGATGCCTAAAAAAATGGCCTGTAGAGAACAAATATTTTTCTTTTATATAACATGCTTTTTATGAAATTGGGAAGAATGAATATTATGTGATCTAATTAATGCTAGATATTTTAAGTAACTGTAAGCATAGCATATGGTCATGTTGTCAAAATCCTTCATTATAAACATGGAGATTCTAAGAATAAGAGAAAGGAAGGGATTTTCCTATGATCTCACAATGACTGGATGGTTAACTTAGATCAGGAAAATAGGTTTCTTGATCCAAGTTTATCCCAGTTCAATTATTCTCTGTTGTATGTATATATTTTCTTGATCTCAAAGTAAGAACACAGTCAATGCTTTTGCAGAATGTACTTTATTGACAAGTGAATCAAGAGAAATAGACATACATTGAACTCCTCAAGACCCAGGCAGAGTAGGTATGTCTTTATGAATTAAAGGAATCCACCAGCAAAAGTATAAGCAGAAGTGAGAAAAGAAGGCTGCAAAAGCTGGCAAGTCACCAAGAAACATTGGCTTTAACTCAGCATTTTCCAGGATGCTTTAGGCTAATCTTTCCACCACTTTTCCTACAAAAAAGAAAGACAAATATATACTCAGTGCAATATCGTAAGTACTCACCATAGAAGTTCTAAACATATTTAACAATGGCATGGTCCATTTAATTATTTGATTCTATAAATTCCATTTATATGATTCAGAAGATGTTAATTAAATGCACTCAGAGGTTACATCTGGCCTAGCTGTGGAAAGTATGAATCTTAAACAAATTTCAGAGTTATCATAAGTCTTAGACTTTTTGGTACCAATTGCTCATTCTCCAAGAGTAAATATGTATACCATTGAAAAAGGTAGAGGTCACAGGAGAAATAATGACAAAGGGACTATAGTTTTTTTCTGACAGAAGATGTAAGAAGTTGAAACAGATATTCAGGCGTTTGACATTTTAGAGCAGGTGACACATTCAAGCCCTCTCAGTAATATGCATCTATTAATTCAAATCTCATATTACACCACTGACTTTCTCCTGAGAAAAGTTTGGTATTAATTAGTCAGATGTGTTATATATAAGTGTAGACATATGTTCATTATGTATTGATATTGCAAATTCTAATTAGAAACAAATGAAAACATTAAAACATATCAAAATTATTAAATATAATAAGTTATAATGTATAAGATGTGTGAATGTTTTTGAAAACTTGTCTAAGACAATAAAAATTAATAATAACAAAGCAAAGCGATTAAGATTATGTCTTCAAATAATTTAGTATGTAATGTTTTTGTTGCTTTTGACCCATCTGTTTTCAATCAAATTGCCTGAAGCTTGTTTCTTCAGTCTCTATGGGGAGGTATGGGTGTTTTCTATAATACCTCGAAAAAGTGTCTTAGTCTTATTATGGAAGTTTGTGTTTGCAAGGGTCAGCTTTGATGAATATAATACTTACACTATGGCCTTACAGAAGGCACATTTATTGCCATATGTCTGGCCATCAGAGCCACAGTGTGGGTTAGATTCCCGAGTGCAGTAGACCTTGGGGTCCTGGAACTCACCACAGTCAACCTACCAAAGTAAGCAGAGTGACATTGACATCAGTGCATTCTAAGAGACCATCCTTCAGAACAGAAGCTTTAGACAGCAAACTTTAAAAACCATATATAAATAGTTGTGACATAAAGCATTCTGAAATATAAAATAGCTCTCCTTATCTGATGTATTCTACTTACCTACTTAAGTAGAATACATTAAATATACTTGAGACATTTTCTTTGAGTCACAGGAAACTCATTACAAGGAATACAGATTGTATTCAGGAGTAAATTAATGATGTAGTCAAATGCTATATGGGTAAAACTTTTTGCTCCAACATTAAACTATTCCAATTGAGAGTGGTTTTCGGTCATGAAACGACTTTTTAAACATCATATTAATGTGCTCTAACAGTACTCCTGTATTGCTATCAAAACATGGATGGGCTGGGCGCGGTGGCTCAAGCCTGTAATCCCAGCAGTTTGGGAGGCCGAGGCGGGCGGATCACGAGGTCAGGAGATGGAGACCATCCTGGCTAACACGATGAAATGCCGTCTCTACTAAAAATACAAAAAAAAATTAGCCGGGTGTGGTGGCGGGCACCTCGGGAGGCTGAGGCAGGAGAATGGCATGAACCTGGGAGACGGAGCTTGCAGTGAGCCCAGATCGCGCCACCGCACTCCAGCCTGGGCGACAGACTGAGACGCCGTCAAACAAAAACAAAAACAAAAACAAACAAACAAAAAACATGGATGAACCTTACAAGGGGCACTGGACATCACCTGATGCTTGTTACTTTTCCCTGTGGATGCAATATCCATCCATAAGCTCTTGAAAACAAAATTCTAATGTGTTTATGTATATACACATAAACTAATATATATAGGATATGTATATATAAAGTATATCAAGTATATATATACTCTATCTCTAAAGTATATAGATACTAAATATATCACTTATATACACATAAACTAATCTATATAGGATATGTATATATAAAGTGTATCTCTAAAGTACATATATACTCTTATCTCTAAAGCATATAGATACTAAATATATCTACTTATGTATATTATAAATATATATTTATATACTAAATATATATACTTTAGAGATAGTCTTGCTATGTTGCTATATATATAAAATATATAATATAATATATAAATATATACAATATATACTTTATATAAAATGTATAAATATATAGTTTATATAAAATATATAAACTATATATTGTATAAATATATAGTTTATATAAAATATATATTATATAAATATATAAATATATATATTTATATTATATATAATATATAATATATAATATAAATATATATTATATATTATATAAAATATATTTATATAATATATAATATATATTATATAAATATATAAATATATACTTATATAAAATATATACTTTATATATATAAAATATATACTTTATATATATATATATATAAAAAATATGTATTTTAGAGATAGAGTCTTCCTCTGTTGCCCTAGCTAGTCTCAAACTCTTGGCCTCAAGACATCTTCCCACCTCAGCCTTCCAAGTCACTAAGATTATAGGTGCATCTATGTCTTTTTATTACCTTACCCTGTTTCAGAGTCTGTGGAATTTGAACTTTTGTGCTTACTACAATCATTTAGTAATGGCTGCCTAAGTTGCTGTGTTTAAAATGATTCTAAGGTTGCACTATTGTTGAGAACATATGTTATGACTGATTAATAATTATTATTATGGGCTCCATAGTAGGAATGGTAGCACCTTTGCCACTAACATATCCTTTCAACTATAGCTGTTTTTCAAAAGTAGTCTGGAGTTTTAAGATTGTTTTCAACACAATGTCAAGTCCATATTTGGTGTGTAAATGACATTTGAGCCATTATTTCAAGAGTAATGACAAGCAATAGGTTAAGCTGAACCCCTCCAAATATATCTGTGTGGAATGAAGTGACACTTACATATGGAGAGAGGAAACTTGCTTTCTCTCTGTCTAAAATGATACTGTCTTGTGTTTATCAATTGCTTCAAAATATTCCAGCTACTTTCACACAGATTATCTCAGTTGAGCCTAGCACAACTGAACCCACACCCAAGTATTTTCTTCCTCTGCCCCGTGGAAGAAGACTAGGAAGAGCAAAGCATTTCAATAAATGAAAGCAAATCAATCAAGTGGCATATGAACAAACTTCCATAGAACAGATAAATATCATACTCTTAAATTTTAGTGGCCTTCAATGATCTCTGAAGTAAGCTGAGAATCGTGTTTTAGAACCTGTTCCGCCATTGACTGTCTGTGTTATCTTGAACAACGGACTCGATGCCTGCACCTCAATTTTCTTAACCAAGAAACAACAAGGAACACATGTCATGCCTAATTTTCAGATTCCCAAGGTTTTTATAAGGAACAAATGTGGTCATATAAAAGTTGTAGAGAACTAATATAGAATATTTGAAATAGTTCTGGGTTAGGAGTGTAGAAAGTAACCTTATTACAGGTCTATGCTAACTACAGTAGCTCTAAAAGATCTCTGTAACTCATAGAAAATCATCAACACCATGAGATTAAATGGTATCCTGGGACTCTTCTAGCTTTGATGGTTCAAGATTTATCAATGAATACTTTCAGTGATGTGTTTTAAATAAAGCTGTTATGTCCTTAACTTCAGCTGGATAAGAGAAATAGCAACTTTTACCCAAATACTTCCTCCTTTAATTTTAGAGAGCCTTCTAAACTCACTCTATGAGACATTTTAATATGGTGGCTGGGCAGGAGAGGACCACTCTCTCTGGGCCCCAGGGGTTGGAGAAGGTGCAAATTGCTTCTGGAAATTTGAGCTTATATGGTCATTAAGTCAACTAAAGACTCAGGATTATTCATATTTAAGTCTAGTGTTTTAGGTTTACAGATAAAACCAATGAAAATTTGCAATCACACAAACATAGATTTGGGATATATAATGGCATCTCTTCTGTCTATTACTGACAAACACTACCTATGTGGTTAAATAATTTCCATTCTTTACCATATCTGTTGTCCTAATTGCTACCAAGCTTGGCTTCCCCTCACCCTTATTTCCCTCCCCTTTCTACTCTACTGAAACTGCTTTCAAAAATACAGAATACATCTATTGGTTGTTTTAAAACTTTTATGATTTCCTCATGACATATGCTACTCTTGATCACTCCAACCTTTTTGAAACTCTTTCCAGACTTTCATTATATGTTGGTTCTCTGGTCGTCTGTTTCTTCTCTCTCTTGCTGTCTTTTCTTTTTTACTCCTGAATATTAATTATGGTCATTTCCTAGATAGTTTAATATACTTGGTTTTCTCTTCCTAATGACATATAATTTCCCATATGGTACTGAAAAATCCCAGAATATTTTTCATAGATTTTTTATAAATATCTCAAACTCTAACTCTCAATGGTCAAATACATACATATATATGTATGCAGAAACACATACATATATATGTATGCAGAAACACATACATATATATGTATGCAGAAACACATACATATATATGTATGCAGAAACACATACATATATATGTATGCAGAAACACATACATATATATGTATGCAGAAACACATATATATGTATGCAGAAACACATACATATATATGTATGCAGAAACATACATATATATGTATGCAGAAACACATACATATATATGTATGCAGAAATACATACGTATGCATGCAGAAATACATATGCATGCAGAAATACATATGCATGCAGAAATACATATGCATGCAGAAATACATATGCATGCAGAAATACATACATATGTATGCAGAAATAAATGTAAACATACATACATATGTGCATACATACATGTAAACATGCATACATATATGCATACATACATATACATACATATATGCATACATACGTTTGTGCATGCGTACATGCGTACATACATGTATACATACGTGTATATGTATACATACATACGTACGTATGTATGTATACATATATATGAAACCTTTTACTCAATTTCATTCATACTTAAGACATTTATGTGCAAAGTACAACTCTTTTCTTTCAAACTAGTTTTGTATTCTGTTTTTTCCATTTTTCCATTTTTTCCATTTTTCATGATAGCAGCATTTTTTAGATTCTCCAACCCTCCCTCAGATGGAAACATTGCCATTTATTTTCCCTTGTGTTACCTTCTGCATTGCTTTACCTCATTTTCTTTGCCAGTTCCAAATTTACTGCCTATACCAGTTCTCAACATTTCTTGTCTGGACTAATAAAATAAGTTTTTATCTCCTTAATTTCGGCTGGGTGAGAGAAATAGCTACTTTTGCACAAATACTTCCTCCTTTAATTTTAGATAGCCTCTAAACTCACTGTGTGAGACATTTTAACATGGTCTCTTCCTCATTTTCCTCCTAATTTCAAATCTTTCCTGCATGTGGACACAAGTTATCTTATTTGAAACTAATATACTTATCATATTATTTGCTTAAGTGAGAATAGTAATCACTACCTTATATTTGCTTAAGAAATTGTACTGCTCAAAGCTCTTTCACATTCACTACACAATGGCCCTCTATTGCTGATTAAAAACAGTATGCAGCCACGGAAAGCTCACTCCAGATGGAGTCAGGAGTCTTGAAGTGTTGACTTTGCAGCTTTACTGCTGTTGGTAGATGTAAGTCAGCTAGACCTCGTTTCTGAGGCTTTAGTTTTTCAATTTGTAATTAAGTTATAGGTACTAGATAACATTTCCAAATTTTATTTAGACATTTTGTCAGTATATTAATTTTAAGCAAAATCAAGCTAATTAGGAAAAATGAAAAACTTCAAACTCATTAGAGTCATGGAGCATTGTTTTACCAATTGTATGAAAATTCACCAATTCTTATCTTAAAATACAAGCAAAAATAAACTTAAGTATTTCAAAAAGTATTGTAACAGAAAATGGTTGCCAATCATTGCTTTTAAAAGGCTTGTTCTGGTTATTTCATTTCGAACTATTCATCTAAACAGCTCTTTAAGGATAAGGTTCCCAAATACAGAGCCTGATAGGAAAATATAAAAATATTAAAGGCAATGCAGTAAGTGATTCAAAAAGCAAAATGTATTCAGTCAAAGGACTATCTTTATTCTGAAAATGTGTCTTTTAAACATTTTGGCGCTATACAACAAATTACTTAATGAAACGCTAGTGATGACAAATAGTAGTTTTATTTTACTCTTATTGTTATTATTGTGCCATTTAATCTATCTCCTTGGCAAATTAAAGAGTTGTCAGCATATTAGTCATTTACATTTACAGGGAAAATTTTACTGGAATATGATTTCCAAAAGTCTGGCAACATGATTTTGTTTAGCTTGAATAATCTTTTCAAATTAATGTGATATTTTTTGAAGTCCATAATTCAGACTGCTAACTATAATTTCCCATCAGTTGTCTCATCATGTAGAGAATTCTTGGCATGAGAAGAATTACTTCAGTGTTGGAGGAAATCTTACTTCCTTTTGTCCTGGCTGGATCAGACTTGAGCAAGCATGCTCCTAATGATAGTTTCAATGTCTTCTGCTGGCATTGAAACTTCCACCCTCCCTCCAGGCATGCAAAAGAGAAATGGCAGCCTCAGTACCATTTAAAAGTATAGGAGCTTCCCTGTCATTTATATTTGAGTGGAGAAGAGACAGCAGCCTTGGCAGGACAGGCTTGGTTGATAACAATTCAGACAGTTAGGGCAGGAAGGGGCTTCAGAGATCATTGAATTCAAATCTTCATCTTAGTAATGTGGAAACAAAGGCAATGAGAAGGGAAACCACATTTTTCAAGTCATACAGCAAGTAAGTATGAATGAGGACTCCACTCATCTATATTATCTGACTCCAGAGCCAATGCTTCCCAATACAGTTTGCCTCCTCTTACCTAGGGAAAAATGCTCAGTTTTCTTATGTATAAATGTCATCTGGATAATTATTTAAAATGCAGACTCAAACTCCCTACCTTTCTGATTATTATTCAATGTCTTGCATGATGCCTGGGGATCTGTATATTTAGTAAGCAATCCAGGTAATCATGAAGCAAGCAAACTATAAGACTTTGGCCCATCTAAAGCATAAAATCAGTAAGTAGTAAAATTTAAATGAACTTTAGAAAACACTCTGCAGTGGCACAATCTTGGCTCACTGCACCTCCACCTCCTGGGCTCAGGGGATTCTCCTGCCTCAGCCTCCCAAGTAGCTGGGACTGCAGGTACTCCACCACGCCTGGCTAATTTTTATATTTTTAGTAGAGATGGGGTTTCACCATGTTAGCCAGGCTGGTCTCTAACTCCTGGCCTCAGGTGATCTGCCCACCTCGGCCTCCCCAAGTGCTGGGATTACAGGCATGAGGCACCGTGCCCGGCCCTTCAGTAGGTTTTAAGGAGACCCCAGCCTTCCTTCTCCCTTTTTGGGCCTGAGCAGCTATACTTTGCCATCTCTCCCAGCCACACACCCCGCCAAGTACTACGCAGGGACCCCCACCCAGGGGCCCTGCTCCATGAGATAATGTGAAATATGTCTGTGGACCAAATGCAATAAAACCTCTGTTTGTAAGAAAAAAAATCTGAGAAATCAACGTTCAAAGAAGGGAAGTAACGTGTGTGTTAATGAGAAAACTAGGATTAAATTCCATATTTCTTAATTCTATGAGTAATGGTTTTACTATATTTTACTACCTAATGAGATACGAAATGTGTTGGCTGGGTGTTATGTCCTTTCCTTGTGTGTTTGTTTTCATGTTTAGTATAGACCATACTATCATGCTTATTTAAACATAATAATACAACTTGAAGGTATACAGTTTCATATGACAATGCCAACACACATGTGTGCATGTGTTAGACATACACCTAAAGTGCACATGCATGTACACACACACACACACACACACAAATGCATCATCATTTGTAAGATGCATCCTAATTTCTGAGATGCTAAAATTTAAAAAACTAACATTCTTATATAATGCAGTGGGTATATCAGGGTTGGAAAATATTTCCAATGGCTTTGCCAACTCCAATTAGTTAGCAGTAGTGTCTAGAAATTTTCATGTCAAAGGTATAACAAGGCACGCCAAGGCTAAACAAGAACTAGTGCCAAGACCAAGTAGAAATGCTTAATATGGACAAAGGAACAGGATTGGCAGAACAAATAGTACTTGTGTTGTCCTTTGACAGTTAAAATGAAAAAGATAGAAAGACATTGGTGAACTAATTTGGAGGAAAAAAAAATCCAATGATGAAGATAACTTGTGCTCATTCCAGTTTTTAAACCAAATATTATTAAAATTTGAGTGAATCAGTCTGTATATCCTCATTACAGAGCAGTAAACTAGTTTCTTATCTACTTTCAGTTCTTATTTCTGAAAAAGAAATAATAACTTATATCCTAACTTCTTCAGAGGATGTTAATTTTTAATCGATAACTAATACATATATAGCCTTTAATGGCTTGCCAAATACTTTCACATTGTTTAAATAATTTAAATATAATTGCAATTCTATGAAGTGAATATTATCCCTTTTCTATAGTTGTGGAACTTGCAGCTCAGAGAAGTTGAGTAACTTCCCCAAGATCACACAGTGAAATCAATGATAGAGCATGAATTTTATCCCAGATACATCCTATTTTTTATTTATATTTATTCTTCCCTAAAAAATTATGAGAATGTGTGGTTAGGTTCTTTTAAACTGACAAGAGTTTAGTTAAAGAATAATAATTTCTGCTGATGTCTGCATAAGGTTTGCCTGCTCATTGTTTTTGCTCTGTTAACCATAGACAAATTTCTTTTTGGCCAGTGAAGATCAAGCCAAGCACCACCCAGGCAGAAAGCAGAGATAAAAATAGGCACTGACCTGTCCTCCCTGACTGAAGACACCTGAAAGAAAAGCACAACATTCAAACACTGTAATTCATTGATGTACAAAAAGTGAAATTTTCAACATTAGGAAATTCCTAATATCTACTCCTGGTACTTGGCTATCTTAAAAAGTCATCGTATTTTTTTTGTTTGTTTTTGTTTTCTTCTTCTTCTTCTTTTTTTTTTTAATCTGCTCACTTCTTAAGAAGGTCATATAAAGACATGAACCATGAGGAGGTAACAATTGTTGGAGGTTAGGGTGGGGTAGAAAAAAAATGGATTAAGGATCTGGAAATTCATGTTACAGTCCTAGCCCAGTCACTAATTTACTACGAAAATGACCTTATCATCGCTGGTCTCACTGTGGAGAAGTTGAATTGGAAAGTATCCTCTACCTTTGACATTTCAAGGTTCATTTCATGCAGTTCCTCCCAAAAGCCTTTGCCACAGGCAGTTGGGAAAGAGATTAAGCTTGTAGTTTGTTCTTTGAGTTTGAAATTGCTCAACTTTTAAAACTTGGCCCAAATATAAACTGGTAAGGAACAACTCATTCATTCTTGTGACTTATTTCTCCTTTTACATCTCTCTAAATTCCTAAAAAGGGAAAAGATCCCATATATATAGTCTTGTTTCTCTCCCTTTTCCTTTCTCTTAATATTGTATGTGTAATTTTAGTTTGTGTGACTAATTAGTTCAGTGGTTTAAAATACTTAAATAATAAAATCCCTCAATCCAGTCTTGGAATGGGCTGCTGAGTTTTGATGTGTGGCCATTCCTATGGGACTCCTTTCCCAATCCCTCTGACACATAAGCCCAAGAGCACTGCAATGAGAGAGAGTGTGGGTTAGCGGAATCCATCTCCAATGATGGCCAACACTTATGGGATAACAACCGGAAATTCCTTAAAGCACAATCTCTAATAATAAAGATAAGGAGAAAACAAGCTGTTGTTTTTTAATTTGAAAGAAGGTTACTGTTCATTTTTTCAGCAGTGATTACCAGCCTTATTGATTTATAACTAGCAATATGGGTGATTATTAAAATGACAAATTCTTAGGGCAATCACTTAAAAATTCTATTATATAAAACCAGAGAGTTCCTGGACAGTCCATATTTTTTAAAGACTCTAAGTGGTTTTTATAGCCAGGGATATTTTATTATTAGAATTTTCAGTAAGTCTCCACTGTACAAATCTGTCATCAAAAGAGGAGAGATTTGCCTAATGTCTCATACGTAGGAATTGGCAAGGCAAAAACAGGATTAATATTCACAATGACGGAGTCCAATTTAGTACTCTTTTTATTAAACTTTATTATGGCAATAATGTTAATAGACATTTGTTAAACATGCACTATACCCCATCCACTATGTTAAGCATTGTACATGCCTTTTTCTCATTTAATTCTCCACACAGAGATAGTCCTTTATATGTTTATTTTATATATAAGTGAAATAAACATCAGAGAGTTCACAAAGCTATAAAATGAAAGTGCCAGGGCTAAAATTCACTTTACTCTGTTTCAGCATTAAGGCCCTTAGGCATTATGGCCTCCCAAATACTATCTAGTATGTCTGTGAAGCATCCATGCTTTGGTAAACTGTATTAGTCAACCAGATCCTGTTAAAGATCAATTCACCTTTGTAAAGAGAAGAAAAGGAAATAACAATTGATTTCTGAGACTATCTTTGCAGCTAAACTTTACATAGTCAGATATATATTTTTCTGCCATCTCAGCAACTGATTGAACTACCCATTAAGGTTATTTGGCTTTAGTAGTCAAGCTTACTCCATAATATCACAGGAATCCTTTACCCATTTTTTTTGTATTTCTAAGTGTATTTGTTTTTGTAATTATGACCAGCTACAGTGAACACTGGCTTCTCTATCAGCTAAATCTCATTGATTTTTTTTTTACTTGTACATCCATTTAAAATCTTGCATAGTAGTAAAATTCATCTGCTACTGTCACACAAAATGATACATAAGATATGGAAGGTCCCAGGGCTTAGTTTTATTTCTATTATTTTACAAATGACAAAATATCTCAGAAAATTATGTTATTTCTTTAAGTGACACAGGCCATTAATAGAAGAGATGAAACTAGGTCTTAGGTCTAAAAACTAGCATTTGCTTTGTGCCCTACAACGTGAAAGAGTAGAATAATAAGGAAGAAAATAGCTTATGATGGACCTGCTCATTCCGATGGTTCTGTCTTAAAAAACATAACCTTGAAGTATGATTGTGCTTTGAACCTCACTAAAGTGTCCAAAGATATTCTCCTTCTCTAAGATTATTTAGCTCACCAGAAACATATGTTTCTGCATTCTAAGTTTCAATTACATATTTTCAAAGATTTTTCTCATTGAGTTTCCAATTTCCCCATTGTCTTAATT